>NC_000006.12:140070790-141320790 GCF_000001405.40 Homo sapiens
ATCTCTATCTCATTCAAAACATTGCTTCAAATTCTTGATCTTCACTTGTCTATTCTAGCTTAGCCCACCTGGCTTGGCCACTGCAAGCCCTCCAATGACCCATCACAATGCACCAATGCACATTTCTTCTGTTTTTCCTTTTTTCTGGACATTGATGTCATTTTAGTTATTTTAAGTTTATTTTACTGAAAGACAAGCAGTATGTTTTCTGTGTGCTACATGCTAACCAGATGTCCTTGACCAAACAAAAATTCTTGCCAGGAGAAAGGAGAAGAAAATGTGTAGGAATCTTTTCCCAAAATGGACAGTGTGATTTTCCATACCGGCCACAGTAATACATGGAAATTCTTTCTGATGATCTTGGAGTTCCTGACTAGATATCCTGGTAAAGTCTCCGGCAGTTGTCTTTTCAGTTAAAGTGGCTTTTGAGATAGGACCAAATTTGGCATTAGAATTGCAGATACACATGAGAACTTGTATGTGTAGCACAAACAATTTCTTGCTGCCTATTGCTTGTGGGATGCTTGCCAAGAAAAAACAATTTGCTTTGCTGCAAGAACCCAGTTAGCCATTACTGGAGAATGTTTTTCTAAGATTGCTTATCGGTAATTTTAATAGGGCTCAGAGGTTTGTGTGGTTTGCACAAAATGTTAGTTACTTTTTAAAGGCCCAAATTTCTCCCCATTTTCTTCCACAAATCTGAACTCCATTCTAATTGTAAAATAATCAGTGAGAACAGCACCTCCCTAAATGAGTAGATAGGAATGGATAATTAAATGCTTATGGTGAAATGGATTTAACTATTATATTGCTGTTTCAGATAGAAGGACATTCCCAAAGAGGCTCCTTTGGTTTTATACAGGAGTTCAAGTTGTTAGCTACTATTTTGGTTTTGTAATTGTGCACTGTGGTCATGAGAGGCTTTCTGTGGGGGAGGATATGTCCTCAGTGCCTCTTCATTGATTGATTCATTCATTGAACAAGCATTTGTTGGCAGCAGTTATTCATTTAACAAGCATTATTGGGCCACATTGAGCCACAGAGAGAGAAATGAGTAAGGCACTATTCTTATCCTCAGTGAAGTCAAGTCCATCTTCAAGGTGACTGATGGCAAAAGGAAGAAATCTAGAATTCATTATTTTCAACCATTTGTTATCTAAGTGGATTTTAAGACCATGTTGTGAAACTATTATGATTCACCATCAGAGGAAAAGGGCAATTTATTTTGACCTGTGAAGATGCAGCGGATATGATCTATGTTGAAATGATTTTTTTAAAAAGATATTATTTCTAGATTAAACTTCCTTGAGTCACAGCCTAACCTTTTAAGACATATTTTCCAATTATGCCTTGCTGACCATATATTGAGTTTTCACAATTTGCACTTCTGTCATTTTAACTAATAATATTTAATGTTACTACCTGCCATCATATTTCTACTAATTATTCTCTAGCTGCTGCCTGTATTTGCCCCCTGACAGGCAAAGAAGCAAATGTTTGTAATTCCAAGTTTCTAGAATATTTGAATCTGATCAGTAGCAAAAATATGTTTCTTATTCATAAACATTATGCCTCTCAAACTAATCATAGTACAGGAATATGTACGACTTTGATTGCCACCTGTCTTTTTCAGAGCTGTTTGTTCTGTTTTTTATTCTTCAGATATTATTTGTTTGCTTATTTTGAGACTCTTTTGCAGAAGAGGAAATGAAACACTTACTTGTCAGCGCTATTTTTTAAAAAAATCATATAGTAGAACAGTATTAATTTAATGAAAACTTAAAGATTAAGCATAACAACCTTTTAAAAAGCACTCTCATGTCCTCATTTGAGTTTGTACGGTAGCAGACAGAAACCCTGATAGACATGAGAGGGTTTTTGCCAAAACCCTGATAGACATTAGAACTTGTCCTGTTTTCCTGTTTGGCATTTTTGTAGATGTGCTAAAGCCAAAGTTTATTTTAGAAGAAAAATTGGACAAATATAATCAAAGTATGAAAAGCAATGAGAAAAATCAGCACAAATTTGAAATTTTGTATGAATAACTAGAGTTAACTTTTATTAAAAAAATAAGTATTTAAAAATATTTTCTTCAAGTTTAGTTTTTGTTGCCAAGGCTAAAAAAGGGGGAAATGACCTAAACTTACTACTTTGTGTGTTGAAGAATTTCCCAATTCAAGAGCAGAAAATAATCATGCAAAATTTCTATGATCTATAAAACAAGAAGCATCCTGGTTTTTGAAGGGTGTGATGGCAATTCCCTTCTCTTTATAAGAAAGAGATGTAAAGAAACCACTTGTAAAGGGTTTTTCTTAATAGGATGCATGTGACTTTGTTGAGACAGATGATCTTCTCATCAGTATGTGTTTGGAAACTGTCTATATGGTAGGGCTTTGCATATTTTATTACCTCCCCTTACTGCTTTGAAGTTATTATAGCATCTCTAAAATGTACAAAGAACTCATTTGAAGCTCATATACTTAAAAATCTACATATGTAATCTGAGTATGTAGTTATGAAGTCTTTATTATAGGAAAAGACATATTAGCTTTGTTATCATTGATTTTTCCTCTTCTATTTAAAAAATTTATGCTAAGTTCACAAAGCTGCTAAATGGTTAAAAAAATTGGCAGAACTTATTTGCAAGGAATTACACATAAATGAGAAGTTAATCTTTTGGAAAATTTTCTCAGGATTTCAATATAAAGAGCCAGTTTATGAGAATAATATAATACATTTCTGTTCACAAACACTGTTAAATGCAGGCTCTTATTGACTCACAACAATCCTGTGATGCTGCTACTGTCATCATCTTTGTTTAAAAATGAGGCAACAGAGACTCAGATACACAGTACTTAGGCTTCTGTTCTTTATCCTGTGTTGCGTAATCTCCACACTATACCATACTTTTTCCCTTTGCCTTGTTTGGCCATTTCCAAGACAGCCACGGATCTGCACATTTTCAAGGTAGAATGCCAATATCAGCTTCTTGATTTTACATAGTGTGATTTATTTTATTCAGACGTTTATTTGAAAGAAGTTGATTGGGATAAGTTATAGCCACTTTAGACACCGTTTATAACAATGTCTGGCACACAGTAGGGACTCAGATATTTATGGAATGAATGAGTAAACTATATAAGATATATGGGGACCCTTTTAAAGGGAGGATTCCATTTTTGACTGCACACAGAGGAAAAAGTCATTTGGAGGGCAGAGGAAACAATAATGGAAGTTTGAGTCATATGGCGCCTTGTTACCTGAAGTGTGATCTGTGGATCAGTAGGATCAGCATCACCTGGGAAATTGTTAGTTACGTGAATGATGGGCCCCATCCCAGACCTACTATATTAGACTGCCATTTCACAAGATGGTGTGGTATGATGTTTACCATTTTACCAGGTCACATAGTATCGGGATCACTGTACAGGGCAGTGGTTCTTAAACCTGAACACACATTAGAATTACTTGGGGAAGTAAAAATAAAATAAAATGACCAGTCCTCACTCTGCATCAATTAAATATAGTCTCTGGATAAAGGCACTAAGTATAATTTTTTTTTCTAAAACTCCACTAATGATTTTAGCATGCAGCCAAAATTGGGAATTACTGCTGTAATGTAAAGTCCTCAGTGGGTATCAGAACACCTCAGGCTGTTGCCGATAAGGCACTGGATTTAGTATAAGACGTTCCATCACAGTGGAACCCAGTTATCTGGTTTAGAATAAGATGAGGAGTCATTTGAAGTTCTCTAATGCCTATTACATTCCTGACACTGGGCAATTCAAAGAACATGGCCCTCTACCTATAGTCTTTCTAACTATGTTTATGGCTCTTCATCTATGTGGCTTCATAGTTGGTGCTTGTACTAAATGATTGTCAACCATTCAAAAAACTCCCTCCATACTGTGAAAAACTGTCTGGGTCCATGTTTTTCACTATACATCCATGCCTCTTTCAATTCTGACAGTGAGTCAAACCCAATTTTTCTTTTTTTTTTTTTTTGAGATGGGGTTCTTGCTCTGTTGCCCAGGCTGGAGTGCAGTGGCGTGATCTCAGCTCACTGACACCTCTGCCTCCAGGGTTCAAGCAATTCTCGTGCCTCAGCCTCCCGAGTAGCTGGGATTACAGGCATGTGCCACCATGCCCAGCTAATTTTTGTATTTTTAGTAGAGATGAGGTTTCACCATGTTGGCCAGGCTGGTCACAAACTCCTGACCTCAGGTGATCCACCCATCTCGGCCTCCCAAAGTGCTGGGATTACAGGCATGAGCCACAGCGCCCAGCCAGCCAATCGTTTTTTAAGATAAATTTTGGCTCCAGGAGGAAGAGCCTGAGTGTCTTCCCTGCAAAGGCTTTGACTCAACACCAGCTCAGATTCTGCTGCTGGAGACAGAATCTCACCTAGAGGTATGTCCTTGTTTTAGTGGATTGCCTTGGGTTTTTCCTCCTGACCTTTTGTCTGGAGTATAGCCTTATACAGAACAACAGTGGCAGATAAGAAAAATGGGAGTTTGAGGTTCCCATTAAGGACAATGGAAAGGTTCATTAATGGCAATGGAAAGGTTCATTAAGGGCAATGTGAAGAGAATTGCCTTGTTTTGGAGGCAGTGGGAGCCACTGAAATTTTTGCAATGAACCTATTGTCTGAGACACTGAAATGTTTTTTGAATGAATGAATGCATAAGAGATGATTTAGAGAGAGAGAGATACCTGGATTGGTTGGTTAAAGAAGAAGACGGCTATTAGCTTATTTCCTAAAAGGGAATCATTAATTAGATATGAAGGTGGAAAAGGACATAGAAAAGAAGGAATGATGGCAGACAAAGTGGCACCTAATTGAACTCAGTAGATATATTTTACATTAAAGTAGTGCTTCCCAAGCTTTAACATATGTAAGAATTATCAACAGAACTTGCAAACAGACTGATTCCTTGGCCCCTACCCCCAGAGATTCTGATTTAGAGGTCTGAGGCAAGCCCCAAGCATTTGTATTTTACTAAGCCAGCTCCCAAGATGATGCCGATGCTGCTGGTCTGAGGACCACACCTGTAATAACGTTGTATTTGGGCTTGGAAAGCTAGAATATTTTGTTTTCGATTTTGGTTCTTCCACTTACTGCCTGTGATATCTTAAGCAAATCTATTACCTTTTCCAAGTAATAGATTAATACTTAAAACACCATAATGTATCATTTGCTCAGGGATCTTGTTAAATTGCAGATTCTGATTCAGTTGGTCTGGGATGGAGGCTGAGCTTCTGTATTTCTGAAAGTCTCGCAGGTGACAGCCATGCTACTGGTTCATGAACTGGACTACTATTAGCAAGTACCTAGGCATTATTTCCCCATACTTCACATATTTATTACAATTAAATAAAAATATATAGATAGAAACAGTTTGAAAATTGTGGAGCAAAATGTAAATGTAAGGTGATAGTAGTGAATTGATGAAGACAGGAAATGGAAAAAGATGACTGAATTTTAAGCTGACTAGGGGAATTTTGGCACATACATAGAAATAAAGAAGTCAGGAAGGACATCTGGTTTAACAGAATGTGGATTTTGGGGGGAAAGTAGCAGGCAGTTGAAAACGTAAGACAGGAATAAGCTTGAGAAATAATTTAATCTTGAAATAAGAATTTTGGAGTTGTACACATATGATTGAAAGATATTTCTGTATATATGGGTATATAGAAAAAAAGAGAATAAGTAGAGAATCTGGGAAGAGATACCAGTTGGAAGATGTGAGAAGGAAGAGGTACTATTGGAAGATAGAGCATAGTTTAGCACCTTGTCATAGAGACATTACTTGTCTAACCCCAGGCTGTATCAACAGATTGTATATCCTCCTGATTGAGGATAACAGTCTATTGCATTTCCTAGGCATTCCCCCACTTAGAAATTATTGAAGCATCCCATTTGTGTATGATTTTTGTGGGCAGCGATTCCAAGAATGGTGGAAGATACGTTTCTAAGACTTACGAGTTCCTTGGACCAGGTCATAAGCATTTAGAAAATAGAGTAATTGAGGGAGATCATGAATTGTATAGAAGTGAGGGATTCTGCAATTGAATATCCTTGCCTCATCAATCAATTCAGATACTTGGACATCTATGAAGCTCAAGACAAAATGTAGTTCAATACCTTACTAGGAGGAGCATTTTCACAGAGATAAATTATCCACTAGGGAGAATAATAAGTAGAATTACATGCCTATTAATAGTTGCATAATTTTAAAAGAAAAGAGCATGATTTGTTTAAGACACTAGTGTGTTTGACTCTGTCATGGTGATGTTTTGGTCATTTTCTTAAGGATGCTTCCAAATAATGGCCTCAGATACTGAAAAAGGTTAATAAGAATTCTGGCTGGATGTGGTGGCTCACACATGTAATCCCAACACTTTGGGAGGCTGAGGTAGGAGGCTCTCTTGAGGCCAGAAATTCAAGACACACCAGGGCAACAGAGTGAGACCCCATCTCTACGAAAAAATAAAAACAAAAACAAAACAACAACAATAACAAAAACAATAAAATCAACTGGGTGTGGTCCTGCATGCCTGTAGTCCCAGCTGCTGAGGTGGGAGGACAGATTGAGCCTAGGAGCACGAGGCTGCAGAGAGCTGTGATTGTACTACTGCACTCCAGCCTGGGTGACAAAGCAAGACACTGTCTGAAAAAAGAAAAAAAAAATGTTTTCTTTTTTTCTTTCCCATAATTCACTGGCTCGTTTGCTTTTTGGGTACTTTTAATTTTCCCTCTAAATTTCAAAGTACTAGGTGTTAAAATCTGGACATTTGAAAGTTTGATTTGCAATCATCTAAACTCCTAAAAAACAGAGGTCTCTTTCTAACATTGATTTACTCTCAGAGGGTCACTCATAAACATATTCATTACAGGCACACTCCACGAATATTCAATAATACATCAATCACTAAGCTGTTTATGTTAAGAGACACAATTGAAATTGAACAATATAACTCAATAAAATTACTGGTCTTTTTATTTATTCATCCAAATCCTAGTTGCTCAGTCATTGTAAACAGATCCATTGGAAACAATTCACTTTTCTATTGTTTCAGGATTGATCTTCTCAAACACATGATTATTCTTAATTCAGACAAAATATTTCATTTCTTTAAGTACACCAGAAGGAATTAGAGCCAGCTGAATGCAATAAGAGAAGAGGAAGGAAGACGCTCAGTAAAAGGAAATCAAACCTGTTTACAAGTCTGGATCTAAACACTTGTGAGATTTGTGGTTTTGGAAACTACGTTCATATGTTAGAGGAGAAAATGATGAATACTGGATAAACATGGGTTTAAATGGCCTAGGCCAGATTCTTATTCCTCTTTGCACCCTAAGTATCTCTTTTAAACAAAGAGTTTCACTTAATTTCAAAAAGACCACATGCAGACAAAAGATCAATGAACAGCAGAGTGACAGAGAAATTCAATTTTTCCGAGAATGTTGATATATCTACCATCCAGAAGACAATTTAAAATATGGAAGCACTCATAAAAACAATTAATGTATGTAGTCATCATGAGATACACCAAATTATCATCTCATACTAGTGGTAAATCTTGGTTTCCTAAATCTGTTTTTTGTTTCCCGTTCTTCCACTTTGAATATATGATACTGCAAATATGCTAAACAGGGCCCTTGGGCAAATTAGAAACAGAGGTTGGCAAAAATATTAGGAATTTTTTTGTTTCAATTTAAAATGTGTTTTTTTAGAACGTAAAAAACTTAATATAAGTGTATTCTGGAATCATAAGGATGAACATCAACTAAACGAGTCCTGTCCTGGAACTCTAGTGCCCTTTGGCATATGTATTTATTTATCTACATTTTAAACTTAATAATTTTTTAAAAGTATGAGGACAGCTGGGTTGAAGCTATTCAATATGCAGTCATTTTGGATCAATGTGACTTCAAGTGATGGGTTACCAGAAAAGATGCTGGACTGTAAGAGTTTTTGAATTTGTGGGCTTAGGAATTTTGATGACTAAAAAAATAAAAAAAAAAGGCTAAAGGGAATTGGCATTTAAATTCCATGTGGCTGAGCTTTTTAGTTGCATTCAGACACTTCTATTTTTATTTCTTCAAGCTGGGCCTGTTTCCAAGAAGGAAGCTGTGGAATTATTGCTCTTACTCCCACATTTAGTGCAATCCCTTACAATACTAAGGATAGGTCAGATTTTTGCCCGTCCCCTGCATTAAACCTACAAGTAGATCAGATTTCAGGATAAGCAACAAGCAAAAAAGGACAAAAAAATTTCAAGTGAAACATTTGAACCAGCTTGACTTGAATTAGGGTCGAATCAACTGCATAATCTAATGTTCATAGAGTGCTTTGTCTTTAGAACCTGGCTGGTTTTACCCTATAACATTTAAGTTATTCTTCCATTTATTCTTTTTCTTCTTCTCTTCTTCCTTTTATTTTTATTACCCCACTGTGTTCCTATACATTTAAAAGGTTAGCTGTTTTTGTTTTATGCAATGGAAAAACTGTTGTTGAAGTTTTAGCCTTGAAAAGCACTGACTGTACCTAAAAACGGAAAGAAAGCACTCCTTTGCCTTGCCTCCCATTGGTTGTTTGGAAACAGCTGTTTGACGCCAAGTTTGTACTTCACTCTTATCAGCTCATTTGGTGAGATCAGAATGTGCCTGAATAACTCTGAAGGTTAAAATATGTTGACTGAATTTTCTGCTGCCACCATTCAGCAGCAGCTAGGCTATGCCTCTCATGATCATGACACGTAGTGGAAATTTTCCTGGCTTCTATACATCATCATCTCTGCCTGGTGAGTGTCATACTGAGGATGAGCACAGCAGGACGGCCTGCCAATGGGCCTGACAGAGCTGGCCTACGAACATATGGAATTGTGCTTCCAATGGAAAGCACACTATTTGCATTGACTTGTCATCATTCAGGGACCAAATTTTTTATTTTTGCCTTTTTATCAACCATTGGTGTCTTGTTTAGGGCATCTATAACTTTTTTTTTTTCAGAGAAAATTGGGCATTACGATTTTCTTACTCAATCTCATAATCATTTTAAGCATTCCAAAAATTATACTCCACTGGTCCTGACTGCTACTTAAATTGTATGCGTTCTTTCCAGTCCTTATTTACAATTTAACTCCAAATGCTTCATAGTACAAACAGAAGAGCCTTTGATTTTGATTTTTTTAATCATTCAATCTTACAGAATTGAATCATGCCATATTGTTATTTTTGCTCAGCAATTAGAAAATACTCACTGTCCAACAGTCCAAGAACTTTTAAGTATTACAAAATCCTTTTCCGTAATCTCATGTTAACAATACAGCCTTAGTTTAGAAGCATTTTCTAAAAGATGTTAAGCATTAACCTTGTAATTTGTGGTGTGCTTATATTTATCGCCAAATAATTTGCAGCATTTTGTCAGTTATTTATCTAGTTATTTATATGTTTATCTGATGCCTATGCTGAAATATTCAAGGGCTTTTACAAGTGTGCTGTGTTAGCAGAAAATACTGTTCAAGGGAGAAAAAAATATTCTTTTTCACTTGACTACTTCAATACAGCAACTACAGTAGTTACTGTATGACTTATTGAACAACCATTAGAAGGAAAGAGATGAAATAGATCAGCCAATCCCCTAAGTCATAGATACTGAATATCTACTTCGTGTGGGTTTATGTCTAAGATATCATGGGAGCTCCACAAAATATATAACTGTTACCCAAATGGCAAAATAGTGAACTTGGGATCAACATAAATTTTAAAAGGCTTGTACCTAATTTTTATTCTTTTTTGTTCCTCAAGTTCTTTTAAACTTAGAGCTTCCCTGGGCCTCAACCAGTGCCAGCTGGGCAAAAATTCAATAACCTATGTGGAGATCATTATTGACCAAACATGTTATCAGATTTAGATGGTTTGATATGCAATTATTCTGAAGACCAATTAAATATCACACACTGTGGTCATTAATAGACAAAATTGTATTCTTATATGAATGATACATCTTAGTTTCCCATATCTGTTTTCTCCTTCCAGTATATATTTTTTGAATAAATATTAAAAACCTGCCACATGGACAAACCATGCCAGTGTTTCCTTTTCATCATATACAGTTATTTGAAGAGGTTGGCATTAATCTGTGAATTCTCCATCTAGCTCATCAGGAAATAGCTGCAAAGAAGGAATTATCAAATAGTTACCTTGGTCCCTGTGGGAAGAGCGGGGCTCCTTATGGGGAAGATGGGAGAGACAAATTTAGGAAGAAGAACTGAGAATTGTTTTTTCTTCCTAATTCTTGCCTAAATTCAGATAACTTATTATGGATGCTATTTTCATCTTCTGAAATATCTAACCACCTTTTCAAAGACTAGGTTTAATTGGGGAGGATTTTCCCTTCTACAAGGCTTGCTTCAATTCTAGACTCATTAAGATGTTGAAATATCTATTCTGGTGGTTCTTTCCTTAATGGTATCAGGTTGAATTCTGTCTAAAGTTTTACAGGTTCAGATGTTGAATCTTGTTAAGATGCAGATGTGTTCCAGGATCTCCACCTAGAACAGCCATTCAAAAACCCCAGAGTAGAGCTAAACTTTGTGTGCTTGTGAAGTATGATGCACACACAAAACTACAGTGTAGTTGAGAAATGATTGTGAAGATAAAACCATGCCTCGTGTACAAAACCCCACACATATAAAAATAATCATCTTCAACTTTATGTAATTGTTCATAAAATAGATTATTTAATATTAGTTTTTTTAAACACAGTATGAAAGTAAAATTTTAAAAGTGTAATTATTTGAAGTGCACAAGAGTGCTTTACATTAAAAAATTGCAACTATATGCCCCTAAGCAAATCAATTAACTTCTCTGGTTGTGGTTTCCTCTTCTGCAAAACCAGAGGATTGGACCAGCTATTTCTCAGGTTTCTCTCAGGTCCAGTATTTAATAATTCTGTGACTCATTTTATGAAATTCATCACACCTTAATTTATGAACTTCTAATTACATATTTGTAAGTAGGCTTTTCTTAAAATGGTTTCATACCATTTGTTATATTAATACTTGCTTAACAGTTAAAGAGAAATTAAAGATAGAAGAGAATGAACAAGAGACAGGAATAAGAAATAGTTCCTAAAGCCCAAAGTACTAAAAGGCATTACAGGCAATACAATTTTGTGGGTATTTTGAAGAAAAGGAAAGTCACTGTAAACTTTAGTTTCTATTTTGTGCCATATGTGTTATGGCTGCTAGTTACTTAATCTCACAACTACTCTAAAATAGATATTAATGTCCAGTGTATATTGCTAAGTAAACTATGGCTCAGAAAAATCCAAATCCATTGAATTAGGAAGTAACACAGTTGAGGTCTTTGGGTTTGAGTGATTCTTTACATGCTCTTACCAGATCATGATGCAGTCTTTGTTTATCAGGATAAAATAGCAAAAGAGAACTGCACATAGAAGGATTAAGTAGCACATGAAATGTCTATGCTCCTAAAGAGTTCCAAAATAATGTCTTTTATCAACATTTGAATTTTTATTAAAAAATTCTTACCCAGAATAAATTGAAATAAAGTATAAAAGACCACATATGGTGCTAACAAAGACTTATGTCTGCTGATGCTATGCTATTCAGTGATATAACAATGCTAATCATAGCAATAAAATATTTACTAAATAAATATGGATTGAAGCTTTGAGCAAAGGCCATCGTTGTTTTTCTCATAACACAGAACTACTTTCACGAGAATGATATGTGCATAAAATTTGCCCTCTACAAGAGATTACCTAAAGAATTATTGTTATTTTGTAGAAGGTTTGTATTGCACTTCAAATCCAATAATGAATATTGAGGGCTTTCTGTTCAGATCTATGAAATAAAGGATAATTTATGCTTATTCATGTAATAACTAAGAAGCTATCAAATATTTATTATTGGATTGAAGCAATGGAAATGGTGAGAAGAAGGGAGAATGAATCTATTTTTAAAAGAAGAAAAATGCAATTAAGTCTTTTTGGGGTATAAGAATTTGCAGAACTATTATAAATAGAAGGGCCCATCTCAGCTTGATTACTTCAAAACAGCTTCCTGCAACCTCCCACCAAGTAGATGAGCAATTAGTATAATCACAGCAATAAGTCAAAGACACTTGCTGTTCAAACTTGTGTTGCAACTTTTCCTTTTGGCATTGCTCCTAGCCTATTCCAGTTCCACACACAGACACAAATGCACATATTTAATAAAATTTTATTTGGTAAAAGGCAAATGCCTAGGCTTGACTTCTTTTTTTGTATCAAGGTTAAGTAAAGGGCACTGAACAAGTGAAGCTGTGCTGAAAACAACAGTGGCCAAGGCAGAGATATTCTTATACCTCAACCCGTTGTGCAGATGGAAGTCTGGCCAAAAAACCATAAAGCATCAAGTCTGACTGTGAGTCAATCTGTCAGCACAAGTACAAGGTGACTCAGGAAAAGACTGCATTTTGTTTTCTGGGAAATATTCAGGGGTTCTAGTAATTTATGAGTGTTGGATATTGTTTTCAGGAAAGGATAAAAACGACTTCATAAATAGAAAGAATGAAATTTTAATAATTGATTCTCTGCTAAAAAAACAAAGAGTAAGAGTAACCCAAGCGAATTCATTTTTTAAAGAAATTTTCAATAGGCAGATATTAAACCTACACTTCAGTTTGAGATACTTCCATATTTGTAAATCTTATGTTACTAAGTTGACTCAGTACACAATAAATTGTTTCTAAGAAGCAGCAGCATAGTAAAACAGGCTTTGCAACTCCAGTCATGTGACCTTTCGAACTATGTTTTTAGCGTGTCTAATTTTAAGGTTTGCTTTAGGTTTAATCTACACAATTAATTAATTGTTACAAGTTGTCAAATTATTGGTTTGTCTGGATCTTCTATGTTAATATGAATTTAAAGGAATGTTTAATGTTGTTGAATAATAGGGAGAAGAGAGAGCTTTAGATCTTTGATTTTTCAGTCTTCCTGGTATTGCTAGGTATTTTAAATACCCAGCATTTGTCTATTCCATTGTGTCAATTATGACAGCCTTGATTTTTCACTAGTTTGGGAGTTCTTTTATGAGTGTTTCCAAATGCTTTCCTTCTTTTTTACCTAATTAAAGAAATTCACCAACTTATAGGGGAAAACATCAATTTCAACTTTTTATGAAATTCTGCTGAGAGGTTACAGAAGGTATACAGCAAAATACATTTAAAACATTCCAGCTATTAAAGGACAACTATTTTTTTTTTATTGAGGATAAGCACTTTTTATGGTCAAAAGGAATCTGACTTTTCTATTGAAATGTTATATAGAAACACCTGAACACACATAGATACTAAGGCTGAGTTCTCAGGAAATAGTATTCTACCTCCCCAAAAAACTTTGCTTACTGAACACATTATTTTAAGAAGAGAGATTATTAGTAACAGTGATAAGTATCAAGGCATAAGATCAAAATGGAAAAAGAGAAAGCACAGAAGATTGGTTTCTAATAGTGTAAATTATCCTGAAACTGGATACATGAAAGTTTAGAATAACAGGAAGAAAGGAGAAACTTTAGAGGCAGAAATTCAAGGTCAAAGGTCATCACCATATAGGAATTTGAATCAGCTAGGAAAGATAATTGCAAACCTTGACTTTGTCTTTAAATGTCACAAAAGGAAAAGAACAGTACAAGTATTTCAATACACAATTTACCATAGATGCCATACCATGATGATACAGATGACTGAAAGAATGCAGTTGAAACATATCAATGTAAATATATTATTATTTGAAATATAAAGGTAAATACCTCATAATGTTGTGGAACTTGGCTTATTTTTAAAGAATAACTCAGTTTTAAGTAATGTGCATATTATGGGCTGAGTTTTGTTCTCCCAAATTCATGTGTTGAAGTCCTAACCTTCAGTACCTCAGAATGTGACTGTATTTGAAGATAAGGTCTTTAAAGGGGTAATTAAGTTAAAATAAGGTCTTTAGGGTGGACATTAATCCAGTATGGCTGGTGTTCGTATAAGAAACAGAAAGTTGGACACAGACATGGACAAAGACCATGTGAAGACACAGAAAGAAGATGGCTGTGTACAAGGCCAGAAGAGAGCCCTCTGAAGACACCAATCCTGCCAACATCTTAATCTTTGACTTTCATCCTCCAGAACTTCAGGGAAATAGATTTCAGTTGGTTAAGGCATCCACTCTATCCTGCTTTGTTATGGCAACCCCTAGATAACTAATTCAGTTGGAAAGCATTTTATTCAAAGGAAATTAGAAGAGAGAAGTTTCTACAGAACAGGAAACACTGATGATTCTTTTGGAAGACATGAAGAACCTCTTAGATTTCATCTGGCCCAAGTGCCCTTGCGATCAATAAGCTTCATGGGGATCCACATTTGATTTTCCTTATTTTGGAAATGAGTAGTAATTACCCAGAGTGACATGTTGAGAAAAAACTGAAAAACCACAAGGCCTTTAGGTGAGGGTGGGTGTGGGGGGAAGGGGAGAGCTCTAAATGAAGCATGTTCTATATTGATCAGTGATGTTTTCCCTGGGTGAGGGGTAGTGAGTGACCACACACATGCATGTGTTGACCCAGAGTTGTATGGTAATTTTTTAATTCAAATGTCTCTGTGTATGAATCTGTTTGTTCCTGGGTCACCTTGGAATTAGGGTTATTTCATGTATTCCCTCATTCTTTATTTGACCAAATAGAAAAGTTTAGATATAAATAAAAACTATGAGACAAATTAAAAATATATAATGTGTTGAATAGTATTTTTTTCTGAGTGAGGCAAGGAAAGCCATCCTATAGTTACTGTTTTCTAGCAGGTGAGCTCTTTCACAAGATGGTAAAGCTAGAGAAGGTTACTATGATACTTAGATAGCACAGCTACTTAAAGGGTTGATATCCGCATTTTCCAGATCTTACAGTTTTTAAATATTTAATGCATAGCAAAATATGATGGTTATTACAGTAATCATCTTTTCTGGATGCTGAGGGAGGGAAGATAGTAATATTTTTGCCTTACTTGCCTATTACCTCATATTATCTGCATTCTCAGAGGTTATAGGGTTCTTCCCCCTTGCTTTTGAAAATGTGATGCAAAGACATGGCATTCTTGTCATTTTTTTTTTCTGTTTTGATGTACTTTAGTGGCTGGAGTTAACTCTGCAATATTGAGCCCCAAATGGCTTCAACTTTGTCACTGAGGAAAGACTCTAAATCTGAAAAGATCTTTCCCATTCTGGTCTGCCTGACAGTTGCTCCTCCTCCCCTTGGGCAGGGAACCCAGAGAATCAGAAGCAGATCTTCTTGCTCTGGGGTCACTCTGTCAGCTTTGAGGCTGACCAGCAAGGGATACTCAGCTACTGTTAGAGCAATTTTTTGAGGGGAGGAAGGAAGCTGCATAACCTGATTAAGTATCAGTACATCATTTTTAAAGGGATGCTATGTTCGATTCAGAACTATGCTCCTTTCTAGGAACATGCCAATTATTGGCTAATCAATATTCTCAGTACCACCTTCCAAATCTCTACAATGTTAATGCTATTTTTAACATTGGATCTACAACAGGAGACCTATTATTCTGCTGAATATTCTGAAATTAGAGGCATAAAGATGACAGAAAAAGCAACTCAGAGATGGATCAAAAATATTATAAAATATCAGGGAGACTATTTCCATATAGTCTCTACTGATGTTATTTTTAATTTTTCAAATTTAGTTCCTTTGCTTTTGAAAACTAAGCTACCTATGTTTTGCACTTTTTAAGCATGTATTCTTTTCTATCCTGAGGTTATTAGTCACAAATTCATCTTTTACATTAATTTATCAATATGACTTTTCTTCTGTGAATTTCAGATTGGTTTGCCATGGCTCTTTGAAACAGTTACTCTTGTCCTCATTGTAGAGATGGCGATACTAAGGCAGAATATGGTAAGGTAATTTATTCATAATTTCCGAGAACTCTATACCCTGTCAACTTCAAATTACAAATCATAGTGCACGCTGGGGCATATGTTGGGCTTCCCTTTGATTAACAGGGAGGAGGTTGGGCTTGATGACCTCTGCAGGAGGCTTCCAGCTCTGTAATACTAGGATCTTAATTCTGACGAATGGTCCTGATGGTAACTAGAACCAAGCTACTCCCCCACCCTTTAGTTCAAAACTTAAGACAAATCACACACTCATGCAAAATATTTTTTCTCCCTACTAATTCATAGGGTAAAATATCAATTTCTGCTAAGCATTGTTATGTTCTGATTTAGTCATGAGTGTGAGTTGATGAAAGGACCTATCTTATTTACACTGTTGTTTGGAAATTCTACGGGGATTTTGAACTGGGGGAAGGACACAGCGGGAAGTTTGGTTCCAGCTCAGTGAATGACATGTTTGTACTGGACAATGTAGCATAGTTTCTCCTAAGCTTCCAATCTGGGCATCAGCTGACTACACTCACAAAATAAGCTGATGATATTTAGATTTTACCAAGACTAATTAAGCAAGATGCATATTTCCCAGTAGTTATCTGTGACTGAGGTGTGAATTTAATTTTTTTTAAATTAACAAAGTGATTTTGTGTAGTTTCTTTTGTTAAATTAGTTTTTATTGTCATTCCAATGCCTTGATTCTTGGTTCATAGGAAGAACAATAACCTCATTTGATTGTAATTAAATAAGGGGGAAAACATTTTACTTTTTTGTTATTATTGCTTCTGAACTCCGAAGGAAGGAAATGACATACTTTAAATAAGGACAGAAGATTCTCTGAGTGGAACTATGATAGCAGTTACTGTGTATCAGATTTTCTTGAGCATTAAAATCTTCTTTTAGAAGTATGTTTATCACCCTACAAACCTTTCTGGAGGTTTAATGTAAACTTGGAGTAGCTGGTAGAGGTGCTGGGATTTGAAAAAGGTTTCTGTTCCTTTACTATTGTCTTAGTTTCTCTTGCTCATCGGACCAAAGTTTGGAATCACGTCTCATCTTCGTGTATTTTGAAAATCTAACAAATCTAGAAGATGGTGTGAATGTGCATATATTTAGACAATTTAAAATTTTGTCAAGGACATGAAAGAAAGACATGTTTTCTAACAAAACAGAAAAAAACAAAAATAAGAACAGAATGCTTTTAACATTGCTTAAAGAACTACAGAACTATGGTGGCAAAGTGAGTATGTCATACAAGGTAGGCTATGTAAATCTATGTGTGATAATTGTGTACTATTCATTGATAGGGGATGTACTTTCTACTTAACACATGTTCTCCTCCTAGATACCTTACCTATAGGTACAGAAGTATCTATTATATTGGTTTAGGCTGATTCTAAGGGATATTTCTCTTAATGTAAGCTGAAGCAGAGAGAAACTCTATTGGCAGATGCAAGTGACTTTTTTAACACAATGAGTTACTGAAGGATGGATTCTTAAGCTATGGAATATTGCTGAAATCAAAGCTGCTATAATGCAGTTATACTTTCATAAGTCTGAATAGAAAAAAAAGTCACATCATGGAAAAGAGAACTCAATCAAATATCGGACTTCCACACTATTTATGTGTACTATGTGTACTATGTGTTCTTAATAAATATTCTCATAAATACCTGCAAAATTCGTGGGGTTTTTTTTTGCTTCCAGTATTCAGCAGTCTTGAAGATATGTGATACCTTGGTTTAGGAGCTGTAGAGCTCTGACAGAAGACCCATATTATAATTCCTGCATAACTAAGAAAAAGAAAGTGGACGATACCAATTAAAAAAAAGACTTAGAACCAGAAAGCTGACCTGAAAAGCCATACATAATGTGTTGATATTTTCAGAAATTGAAATTTATTTGAAAGTTTCTGGTATTTCACAGCAAAATATGATGGAAACTGACAAAAATGTAAAGTGAAAATTTTCCTAATGATAGCTCATTCTCCAAAAGTTTATTCTACAAAGATGAATGAAGACAAAATTTTAAATATCACAACGACCCTCTTATTTGATGTTCACTGAGAAAGGAGATATTGTTTTTTTCTCCTAAATTATCCCCAGATTGTAATAATAATGTGTATTAACATGATTAATATTATTTATTGATAATTTTAATAACTTTTAAATCCATCTTGTAGGTTTCAGTTTTTCAAAATCTTTGTTTTAAAATTAAAAGCCCAAGCCCATATGAAAAGATACAAATTTTAATAGATTTTATCTGGCATTTAAAAGGCATTGCCACAGTTTGGCTAACTTAGACAAATATGTCTATCTGGACATTGTAAGTGATTTGGTAGAAATAAAGGCATTACACATGTGGATGCAAACCCACTTGCATGGTATCACTGGTAAAACCTTTAAAGATTAGCTTGAACAGCAAAATCTTATGAGAATATGAAGCTGCCACCTTAATAGCATTCATTATTTTTATTTTTAATAAAGAAATAGCTTTATTTTGGCATAACCAGTATAGGAAATCAAGTTGAATTTGTGTCACATTGTACTGAATAGGTTAGGCATAGGACATTTAGAACCTAAGGTTTTTTAATGTAAGTCAATGTTTTACTTGAATATAAGTAATTAATCAGTATCTAATGTGGTTTTGGGGCCATAGGGTAACTTAGTTTTCATATCCTAAACAAACCTACCTTTTTAGTTGCTTTCAGTCAATAGGGAAATGCTTCAAAGAAATGACCAACAACCAAGTTCCGATGGGCAAGATCTTACCAGTTATTATAAAAAGAAGCCTCAAATGCTGTTAACTTGCATATGGACAACCAGATTTACGCCATAAAATAGGAAATACTTCTATTATTGCATATAAAACTTAAAAAAGGTTTAATTTTAAACATATAAATCATACTTAATCTAACAATATGCACATTATGTGAAAATGTCATCTAACTCTTTGCCTTTCAAGTTCGTATAATATTATAGAAAACGCAGATATTTTCTTTATCTTTCTTTTTTAAAAACAGATTCGTTACCCTGTAGGTTTCAGTTAGTTAATATTGAACAGGGATTCAGGGAAGGATTCTTTTTTAAATTATTGAAGAGATCTGAATATGTTTATAAACTGAGACCGATATCCCAGTGGAGGAATAATGAAACCAAAAACTGATGAAATCTGTTCACAGTCCTGGAGGAGATGAACAATGGAGACAGGGGAATTGGAGGTTAAAATTATATCATCTGCAAGTGGGTGAAGAAATTTGCTCTTTCAATGCTGTGAGCACATTGCTTCTCCAATATAATCCTGGACATGCCCAATTATCCTATTATTTGTGATGTTTATAGATATACATATAATTGGTGAGATGCATTTCTGAGTTTGAAATAGCTTTGAATACTGATTATTTTATTTTATTGATACCTAATATTTTATATATTTGTGGGGTACATATGAGTATTTGTTGATATATTATTATTTGTGCTTACTTTTATGCACAACTTTTCTCTTTTCACATTGGCTCCAGGAGAATTAGAAATTAGGAAGAAAACAGAGAGCAAGTTTTGGTCATTGGTTGGCTGGTGGCTGGTTTTCTTTTCTTTTGTTTTCAAACTTCCAAAGAGGATCTTGAAGCATTCATCAGAAATAATTGGAGGTGGCCGGGCGTGGTGGCTCACGCCTGTAATCCCAGCACTGTGGGAGGCTGAGGTGGGTGGATCACTTGAGGCCAGGAGTTCAAGACCAGCCTGGCCAACAAGGCAAAACCCCGTTTCCACTAAAAATACAAAAATTAGCTGGCGTAGTAGTGAGCTCGTGTAGTCCCATCTACAAGGAGGCTGAGGCAGGAGAATCACTTGAACCCGGGAGGCAGAGGTTGCAGTAAGCTGAGGTCCCACCACTGCACTCCAGCCTGGGTGACAGAGCCAGATTTTGTCTCAAAAAAAAGGAAAAAAGAAAAAAACAAAGGAAAAAAAAAAAGAAATAATAATTGGAGGTGTAGGGGAGCAATGTCTTAATTGACAGGCTGTGGAGCAGCTATTATTGCTAGAAGCAAAAACAATGAGGGAATGGAACCAATGCCTAAGACCACCTACTGGCCACCAGGTGAGCACCACAGCCCTGCTGGGGATTTGCACTGGCTCTTCTCTTCAGAGCTGAGAAGAGTTGCCCAATGGGAGCTCCTTGACTATTGCTTGTTGGTCATCTTAAAATATTGATGGCTGCTTGTGTCCCGAGATATCCTCAGCCCTGTTTGTATATTTCCCTTTCCAATGCGTACACTAGAACACTTACCACTTCCCCTGGGTTCTGAAGTGGGTTCCAAGGTGAGCCAAGATGAGCACTTGTCCTTCAAGAGATTGGAAAGCAGTGACGTCTCAGCTGTTTTACACAGTTAGACACTGGGGATCCATTCAGTGCTTTTTGGAAAGGAAACACAAACATGGCAAGACTTCATACTTAGGTAGCAAATTACAATTTCCAAAGTCTTTTTATACCTTCAATATTAAATTCAGTGTTCTAATTATGGTAAATGTTCTAATTATGGTAAACCACCAGGTTATAGCCTGAGTTTTTGAGGCTTGAAATTTATACTGTTTAGACAGCTTTTGTTAGGAAAAATAATTAAAAGATATAAATTCAAAATTAGGTTGCAACGTAACTATTTCTTTTTTTCTTTTTCTTTTTTTCCTTTTTTTTTTTTTGAGACAGAGTCTCACTCATCACCAGGCTGGAGTGCAGTGGCAAGACCTCAGCTCACTGCAACCTCCGCCTCCCAGGTTCAAGCAAGTCTCCTGCCTCAGCCTCCCAAGTAGCTGGGATTCCAGGCACCCACCACTATGCACGTCCAATTTTTGTGTGTGTGTTTTTGTATTTTTAGTGGAGACAGGGTTTCACCATGTTGGCCAGCCTGGTCTCGAACTCCCGACCTCAGGTGATCCACCCACCTCAGCCTCCCAAAGTGAGGGGATTACAGGTGTCAGCCACCACGCCCGGCCTAACTATTTCTTTAAAATGAGACATGACAACAATAAATTACAAAATTTTAAAAGCTGAGAAATTGCAAAATCAGAAAATCCAGAAAAAATCCAGAAAATAACATAATATTTGAAAGAATCAACTGCCTCAAACATGTCTGTACATTTTTTTTCTATTTTTGGCCACACATTTCTGCTCACTTCTCCATATTACACCATTTATAATATTTTCTATAGAAACAATAAAATGATATTCATTCTTGCCTCTAGCATAATCCTTTCTTTACAAAATTAACAATAAAAATAAACTAAAATAAATTTAAATACTTGACAGTTTAGAAAGTTTACTTCAGCTTCAGGCTAGTCATTGATGATGTCATTAAAAATTTCAAAATTGTTGTCATATTTAGAAGCTGTGGTCTCATAGAAAAAATATCTACAAAGTGTTTGTTGAGCACGATCCTTCTCAAATATACTTACTTTATATTCTCTGATACAGTTTTGTGCCCAAGAAGCACACATTTCTGGTAAATTTCATTGTGTGTAAGTCTCATACAAATTACATGGCAAATTGATAATTTGTATATTTTTAATAACTTCCATTTTGATCAATCATTGATAATAACCTATCTTTCACTTAGAATTTTACACAGCTAATTCTGGGAAGAATTTTCCTCATGTTTTTTTCTGGCCCTGTACATTTCAGTATTGTTTTTCATCCAATGTTCACACACTTTGGGTGCCAGTCATCATGGGACAGATTCATTTTGCTGTAGCATTTCTGGCCTTGTACATTGGTGTCATGATGCCAGGACAGTCAGCACAATGGGAGGCATGACTATTGCTGTAGCCCAGTCCCACATATGGAGAGAAGGCGACAACATAATAACCATATATTAAAGTGACTACAAACCACATCAATACATTCTAATGAAATCAAGCTAAATTATCCTATACCAGTTATCTACAGCTATGCAAGAAAAAAAAGTCCCATATTATGGTGGTTTAAAACAGTAAACATTTTATTGCTTACAGTTTTGTTGGTTGGATATTTGGGGCTCAGTGGGGATGGCTTGTCTCTACTCCATGTGATGTCAGCTGGGGTGACTTGATTAGGGCTAAGAGATCAAAGATTGCTTCATTCTCAATAAATGGAGCTTTGCTGTTACTGTCAAACTGGGGCAATGTGGTTCTCTTCCATGTGGCTTCACTCTCCATATGGTAGTTCATTCACTATGATCTTTCTCTCCACATGTTCTCTGTCTCCGCAGGCTAGCCTGGACTTCTTTTTGTGGAGACTGGATTCCAAGATTGAAAGTAGAAGCTACATGTTTTCTCCAAGCAGGGCTTTCAGACTTCACTTCTGCAACATTTTATTGATGAAAGCAAGTCACAAGACCAGACTGATTCAAGGGGTGGAGAAATAGACCCTACTTCTTGATGGAGGGAGGAGTAGAGTTACATTGCAAAGGGATCTGGACAAAAAAAGGAGTGATTTATTAGGAATCATGTTTAACAATTTACCACAATCCCCAGCGCAACTGCCTGTTAGCTGGATCCAGAAATGTCTACGACTACTGCAATGCCACTTGGCCTTAGGGGTGATGTGACCCAGTGTAAAGAGATGGTGGTCTTAACCAATCACAGTTAAGATAGTTTAGTTTTGGAAGGTATAAAAAATATGTAACAACATGAATGCACTTTTAGGGTCAGACAAGAGACTTGGAAAGAGCCTGCAAAATGGAGGAGCCCTGAGGCCTAAGTCTCATGAGTGTCAATGCTTACCTGTATCTAGACACTGGCATCCCCCTTTTGATAAGGCCAAGATTGATTGTTTTCCTTTTCTACCTACCCTATATCTAATCCATGTACAAACACTGTTGACACACAAAAGAACCCTAAATTCAACAATCTGTGAAGAATTTTTGCACTAACATGTTAGTTCAAAAACTCAACATTGCTTGCTAAGACTATTGCAATAAACTCCTCTATGATCCCCTAATTTGATTCTTGCTCCTCTTATTTTTTACACAGTCATCAGAGTAAATCTTTTCAAAGGTAAATTGGATTTTATGACTTTTCTGCTTCTAATTAGTTTCATCTATACATTAAAATATATTTCCAAACTATTCTACACTGGTCTGTCACTGGCCACCTCCAGAATGTGATTTTCAACCATTTTCTCTATTTTGCTCTCTATATCCCTTTCTCTCTGCTCTATTTTTATTATTTTTAACCACTGCTAGAATATAAGATCCAACTTAAGAAGAGAGATTTTTGTCTATCAGCTTATTCCCTGGGCTTAGCCTAGCACAAGGTAGTGGCACAATAAGCATTTATTAAATAACTAGATATTATATAATTAAAATTTAGCAACAAATTCTATAAGATATATATTATCATTCAATTTGAGTGAAGAAGTTCTGATGAAATAATCAAAATCACTTTAAGCATACGAAAGAGTTAAGGCCCAGACATTATTCTACTGCTGTCTCTACTAAACACATGCTTATTTCTAAACACAGGCTTATTTCAGTGAGAGATTAACTTAACCCAGATTCTTACTATTATAAAGGAGTATCATGAACCCATGAAAGCTGGCTTTATTTCTGAATCTGTTTTCTCTTTTAATTAATAGCAAAACATTTACAAAGGAATAATTAATAGGCACTTACCCTTGGCATACCATGCTGGAACATGTGGTCATTCATGGTAGGGAGCATTTAGGCAAGATTTCTACATCAACCCCACTGTTATCTCTCCAGAGTTGAAGCTATGAGACAATTCAAAAATAATATGGTAGTCAATTCTGTTTACTCAGACAGCTCTCACTCACAAACGGATGATGAGTGACTTTTTATTAAGTTCCAGAAAAGAAATCACAGACTATCTTTTAAGAAGTCAGAGTCTCTTTTTTACCTGCTGATGAGGCACAGGACATGGAAATACATCCTCGGCATCCAATAACGACAGACCTTCCAGATCTTATTGTGCTGGGCACCACATGGTTAAGCTTTTTACTGTGTTAATTTGGTTTTGCGAAGGCCATTTATAAATAGAGTTATGAGGAGATGTATGGAAGAAAGGAGAGAAGAGTGGGAACAAAGCAAAGCTAACGTAAAGACTACCATATCATAAGCATCCTGGTTAGAGACAGTGTTGATTATGCTCAGTGTCACTTTTTCTCCCTGTAGGATTGGACAGTGAAGTTTCTCAGCTATCCTGGGGAGCCAGAGCATAAATTGAAACGAGCTGCCTCAGGCTCCAGGCAGGGGAAGAAAAACAAGAACCAATTCCTTTGCCTTGAAAAAGATACAATAAGCAAATAAGTAGAGGTTTAGTAAGGAACTAGTGAAAGATTTAAAATAATTTTATGAAGATTTCTAACCATACATCAGTCCTATCCTCAAGATATACTTACATCAAGAGTCAAATTTTCTCTAGAGATCTATTAGGTATGCCAACTAATTCCTTAATAAGCTTTTGAAATTTGCATATTCCTTAATAAGTTCTTTAAAAATGAGCAACCAACATATTTATCAGGTAAGCAGTGCATGCTGCGTAAATAATGTATGTTTATTATTTACTTAGGGCATTGCTCTGATCTTTTATGAATATTGTCTGATGGTTAAGAAAAATACATATCTCTCTTCTTTTTTATATTTCTTAAGCCAAAGGCAGGATTTCTACTTCCATTAAAGATTTATTAAATTCAAAAATAAGGAAATTGCATGTTAAAAAAAGCTGGCCTTCTCTTTAGGCCTTTCATATTAAAATAACATTAAAGAAGATGAAAACAAAGCAAATTTAATTTGTTTCCCTGATTTCTCGCTTCTTTATTCATACTCTTCTGTCTTCTATTAATTTTCACCAGAGCTAGATTTTCTCTTAACTCTGAAATTCCCTCACTTTTGTTGGTTTAAGCGATACCCACAGGGGACATTTTTCAAAGTGGTATGCTAGGTTTTAGCTGTGGGAGGCCCATTAATACAGCACATAGAATTTTACTCCCCATAATGACATTTAAAGAGAGCTATTTGTTTTGACTGTGTTCTTTGTGTAGGCCTGAAGGTTACCATAGTAAAACCCCTTTGGCAAATGTGCAGTCAGAAATTTCTGGGTTAAAGTGGTAGGGGGTAAGGAAGAGGACAATTCCAAAATATTTCATGAGCAAAGTCCTGATAAAAGGGAGGGTCTCTGGGGTCTGGTTTGTTCCTTTTCCTTCTCTGAAAAACAAAGGCAAATGCCTCTCATTCCCTCTTCCATCTACCCTCAGAAACCTACACCTCGAAAACCTACAAATTCTAATCTTTCTGATTCTTGCTACAAATTGGATTTTATGGTACTGTTAGGTTAATTTTTGTTTATGAATATTCAGTTTCTTGACTATGGTAATAAATGATCATGAAACTCAAAGCTTCAGAGGTAGTCAACAAGGAAGGACTTTGAAGTTAGCTATGCATTCAAATTCGTAATTTCCTTTGAGAGATCAGCTGTTTACTGTTTAAACTTGCACAAGGCACTTAGCTTCTCTGAGCTTTATTTTCCATCAGCTGTAAAAATGGAATAATACTATATCTTCTAGCAGAGTTGTTATAAAAACTGCTTGAGGTGGAGAGCATTTTTCCAACACAAATCTTGGTCTGTGTTAAGCACAGATAAATGTTAGCTCTCCATCTCTTAACATTTGCTACCATTTTGGATAGAATAACCAAAGAGAGATGTGCATTCTTTTATTATCACGAATCTTTTGTAAAGTCTTATAAAGACAAGAAAACGGTAACCATCCTGGTTGCTGTAAGTATGCAGCTAAGAGGATTTCATTTGACCCTGCTCAATCTATTCTGTCTGAATTCTATCAGGTACATCCAAATAATGTAACATCCTCTTCTATTGTGGCTGAATGTTTATGTCTTGATGATTCATGCATTTGAAGGGAAATTGAATTAACCAAGGAGGGAAATAAAAAATTTAAGAATAAGTTTAACAAGATCAATTCTTTTATAATTGGAACGCTTGCTCTCAGCCTTGAAAAATAGCATTTAAAAAGGTGTTCATGGTCTGTGACTATCATTTGTAAAGTGAAAACTAAGTGTCTTGCCCAAAGGCTCAACAGAAAATCGTGTCTTTGAAGGGAATTTTTCATTTTAAAGAATCTCACAGCACCTTTATAGCATACTTTCTCCTAGATTATTATTCTTGTCACTATCTTGCTTTAAACTAAGAGTTTAGCCTGGAAACATATCATACACTCACTCCTAGCCTTTACCTTATCTCTATCGAAATTGGTATTATTTTATTCTTACAAATTAGCATAATGTACAATAGCATTTCAGAGGTTGATAAAAACATCTGCTACTACTGGTTAGTAGTAGCCAAATGTAACATTTATCAGCCTCAGTTTCTTCATTTGTCAAAAGATATAATAATTCATTCCTCATATGTTTCTGTGATGCATTGATGAGTAATATTTACTGAAAATATCCTATGTGCTGATGTGGCAGTGAGACTCCAAAGCTGGCCACTTGAAAAGATGCCTCCTGAAACTGACACCCTCGAATAGCTTCCGCCCATATTGAATATGAATGGCCCCTGTGATGCACTTTGACACAACTAATATTTGAAAAGATGGGTGGGAGTAAAAAAGAAAAAACATTTTAGAAAAGGCAAAGATCATCAGTAAAAGCCACAGGATAATTTTGGACATGCTTCCGGGATACTAAGAAGACCAACTGAAGAGAAAGCATGCTGGAAAACGAAAGAAATAAAATTTGATAGGTGAATACTGCTGAGTTAACACTGTGCCAGGTCTAGCCCTAAACCTTAAGAAGGCCTAGAAGCATTGGCTTTTGTGCATTTAGGCACCCTGAGCTGCCATGTAGGAAGTCTGTCTACCCTGCTGGAGAGAACATCTGTAGAGATGATGGAGAAATTATCTCTACAGTACTCACAAGGAGCAAGAGAAGAGGCCAGGCCATCCTGATAGCTGTCCCAGTGTTCCAGCTAGCGTGGCCTTTTAGCCATTTCCACCAAGGTCTCAGGTACATGAACCCCATCTGCCAGCTACCTGCAGCTTCATTAGAGACCCCAAGCAAGATCAGCAGAGAAACCACAGAGCTGAGCACCAGCTAACCCACAGAATGATGAGAAATAGATGGCTGCTGTTTTCCAGGATGAAGTGTTGTGAGAGTTCGTTATACAGCAGTGTAAACAAAACAGCTGAGTACTCTACATATATTTATTCCTTTTATTTTTATTCTTCTTCATTTACTCTGTGTGTTTTCCACAGTTTAGTCCTTGCTCCCTCCTTCCCCAACATACTCTCTATGGAGAGCCAGCTGATTCTCACAGCTTCAACAACGAACCCTTCGTTCACTACCCTGGGTTCTATTTCTCCATTCATTCCCTTTCATCAGTATTACTGAACTGCAGCTTCACCAGCTTAGTGAATATTTCTTTTCCTCAAACTCATCTTCATAATTATAATACTATTCTATTTAAGGATTTCATTCACTATCCGTATAATTTTTCAAGACCCTCTGCATTTTGTTGGCATTTACCTATCAGATCTTATTTCTCTCTTTCCAGCATGTGTTCTGTTCTCTCATCAGTTGTTTTTTCACTATCCCATAAACAGTAACTACTTTTGTGCCTTTGCTGTCAGTGCTGTTTCTGAAATGTCCCCCAACTCCCCTCTATCTTTTAAAATGTCATTCTTCCATTTTTAACTTGGGTCCTATGTCTTCTGTGAATTTCTTCCTAACATCTCTTTCATTGATTTTCTTTATCTCTGCGTTTCCACAGGATTGATGATATTATTTATACCTCTTCATATATTATTTTATATTTTGACAAGTGGGTATATGTCATTGGCTACAAATCATAATAGATGCACTTTGATTTAATATTGAAAGTATTCTTTCTTGAAATCTTATTTTAAGATCCTATTCGAGTGCCAAATATAAAGGTTTAGGAAAACATTTGGAAGCTGGAAATAGCTAGTAGTTTCACTTGGCTCATGTACAAAGTGCAGGGGGAAGGGAGCAGGAGAATGTGACGGGAAGGTAAAAATCATGAGAAGTCTTATGCTGTACAAAAACTTGGTATTTTAACCTGTAGATACTGGGGACCATGAAAATATTTTAGCAGGAGAGGAAAAGCCTCTGATTTATATGTTTGCAAAATAAAATGGCTGCTGTCAAGAGAATAGGTTAAAGCGTTGTGCTTTGGTGATAGGGGGTATGGATGAATGTGAAAGTGGCTGCACTAAGATGAGTTAGGAAGCAAAAGCAATTGTTAGGTCAGGTGAGAGATGCAAAAGCCTGAATGGGAGGAGTAGGACGGCAGAAGGGAGACAGAAAGAGCTCTAAGAGGTCTTTGGGGAAAAAATTTTCAGAACGTGGTGGCCAGTTGGCTAAAGGAGAGAGAGTGAATATGACTCCTAGATTCCTGACTTGGAGACTTGTGGTCTCTTACACCAAGATAGGGGGACAGGATGTGAAGCACGCAAATAGGGGTGGGGCATGATTAATTCTTCTTTGGAAGTCTTGAAGTTGAAATATCTGTTGAAAATACAAGTGAGACGTCTGGATCATTGTGAAAATATAGGTTTGAAGTCAAAGAGAGAAACAGGTCTGACTTAAGGATATAGATGTATGAATCATTACTGTTACCATATGTATAGTAACAATATGGGAATTAATGAAATCTCTCAAAGAGAGTTTTGATTGAAAAGGGATCACTAGAGACCAGTAAAATTTGAAGACACGTGAAGAGAATCATTTGAAGAATATTGATTAGATGTGACCAGGAGAGAGAGAGTGATTGTGTGGAAGAAAGGAGAAGAGACTTCTAAGAAAGTGGTCATGGTCACATGTTAAACGTCCATAGAGAGAAAAAGTTAAGACCTAAATTACACAATTGATTTTGTTTGACTTCACTGGGGATTTTATTGAAACGGCAATATTTTCTTGTGGAGTGAAAGTGGGAGCTGCAGTGGTATAAGAGTGAATGGAAAGCAATGAGTAAAGTATGGCTGTGAAGAAAACAAGAGGGGTAGATTAGCAATACAGGCAAACGTAATGAGGCAAGACTTTTATTTATTTACTTATTTTAAGACTGTAGACATTTGAGTAACTAAAGAAAAGTACAGGGAGAGAGAAGAGATGCTGGATGCTTTTAATTTCTAAAATTGTGTCCAAATTTCTTCTTTGCTAATGTGCATGATTACATTTGATTTATAATTAACCTTGGTAATTATCTTTTAAATCTGCTATATTAAGAAAATTTTTCTGTTACATAAACTTAGTCTTTTAGCCAAAAAGAAATTTGCTTTGAATGTGTTTCTTTCTTTTCATTAGATCAAGGGATATAAGATCCCACTCAATCACAAAATGTGTAAGAAAACAGAGAAGAACTTTATTTCACTAAGCTTGATTTGTTTTTACAACTACCTGAAGGTGAAATTAGATTGATATGGTTTATTGGTCATGAATGCTGGTATACAATTATCTTAGTATGTAGTTATCAAATAAACTTATTTTTTCTTTTCTTTTCTTTTTTTTTTTTTTTTTGAGATGGAGTCTCACTTTGTTGCCCAGGCTGCAATGCAGTGGCATGATCTCCGCTCACTGCTACCTCCACCCCCCAGGTTCATGCCATTCTCCTGCCTCAGCCTCCCAAGTAGCTGGGACTACAGGTGCCCGCCACCACGCCTGGCTAATTTTTTTGTATTTTTAGTAGAGACAGGGTTTCATTGTGTTAGCCAGGATGGTCTCGACCTCCTGACCTTGTGATCCACCTGTCTTGGCCTCCCAAAGTGCTGGGATTACAGGCGTGAGTCACCACCCCCGACCTAAACTTATTTTTTCATAATGTTTATTGTCCCACTAAAGACACTAAAATGATATATTTTGGCTTTCTATATTGAAATCCAAATAAATTGCTGAAAAATATAGAAGTGAATAAAAATTAAATCTGATAATAAAACATCTCTACTATTTAATGTTTTTAATTGCTCAGGCAAAATAAGTTTTTTACTACCACAAATTGACTTCATGAAGGGACAATACAAGAGCCTAGTATGATGAATATTTTCCGCTTACAGTATACTTTTGGAAAAATATAGCAAAATAGGTTTTGATTGTAAACTAACTAAAGCAATGACCATGTCATCCTCATCATCTTCCTTCTCATCAGACTTTATCAGTAAGGTTCACTGAATGTCTTCTACATGTCAGGCTTACTACTAGGCACTTTACAGTTCTTTCTTTTTATTCTCATAGTTAACCTATGAAGTTGGACTAACTAGACCACCTCCCTATCAAATAGATACTGGGGAGAAAAATTGCTTTCCTTTACCACACAAAGAAAAATAAAAACCTTTAAAGCCAAAGCCTGTTTTTTGTTCAGCTGAGGGGGCTCCAGTGTTGGCTAAGTATCAGTGGCACCCCATTCCTCTTAGCAGATCTGAAGGGGGAAATTTTTAGTTGTAGGGCACGGGGGTGATGTACCCACTCTTCTGTGAGAGTGTAGCCTTGCAAATTATAAGCAAATGGCAAATTATCTTATTAAGTTGGGTTAAACTGCATTCATGTAAAGAGTTTAGTTTGTCCTTGGAAGGCAGGGACACATGTTAGTGTTTGTGTGTGTGCATGTGTGTTCTAAAAACTATGATATGACAATTAGAAGAATAAAAGTATGAGCCTGAATCACACTGATTGGGTGACACAGAAAGTGGGGCTACTTAAAGTGCTTCCACTCTTCTCAAACTGTTTTGTGGGGCATGAAGCTTCACAAACCGCAATGCTTTATGAGTGTGACTTTAGACTGAGGTTTGAGTCTCATCCAAACATCTCAGACATGAAGCAGACATGTCTGCTTGAGAGCTGAGTGCTAAATATAGGTAAGGACAGCTCCTCTAGGCAAGCAGCAGTGTTTCCTAATTGGTGAGTGAAGAGTCACATGGGGGAAGTTAAAAGGTGAAAATTCTCTCTGAGAGAATGATAGACATGGAAGTTGAGGGCGCAGCTAGGAACGGAGATGATCACAAAGTAAAATGCCACTCTTTGTAGAATTTTTTTTCTTGGAGTCATGTCTGTACACTTTTATTTTACTTACTTCACATATTGTATTTCCACTTAGATTATTCAAACCCTTCTGATACAAGTTTGTTAGGAGAAATTTGGAATGAAGTTATATAATGGAGAGTTCTAAACAGAATTGTAGAAAATAGCAAAGGAGGAAATAGTCAAAATACAGGAAGAGGTTCTAGAACTGAGCTGACTTTTGTGGCAGCCACTAGCCACAGGTGGTTACTGACAACTTAACTACAACCAGTCCCAGCTAAGAGGTGTTGTACATGAAATACACACACCAGATTTCAAGACTTAGTATGAAAAAAAAGTCTTAGTATTTTTGTTGTTGTTGATTACTTGTCAAAATACTAATATTTTGGATGTATTAGTCTAAATAATATATTTTATTAGAAGTAATTTGCTTGTTTTAAAATTATTTTTAATGTAGCTACTAAATTACATATATGATTCACATTATATTTCCACCAGACCATGCTGTTCTAGACTAAAATTGATAGAAAGTGAACAGTGACCTACAGAGGAACAGAGGGGCACAAAAACTTTAAATAAGTGACAACTCTGGAGCAGACACATAACAAACTGCCTAACAAACTTTCTCTTTTCCCATGTTTACTGGAGAGTGATAGCCAAAAAGAGAGATGGGGAAGTTGATGCTTGAGTTCCATACATATGATTATTTAATTTTGTAAATTAGTAAATAGAAATACACAGAAATATAGAATATAGCAGCACACAGAAGATCAGATAAATAACTTTTCTCAGCAATTCTTAATATTTTCCATGTATCTTGGGAATGACTCAATTAATATTCATCTAATTACGTGATCATTCTCTTCTAATCATACAGAAAATAATATTTTTCTAGCTTACAGCGAGGAATAATAAATTTTTTTCTTGCTACTTTGGTCAGAGAGGAAAATTTATTTTCTAAGTTTCACAAAAACTTATGGGGAGGTGTTACAGAAAAGGCTGCCACTGCCAGATTCAAATAAAGGTCATCATGCTCCCATCCCTACATCCCAAATTCCCACATCTATGCCTATGGTTTATGCAATCAGGCTCTTTGTGAGGGGTTATATATTTTTTCCGCCTACTAAATCATAATACAGCCTCCTCCCACATAGTGAAAAAATACAGAAAAACACGCAAAGAAAATCTTAAAAACATCCATTCCATGTGTATTAAAGGAATGTTTTAAACCATTTTATGCATATATGTATACATTTAAAGTGTGTATATTGTTTTATAACCTGTTTAGATTTTCCTTAACATTTAATCTAAAACATTTATTTTCGTACTTTTTTTTTTTTTTTTGAGACGGAGTCTCACTCTGTCGCGCCACGTTGGAGTGCAGTGTGGCGAGATCTCAGCTCACTGTAACCTCTGCCTCCCGGGTTCAAGTGATTCTCCTGTCTCAGCCTCCTGAGTAGCTGGGAATATAGGGGTGCGCCACCACGCCCAGCTAATTTTTGTATTTTTAGTAGAGACGGGGTTTCACCATACTGGCCAGGATGGCGTTGATCTCTTGACCTCGTAATCTGCACGTCGTGGCCTCCCAAAGTGCTGGGATTACAGGCATGAGCCACCGCACCCAGCCTATTTTCCACTAAGTACTGTTCTAAAGCAGCTATTTTTAAATATGGGTGCCCTATAGGCTCCTGTAAGGGCAGGTAGAGACAAAGCCAAGGGGAACTGGGATACTGTGGATTTGCTTACATCAGTACTCAGTTTTGCTATTCCTATATCATTGAGGTGTCATTTGAAGAGATGGCTCTTCTAATAAAATTAATGTGGGTATATTTTATTCTAAAATATAATGATTGAAGACTACTTGATATTCCATTGCTTTTATAGCCCATCCTTTATTTAACCAATCTACTGTTAAAGAGGATTAAAATGTATTTCTTCTTTTTTCACATTATAAATAACAATATAATAAATATTGAGTACATGAATATTTTATATATTTCAGATAGTTTTGATAAAATACATTTCTGGAAGTATAATCGTTCAGCTAGATGATATAACCAACCATTACTTGTCAAATGTCTTTCCTAACTTTTGCATCAGTGCACATTCACCAGCAGTGTGTATATTTTTATTTCATTGAAACCTTGCTTACTATGCGTATTTTTAAGAAAATTCTGTAATTTGCAACGTTTTTTCATTAGTTGAATGTATATTGCTTTCTTTATTCATATTTCATATGCTTAGTAGTTTTTTTCTTCATATGTGAAATTTCTGCTTCTCTTCTTACCTCAATCTTTTCTCAATCATACCAATTTCCTAGACATTTTTATATAGCAATATTAAGCCTTGTTAATAGTCTACATATATTTTCCCATGTTTTTATTTGATTTTAAATTTAAATTTTTTGCTTATAATGTTTTGACATATGGAAACGTTTAATTTTGTGTAAGTACCTCTAAGATTTCCTTAAAAGATTCTTTTCTACATTTATGCCTAGAAAAGTCTTCCTTACTCCAAGATCAGATACCTTTTCTTCTAGTTCCTTTATTGTGTAAGTTTTTGCATAGATATGATAAATCCATCCATATATTTGAAGCGGGGAGGTGTGTGCAGGTACAATGCAAACTAAAGATTTTTTTTTTAAATTCCATCAAGAGGGAATTAAATGACTTATGATCTAGTTATTATCCCTAAATTCTACACTGATTATATTTTATATTCTAAATTTTTCATTAAACTTGGATCCCTTTGATGAAATTTTTAAATTTTTCATTGATCTTTCTATTTTTACTCTTAGTCATTTAAAAATTAGTGAAGCCTTATGGTGCATATTGAAATGCAAAAGAACAATAACTTTTTTATTAATTTTTTCTTTAAGTTAAATTTTTTTCAATAATCTGTCTACCGGTTTTTTCCTTCTAGATTGATAGACTTTATATTTATGTCCTTATAAATTAAATGTATCTATTGATTTGGTAGAAACAGGGCAGATATGCTCCAATAAATTTTCTCATGCTTCCTTTGTCTGTTGACTCATGTTTTCTTTTATGCAATTTTGTTTAAAAGGTTTTCCAATAGATTATTGCCTGTTTCTTACTAAGTTTATTTGTGTATGTGGATGTGGATGTAAAACAGTTTCTTACATGTCAGCAATCATCAGTTAGAACATATGAAATTGGAAAATTATATTTGTTAAAATGCTTTTCACTTGATTCTTTGGATTTATAATTAGAAAGTATCTGAACATAATAATTTTTTTCTTTATAGTGGTTTATATCTTATATTTATTTTTATTTTCTTTTTCCTTTGGTGAGAACTTCCAAAGAAATACTAAGTGTTAGTACTTTTGGTAATAGTTGCTGTTTCTCACTTTAATGAATGCTTCCAGTGTTTCCCAATTATGCATAATATTAGCTTAGGGCTTCAGATAAACATCATTCTTGTTTACTCACACTCTTTTTATTGCTTTTTAAAGTTTTTCTATCAGGGTAGAATGAAAAAATGTTTCCTTCCCTCTCTCCCTCCCTCCCTGTCTTCCTTTCTCCCTTCCTTCCTCTCTCCCTTCCTTCCTTCCTTCCTTTTGCTCTTGTCTTTTTTTTTCCACTATAGCCATAGCCTGAGTAATGTTAGCTTCACAAAATTAATTCAAAACTGTTCCATGTTTCCTGTGCTCAGGAATATTTGTCTTAGCATTGGCAGCATTTCTTACTTTAAAATGCATGTCGTCTGACTTTTTTAAGTGTTTATTTTTTAGAACAGTTTTAGGTTCACAGAAAAATTGAGAAGAAGGGGCAGAGATTTCCAGCGTATCCCCTGTCCCCACACGTGCACAGCCTCCCCCTTTAATTTAACAACAGCCCCCACCAGAGTGGTACATTTGTTACAACTGATGAAACTTTTCCTGAATGTCAGTTACTTGGAACGTAGTCTTTACCAATGTGGCGAAGCGTGGGGGTAAGACAAATATTCTACAGTTCTATGATTAGGTCTCAGTCTTTTAGTGAACTTAGGCCTCTAGACTGTAAATTTCACGAGTTGTTTCTCAGTTTTTTCCTACTCTCAGGTGGGTTGGAGTTAGGTATTTTCCTTTTCCCATGTGGAAGGTTAGAGCTGACAGAACTTGGGTATTTCGCTTCCCCCAAGTGAGTCAGGCTCTGTTAACGCCCCAGCAGGTTAGACTCTGGTTCGCTGGAGTCTCCTGAGGACAGGATTTGTGAAGCGAAGGCTTTGTTAAGAACAGAATGTTCTGCTACATTTCAAAATGGTTCCTTTTCCCCTCCCCCTGCTGGAAACACGAGGGAATTTTTCTGTGATATTTACTCTGAGAACCTGCCCATGCCCCTGGAGGTAAAACACAAAAGTGTGTGGGGGCCCCCTTTGACTAGTTCCTGGTGGAGTGTTTTAAGTCTCAGAACCGTGCACCCTGAGCCTCCAGCAGTTTCTTAATTACAGTTCAGATTTTCTCACCAAGACCTTGGTTCCCACCGTTTCTGTTTGTGAGCCTTTGCTATGTAGATTTTTGTCTATTAGTCTTAATGCATTCAACTTTGTAACTTTGTCTCTTTTACTGCTATTTCAAAGTATTTATTCATTTCCTTATTATTTAAACATGATAATTTCTTGTATATTTTTTAAATTCCTGATTGTATGTCTTTTGTGAATTTATTAAGTTGAATTTAAGTAATTAAATAATTTTTACTTTTTCTCATTTAATAATGAAAACATTTTGAGTTGTGGGAAATATGACATATAATACTTTTTAATTATACATAGTTTTGATTTCCTATTGACCCTAGGATTTCATATGAATATTAAAAAAAAAAACCTGTCATTTTGGGTTTTGTTTTGTTGTTGCTATTGTTTCTGTTATTGTTATTTTGCTATTTTATTGTACTTGGGACAAAGATTATTGTTGGCATTGTGTTTGCTTTCTGTGTGTTTTGTAGGTTTCTTTGTGCCTTATTCTGAGATTAGTCTTTATAAATATTCCAAAAGCTGCTTTACAAGAAGGTGATCTCTTAGAACATAAGGCTTAATAAAAAGAAATTGTCAAATCAAACTTATTAACTCTTCAGGTAATTATACATTTTTTCTTTTTTAAGAAATGTCTATTTCCCTTATGACTTTTTCACTGCCCAGACATCTCATTTTTAATCTCAACTCATATTTTTATCATTTCATCATTCATATCTTGTTTCATGGGGTCTATATCTTATTGAATTTTAGCAGTCTATAATTAATATTTTTGGAAAATTATTTGGTGTATTATATCCTCATTCAGTGCTTGTTGAGCACTCTGTCTTCCTCTGCCCCGTGTATGTGTTTCCCCCTCTTCTGTTTGCATGCCAATACTTCTACAGGAAGTGTTCTGCAGTACATTGTTCAGACTCTCCTTGAATTCTTACACGTTTCACCTGGGTTACATTAGAATCACCTTATCAGATTCCAAGTTAGAAGGCTGATGTGTATTATCAATTCAATATTCTACATTCTGAAAGAAAAGAGACAGGACAATAGCCATTTCTGGCAAGCCTGAGTCCTTACTGTGATTTATTTTATTTTCTAGTTATAGAATTCTTTCCATTTTACTACAGAGATCTTGTTAGCCTAGTCTGTATTAGTGCCTCAGGCAAGAATTATGTAGCTTTAAATATAGCATCACACTGAGCCTTTTAATAGCAAATTCTTCCTGTGGTGAATGAATATCCAATCCTATGAGAGCCTAATCTTACTTATGGTGACCTGGCTTGAGGGTCCCATGGATGTTAGACTCTCCCTAAATCTATTGTATATATTTTTACACATTTGAACTTCAGTTGTGGGCAGAGATTTAGTTTTTCTCATGGAAAACCTACCCCCTTACCAGGCTATTGCCTACACATCTGTATATCTATTATAAATATTTATAAATACTCCAAAATAATTAGCAAATTAGTCACTTTTTCAGGTGACTTCAGTAATTGACTTACTGATGGATATCAAACCCAAGATTGGATGATTAAATCTTTTTCTAAGATTCTTGGAATTTGAGTTGGCTGCAACTATAAGAATATAAGACAAAATTCTCAGAACTGGAATTCTGTTCATGTAGAGAAACCCCTCTAGTATGATCACAGGTGGGCATGGGTGCTCTGGCAAGTAGGCTACTCTCTAATGCTTATTCATCCCTCTTTCCACGTGTATATTTCAATCAGGTAAATTCTATGATTACCTAGAGTCAGCTGGATTCTCCCACAACAAATATGCTAACATTCAAGCATTTGTAATTATACAATTTAATGGAATATTATGCATATTACAGAAATTAATGTATGATTAGGTGACATAAGAGAGAGTAATCAGTCATTGTTTTATATTTTCTGTAAATTAGTAACAATTCTCCCTAATTATTCCAATTTAGCCATGTTTTAAGTTATAGCCTGCCTATCTGGGCTGGATTTATGTTTGCCTATTCTTGTGTGCACTGTACCATGTGGTGAACTTTAGCCCTACTCATTAGGTTATTTGCATTAATGAATCCATCTTAACACATAAGCTAATCTGAATTAGGTTCTTGTAACATGAAAATAGAACTACATGACAAATATACATAGTGAGGTAACCTCATGACACAGAGAGTGATATGAGTGTGTGAACATTATGCAGTTACATCATTCTAAATGTACAATAGACTAACCCAGTATTTTTTGAAGGATTTTGCAAATACTGAAGAAACTCCTGATCTGCACTTGATAGGGTTTTCTGGGTCTCCAGAGAGCTCCATTCCCTCTGTACCACGTGAGCTGACTGATGCTTATAGAGTACTGGGTACTCGTGGCTAGTAAGCAACTCTAATGCCTACCCCCCATATGTATGCATCTACTAGATATTAATCTACTTTATATTTTTCACAAACATGCCAATATTCTTATATTAATAATTATGAAATCCAATTGAATATGAATAAAATTACAGAAATATCAATGTGAAAATATTTGTTATTTTGATGAAAACTAAACTGACTGCTTTGTAAAAGTTTGCTAAAGGTAAGTGGAATTCTATGGGATTAGATCTACTGCGAACAATGAAAAATAATTTTGCCAAATTTTAGAAGATTTTGCATTCACATATAACTAAGATTTTTTTTGACAAGATTTGATTATGCGAAAAAGATGACTGGAACCATAATCAGCAGACTCATACTCAAAGAGGACTTGCCCTAATGTCAAAATATTACTGAAAGAATGTAGATTAACATTTTCTAAGTTAACTGTCATTTTCATGATAATTCATTCCAAATAATTTTTTAACTTGATTGAATAATTCTTGCCAAATCCTATTTTTGCTAAATTTTCTAAAAAAAAAATCATTAACCTTAGGAGAATTCCATTCAATTACTTGAGTTTTTTCCTCGCTTTTTTTTATTGTTTATTCCCTATTGTAACTCTCTTGGCTCTTTAATTTTCAAAGCCCAGAAATGGGCAAGTTATTCCAATGTTAAACATCACTAAATACCAAGAAACCCTACTTTTTTCTGTTTAAATTAATGCTATTAATTAGAAGATTTCTTAGGATAGACAGTGGAGAGCCGACTTTTTTGAAGAGGCAGGGTGAAGCAGATCAGAGAATGTGCTGGGAATAACGTAATCTGCATTCAAATCCTGATCCTGCCATTTTCTTGAGTGACTTTGTCAATTTATGATAGTTCTCTGTGCCTCATTTTCCCTTTTGGGTAAAATAAGAAAAGCCATATTGCCTACTTCATATGGCTGTTCTGAATATTAAATGAGTAAACACAGTTAAAGCCATTTAGAATACTGTCTCATTTTTATTAGCCAACTGTAATCTTTAAATGTCTTCAGATTCTTCGAGTTCTCAGATTTTGAGAACTAAACCTAAAACTTACAGTACCCCAAATATTTCTTCTTTCATATATATAATTAAAATACCCATGTTTTTCATAATATTTTGTTATTAATTTCTTTGAAGGACATAAATGGGTATATGTGTGTCTCTGTGTGTGTTAAATATAGGAGAAAATTAATTAGAAATGAGTACTTTTATATAAAGAAAGCTGCCTGGTAGGCTGAAACAGTATCTTCAGGGGAAAAAAAATAAGCTCAAGGCCTGGATTATCAAATGTAGCAGTTCAGTGGTTCAATTCATACCTGACAGGCTTCAAAGACTATGCAAATTGATCTCCCAGCTGCAAGGGTAATTAACATGGGTTTGTTGCAAGGATCTGTTCTTCTATCCATTCTTCTTCATGATTATTTTAGTAGCTTAACAATAGTCTGTAACTACTTAATCTAGTGTTAGAGCAGATATAAAATTACCTTACTCTTGCGTGTAAAATAAGACTTCTACTCTTCAAAATGCCCTCTGCTTACTTGATATGCTAAGGTTGGCATACCAGGTGGAGACGCAGGATAACTAGATGCAGGTAAAATAGCCCTTTTTCATTCAGATACTTACTTGAACTGCTCCCTCTTGATCTTCTAAGTGTTGCATACTTATTAGTGGATTTACTATTAATATTTTTTTGGTTCATTAGCAATGAAGCATGTGTGCGTATCTATGTGTGCCTGTGTGTGGTGATGGGTTTTGAGGGGAGAGCACTCCATCTATCATCTAAGCCATCAAGCATAACTGTACTTTCTTCTAGCCAGAGAAAGCCACATAAGCTGTTAATAATGTTATAAATGATTAAATAATTAAGAATCACATTCAGTGTTACTCATAGACTCATCACAGTTCTTGATGAGCTTACAGGAGCTGATACAAAGTGCGCATTCACACAATGCTGCCCATTCAGCACTTGAATATGGGCATCTCTACAAAACGAATTTGTAGTAGCTCAGTAATTCAACAACAAAAAAATAGCACTTCTGAGTATGGCTTATGGACATAATTATGTAGTTAAAATGTAATAAAATTAGAAATTATAGAGAGCTGACTTTAATACTGTGTCTAGTTAGAAATGGAACAAATCATTTAAAAGTTGGTGGCTTACCACAACAATCCTATATTTACCCGTAGGTATCACTGATAAAGAGTATTCCATTGTTTGAATATCCCAGGGTTTATTTTTCCTTTTAACTCTTACTGGCAATTTATGTTAACTTCTGTTATTTTTCCTTGTTTCAAATAATGCTTTTTTGTCTCCTTGTGCATATGTGTGAGATTTTCTCTAGGATTAAACTGCTAGGTTGATGGATGCGTTTTTTCAACTTTACTAGATATTGTCAAATTGCTCGCTAACTGGCTAAACATATGTACACACTATGGATTTAATTGTGATCCTGCAAAATTGACACGTTGAAGCTCATGATGGGATTAGTGCCCTTGTAAAAAGATAAACTAGAGCTCTCTCCACACTATGTGAGGACACAGCAAAAAGGTAGCCTTCTGAAAGTCATGAAGAATGTCTTCATAGGACCTAAATCAGCTGGCACCTTGATCTTAGACTTCTTAGCCTCCAGAACTATGCAAAATAAACATCCATTATTTAAGCTACCCAGGCTATGGTATTTTTGTCATGGCAGCTCAAACTAATACAGTACACCACTACCAACTGTGTAAATTTTTGTATGTACTCACCATCCACCATCTCTTGGTATTGTCTGATGTTTAAAATGTTGTCATTATGATTGCATATGTAATATCTTGCTATGTCAATTTGTCTTTTCATGATTATCAAGATGGTTGAGCATCTGTTCAACATTAATTGGTTTTGTAGGTTTCATCTTTGGTGAATTGCTCTATGTATCAACTGCCCTATCTTCAATCATTTTCTTTTATATTTGCTTGTATTAATTTCTATATTGCATACCAATCTATTTTGGTCTGTAGATTGTGTTTTCATGTTTTAGTGCCTTTTGATGTATAGCAATTTTTATTTTTATTGTAGACAAATTTGTCCATCTTTTTCTTTATGATTTTTGTTTTGGGGGAGTTGATTAAAAATTCTAACATATCACAATGTTATAAATATATTTTCTTTAATATCCTCCAAAAGTTTTAAAGTTGTACTTTAAAAAATTTGTTTTACCTCAATTGATTTTTGTACATGATATGAAATGTGACTTTTATTTTTTCATTATGAATAACCGTTTGTCCCAGAATCATTTATTGAATAATTAATCTAAATTTTCAAATCCTGTCATATGTGATTCACTTTCAGAGTACTCCGTTTTGTAATATTGTTCTCTTTATTTATTTCTTTACTAACTTTGCAATCTTGGTTCAAATAAGTGTTGAAATCATCTCATGGGTTATCAGAAAAATTTAAATTATATACATAATTTTAAACATTAACTTGTCAATTACTAATCAAAATCTTACTTAGAATTTAGTAAAAATTACAATGAATGGATAGATTTAGGAAAAGCTGACTTTTTACTTTTTTCTTTTTTTTTTTAAACTTGATCTTCTTACCCATGAGTATAGTTTACTTTTCAGCTTATAGATTTTTGTCTTTCAATAAAACTTTTTACTTTTTCTCTATATTTCAACTAAATGTCTTCAATATGCCCTATTTTTGTGCTATTGCAAATGATATCCTTTATGACACTTATTGCTTTGGAATAGAAATTATAAATTGATCTTCTATTCACCAGTGTTATTCAACTAGTATTAATTCTTGTTGTTTTTCTGTTGCCATCCTCAAGTAATGGCAGTTTATTACTTTTTCCCTAATTTCTTATTAATACAATCTTGTACCAGCAAGAGTCTCATAGCCAATGCTGGATTATGTAGTGATGATGTCTGTTTTGATCCTGATTTTAAAAGCAATGTTTCTGAGAACTCTTCTTTACATGTATTTTAGCCATTGATTTTGGATAGTCTTTATCAGATTCACTTTTGTTTCTGTATCTCATTTTCTAAGACTAATTATGAATAGGTTTTGATTTTTAAAACAAATAAATTGAAAATATCTATTGAGATATTTTTCTGCTTTAATCTGCTAATGTGGTCAATTGTGTCGATATTCTTATCTCTAAAACATTTTGTATTCATTGGACAAATCTTAGTCATGATGTATTTTTAAAATAAATCAATAGATACTTTTGCCAAAACTGGTTTAAAATTTTTGATTCCATGTTCATGCATAAAATCATTTGGTGATTATTCCCCATTTTTCTTTTCTCTGAGAGAGTTTGTATAAAGATAGAATTATATGTTTTCCAAAATTTTAGTAGAACATCTCCAGTATCTCCCCTTCTCGCAGAACTCTTAACCCTATTTTTTAAATCCTATGTCTTACTAAGAGAGTATAGATGTGTGCTTCTGGAACTAACATTTCCCTTGAAGGATATTTCCACTGTTTTATTAATCCTTTGTTTCTTCTATTATATACATCTTTTTTTCAAAACCACATATATTATCATTTCTGATAGTCTGTTATTATCTCCACTACCTTATTTTGCTTACCTTGCTGTAACAGAATACATGAGACTGTGTATTTATAAAAGAAACAAGTTTATTTGGCTCATGGTTGTGGAAACTGGGCAGTCTTAAGAGTATGGCTGTAGCCTCTGGTGAGGGTTTGAATTACATCATAACATGGCAGAGGAGAAGAGAAAGCAGGCAGATGCGAAAGGGGCACCAATGAGGTAGTTAATCCAGTCCTGAGAGAATGAGAACTCACTCCCACCAGAACTAACCCAATCTCCTAAGAGTAGCATTCATTCCTTGTAACCACCTAATCACCTTTTAAAGGCCTTGTCTCCCAGCACCACCACACCAATGACCAAATTTTCAACACAAGGATTCTGGGTAATAACTCAAACCACAGCATTCATTCTGCCTTCCCTTTATTCTATCTTAAGATCTAATTTGTTTGGTTATTTATTTATTGGGGGGAGCAATAAAGACATTTCTTAAATATTTCCCTTCCATCAAACTCATCCTAATTTCAAGTAGTGCCAGAATGTCTCTGGGATTGGGAGAATCAGGCCAAGAGGAAGTTGAGTTGGGTACATGTAGTTTGGGATTAATAGGATACAATTAATTAGCTTAAACAGTCAATTTCATTTAAGTTATGTTATTGCTACACACCCTGGTGTATGACTAGCCCCCCAGTATACTGCTACCAGTGATTGTGCCCATCTACTCATCATTGTAAGTCAAAGGTGCGAGTTCACAAGTTATTCTATGAAGTGAATGTTCCCTTCAGCAACTGGCACTGGGGGCATGTTAGCAGTGAGAGAAAAGCAATATTTAAAAGCACAGAGCAAGAAATTGATCTGTTAGAAATTATTCCCATCATTAGGTAGGTAAAATTATAATTAAATGTCTTTGTTTCTCCTGAATACCTAGGAAAAAATGAAGAGTTGTTTTCCCAGAATTATAGAAGTATATCCAGTAAAGCAATTATAGATACACCATACTTTTTTACTGTTGGGAATTACACAAAATAGAGTTGACTAATCTCTGTGCTTTAGTGCACAGATCTGTAGTGAGACTAGAAAGAGTCATACATTTGCATGAGAATATGTGTGTTGAATGTACCCCAACGTATGAGATTGTATTTTAGCAAGTGACATATTTTGTCTTGTTGAAGTCTAATTGTCCCGAACAGAGTGGATTTCTAGAATGCCACCCACATAGTAAACTGGCCTAAAGATAAATGATTTCTAGTGACCAAAATCTAATGTATACCAATTAGTGAGTCAATGTGAAAAAGGAGTAACTTGATTATACAATCTGCAGTTATTAGAATGTAGAAGCAATTTCAAAATGCACTTAAATTGCCTGTGTATGTGTTAATTTCAGGTTAAATTTGTATGTGACTTTTTCAAAATTATTCATCATACCAAAATGCAAATGTAATAGAAAGCCAAGAATTTACTCCAGAAAAGAAAACTTGTAACTTTAAAATATAAAATAATTCTAGTTTTTCACAATGAGTGCTAGTTATCCACAACTTTTGATGCTGTAAGAAACTCAAACTAGGTTTCCATTCCAAGATGGCTGAATAGGAACAGCTCCAGTCTGCAGCTCCCAGCGTGATCGATGCAGAAGACAGGTGATTTCTGCATTTACAACTGAGGTACCTGGTTCATTTCACTGGGACTGGTTGGACAGTGGGTGCAGCCCACGGAGGGCAAGCCAAAGCAGGGCGGGGCATTGCCTCACCTGAGAAATGCAAGGGGTCAAGGGATTTCCCTTTCCTAGCCAAGGGAAGCTGTGACAGACTACCTGGAAGAATGGGACACTCACGCCCAAATACTGCACTTTTCCCACAGTCTTAGCAACTGGCAGACCAGGAGATTTTCTCCCATGCCTGGTTCGGCAGGTCCAATGCCCACAGAGCCTTGCTCACTGCTACTGCAGAAGTCTGAGATTTACCAGCAAGGCTGCAGCCTGTCTAGGGGAGGGGCATCCACCATTGCTGAGGCTTGAGTAGGTAAACAAAGTGGCCGGGAAGCTTGAACTGGGGCAGAGCCCACTGCAGCTCAACAAGGCCTACTGCCTCTATAGACACCACCTCTGTGGGCAGGGCATACCTGAACAAAAGGCAGCAGAAACTTCTGCAGACTTAAACGTCCCTGTCTGACAGCTCTGAAGAGAGCAGTGGTTCTCCCAGCATGGCGTCTGAGCTCTGAGAACAGACAGACTGGCTCCTCAATTGGGTCCCTGACCCCTGTGTAGCCTAACTGGGAGACACCTCCCAGTAGGGGCCGACAGACACCTCATACAGGTGGGTGCCCCTCTGGGATGAAGCTTCCAGAGGAAGGATCAGGCAGCAATATTTGCTGTTCTGCAATATTTGCTGTTCTGCAGCCACCACTGGTGATACCCATGCAAACAGGGTATGGAGTGGACCTCCAGCAAACTCCAACAGATCTGCAGCTGAGGGACCTGACTATTAGAAGGAAAACTAACAAACAGAAAGGAATAGCATCAACATCAATGAAAAGGACATCTACACCAAAACCCCATCTGTAGGTCACCAGCATCAAAGATCAAAGGTAGATAAAACCACAAAGATGGGGAGAAACCAGAGCAGAAAAGCTGAAAATTCTAAAAACCAGAGTGCCTCTTCTCCTCCAAAGGATCACAGCTCCTTGCCAGCAAAGGAACAAAGCTAGAGGGAGAATGACTTTGATGAGTTGACAGAAGTAGGCTTCAGAAGGTTGGTAATACCAAACTTCTCCTAGCTAAAGAAGCATGTTCTAACCCATTACAAGGAAGCTAAAAACCTTGAAAAAAGGTTAGATGAATGGCTAACTAGAATAAACAGTGTAGAGAAGACCTTAAATGACCTGATGGAGCTGAAAACCATGGCAAGAGAACTTCATGATGCATGCACAAGCTTCAATAGCTGATTTGATCAAGTGGAAGAAAGAGTATCAGTGATTGAATATCAAATTAATGAAATAAAGTGAGAAGACAAGTTTAGAAAAAAAAAGGGTAAAAAGAAACAAACAAAGCCTCCAAGAAATATGGGACTATGTGAAAAGACAAAATCTACGTTTGATTGGTGTACCTGAAAGCAATGGGGAGAATGGAACCAAGTTGAAAAACAGTCTTCAGGATATCATCCAGGGGAACTTCCCCAACCTAGCAAGGCAGGCCAACATTCAAATTCAGGAAACACAGAGAACACCACGAAGGTACTCCTCGAGAAGAGCAACCCAAGACACATAATTATCAGATTCACTAAGGTAGAAATGAAGGAAAAAATGTAAAGAGCAGCCAGAGAGAAAGGTCGAGTTACCCACAAAAGGAAGCCCATCAGACTAATGGCGGATCTCTCAGCAGAAACTCTACAAGCCAGAAGAGAGTGGGGGCCAATTTCAACATTCTTAAAGAAGAGAAGTTTCAACCCAGAATTTCATATCCAGCCAAACTAAGCTTCATAAGTGAAAGAGAAATAAAATCCTTTACAGACAAGCAAATGCTGAGAGATTTTTTTACCACCAGGCCTGCCTTACAAGAGCTCCTGAAGTAAGCACTAAACATGGAAAGGAACAACTGGTATCAGCCACTGCAAAAACATTGCAAATTGTAAAGGCCACCAATGCTATGAAGAAACTGCATCAATTAATGGGCAAAATAAACAGCGAACATCATAATGACAGGATCAAATTCACACATAACAATATTAACCTTAAATGTAAATGGGCTAAATGCCCCAATTAAAAGATACAGACTGGCAAATTGGATAAAGAGTCAAGACCCATCAGTGTGCTGTATTCAGGAGACCCATCTCATGTGCAGAGACACACATAGGCTCAAAATAAAGGGATAGAGGAAGATCTACCAAGCAAATAGAAAGCAAAAAAAAAGCAGGAGTTGCAATCCTAGTCTCTGTTATAAAACAGACTTTAAACCAACAAAGATCAAAAGAGACAAAGAAGGCCATTTCATAATGGTAAAGGGATCAATTCAACAAGAAGAGCTAGCTATCCTAAATATATATGCACCCAATACAGGAGCACCCAGATTCAAAAAGCAAGTCCTTAGAAACTACAAAGAGACTTAGACTCCCACACAATAATAATGGGAGACTTTAACACCCCACTGTCAATATTAGACAGATTGAGACAGAAGGTTAACAAGGATATCCAGGACTTGAACTCAGCTCTGCACCAAGCAGACCTAATAGACATTGACAGAACTCTCCACCCTAAATCAACAGAATATACATTCTTCTCAGCACCACATCACACTTATTCTAAAATAGAACACAAAATTGGCAGTAAAGCACACCTCAGCAAATGTAAAAGAAAAGAAATCACAACAAACTGTCTTTCAGACAACAGTGCAATCAAATTAGAATTCTGGATTAAGAAACTCACTCAAAACTGCAAAACTACATGGAAATTGAACAACCTTCTCCTGAATGGCTACTGGGTAAATAATGAAATGAAGGCAGAAATAAAGATGTTGTTTGAAACCAGTGTGAACAAAGACACAATGTACGAGAATCTCTGGGACACATTAAAAGCAGTGTGTAGAGGAAAATTTATAGCACTAAATGCCCACAAGAGAAAGCAGGAAAGATCTAAAATTGACACCCTAACATCACAATTAAAAGAACTAGACAAGCAAGAGCAAACACATTCAAAAGCTAGCAGAAGGCAAGAAATAACAAAGATCAGAGAAGAACTGAAGGAGACAGACAAAAAAACCTTTCAAAAAATCAATGAATCCAGGAGCTGGTTTTCTGAAAAGATCAACAAAATTGATAGACTGCTAGCAAGACTAATAAAGAAGAAAACAGAGGAGAATCAAATAGACACAATAAAAAATGATAAAGGGGATATCACCACCGATCCCACAGAAATACAAACTACCATCAGAGAATACTATAAACACCTCTATGCAAATAAACTGGAAAATCTAGAAGAAAATCTAGGATAAATTCCTGGACTTTTTTTGGTTGGTAGGCTATTAATTATTGCCTCAATTTCAGAGCCTGTTATTGGTCTATTCAGAGATTCAGCTTCTTCTTGGTTTAGTCTTGGGAGGGTGTAAGTGTCCAGGAATTTATCCAGATGGATTCACAGCTGAATTCTACTAGAGGTAAGAAGGAGGAGCTGGTACCGTTCCTTCTGAAACTATTCCAGTCAATAGAAAAAGAAGGAATCCTCCCTAACTCATTTTATGAGGCCAGCATCATCCTGATACCAAAGCCTGGCAGAGACCCAACAAAAAAGAGAATTTTAGACCAAAAGCCCTGATGAACATTGATGCGAAAATCCTCAATAAAATCCTGGCAAACTGAATCCAGCAGCACATCAAAAAGCTTATCCACCAAAATCAGGTTGGCTTCATCCCTGGGATGCAAGACTGGTTCAACATATGCAAATCAATACACGTAATCCGTCACATAAACAGAACCAATGACAAAAACCACATGATTATCTCCATTGATGCAGAAAAGGCCTTCGACAAAATTCAACAACCCTTCATGCTAAAAACTCTCAATAAACAAGGTATCGATGGAATGTATCTCAAAGTAATAACAGCTATTTATGACAAACCCACAGCCAATATCATACTGAATGGGCAAAAACTGGAAGTATTCCTTTTGAAAACTGGCACAAGACAGGGATGCCCTCTCTCACCACTCCTATTCAACATAGTATTGGAAGTTCTGGCCAGGGCAATCAGGCAGGAGAAGGAAAAAAAGGGTATTCAATTAGGAAAAGAGGAAGTCAAATTGTCCCTGTTTGCAGATGACATGATTGTATATTTAGAAAACCCCCATTGTCTCAGCCCCAAATCTCCTTAAGCTGATAAGCAACTTCAGCAAAGTCTCAGGACACAAAATCAATGTGCAAAAATCACAAGCATTCCTATACACCAATAACAGACAAACAGAGAGCCAAATCATGAGTGAACTCCCATTCACAATTGCTAGAAAGAGAATAAAATACTAGGAATCCAACTTACCAGGGAGGTGAAGGACCTCTTCAAGGAGAACTACAAACCACTGCTCAACGAAATAAAAGAGGACACAAACAAATGGAAGAACATTCCATGCTCATGGATAGGAAGAATCAATATCGTGAAAATGAAAATGACCATACTGCCCAAGGTAATTTATAGATTCCATGCCATCCCCATCAATCTACCAATCACTCTCTTCACAGAATTGGAAAAAACTACTTTAAAGTTCATATGGAACCAAAAAAGAGCCCACATTTCCAAGACAATCCTAAGCAAAAAGAACAGAGCTGGAAGCATCACGCTACCTGACTTCAAACTATACTACAAAGCTACAGTAACCAAAACAGCATGGTACTGGTACCAAAACAGATATATAGACTAATGGAACAGAACAGAGGCCTCAGAAATAACACTACACAACTACAACCATCTGATCTTTGACAAACCTGACAAAAACAAGAAATGGCAAAAGGATTCCCTATTTAATAAATGGTGCTAGGAAAACTGGCTAGCTATATGTAGAAAGCTGAAACTGGATCCCTTCCTTACACCTTACAAAAAAATTAATTCAAGATAGATTAAAGACTTAAATGTTAGACCTAAAACCATAAAAACCCTGGAAGAAAAGCTAGGCAATACCATTCAGGACATAGGAATGGGCAAGGAATTTATGACTAAAACACCAAAAGCAGTGACAACAAAAGCCAAAATAGACAAATGGGATCTAATGAAACTAAAGAGCTTCTGCACTGCAAAAGAAACTACTGTCAGAGTGAATAGGCAACCTACAGAATGGGAGAAAATTTTTGCAATCTACCCATCTGACAAAGGGCTAATACCAAAATCTACAAAGAACTTAAACAAATTTACAAGAAAAAAACAACCCCATCGAAAAGTGAGCAAAGGATATAAACAGACACTTCTCGAAAGAAGACATTTGTGCAGCCAACAGACACATGAAAAAATGCTCATCATCACTGGCCATCAGAGAAATGCAAATCAAAACCACAATGAGATACCATCTCATGCCAGTTAGAATGGCAATCATTAACAAGTCAGGAAACAACAGGTGCTGGAGAGGATGTGGAGAAATAGGAATGCTTTTACACTGTAGGTGGGAGTGTAAATTAGTTCAACCACTGTGGAAGATAGTGTGGTGATTCCTCAAGGATCTAGAGCTAGAAATACCATTTGACCCAGCCATCCCGTTACTGGGTATATACCCAAAGGATTATAAATCATGTTAATATAAAGACATATGCACATGTATGTGTATTGCAGCACTATTCACAATAGCAAAGACTTGGAACCAACCCAAATGTCCATCAATAATAGTCTGGATTAAGAAAATGTGGCACATATACACCATGGAATACTATGCAGCCATAAAAAAGGATGAGTTCATGTCCTTTGCAGGGACATGGATGAAGCTGGAAACCATCATTCTCAGCAAACTATCACAAGGACAGAAAACCAAACACCGCATGTTCTCACTCATAGGTGGGAACTGAACAATGAGGACACTTGGACACAGGGCAGGGAACATCACACACCATGGCCTCTCAGGGAGTGGGGGTCTGGGGGAGGGATAGCATTAGGAGAAATACTTAATGTAAATGATGAGTTGGTGGGTGCAGCAAACCAACATGGCATATGTATACCTATGTAACAAATGTGCACGTTGTGCACATGTATCCTATAACTTAAAGTATAATTTAAAAAGCTCAAACTAAAATCGATTTCTTCTTCTCAACTATTTTTTTTAAAAAAGATCTACTTTATTGGAAGAAAGATTGATATGTCTATCCTCTCATAGAAAATTACATAAAGATTGTTAGGTAATGGGACAGTAAAAGTATATAAAGGTAAAACATGTAGAAAAAAAGTGTTACAGAGATATATTAGACAGTTAATTTGAGATATATTAGACAGTTAATTATGAAACCATTCTAGTTTTTATTACAGTATCTTTGATTACTTTTAGTTTCTAAATTTTCTCTTTCATAACTACTTTTGTGTTTTTAAATTTTTCTAAAATTTCCTGTTTTAAAAAACTCAGATATATGCAAAGTTGCAAGTAGTGCACAAATAACTTATTTTTCCTGAATCCTTTGAGTTATTGACATTATGCTACATTATCCTCAAATACTTTCATATGTATTTCTTACATAAGAAAACATTTTCCTACATAGTCATGATGCAATGGTCAAAATCAGAAATTAACATCAATGCATTACTACCATCTAATCTTCAAACTTCCCTTATTTTACCCATTATCCCAATAACGACTTTGACAGCAAAAGGATCTAGTTTAGGATTTTGTTTCATTTATTTATCATATGTCTTTCAATCTCCTTCCATCTGTAATAATTGCTCATCTTTTGGTTTTTATAATTTTAATTTAAGAATCTTGGCACTTTTGAAAATCACAGAGCATCCATTTTGTAGAATGTTACTCAAGTTACATTTGTCTGAGGTTTCTTTGTAATTCCATTGTGACTAAGAGGCCTTGACAGCAATGTCACAGTAGTGACCTTATTCTCATTGGGTACTATCATGCAGGCACAATTGTATTTTGTCTCATTACTGATGATATTAATGTTGATTACTTAAGATAGTGTCTACCAGGGTCCTTCATGTAAAGTTAATCTTTTCTCTTAGTAATGAATAAATATTTTTGAAGAGATAATTTAAGACCCATTCCTCATCAATATTTCAATTAATTTGTTTAAGCTATATGGACTCATGCTTTTTCATATAATGGGTTATATTCCTATATTATTATTATTTGTTTTGGTGCTTGAATTGCCCAATATCTGGCCAGTGAGAGCCACGTTTCACTGGCTTCTTTTCATCTTTCTTGTCCTCATTATTCTTTGAGCACTTGTTTAGTTTCTTGTACAATGAGATATTCCAGGCTCATTTTCTATTTTTTCCCTGCCTTATTAGCTTAGAATTATCCATTTCTTTCTTTCTTTTTCTTTTCTTTTTTTTTTTTTTTGAGACAGAGTCAGCTCAGGCTGGAGTGGAGTTGCATGGTCTCAGCTCACTGCAACCTCTGCCTCCCAGGTTCAAGCTATTCTCCTGCCTCACTCTCCCAAGTAGCTGGGACTACAGGTGCGTGCCACCATGCCTGGCTAATTTTAATGTATTTTTAGTAGAGACAGCGTTTTGCTATGTTGGCCAGGCTGGTCTTGAACTCCTGGCCTCAGGTGATCCACACTTCTTGGCCTCCCAAAGTGCTGGGATTACAGGCATGAGCCACCGCTCCCAGCCTCCATTTCTTTATGGAGCCCTGACTCCTTATTGTGGAAAAAAATATTTAGAAACTAATGTCTCTGCACTAGATGTGCTCATTGCTTTTGAGTATTACTATTACCTTTCTTCCTACTCTACTCTTCTTGTGCATAATCTTTTACCTTGCTCAGCTCCACCTAATGATTTAGACAAAATTGTTTAGGAAAGGCAGGTAAGAGGATAAGAAACAGAAGAGGAAGAGCCACCAGTTTGAATTATTTTTCTTAAAGAGGTTTTCCAAAATTGTATAATCTTCAGGCACCCCAAAATTTATTTTACTATTCTACCGTATAAATTATTCTTAGTCTTTCTTGTTTGTTTCTTTTCTCACTAGCATATCACTTCTAAGAGTGCAAGGATTATTACCTTTTTTGTTCCCTAATCTGTTCCAAGGAGATTTATAGTGAAAGGACAGCATTTGCTTCTTCTTGGTGACCAAAAGGGACCTTAGCAACTTACAGTTATGGAGAAAAAAAGCAAATAAAAGTAACATACAAATTACCTTGGGGTAGAGAGTGATTTTTTTTTCAAGATTAGAAAAAAAAGAATTCTTCAATCTTGATTGGCTTAGTGTATTTACCCCTTTTCTGCTTAAGGAATTTTTGCCCTTTTTTTCCTTCGATGATTTATAAAGATTGTCAGAAAAATTTGTATTACTCATTTAGGGACGAATTTTTATTTTATTATGAAATTATTTTCACCATATATCCTAAAAACCAGCACTGGACTTATCTGATCCAATGATCTAGTCTTGGTTTCATCCGCCTAATTATCTTATAGCAGGAGAATGGCAACACATGAAGAGTAGGCTGTTCAAGAAGAAAGGCCCTGACAAAAAGCGAAGATGAAAGGTAATTGATCAAACAGAAATGATACATTGTGAGTTACAGTTAATCAAAAGCTGAAGTAATTATGGTACATTATTGTTACAAAATTAGTATAGTAGTTAGGAGTCATTATTGGGATTACAATAGATACTCATTCAAGAAGCATTTATTGAAAACTTCCTTTGTTTTGAGCATTGTTCTAGAAGCTGGAAACGTGTAGGCAGATTAGATATAAACTCTACATGCAAAGACATCTAATCCAGAAGGGAACTCAGTCTATATATGAATAATTACTGGCAGTATTATAAATACTTGTAGAAAGGTGTCAGAATGCTGAGGGAAATCAAGACCAATTCATCCTCTCAACATATTGGGGTTATATTTAGCTTGGAGAAAAATATACAGGTGCTCTAGGGTTTTATCTTGTCATCACTGCTATTGAGTAGAAAGAAATGTTTCTTTTATGATACTACCAGCATTTTAATGTCTATGGTTTATATGCAAATATCAGGCTGTACTGGAGGTTGATTTTAGGGATATGGTTGAAGATTTTGGCCAATATATGAAGGTAATGAAGTAGTCAAAACCAGAATAAGTCAGAACTCATAGCAAGCTTTGGAAGAATCTGCAGTCATACAAAGCATATTCAGCATGAATACTTCAGAATGGCATTTCTCCCATCCTTGCATATATGAAAAACCTGTCACAATCACAGTATTTCTAGTGCAAAATACTATATAATAACATAGTGTCACTCACTGGATAAATTTTGGAAGATTTTCCTGTTTTAAAGGATTTTATTTTATTTATAAATTTATTCAAAGAAGCAGTTTCTTCACTTTCTTATAATTCTTAGGGATAAAATATATTCGGCAAGTAAATTATGTCTAAATTTGGGTTCACTGGTTGGAAATAAAAAAGGAAGTAGCTTATCTTTGTTACAGCAATTTTTCAAATGATAGTATCTTTTTACCTTACCAGTTCGTAGAATTACCTCAGTGAAAGAAAAGGTCTATGCCAAACATTTTTCTGCAATCTGGACCAAATGTCTGAGATGAATTAAAATAAGAGAGGTTGGAAATAAGGGTGGAATAGCAAATTTTGGATGTTTTTGTGCATACTTGTTTTTGAGATCATGTAATATATGATAAAAAATACAAATACCCATTTTTATAAAATCAAGTTGAACTTAACTTAAAAATAATACATATTTGGGGACAGGTATTCAGCTTTGCCAATATTTAAAAATTTTTCATTCACTCCAGTGTTGAATTTAGCAATTGTCCTTGTGTTTAGAACTAGAAATACAATGAAAAACCAGATAGACATGGTTATCTGACCACGGAGTTCAAAGTCTAGCAGGTAAGACAAACAAACTTGAAATTGAAATAAGTGTAATAAATGCCTTGATGGGGAGTGACAGCGGCATCATGGGTGGGAGGACATAGAAGGAGATCAAGTCTTGTGTGTGTGTGTGCCTGTTTGGTGTGTGTGTGTGTGTGTATCTGTGTACCCATGGAGATGTGCAGGTGTGTGTGAAAACTTTCCAGGAGAAATGATGGTTATGCTGGTATCTTAAAAATAAACACAAAATAAAATAAATATAATATAGTCTCCATCATCCATAATGATAGGGGGAATTCAGAACAATAAAAGAAATAATGCCTTTGAAAGCAGTAATTGCTTGTGTGCCTTAGGTAAGTAATTTAACAGATTATATGTAATTTAAATTTCTTTTTAACTTGATATTCAATGACTTTATTAAATTAATTCTGAATGGTTAATTTTTTTTCTGCTTTGCAAATTTTATAACTGCAGATTATCTAGATACTTCATAGCTACAACTTATCCATTTTAATTTTGAAGACTGTCCAACACGTTAAAAAAAAAAACAACTCTATGTAGGGGAAAATTGTGAATTCCGATTGAGCATAAAGCTAGAAATTCAATAGAAGGAGAGTTTTGACTTTTGAAAGATGTGTTGGCTGAAAAAATATACTCTGTCGTTTAGATTTCCTTTGTGCAGTGGAATAAATAGAGGGCATGAATTCTAGGATGATAGATGAAATGCAGTTTCTTTCAAGGTCTGAGGTGGAGAAAAGTTCAGTAAGAGAGCAAGCAACGGTGATATTATAGTGAATTCTGATCACTGAGGTAAACCAACTGGCAGGGCATTTATTTCTGTCATGTTATGAGAAGCATATCTAGGAAAAGAGGAAAAATATTAAAATGTATACTTTCATTCAATATTTGTTCCACAAATATTTACTGAGTATTTTCTGTTGGACAGATACCATACCAGCCAAATAAGCAGCTCAAAGTCTACTGGAACTGACAGATATGAAAAATCAATTATTTCTTTAATAGTAATAGTAATAGTTAATGATAAACAAGGGCCTACTAGGTGCAAGACACTGTGCTAAGTCTCTCACATGGCTGCTCTGATTTAATAGTCACAAAAGTATTATAGATACCTTTTTATGGGTACATTTGCTATTTTTAATCTGGTTTTATAGAAAAGTAAACAGGCTAGAGAAATAAGTTCAGTAGCATACCCCAGGTGATTCAAGTAGTATGGTAATTGCTATGAGAGATGTAAATGCAGTTTTTTTTTCTGTGAATATTTTAAATAAATATTTTGTTTTGAAATACATTTAGATAATACAAAGATAGTACAGACAGTTCCCATATATTGCTCACCAGTTTTAGGTATGAAATCTCCTTATGTTACTATCTTATGTTTCCATGGTACATTTGTCAAAACCAGGAAACACACATTGGTACATTGCTATTAACTAAACTCCAAACTTTTTTTGAATTTTAGCATTTCTTTTCTTTTTTCTGTTTCAGGATCCAATCCAGGATACCATATTATTTCATGCTACGTCTGAAAGTTCTAAAACAGAGCACAAAGAAGGCTCACTAAGGTAGGATGGGTGTGGCAGGAAGAACAATGTGGGGAAAGGATAGACGAATATATACAAAGAGGAGGTGATGCTTGCACTTGGTCTTAAACATTCAGGTGAAGTCATTAAAGAAAAAGTAAGAGAACAGCATTAAAGACAAGGAGAAAAATATGTTAAAATATGGTGTAAATGGGTAAATTGCAAGTGGTTCAAAAGGACTAAATCATATATTTAGAAAAATGGCATGAGGTAGGACTAGGGAGTTAGGCCAGCAAGAAAACTTAAGGGCCCTGATACCATGTTTAAGAATGTTCCCTTTATGTTAAAGTCGTCAAAGCCATTGAAAGATTTAGGCAGAAGAATAACAGTCAGATTATGTTTGAAACTGAATTTGATAGCATTATGGAAGTACAGATGTTGAATGGACAAAGAGATTATTTAGAATCTATTATCATAGTCTGGGTAAGAAATAACAGAAATAATGAAGTACTGAACAAAATCTATGCCAGTAGATATGGCAGAGTTATACAAAATGTGAATGAGTTTAAATTAATATCACTGGAGAGAGATTGAGGATTCAAGTTTAACCATTTGGTTGTTTGATGAATGGTTGTGGTATCCACTAAAATGGGAGATGAAGAAAGATAAATAGAAATTGGAATACAATTGTAAGTTCAATTTTTGACATCTTTTTTCTGAAAAGTCTTTGGTACCACCGTTAGCAGGAGTCCAAAACACAATTAAAAACAAAAATATTGCGATCATATCTGAGATGACCATATAGATTTTAATCTCTTTGCATCACATCCATAATGCTAAAGCTAAGCACTGTAAGATTATAGGGTGATAGTAACAGAATCTAAGAACAACAAGGGATTCTATCATGGAAAAATCAGACTAAAGTGAAAAAGCAATACTGATAACGGACTGATGTGAAGGAGGGAGAAAGCTGCAATAAATGATGACAGAGAAGACAGAAGAGAAAAGAATTTCAAAAGGGAAATGTGATCGACTTTGTCAAATGTTTTATAGTTCTTGAACAAAATAAGTGAAAATTAGGCACTTTTTGCTTTAGGTCCAACATGCGAGTCATCATCCCCATTCTTAAAACAAGAAAAAGGTTGAACAAAATGAAAGCACCAACTTTCTTTGACTAATTTTTCGTGAAGTTTACAGGGCAAAAATTGTCACCCCAAAAGCTGGAGAGTTAGGTGAATACAGAAAGTGAAAGATGCTCTATTACCTGAAGCAGAACCCACTGGAGCCATAATCTGGTAGGGAGACTTAAATGGGAAATTTGACAAATTGAGGAAGCTGAGCGGACCAGCCTGAGAGTAAGAAACTCCTGGGGTATCACATTTCCCTGGTTTCCTCTAGAAATCTCACCAGGTTCTCAAGGTAAAGAGTCAAAATAAATTCCTTCATGACTCTGGCAGGAGAGGGGAAAAGTAACCATTGTGAAATAAGCTCAGAGCATTTTTTATAGTAAAGGCCTACTCCAGAAAAAAGCAAAAAAACAAAAAAACGGAACTCTATCCTACCTGAGGGAGAGACATTTCCCAGATTCTATACCCTCTAGCCTTTTTTTGGTCTCAAATAGTGGTGAAAAACTAGAAAAATTTGTGAAAGTAACAGCTAATATTTAATTTTAAGATAATATTTAGGGCCGGGCGCGGTGGCTCACGCCTGTAATCCCAGCACTTTGGGAGGCCGAGGTGGGTGGATCATGACGTCAGGAGATCGAGACCATCCTGGCTAACAAGGTGAAACCCCGTCTCTACTAAAAATACAAAAAATTAGCCGGGCGCGGTGGCGGGCACCTGTAGTCCCAGCTACTCGGGAGGCTGAGGCAGGAGAATGGCGTGAACCCGGGAAGCGGAGCTTGCAGTGAGCCGAGATTGCGCCACTGCAGTCCGCAGTCCGGCCTGGGTGACAGAGCGAGACTCTGTCTCAAAAAAAAAAAAAAAAAAAAAAGATAATATTTAATAATAAGATGATAGAAAGCTCACACGCATCCCCCCCAAAGAAAATTAAGGCACGCACTTTCCAGAGCCTGAGGGCTTCCTATATGAGGCTCTGACAAGTGACTGTGTCCCCAGAGTGGCAAAAACCCTTATGCTTTGGCTTAGGAGTGGTGAGGGAAATTCCCCTTCCCACTCTGCATACTGCCATAGCAGTTGCTGCCACTGGGAACCAGACAGGTAAGCCTGAGATCTGACTATATGGGGTTGGTGGCAATGACCTCACCCCAACTGATGGAACAGCCTCTGTGCTCTGGCTTTTGAGTAGAGAGCATGATCTCTTTCCCTCTCATCTCATTGCAGCTACAGCTACTGCTGCTGTCACCAGGGGCTGGGTTGGATGAGGCAGAGGGCTACCTGTCTGAGGCTGTGAGTGGCAACCATGCCCCAATTGGTGGCACGGACTCTGTGCTCTAGCTCATGTGCAAGGTGTGAGTCCCTTCTCCCCTCTGAAGGGTGGGACACCTCCTCTGCATGGCACTGTAGCACTGCTGCCACCAAGAGCAGAAGAGACTAAAAGCTGAATGTCTTGGGTTGTGGATGGCAACCCTGCTTCACAGCCACTGCCAATATCAGGAAGCACTGCTTGGGACCCACAGAGTTGTCCCACAACTGTTGCTGTGGATTGCTCATACCACGCTAGCTGCCTAGGGAGCTGAGAACTCACTCTTCCAGCCAGTTCACTGCTGCTACTACTGGCATCTGAGCAAGCTACTCAGATATGGAGTATGGAGTATGGAGTGTGGAGTGTGGAGTATGGAGTATGGAGGACCATACCTAAAAATAATGAAGATCTTCTATGACAATCCCACAACCAATACTGTATCGAGATGAAGAAAAGTTGAAAGCCTGTCTTCTAAGCATTGGAATAACACAATAATACATAGCCCACCTGGTTGTGCTATCACCAGTGTTAGTGTATGCCAGTCTGGGGCCCATGAAAAGGCATGCTCAATCCACTACTTTTATCACTGGGGCCCTAAGACTGGCCTACTTTGAGCCTGTGTCTCCGAGAAAACTTCATCATAGCCTCCACTAATAGACACACCTCAAGCCATCTAGAAAATCACAAATACCACTCACATTGTTTACGTTCAAAGAAATCATACAGAAACTACACAGCAGCATGCACTCAGAATCAAAGCCAAAGGGCTCTACCCAGCCAACACCACTGATACCTCTTCAGGAAAAACTCATCCCATATGAAAGCAAATTTTAAAAATTGGAAGAAGTGACTGTCACACCAGATGTACAGATTTCAGTGTGAAGACACTAGAAACATAAAAAACCAAGAAAATATGATACCTCCAAAAGAATGCAATAATTCCTCAACCACAGATTCCAATAAAAATGAAATTCGTAAAATTCTGGAAAAAGAATATAAAATTATGATACTAAAGAAGCACAGTGAGATACAAGATAATTTTAAAAAATCAGAAAAAAGAATTCAGAACATTAGTAAAAAATTTAGCAAAGAGGTAGATATCATAAAAAAAGAACAAAATAGAACTTCTGGAATTGAAGAATTCCTTGAATAAAATATAAAATACAATTAAAAACTTCAACAATATATTAGATCAAGCAAAAGAAAGAATCTCAGAATATAAAGACAGATTTTTTGAAATAACCCAGTCAGACACAAAGAAATAAAAAATAATAGAAAAGAATAAATAAAACTTTCATGATATATGGTATACCACACAGCAACCAAATATATAAATTATTGATAACCCTGAAGGCAAATAGAAAATGTTTGAAATCCTATTTAATAAAATAAAAAAAATTTCCCAAGTCCAGCAAGAGAGGTAGACATCCAGATATAGGAGTCCCACTAATCCCCAAACAAATACAGTGTAAAAGTTCTTCTCCACATTATAGCCAAACTGTCTAATGTCAATGACAAAATAAAATTCTGGAAAGCAAGAGAAAAGTGTCTAGTCACCTACAAAGGAGACCTCATCAGACTAACAGCAGACTTATGAGCAAAAACCTTAAGGCCAGAAGAGAATAGGATGATGTATTCAAAATGCTGGAAAACAAAAAAACACTGCCACCCAAAGATACTATATCCAGCAAAATTCTCCTATATACATGAAGCAGAAAAAAAGTTTTTCCCAGACAAGCAAATACAGAGGGAATTCATCACCACCAGACCAGCTTTACAAGAAATACTCAGGGGAGTCCAAAACCTGGAAGCAAAAGGATGGTGCCATCATGAAAATGCATATGTATAAAACTCACTTGTAATGCAAACACACAAATAAGGAAAAGACTCAAATGTTGCCAACACAGAAAACCAGCAAAACACAAGGACAAGCCATAAGAGGAAAAGGAATAAAGAATATACAAAACAGCCAGAAAACAACTAAGAATATAACCGGAAGTAAACCTTAGATATCAATAATAACCTTGAATATAAATCGATTAAATTTTCCACTTAAAAGATACAGACTGGCTAAATTGATTAAAAAAATGATTCAACTCTATGCTTCATATAAGAAACATACTTACCTGTAAAGACACATATAGACTGGAAGTAAGGGAATGCAGAAGGATATTTCATGCAAATGAAAACCAAAAGTGAATATGAGAAACTATACTTATATCAAATAAAACACACTTTATGTCAAAAACAGTATGAAAAGACAAAGAAGGTTATTACATAATTATAAAGGTATCACTCCAACAAGAGGATACAATTCTAAAATATATATGCACCCAACACTAGAGCACCCAGATAAATAAAACAAATTACTAGATCAAAAGAAAAAGATAGACTCCAATACAATAAAAATAGGGAACTTCAAAACCCTGCTTTCAGCATTAGACATATCTTCTAGACGGAAAATCAACAAAGAAATATTGGATTTGAACTGGACTTTAGAACAAATGGACCTAAGAGACATTTACAGATTATTTTATCCACCAATTGCACAATACACATTCTTCTAATTAGCATATGGTACATTCTCCAAGATTAACCGTATGTTAGGCCACAACACAAGTCTCAACAAATTTTAAAAAATCAAAATCATATCAAGTATCTTCTCAGATCATAATGGAATAAATCTAAAAATCACTACCAAGAGGAGCTTTGGAATCAGTACAAATACATGGAAATTAAACAACATGCTCAGGAATAACCAGGTAAATAAATAAATAAAGATGGAAATTAAAAAATTCTTTAAATAAATAAAAATGGAAACAACATATCAAAACCAATGGGGTATAGCAAAAGCAGTGCCAAGAGGGAATTTTATAGTAATAAATGCCTGCATCTAGAAAAACAGAAAGAATTCAAATAAACAATCTAATAATGCACCTCAATGTACTAGAAAATTAAAAAAACAAACCAAAACCCAAATTAGCAGAAGAAAAGAAATAATAAAGATCAGAGCAGAAGTAAACAAAATAGAAACAAAGAAGCAACACAAAGGATCAATGAAACAAAAAGTTGGGGTTCAAAAAGTTAAGCAAAAGTGATAAACCAGCTTGATTGATCTAGGAAAGAAGAGGGACGACCCAAATAAAATCACAAATGAAAAAGGACAACACAGAAATGCAAAAGATCATCAGAGACTATTATGACAAACTATACAGTAGTAAATTGGAAAACCTGGGGAAAATGAACAAATTCCTCTAAACAAGTAAAGAAAACCCTAGGCATAGATGGATTCACAATATAATTCTGTGGAATGTATAAAGAAGGACTTACACCCATCCTTCTGAAACTATTCCAAAAAATTGAAGAGAAGGGAACTCTACACAACCCATTCTACAAGGCCAGCATTACCCTGATATCAAAACCAGACAAGGACACAACAACAATATCCCTGATGAGCACAGACATAAAAATCCCCCACCAAATACTATCCAACTGAATCCCACAGCACATCAAAAAGATAATACACCACAATCAAGTGGAATTTATACCAGGGATGCAATGATGGTTCCATATATGCAAATTAATAAACATAATATGTCATATCAACAGAATGAAGAACAGAAACCATATATGATCATCTCAATAGATGCAGATAAAGCATTTGACAATATTCTAAACCCTTTCATGATAAAAACTGTCAACAAAGTAGGCATAGAAGGACCATACCTAAAAATAGTAAAGGCCATCTATGAAAATCCTACAACCAATACTGTATTGAGTTGAAGAAAAGTTGAAAGCCTAAGAAGTGGAAGAACACAAAAATGCCCATTTTCACTACTACTATTTAGCAGAGTACTGGGTCTTAGTCACAGCAATGAGATAAGAGAAAAAAATATAAAGCATCCAAATTGGAAAAGAGAATGTCAATTGTCCCTCCTTTCAGATGACATAATTTATATATATATATATATATATATATATATATATATATATATATATAACCAATGACTCCATCAAAAATTTTTTATAACTGACAAAAAAATTCAGTAAGTTTGCAGGATACACAATTAATATTCAAAAATAAGTAGCATTTCTATATACCAATAATGAAGTGCCCTAGAAAGAAAGAAAGAAGGTGATCACATTTACAATAGTTATAACATTAAGTAAAATTCCTAGGAATAAATTTAGCCAATAGCTGCAAGATGTCTATAAGAAAATCTATAAAACGTGGATGAAATAAATTAAAGAGGACATAAATGAAACTCATGAACTCATGTTAATGAGTTGGAAGCATTAATATTATTAAAGTGGCCATATTGCCCAAAGCAATATATAGATTTCATGAAAGCCCTATCAAAATTCTAACAACATTTTTCACAGAAATAGGAAAAAAAATTCTAAAATTCTTGTAATACCAATAAATGAGCCTGAATAGCCAAAGCAACCTTGAGCAAATAGAACAGATCTGGAGGCATTATACTCTGTGACTTCCAAAACATATTACAAAACACCATCGTATTGGTATAAAAATAGACACATACACTAATGAGACAGTATAGAGAGTCCAGAAGTAAAACCACATATTTTCAGCCAATTGATCTTCAACAAAGCTTTCAAGGACATACATTGGGGAAATAACACTCTCTTCAGTAAATGGTGCTGGAGAAACTGGATAACCACATGCAGAAGAATAAAACTGCATACCTATATTTCACCATATTCAAAAGTCAACCCAAGATAGATTAAGGACTTAAAGGTAAGACCTGAAACTGTAAAACTACTGGAAGAAAACAAACGTAAAATTCTTCAGGACATTGATATAGGCAAAAATTTTACGGTTAAGATCTCAATAGCACAGGCAAGAAAATAAAAAACAGACAAACGGGACTATATTAAGTTTAAAAGCTTCTGCACAGCAAAATAAACAATCAACAGCCTAAAGAGGCAACATTTTGAATGGGAGAAAAATATTTGCAAATTACTCATCTGATAGGGGACTAATATCCAATATATACAGGCCACTCAAACAACTCAGCAGTGAAAAACAAATACTTTTATTTTAAAATGGGCAAAGGACATGAATAGACATTTCTCCAAAGAAGACATAAATGGTCAAAAGGTATATATGAAAAAATGGTGAATTTTAATCATCAAGGAAATGAAAATACAATTTGTCAATTTTTGTAGAATGCAGAGAAAGCAGTGTTTAGAAAGAAATTTATAATAGTATATGTGTACATTAGAACAGAAAATATAGGAGATTGTAGATAACTTCAGGTAGGAAGCTTCTGTTAAATAATGATGGCAGTGCATTAAGGAGAAAGTAGATGGAAAATAATATATTCATGAGGATAAGCTAATCTTTTAAGAAACATGTTTTTTGAAATATAACTTGGAAGTGTTTGGAATGCTACGATATGAGCCGGATTCAAATAAACTAATCATCTAAAATACCTATGCATCACCTGCTTATAATGCCTTTGTCTTTTCATCAGTTTAAATCTTGGAATACTATTCCTAAAATTGAAGGAAACACTCAGTAAATGACTAAGTGTTTCTGGTACAAATAGAGTTAACTATATTGCATACATAAGTAGATTCCTGAGGAAAGGAGGCAGGGGACATAATTGTAAAGTAGGTATGGCAGTTGGAGAAAGGGATGAGAAAGTGATCAGGGAAATCTGGAGACTGAGACACTGGCCTGGGAAGAAAATGCCAAGGCTGATACCACACAGGGATGGGGCCTGGCAGTCAGCCTTGATTCCTGCATCTTCTTTCCCAACACATGCCATGCTTTAGCAATTCCTGCCAACTTTTTCTGTGAAATATGTCTATGTGTGGGCCTGCACCTCTCTGATTTGCTGCCACTGTCCTAGCCAAAATCACCATCTGGATTATTGCAGTGCCCTCCACACAGGTTCTGCCAACTTTCTCCCTTTCTCCTCTCTAATCCACTCTCTACTCAGCAGCCAGAATGATAATTTGAAAAGTTCCCACTCAAAATTCTTTCCCAGTTGAAATATTCTCACTGCTTGCCATCTCAGAAAGCATAAACCACATACAACAAACCCACACCTAGTATCATACTGAACAGGGGAAAACTGAAAACCTATCTTCTAAGATCTAGAACAAGACAAGGATGCTGACTTTTATCACTTTTATTCAACATAGTACTGAACGTTCTAGCCAGAGCAATGAGACAAGAGAAATAAATAAAAAGCATTCAAATTAGAAAGGAAGAAGTCAATTAGAAAGGAAGAAGTCAAATTATCCTGGATAGCAGATGATATCATCTTATATTTAGAAAAATGCAGACATTACCAAAAAACTATTAGAACTGGCAAATAAATTCAGTAAACGTTCAGTTTACAAAATCAACACACAAAAAATTAGTAGCATTTCTATATGCCAATAGCAAACAATTTGAAAAAAAAACCAAGAAAGTAATTCCATTTACAATGGCTACAAATAAAATATCTAAAAATTAACAAAAGAAGGGAAAGATCTTTTCAATTAAAACTATAAAACATTGATAAAATAAATTGAAGAAGACACAAAAAATGAAAAGATAGCCCATGTTCATGGATTGGAAGCATCAATATTGTTTAAATGTTCATACTACCCAAAGCAATCTACAGATTCAATGCAATCCCTATCAAAATATCAATGACATTCTTCACAAAAAAACTTAACATTTATATGAAACCACAAAAGATCCAGAATTACCAAAGCCACCCTGAGCAAAAATAACAAAACTGGAAAAATCACATTATCTGACTTCGAATTATACTACAAAGCTATAGTAACAAAAACAGCATGGTACTGGCATAAAAACAGACACAAAGACCAATGGAACAGAATTAAAAAACCCCAAAATCAATTCATGCCTTTCTACCAACTTGTTTTTGATAAAGGTGCCAAGAACATACATTGGAGAAAGGACAGTCTTCAACAAATGGTGTTGGGAAAACTGGATATCCATATGCAAAAGAATGAAACTAGATTATTTCTCACCATATATAAAAATCAACTCAAAATGGATTAAAGGCTCAAATCTCAGATGTGAAACTGTGAAACTACTAGAAAAAACACATTTGGGAGTCATTCCAGGGTATTCAGCTAGGCAAAGATTTCTTAAGTAACACCTTGAAGGCACAGGTGATGAAAGTGAAAATGGACAACAGAGATCACATCAAGATAAAAAGCTTCTGCATAGCAAAGGAAACAATTAATAAAATAAAGAGACAACTCACAGATTAGAAGAAAATATTTGCAAACTAACCATCTGACAAGGGATTAAGAACCAGAATGTATAAAGAGCTCAAACAACTCAATAGTAGAAAAACAATCTGGTTAAAAATGGGCAAAAGATCTGAATAGACATTTTTTTTAAAAAAGAAGACATATATATGGTCAACAGGTATAATAAAAAAATGCTCTTCATCACAAATCAGAGAAATGATAATCAAAACTACAATGAGATATCATTTCTCCCCTGTTAAAATGGCTTTTATTCCAAAGACAGTCTGTAACAAGCTGGTGAGGATGTGGAGAAAGGGGAACCCACATACACTGTTGGTGGGAGTGTAAATTAGTACGGCTACTATGGAGAACAGTATGGAGTTTCCAAAAAAAAAAAAACAAAAAACTAAAAATAGAACTACCATGTGATACAGCAGTCCTACTGCTGAGTATATACCCAAAAGAAAGGAAATCAGTCTATTGAAGAGACATCTGCACTCTGACGTTTATTGCACTAGTATTCACAATAGCTAAGATATGGATCAACCTAAGTGCCCATCAAAGGATAAATGGATAAAGTATGGTACATATACACAGTAGAATATTATTCAGCTGTAAAAAGAATAAAATCCTGTCATTTGCAGCCACATGGATGGAACTGGGGTTCATTGTGTTAAGTAAAATTATCCAGCCACAGAAAGACAATGTTTTCTGTTCTCCCATGTTATCACTAATACGTGGGAGCTAAAAAAAAAAATATATATGAATTAATGAAGATAGCAGAATGATGGATACCAGAGGCTGAAAGGGTAGCAATGAGTGGAGGATAAAGTGGGGAAGGTTAATTGGTACAAATGAGAGTTAGAATGAATAAAGTCTATTATTCAGTAGCACAATACAGTGATTATAGTAAACAATAATTTATTGTTTATTTTTAAATAATTAAAGTGTAGAATTGGAATATTCTGAACACAAAGAAATGATAAATGCTGGAGGGGTTGCATAGTTCAGTTACCCTGATTTGATCATTACACATTATATGACAGTATCAAAACATCACATGTATCCAATAAATATATACAAATATTATATACCATAATAATTAAAAATAAAACATATTAAAAATAATTGCTTTGGCCTATAAAGTGCTGACTTAATTGAATATTTTTACAATTTTGATTTCATTTTCAGCCACTCTGCTTATTATTCACTCTGGGATTGGCTTTTTCTTCACTAAGCCCACTTCTCACACTTTCTTTCAAAACACTTCCCAATATTTGTAACTACATAGTTAACTGTTACTTTTTTATCTTTCTCTCCACCAATCAATAAACTTCATGAAGCCCAGTTTTATATTTGTAGCAAGAACAGTGCTCAATAATTATTTACTGAATAGATGCATGAACACCTGAGGTCAGTGAGCTTGGGGAGCAGGGAAAGGGAATACCGAAATTTCTAACTGGACTATTAGCTGATGTCATTCTGAAAACACTCAGAGTCTTTTAAAGCTTTTGATAACTGAACAAACAAAAGGCAATCTAAATAAAAACTAATTTAATTACTATTTTAACTGTCTTTCCAAATTATTGGTACAAAATTATATGGTATAACAGTATTAATTGTTTACCCAAGTGCATCCTATTTTTCATTGACTGTTCATGTATTAAGTGTGAAATTTTAATTCTCTTTTGTAATAGATCTATTTCTATATTTTAGTTCATTTGATTTAAAAATACAACTTAATGACTTGATAATGATAATATCAATAGATATTATTTATTTGAGTGTATTTTTCTGTACAAGATACTCTTCTTGAAGTGTGCTATCTCAATCCTCCTAACAACATCTAGCTGTCCACATTACTACCCTAAATAAATATATGAGGTATCTACAGGTCAGAGAGCCTTGGTAACTTGCTGAGGATCACACAGCCAGTAGATGACAAAATCAAATCTTAAGCTCAGGGTTATTCAGCTTCAACATTTTTTTCTTTTTTCTCAGTACGGCCTTACCACCAGCCATTGTTTTTGGTCAGAGATGATGATGCATTCTTGGATGGACTAGATTTTCAGCAAAGGAGCTGCTTTTCACATATGATATGTAAGAAATAAATACGAAGATGTCATAAAAAATAAACTTTCTACTTGTGTGAAAGTTTTCATTTGGATATTTTATTTTATTTTTATTTTTATTTTTTTGAGATGGAGTCTCGCTCTTGTCGCCCAGGCTGGAGTACAGTGGCACGATCTCGGCTCACTGCAACCTCCGCCTCCAGAGTTCAAGCTATTTTCATGCCTCAGCCTCCTGAGTAGATGGGGATTACAGGCGCCGGCCACCACGCCCAGCTAATTTTTGTACTTTTAGTAGAGACGGGGTTTCACCATGCTGGCCAGGCTAGTCTCTAACTCCTGACCTCAGGTGATCCGCCCACCTTGGCCTCCCGAAGTGCTGGGATTACAGGTGTGAGCCACCGCACCTGGCTTTGGATATTTGATTAAGAAATTTGAACATATCTTCATGTTTGCTCAAAGCTGAAACACCTAATTGATTCAGCCAGATCACTCCCAGTCAAAAAGAAAATGAACCACTGGAGTGAAAACAATTACTTCATTGGAATTTCCTCTCTTTGTTTTGGCTAATGCCATGGCTATGTATTTTGGTTATTAAAAAATAATCTCTTTCCTTTCACCTTCCCAGGTTTCAGCTCCCCTCTAAGTAGACAGTCCAGTTTGAGCTCCTCCTCAGCATGCCTGCCTTCGCCATTGTTCACTGTCTGTCTACCTCACTGCCAGCCCCTCGGAAGCTGGGGACTATGTGTCTTTCTTTTAATCTCACATCACATTGTGGAAGGCTATAGTTGGCACTCTGGCTCTGAGGCTGCTTTCTGTCCTAACAACAAACCCTACATTGAGATACCCATCCCAGGAGTGGCCTTTGTATCTTCACACACTGGGGCACTCACTCCAGGACATTTAGCTGCTCTGTTATCCATTTATGTGAAGTGACCTGAAGTCCCCTGGGAATGGTAAGGGCAAGGTCAGAGCACAATGGCGTTTCCTTGAGAACGTGGCTGTCTCTCTTATTGTCTCTTCCTCCTTCACTTCAGTGATTATCAGCAGGCACTCTAATTCCTACTCCAAAGAGAATTGTTTTATCTCAGTCCTTAATAAAAGTTTAATAACAGAGCACTTTGGTGAGCTCACGTTAGTGAGATTTTATTTCACCTAATATACCAGCGTATTATGCACTTGAGTAATCTATGTGCCGTTGTAAATAAAGTAAACAACATATATTTACAGAACTAAGCAAACTACATTTTATGATGGTATCCTTGAAACTTTCACACTCTGATCAGTAATAGCTCTCCCACTCATTAACGTGCATCAGTGAGAAGCTCCTCTAATTAGCTATAAACTTACTGCTGAATAGCAGTCATTTCAAGTACCGTTTGTTATTAAAACAAATACCTGGAAATTACACTATTAGTACAAAAATCAATCCAATTTTAAGCACAACATTAAAGCAAACTTAACACCCTCACTCCCATATGCAACATGCTATCAGCAAGTTTTCTTTATAATTGAGGGCCTCTACTAAACCAGGACCCAGTAGAAACATTCATGGAGCCAAGAAGGGAATAAAGGCATTTCCTCAATTTTTACAAATACTTTGAAAGAAAGGCAGATTGACAACAATTTTTGAAAAGATGGAAATTCTAGTCTCAGTAATCCTGCTTGGATTCAGTTTTGTCTAACTGATGAATATTTTGAAGCACTTACTCTGTTCCAGGCATTGAAGCTGCAGAGATGATGAAGATACTGTCTTGGCTGTCAAGAAACTTACCACATTATAGGAAGTGGGATGGGGAGAGACGGTTGAGGTGTATACATAAATGCATACATCATGATGGTGAAAACCAAAAGATGTCCAGAGATTTCTGAGCATTGGTGGATTCAGATTAAGAGGGAAAAGCTTGAGAAAGAAGGTTTGTAGGTTTATTTAGGCTTCATGTAATTAAGAAAATATATGGCATTTGAAGGTAGCATAGCACAATTTAAGGCAATAGGATGGGCACAAACATTCAGTTTTAGTCTCGTCACCACCGTTTGTTAGCTATGTCACCATTTCTACCATTAAGTAACTGGGTGGGCCATGTGTCTTGGACTTAGAATATTTAACATGGAAACATTGTAGCACTAAAATGATGTAAGTAAAGCTTAAATCACAGTACCTGATGAGAGTAGGGTCTCATTAATGTCTACTCCTTTTCTTTCCCAATTCTTTCTCTGCCTCTCTACTCCATCTTTCTTCATCCCACATATCTTAATCTAGAATTCCAGACCTTTTCACTGCCCTCCAATCTTAGGTAGTGTCCTTCTACCATATCCAAGGCATTTCTTTTGCTAGAAATGCCCTCCTTTTCCTTACCTTGCTTGGCATGTCAGAATTCTATTATTTCCTGTGTGCCGTAAATGCTGCTTCCTCAACCAGGACTATCCTGATCTCTCCAACTGTACTTTTTCCTCCTTCTGAATTTTCATTGCATTTTGCATATCTTTCTTCATTCCTGTCACATTACATTATACATTGTACTTACCTATAGGCACGTCTTATTTATTTTAAGCACAGTAGGAATTGGGGTTAAATTGCTTGATACATCTGTAGCACGTAAAACAGTGCAGTAGGCCGGGCGCGGTGGCTCATGCCTGTAATCCCAGCACTTTGGGAGGCCGAGGCGGGCGGGTCACGAGGTCAGGAAATCGAGACCATCCTGGCTAAAACGGTGAAACCCCGTCTCTATTAAAAAAAAAATACAAAAAATTAGCCTGGCGTGGTGGCGGGCGCCTGTAGTCCCAACTACTCGGGAGTCTGAGGCAGGAGAACAGCATGAACCCGGGAGGCGGAGCTTGCAGTGAGCCGAGATCGTGCCACTGCACTCCAGCCTGGGCGACAGAGCGAGACTCCGTCTCAAAAAAATAAAATAAAATGAAATGAAATAAAATAAAATAAAATAAAACAGTGCAGTAAATATTTAAAAGTTATTTCATAATTATTTTTAAGCTGGTATAAATTCTTCTGTTAAATAAATTAGTTAAATGTCCTTGGATTTAAAATATTTGTACATGAAATTTACCTCACAGAATAGTATGAAAATCAGAAGACTGAAAGATTAAGTGTATACTGAATCACTGCAGGACCAGCAGGTTGGCTCCATATATTCTTAGATGATAAAAAGGTCTTTGTTCATAATCACTTTAGTATTAGACAAAGAGCTCATTATATTTATCTCCTAAAATTTGACTTGGGCTCAGGAGAGTTGCCCTAAATTGAGAGAAAAAAAGGAACTTGCAATGCGACTGGACACTACAAGCCATTGAAAACCATATATTTAAAGAATATTCAATGACATGGGGGAAATTCTATGAAATATTAAAAAAGTTATAGGATGCTAAATTTTAATTTTAGTATATTATTTAAATTTTATATCAGACAAAACAAAGTGTACTGAAATGTAACCAAATCTTTTAAGTAACTACATCTGGATAAAATAAAATAGTGATGATTTTTATTTTGTTTTATTTTTGTGTATTTTATATATATTTTTCAATAAACAATTATTACTTTTATAATCAGGATAACAATAAAAATGTATTTGTAATAAAGTAGTGGTTTTTCAACCAGGAGTGATTTTGTCCTTAAGGGGTTTATTGCAATTTCTGGAGATATATTTGTCATACCTGGTTGTGCTATTGGCATCTAGTGGGTAAAGGCTAGTGATGCTGCTATTAATATCTTCCTACAATGTACAGGGCAGCCCCCACAACAAAGAATTAGCCCCAAATGTCAATAATGCTGAAGTAGAGAAACCCTGAAATATAGAGAATGCAACCAAAATATATGGAATGAGGAAATGATTTACCAAATCATGGTACAACACTTAATATAATGGACTATTATGCAGGTCTTAAAACTTACACTGCCAAAATGCTTATTGAGATGTCAGTCTCACTAAGTCTTTTTCAACCTGAGAAGTTTACATTTCCTCATACAACAGCTCTTTGGTATATTCTAAGTTATATTATCTTTTGTTTTATACATGTTCTTTTATGTTCCTAACAAAGAGGAGGATTCTTTAGAAGTAGGATCCCCATTTATTTACAGTTTCCCTCAACATCCCTTACTTACACAGTGCTAATATAAGAAAGACAATCTAGTTGTTATGGTTATTCATTCATAACCCTTGAAGTAAATACTCTTTTAGTTGTGTATGCCTGAACTCCAACTCAAACAATATTCCTCAATATTATGTCAAATAGGCATATATGTTATGTCTGTATGTCTATCTATCTATATACCTACCTATCTATCTACCTATCATCTATGTTTTGTCAGTCTATCCATCTATCTAAAAATATTGTGGTAGCTCACAGGGCAAGAGGAAAAGTTGCAGAATTGAGCATAGCTCCTGGGATCTTAGGAACTCAGGATGCAACAAAAGCAATGTCTTTACCTCTCATCTCTTTATCTCCCAGTGTGTCAATTTAATTCTTTCAGGCTTTCCTATATAGTAAGGCTCCAACATTTATCAGCTCTGGTGTCATATTTTATATGGTCGTGACAATGAAGGAATGAAAAATTCTTTCATGATGACTTAAAATTCCAGCAGAAAGATCTTGGAGACAGCCAGTGGCGTACCTTTGTTATATATCTATCTTTAGACCAAACCATGGAGAGGGATATGGGTTATCATTAATGCCAAACCATGCTAGTGTTTGTGGTAAGGTAAGTTAGGGTCTATCTTTTGAAGAGAGAAGAGGCACTGGGTGGTCAAAAACAATAATATGAAATTGTACCGAAGATATTTCACTTAGCATAAGAATGGCACTATGCACTCCAGAGTTCAATGCCCACATGATAGATACCCCCTCCGTTCCTTGAAGATGGTATTTGATTTCTTGGGAGGACCTTTTTGCTTTCATTTTATCTGTTAGTATTTGGGAACAACTTAAACTTTAATGTCATCTTGTTGTAGTTATTCATTGATAGCACACCAATAAGGCATTCAGCTTAATGTTTCAAGATTATTTGTTTATTAACATTATGTAGGATTATAAATATAAGACAAATGTGAACACTCAGTTACACTGAAGTATTATGCACTGAAATATTATGAAAGCCATTCCAGAAAGTGTACCTGTCCCTTGATATTTCAGGAGATAATGTGAATGTGCTGCACAACCCCAAGCCAATCCAAGGATTTTGTATTAAGGAAGAGGCCATATTTATCATTAGCAAATCCAGACATTACCAAGATTGAAATACAATTTCCTGAGATCTTTTCTTGACATCGTTACAAGTTATGTTTAGAGGAAAATGCCAGCCCAGATAATCAAGAAACGTGCTTTCAAATAATACTTTAGCACTGAAGCAATGCTACTTGCTAGCAATGTAACTCTGATTGGTGGAGGTGAAGGACAGTAATGATGACAAGAAACCTGAGTAATATTGAAACCATTCCATTTAAAGCAATGATTGATATAGTTGGATTAATAGCTACTTTGTTTGTAATCATTTTCTGTTTATTACACTTATTCTTTGATATTTTTTCCTTCTGTTCTTTTGCTGCCACTTCTGTATAAATTGAACATTTCATATAATTCTATCTGTTCTCATCTCTTAGCATATCAATTATTCTTTAAAAAATTTTAGTAGTTTTTCTAGAATTTGAAATACATATTTACAAGTAATTAGAGCCTACTTTTAAACGCTATAATGCTTTACACTTGGTGCAGGTACCTTATAACAAAGTATATACCATTTCCTACCTCCTGTGTCTTAGAACATTTCCATCATTTACTTTACTTATCCACATGCTGTAATCACCCAACAAATTGTTACTATTATTACTTTGAATAGTCACCCATTAGATCAATTATGAATAAGAAAAATAAGATTTCATGTTGCAATGGCTATGGAGGCTAAAGTTTCCAAATTCCTCTAGTGTTCTCATTTTTGTCTCCCTTCTTGACTTTGGGGCTTACCTTCGTACTGCTTCTCAAAGGGTATTGGGCTCCTTGCAGCTCTTTGAGCTATGATCCTCTGTTATCTCTTGGACTCCTATTGATATGATATGGAGGAGAGAAATAATTTTATAATTAAATATTATTCTTTTAGTGGGCCTGTGTCCCTAGTTTATGACTTTCACAAGTATTTCTTAGTTTCCCTCCCATTCTCCAGTAGGGAGATAGAAAAGTTAGAAGGTGATGAAGGAAGTACCATCTGTCAAGTGGGATAAGGCTCTGGTAACATCTGTTACCCTGGAAAGTAGGCTTATCTGTGTTATTTGGAATACTCTGGGCCTATTTCAAAATGGTTACTTCTTCTCCCCATCAGAAAAACAAGGGATTTTTTTTTTCTATGTTCTTCACTGCGAAAATCTGTTGGGGTTTTTGGAATTTAAATTTATGAAAGTTTCTTAGGGTTTCTCCCTAAGTCTACAGCCCCAAGGAGTTTCTCATTCTCATATTATCTCACACTCACCCTCCAATAATTTGTCAACATTGTTATTTAAGAGTTCTCACCAGTTTACGGCTCCATCTGCTTTTGCTTGCTTTTGCTCTATATAAGCTGATCTGTACTGTGATTCTCTTTACTCATCTGACTCTCCAAATTTTGGGGTGACAATTTGCCTTGCCACCATCTCACTTTTCTGATGGGTCTAAGTGAAGTGATAAATTTCACTTTGTTCAGTTGGACTCTTGTAAAGACAGGAGTGACAACTTCTAAGTTCTTTCCATGTCAGAATTAAAACCAGAAGTCCTAAATAATCTTTAAAGACATTTTAATGATTATTAGGTTTTTGTTTCAATATCCATTGGAATATGTATCAAATTTGGTACCCATGGTAATTCTTACTCTTTTCTCAAATATTGTTAAACATCTAACAAAATGTTGCTTAATAACAATGTTTATTTCCCTGTATGTGATCTCCAGAGAGCTATCAGACTCTTTTCGTGATTATTGTACCCATGGTAACTCTCATTCTGTTCTCAAAAATCCTTAACTATTCAAGAAAATGTTACTTAATGGTTAACTCTAATTCCCCAATACGCAATCTCCAGGGAGCTATCAGTCTCTTTTTTTGAATAAAATTTTGATCACTGTTTATAAGGAGGAGAAAATCAATAAACAAAAATCTTCTCATTAGTTGAGGCTTTGAGATTTGAATCTTTCCTTGCTGAAAGTAATTCCAAATAATAAAGCTTCCTAAAATAATTTGTTGCAGCCATCAACAGGATCCCTACTGTTTTACTTTCTTAATTTTGCAAATTATTATTATATTACTATTTTTTTACTTCCCTTTCATTTAAAAATGTACCATTTAAACAAGTCAAATACTATAAAAATGGGGAGGAAGGAAAGAAAACTAATTTCTTAAATGATTTGTTAATATTTATCATCAATTCACAAGATTTTTGCAATTTACTTTGCCAATTGTACTGTTATTGGTATTTTAAAAAATAAATCTAAACATACAATTTTCTTTCTAAAATTTGTTTGCAATAAGAATTATTTGGCAATATACTCATGTTAAATTTATTTTCTAAACATGCAATGCATGGTTCTCTGTAGTTAATTGTCTGAAAAGTAATTATATAAGACCACTGTATAATTATAATTTTACATACTTATTCACATATCCTTAACATAATGAAATGGCTACTCTGTCTGGGGAATATACCCTGGGGTTCATTGTTGCTCGCCAAAAAAGAATTCAGGACATGGACACGTGGGTGGGTTAAGGAGTGGAAAGTTTAATAGAAGAAAGGAAAGAAGAGAGCAACTCCTTTTGGGGGAGAGAGAGACGTCCGAAAAGTGGGGAGGCAGCAGACCACAGCAGATTTTAAAGGCAGGCTGGATTGGTCTGATCAGGTATGATATCTACATAGTGGGAGGGGAAGGCTGGTGCCCCACCCTAATCTTACTATGCAAATGGCCTTTCCAATTGATAGGTGCCATCTTGTCTGCTTCTTACTGTACATGCTGCTGACAAACAGAAGGGAAGAGGGAGCCACCATCTTGAGCACGATTGGCACAACTGCTGGTATCTATGTCTGGAGCTCGATTTTACAGGCTGCTCTTTGTTAGAAAGGAAAATAATTTGGGGCTGCTTTTCATTAAAAAGAAAAGCCTTACCAAGGACTCCCATACACTTACTATCTGCCTAGGTTATTTATTCTTAACTCCTGTATCAATAAGGTTTAGCAGAGATATAAATTTTATAATTTATAGTATTTATAAGGTTATATTAATTACTATATTATTTTTCTGTCATTTCTATTCTGTAAATAAAGAAGTAATAGTTAAGTGGAATATACTGTGTTAAATGTTTTCATAGGTTGTACTATTTAATTTCATTAATCTCTTCAAAACTATTTTTTCTTGCAAAAAAAGCATTGCCAATTATAAACAAGTTGAAACAATTTACAAGTGGTTCTTTGTACATTTTTATATAATTTAATTGATACATTTTATGTATCAATTTATTCTTTGCCTCTATATCCAATCAGATTTATATTGAGAGCTTGGGAGTCAAGAGTTTTATATTGTTTTGTCTGAGTGGTTCATCTGTGGAAAATGTATACCTCAACATTCTTTTCAAACAAATGCAAAGCTTTTATGAAGATAGATATATTCTGGGCCATAAAATGAGTGTCATAAACTTAAAGAGCCCATTTATACAAAATATATTCCCTAACCATAGAACATTAAATTATAAATCAACAACAGAAAAATATCTGTGAAATCCAGAAATATTTGGAAGCTAAATAACAAACTTCAATCTAACAGGTATTTCAAAGAAGAAAAATGTTTTTAAGTATATGAAAATGCAAGCATGACACATGAAAATTAAGGCATGCTACGAATGCAGTAACTAGGTGGAAATTATAACCACAAAAATCCTATAGTAGAAATAAAAAAAGTCTCAAATTAGTGTCCATAGCATTATCCTTGAGAAACTAGAAAAGCAAATTGAACCCAAATTAATCAGAGAAAGAAAACAATAATAAAGGCAGAAATCAATGAAATAGAAAACAGTAAAAACAATAATGAAATCAATGTAACAGCAATTCTGTGAAATAATCAATAAAATGGATAAACCTCTATCTAGCCAGGCTAAACAGGATATGAAGAAGGAAGACACAAATTATCCATACCAGGATTGAGAGAGGTGGCATCAATACAAATTCTACAAGCTATTAAAAGGATAATAAAAGAATATTCTTAATAACTTTATGGCCATAAATTCAACAACTTAGATGAAATGGACAAATTTCTTGAAAGACACAAACTCTCAATACTCGTACAATAAATAAAGTCTTCTCTATGTTAAAAAATATTCTGAAGAGTACTATATCCATTCATTGTATTTATAATTGCAAACTTTTCCACAAACTCCAGGCTCCCATCACTTCATTGGTGAATTCTTCTAGACGTTTAAAGAAGAAATAATACCTAAACAAATGTTTCCAGAAAATTTAAAAGAAGTTAATACTTAGTCAACACATTTTCTGAAGCCAGCATTACCTCAATTCCCAAACCCAAAGACACCACAAGAAAAAAATAACTACAGACTAATAGCTTTCATGAATATAAGTGTAAGCAATTCTTAATGAAAACTTAACAATTAAACATAGTATTATGTAAAAATATGACAGCATAACAATATGGAGTTTATCTCAGGAATTCGAGGGTAGTTTTATATTCAAAAATCAGTCAATATAATCAATATGTCAACAAACTAAAGAAAAACATATGATCACTACAGTAGATACAGCAAAAGCACTTAACACAATCTCAAATTCACAGCTGATATAACATGTTCAGAGAATGAAAAGACAAAGCAAAGATTAGGAGTGCTGATTGGTGCATTTACAAACCTTGAGCTAAATACAGAATGCCGACTGGTGCATTCACAATCCCTTGGCTAGACATAAAGATTCTCCAAGTCCCCACCAGATTAGCTAGACACAGAGCGCTGATTAGTGCATTTACAAACCTTGAGCTAGACACAGAGTGCTGGTTGGTGCATTTACACACCTTGAGCTAGATACAGAGTGCCGATTGGTGCATTCACAATCCCTTAGCTAGACATAAAGATTCTCCAAGTCCCCACTAGACTCAGGAGCCCAGCTGGCTTCACCCAGTGGATCTCGCACCGGACCACAGGTGGAACTGACCTGCCAGTCGCGCGCCGTGCGCCGGCACTCCTCAGCCATTGGGCGGTGGATGGGACCGGGTGCCGCGGAGCAGGGCGCGGCGCTCCTCGGGAAGACTCAGGCGGCGCAGGAGCCCACGGCCGGGGTGGGGAGACTCAGGCATGGCAGGCTGCATATCCGGAGCTCTGCCCCCGGGGGAGGCAGCTAAGGCCCGGCGAGAAATCGAGCGCAGCGCCAGTGGGCCAGCACTGCTGGGGGACCCGGCGCACCCTCCGCAGCTGCTGGCCCAGGTGCTGAGCCCCTCACTGCCCGGGGCTTGCGGGCGGGCCAGCTGCTCCGAGTGAGGGGCCGTCGAGACCACGCCCACCCGGAACTCGCGCTGGCGCGCAAGCGCAGTGTGCAGCCCCGGTTCCCGCCCGCGCCTCTCCCTCCACACCTCCCCGCAGGCTGAGGGAGCCGGCTCCGGCCTCGGCCATCCCAGGAAGGGGCTCCCACAGTGCAGCGGCGGGCTGAGGGGCTTCTCAAGTGCGGCCAGAGTGGGCGCCGAGGCCGAGGAGGCGCCAAGAGTGAGCGAGGGCTGCGAGGGCTGCCACCACGATGTCACCTCTCAGTTCTAGGCAAGTACAGAGCTGCAGCCGGTGATCCTGGGTTGGGGGTGAGGTAAGGGGGTGGCTGGGGTGCCAGGTGGCGAGGCCCTGCCCGGCAAGGAGTAGGAGGGGCGGGAACCTGCATGGAAAACAGTCTGCCACTTTTCCATGAGGCAGCTACACCGTGCTAAGGGTCTGCGTTAGTCCCTAATCACAGCCCTCCCTCATGAGGCTGAGAGCAACAGAAGTGCAGCCATGATTCCTATTTTATTAATAATTGTGCTGATGGTTTAATGCATATATTCATAGGTCAGAACATTAAAGTGTCCCTTCAAAATGTGTTTTTATTTTATGTCAATTATACCTAAATAAATATTTATAAAATCTCACCATGCAAGTAACATTTAGCATAAGAAACATTGTGTGGAAATACGAGAGTCTACTCAAATATATGGCTGTCTGTGATGTGTGCCTTTCCCCCCTCTGAATTTACTTGCATATTTAATTTTATGTATGTCAGTTAATTTATTATCTTTAGTAACCTATATTCTGCTCCTTGCAATTTTCGTATTTCCTATCTCTGGCATAGTTTTGATTTGTCTTCAGTTTGTTTCTTTATCTCAAAGTGTAGGGCTTTTTTTTTTTTTTAAAAACTCTTTCACTGTTTAAAAAAATCAAATATATGGTCAGAGTAAGTTTTTTCCTAGTCTTAGTTGTAATTTTCAGAGATTCTTTTCTATTCTTTGGTTTTGTTTGTTGTTGATGTTTCAGTTTTTTTTTTCTTTGCTTTACGTGATGCATTTTCCTCTAATTGTTTTTTCTCTCTTTTTCTGCGAGAATGTTTAGTACTGGCAGCTGCATTTTTCTAATATTGTGGGGAGTAAATTATCTTGAGTCCATCCCCTCTTTCTTGAGATCTATCTTCTCCTTAGGGTGTGAGGATTTAAGTATATCTTCTGTTTCAGGAAGTTTTTTTTTTTTTTTTTTTTTTGTTTTTGAGACGGAGTCTCGCTCTGTCGCCCAGGCTGGAGTGCAGTGGCGCGATCTCGGCTCACTGCAAGCTCCGCCTCCCGGATTCACGCCATTCTCCTGCCTCAGCCTCCCAAGTAGCTGGGACTACAGGCGCCCGCCACTACGCCCGGCTAGTTTTTTGTATTTTTAGTAGAGACAGGGTTTCACCGTTTTAGCCGGGATGGTCTCGATCTCCTGACCTCGTGATCCGCCCGCCTCGGCCTCCCAAAGTGCTGGGATTACAGGCGTTCAGGAAGTTAATGGCAAGGAAGAGATGACCTTAGTTGGAGTTATATAAAACCTTAGAAGAATTGTGTTTCTACTTTTCCTGTAGATGTTAAATTTCCTGTCATGGTTCACTTCCCGTACTGGAGCTAGGGCTTGGAGTAGGCAGTGATGTAGTGTTTCACGATGTGGGGTATGCCTTAGAAGCATTTCTTTAATTCAGTTTGATACTTTGTAGCTTGTACTTAAGTCAGAGAAACTTGTCCCCAGGAGTTGGTTGCTTAAAAGCCATGTTTACTTCCTGCTAGTCAGGTAGGGTAATTTGTATGTATTACAAGAATTCTGACGATCATTTAGATTCAGCATTATGATTTTGGGGCAAAGAAAATTCAGAGCCATGTCATGCAAAACTTTTAGTATCGTTTTATGTTTCCTTGTTTTGAGTTTTTGGCAAATTAGGTATATTATTTTTAGTGGTACTTTTTTTGTAGCTATTTTGTATTTGTATAGGGAGAATATTTTACCAGGCTTGACTTCACTATCTTTATGCATAAATTCCAAAGATAAACTCCATATATAAATATCTGAATTATCATTTAAAAGAATTTGCCAATGTATCAATTACTTAAAAATGTGATTTTAAATATATAAAATGGTTTGAATTTTAACCTAAAAAAATTAATTTTGCCCTGAGTGGATAGATCTATTAAATGAAATTCCAATGAGAATTCCTAAGAATTTGTCTAAGAAAGAGCTCTAAATCCTGGAGAGCTGATATAAAGTTAATTTTTAAAAATGTCTTCTCTGAGCTTTCTTTATTTAAATTTTTCAGTTTGGGGTGGTGGACCTAACAAATATGTACTTTGTTATTGCTAGAGTTCATGTTTCTTAGAATGCCCTTGGCAGGGCAACATATTTAATGAATAATGAAACTGGTGAAAAGGGGCAGTGTCCAAAGATTAAGAAGCTCTAAGTAAGGTGACACTAAATTCCTCATTTGCTTAATCCAGCCTAAAATCATATACATTTTTTATATTAAAATTACAACATATTCACCACCTTTTATACCATCCTGAGAATTGTGAAAAGGGTGAAGAAACAGAGTTAGATCTTACGTATTGAAAGATCCTATTTCTAGTGAGAAATTGACACTATTAAGACTATTTTTAAATTTTTAAAAATTATGATAATCAGTATGCTTTTGCAAAGATCAAGTCTGGTTGAATATCATTAATCACTAGATAAATTTAATCTACAATGACTTTAATAAAGCTTTTGATATATTCTTGAAAGATGCTTATCAATTAACCAGCATAATATCATATGTAGGATAATAAAATATAGAGCGATAATTTTTCAAAATTTCATTTTATTTTGTTTTATGTGAGGATCCTACTTGTTTCAGCATTGAGAATTTCATCTCTTTTTTTGCTTTGGGTAATTTGGGGTTATAACCACTTGATTTTTCAGTGGCTCTGCATGAAACAGGTACAGCATGATTCCATATCAGGATTTAGGGCAGCCTCAAGAGCAAAGATTTTGAAATCATGCTCTGAAGATCGTTTGAATTTTTCTTGCCATCTTATTATTATCAAAAGTGTCAAGTGTGCAGGAACAGCTGTTAATGAGAACAGCTCTTTTATTAATGCCTTATATACTGGGTTTCTTTGTTAAATGCAGTAGCACAAAGAGTTGTGCTCCTACAAAATTAAACCTAAACACAGTGACTACAAAATGTCAGTGAGGGAGATGTTTATTAGATTAGATGATCACATCCAGAGTGGACATGGATCTCTTTTGCCTAAATTCTATTCTGGAACTACAATATTTTAACATTAACAACCTATATGAAAATAATTAATATGTTTTGAAACAAAGTAGAAGGGGTGATAGTTATTAAGAGAAAAGCTAACATAATTCAGAAATATTCTACAAATATCAAAAAGAATAAGGCTGCATATGGAAACTTAAATGGGAACATTACAAGGGCAGGAGACATTCTCAAATTAAAGATGGGTAATGATAAAGTATGGTCAAGTGTCATCACAACCTAACCATCAAAAAGAATCTTCTGTAAAGAATGCCTTACATTTAAGCATGATATTATGTAATCAAAATATAAACACTAAAAATAAACCAAAATTCACTAGGCATCTATTATGAATTATATTAATGATAGGTAACTTGGTTTTTTAACTTTGGAAATTAAATATAAGCATTAAGAGATTATCTAATTGGGTGATAACACACTATATTCATTGGTGGAATCTCAAAACTAACAGAATCTATACTTAGAAATTACTTATTAGATGCTCACCGAAGTGACAGATGGGAAAACAAACTATGAGAAAAATAGTGAAGAATTTTTAAACAGATGACCAAGTTTAAGAGTAATTCCAAGTAACTTGCTAGACAAAGGATGATGAATGAACGTTAATTTTCTCTGCTGAAAACCAAACTGACATACAGAAACACACACCAAGTCTTGCACAGATATGCAGAAGTGTTGTGGGACTTAAGTTAGACATCTAAGGGATAAAGTGAAAGTGAACTTTACCATGAAGTGGCCAAAAACACCAAGAATATATAAAGTTTTGTTTCTCTAAATTTTATTGAAATTGACTTTTTTTGCTGAAAACGGATGATAATGCATAGTAGTTTTATTGAATATTAATATATTTTAAAAAATTTCTCATAAATAACATTTCAGACAAAAAACAGAAGAATAGAGAGCAAGAAAGACAGCAATATGTGAATAAATGGATATAATTATGAGTTTAGAAATTAGATCTCATTTCTAGTTAGGGAACATTTTGAGCAGCATTTGTTTGCATTCTTGGGCCCTGTCATGGGCAGTTTGGATTGCTATTAAAAATGGAGAAACCTCATCTCTACTAAAAATACAAAATTAGCCAGGTGTGGTGGAGCATGCCTGTGATCCCAGCTACTTGGGAGGCTAAGGCAGGAGAATCACTTGACCCCAGGAGGCAGAGGTTGTGGTGAGTGGAGATCACGCCGTTGCACTCCAGCCTGGGCAACAAGAACGAAACTCCATCTCAAAAAAAAAAAAAAGTACTATAGACTGGGTGGCTTAAATAACAATTTTTTTCCTCATGGTTCTAGAGGCTGGAAAGTCCAAAGTCAAAGTGCCATAGACCTGTGTGAGAATTAGGATGTTGGTCTCTTCCTACCCAGAAGTCCTAGACACCTATTTACCTACTCACTAGTGACCAACTATACATGCTAAGGGGAGGGTCATATTTTGCCAAAGTACTAAAAGAAAACAAAAGTGTTTTCCCTTTGAATAATAGATTTCTTCTTATCATAATTTGGCTAATAGAGTCTTTCATAGGAGGTTCATTTCAAGTTGACTTGTGGTCCTTTACTCTTAGACATCAGGTAATATAATTTTGTGGACACCTTTCAAAGAATTGCTTAATCTCATTGACTCTCTGCTTTAATAGACACCCCATTATACCAATAATATTCCCGGTGGGACAAGCACCCACATATACACACAGAATTGGCTGTAAGATATTGTATTCGTTTGCTAGGGATGTCATAACAAAATACCACAGACTGCATGGATAAAACAACAGAAATTTATTTTGTCACAGCTCTGGAGTCTGGAAGTCTGAGATCAAGGAGATTTTTTTCTGAAGCCTCTGTTTGTGTTTGGCTTATAGATGGCGATCTTCTTGCTGTGTGTTGACATGGTTGTCTCTTTGAGCATGCAAGTTTTTGGCCTTTCTGTGTGTGTGTGTGTATGTGTGTGTGTGTCTCAGTCTCCTCTTATAAAGACACAGTCATATTGGATTAGGGCCTACCCTAAGACTTCATTTTAATTTAGTTACCTCTTTAAAGTGCTAACCACCAACTGTGATTACATTTTGAGGTACTAGGATTTAGAACTTCAACATGATTTTTTTTTTTTTGGTGGGAGGAGCACGGTTAAGCCCATAACAGAGATAAGAGTAAGTATGACCATGAAAGGAGAAGTGAGCTGGTGTCCTTAAATTACAATGTTACAATGAGAGTTCTCAGAGGTCACATGTGGAAAACCATTCCATGAGTCAAGCTGCTGAAACAATGAATGTACTTACTGGCAGATTTTATTATTGGATGCTGACTCTTGGAATTATACTGATTATATTATCTCATTGTAGATTTGATGAGATGATTTTTGAGGGCTCTTGTTAGTCTATAAGTACAGATGAAAGGAAAAACAGTGAGGAGACAAAGGGAAGAACTGAATGACTTAAATATGTACTCAGCTTGATCCACTTGCTGAAATGATTATTATTGTCTATCACTACTATATTATTTGCCCTTCCTCATTTCCTCCTAAGAATTTATTTACATGTACACATCAAATGATAGCATGAAATATCCAGGACTCTCCAACAATAAAATTAATTTGCTCTTTTCCTGAATGTCAAAGGTAGACATTTGTGGGGGTGAATTATGATATACCACCATTTTACTCATTTTATAATGTAATATATGCCTTAGACTTTTAAATGTTAATTCTGTACCAATACTGTGGAGGAATTTTTATGACATGAAATTTTAATGATCTTTCATTGTGATAAGCCAATAAAAAGAAAAAAGACAGAAAACCAGGTCTAAAAATATAGTAAACTTCAGAGCCTCAGCAGCTGCGACCATAATCATGCACCACATAATGATGTTTCAGTCAATGACAGGCCGCACAGAGGACAGTAGTCCCATAAGATTATAATATCATATTTTACTCGACCTTATCTATGTTTAGATACACAAATACTTACCATGTATTATAATTGCCTACAGTATTTATCACAGTAACATGCTGTGCAGATTTGTAGCCTAGGAGCAATAGGCTATACCTTATAGCTTAGGTGTGTAGTAGGCCACACCATCTACATTGGTATAATCTGTGATGTTCACACAATAACAGAATCACCTAAGGACACATTTCTCAGAATGTATTCCAGTCATTAAGCAACACATAATACTGCATTTATGATCAATCTTGATAATGAGCTGATATAGGGTATTTGGTATAAGGAAAGCTTCATGCATACCACATTCCAACATTATAACACAGCCACCTTCCTCTCCACTCAGGTTATTTGTCTGGATAAGCTAGGTTTTAAAGCTTTTGTTTACTTTTTCTGTAAAAAAACCACTACCTTCCATTTGCAGTAATTTAGAAGCAGAATGTATTGAGTTATATACTGTGCAATTTCATGTAGCAAATGAAAACAAAAACATATTTTGATGGTATTTATAGCCTAAGTAATCTCATTTAAATTATGCCCTAGTTTGGTTTGGGAGGTTTTTTTCTTTCTTTCTTTTTTTTCTTTTTACTTTGAAGGGTAGTATATGCAATGGCATTTATAATAAGATATTCCCAAGCGTGAGGAAAAAAAAGAGATAAAAAAAGAGAATTTTTCTTTATCAGTAATTCAACAGAACTCAAAGAATGTACAATTGCAGAAAAAAATGGGTCTTTTTGATGGTTAACTTAGCAAGAAAATGGAATTTTAACATGGATACAGTTTTTTCCAAATAAGAATCTCTTGCTTAAATCTGTCATTGAGAAAAGTATCAACCAATATAATAACAGAATTTATAGCAATAACAATAAAACTTGTATTTGTTTTGCCTTTTATTTGCTTCCAAAAAGCTTATTGTCCTTTATGAATCAGATTTTTAAATCTCCATGGTCAGTGGATTACTCTGAAGTGGGTATTAGTCTTCATTTTATAAGCTGCAAAGACTCATGTGCTGAGAGGAGGCTTGCCTGAGATCATGTAGAAAGTCCATAGAACTAAAAGGATTCAGAATTTGGGGCTCACAAATCAGTGCATTACTCTTTAGATAATACTGTTTCCCAGCAAATCTAACTTGTGTGTTAACTAAAAATTTGCTGTTTTGAAGTTTTTATTCACTGAAATAACTAACAAAATGGAAAATGCATAATAGCTCATTTACAGAACATTTTATATCCTGTAATTAAGGCTCTATGAATCAAATTATGCAGTGTCAGCTCTATTTCTTTTAGCAGATATCATTGAAAATGAGGCAGTTAGCATCTGCCACTGACTTTGACTTGGAGGCAGCTAAATTAACCTTTTGCTTTTATAACAATCCTATTGGCTAAAAATATAGATACTTTCATATAGAGTGAGTATAGATGTCTGGCAAGAGTAACACATAACCATATTATTTTCTCATGCACTAGTTCTTTTATGATTCAGTAATTAGTGAATATAACTGTCAACTTCTTAGGGATATGCTTGAAAACATACAGTAGTTACCTTTTATCCATGGTTTCACTTTCCGTGGTTTCAATTACCCACGGTTAACCATGGTTCAAAAATGTTAAATGAAAAATTCCAGAATTAAGCAATTCATACATTTGAAATTGCATGCCATTGTGAATAGCATGATAGAATCTCATGGCATCCAGCTCTGTCCCACCTGGGACATTAATCATCCTTTTGTCCAGCATATCCACGCTGTATACACTTCCCGTCCCGTAGTCACCTAGTAGCTGTCTGTTACGGGATCAACTGTGGCAGTATCACATTGGTTGTGTTCAAGTAACACTTATTTTACTTAATAATGGCCCCAAAAAGCAAGAGTAGTGATGCCAAAGAGAAGCCCTGAAGTTCTTTTTTAAGTGAAAGGTGAAATTCTTGACTTAATAAGGAAAAAACATAGTGTATGTAACGCTATGGTGGGAGTGTAAACTAGCTCAGCCATTGTGGAAGACAGTGTGGAGATTCTGCAAAGACCTAAAGACAGAAATACCATTTAACCCAGCAATCCCATTACTGGGCACATACCCAAAGGAATATAAATCATTCTATTGTAAAGATACATGCACACTTATGTTCATTGCAGCACTATTCACTATAGCAAAGACATTCAGTCAACCTAAATGCCCATTAGTGATAGACTGGATAAAGAATATGTGGTATGTATCCATCATGGAATACTATGCAGTCATAAAAGAGAATGAGATTATGTCCTTTGCTGGGACATGGATGGGATTGGAGGCCATTATCCTTAGCAAATTAACACAGGAACAGAAAACCAAATACCACATGTTCTCAATTATAAGGGGGAGCTAAATGTTGAGAACACATGGGCACATAGAGGGGAACAACACACACTGGGGCTTTTCCGAGGGTGGAGGGTGGGAGGAAGAAGAGGATCAGGAAGAATAACTAGTGGGTACTAGGCTTAATACATGTGTGATGAAATAATCTGCAAAATAAACCCCGATAACACAAGTTTACCTATGTAACAAACCTGCGTTTGTACCCTTGAGCTTAAAATAAAAGTTAAAAAAAAAAAAAGAAAAAAACATGTTGTATATAGGCTGGGCTCACGCCCATAATCCCAACACTTTGGGAGGCCGAGGTGGGTGTATCATGAGGTCAGGAGTTTGAGACCAGCCTGTCCAACATGGCAAAACCCCGTCTCTACTAAAAATACAAAAATTAGCTGGGCGTGGTGGTGGTTGGCTGTAATCCCAGCTACTCGGGAGGCTGAGGCAGGAGAATCACTTGAGCCCAGGAAGTGGAGGCTGCAGTGAGCTGAGATAGGGCCACTTCACTCCAGCCTGGGGGACAGAGCGAGACTCTGTCTCAAAACAAACAAACAAACAAACAAACAAACAAAAAACCAAAAAATAGTATACATAGGGTTCAGTACAATCTGTGGTTTTAGGCATCCCCAGAGGGTCTTGGAACATATTCCCCACAGATGAGGGTGAGCTACTATAGTTTCAAATTACTCAAGTCATTTTAGCAGCATTCCTAATTTCTTATATTTTACTAAGTTTTGTCACTCTGGCAGTTGTTTTAAATCATGAGCAAACTGTGATATCTATCAGATATCTAACTGTGATATCTATCAGAGCAAACTGTGACCACTATCAGAGTCAGGTCAGTATATAAATGTATGAATTAGATCTGGGAAAATAACAGGTAGGGGTGAGGGTTTGACTGAGCTGAAGAGTTTATGCCTCCTCTGTCAGAAGTCTAGTTCAATATATATTTTTTTGAGACAATGTCTAATTCTGCCTTCCAGGATGGAGTGCAGTGGCACAACCATGGCTAACCACAGCCTCAAACTCCCAGGCTCAAGGGATCCTCCTGCCTCAGCCTCCCAAGTAGCTGAGACTACAGGTGTGCACCAATGTGCCTGGCTAAATTTTTTAGTTTTTGTAGAGATGAGGTTTCACCACATTGCCCAGGCTGTTCTTGAACTCAGGGGCTCAAGTGAATTTCCCGCCTAGACCTCCCAAAGTGCTAGGATTACAGGCCTGAGCCACCATACCTAGCCTTAATTTTTATTGAAGACTTTGTCAGCTTGAAAAAGCATTGTATATATGGGCTGTGTCTTGCCCGCTAATTACCACAGGGCAACTCCTACAGTGAGTACTTGGCATGGTGTAATTGCCATTCCAGGACATTTCTATTCTAATGACCTGAACATTTTAAACCCTTATTTATAGTTGCCTAACTTCAAACTTAAATTGGAAGAAGCTATAACATTAATATAGAAAAGCCATTAATGCAGCAAAAAATCAATTGTTACACAATTGCTTTAGATAAAAATCCCATGCAATTTGTGTAATCCATATGAATTGTATTTGACATTAGAAAGGTGATTTAAGAAAAAATCAGAGAGTGGTGTGAATCATAACTTGTTACCATTTCTCCCATCCAACTACTAACCAGGCTTCACCCTGCTTAGCTTCCAAGATTAGCTGTGTTCAGGGTGGTATAACCATAGACAACTTATCAACATTTCTGTTCATCAAATTTTATTTTTCTGCTTATTTAACAAAGTTATGGAAGCTATGAATATTCACCAGTGACATTGGGAATTGGCTGGTCTCTGGATTTTAGTTTAACTGCCTCATCATTCCAGAGTTGATAGTCTCCACAGTGGCAAAAATCCTTCCCCAAGTTATGTATTATTGTGCATAGGAAGTATATACATCCAGTGCCAAGATCTCTCTGTATTAGTTTGTTCTCACATTGCTATAAAGAACTACCTGAGACTGGGTAAATTATAAAGAAAAGAGGTTTAATTGACTCACAGTTCCACAGGCTGTACAGTAAGCATGGTTGGGAGACCTCAGGAAACTTACAATCATGGCAGAAGGGTGAAGGGGAAGCAAGCACATCTTCAGATGGTGGTAGGAGAGAGAGAGAGTGAAGGAGTGATGTGCTAGTCACTTTTAAACAACCAGATCTCACGAGAACTCACTCACTATCACAAGAACAACAGTGGGTAAATCCACCCCCATGATCCAATAATCTCCCAACAGGTCCCTCCCCCAACATTGGGAATTACAATTCAATATGAGATTTGGGTGGGAACATAGAGCCAAACCATATTCTCCAAGGAAATCGTGACTCCTTAGCACTTCCACACATACTAGGAAAGAAGAAAAATACCATGTAAATCAATTGTACACATGAGAAAACTTAAAGGGAGGCTAAGGTTGTTCTCTAGAATCACACAATGAACACAAATTAGAATGGTAGACTTTGGTCTCTTGTTTCCTCCTTGAATCATCCATTCTGTAGGTTTTTTGTTTTTTTTTTTTGAAGAAAACATTTGTGGAAGTTTGTAGCATAAACAATATAAAAGAAAAGAGAGACGCATTTCCTAAAATGATGGAAACAGATCTATTATGTAAACATTAATTGATGGAACCAGGAGTGACCTGGTTGTTCATTCCTATGGAATAACTGAGCATGCCTTATGGCAGAGCACATTGTAGTGTATCAGAGTGTCTGCATATTTTTTAATGAAACAGGTTTACTTGATCTGTGATTTACATCTAACCATCTCTCCAAATCTATAATCTATATCTGTATCAGTCATTTATACATATCAATCATCTATATTTATTCATCTGTCCTCTGTATCTCTCAGTCATCTATTTGTCTGCATCCATCAGTTCATCCATCTATCCAACCCTTTATCCATCATCTATCTTTTTTTTAATAGAAAAAGAAGTTTACTTATGAAGTCTTGCAAAGGGACATGCTTTAAGTGGTGTTCAAATAAACATTCCAATTTGTATTAGAACCTTGAAATTGTGAAGTTGTGGAGCTCGCGGGAGGCCCTTTTTACCTTCATGAGCTTTAGCTTTCTTGGCTACCCTCAGGTGCCATGTGGGTGCTATTCTTGCCTGTCTTGGGCTCTGACTCCCCATAAAATATCCTCTTCTGCTGCTGATACTGATGCCATCTTCACCCTGTCTGGGCTCTGATACCCTTCACAAGTGCACTCCTTTGACAGATATCCTCCTCACCCTCTTAGACTGTAACTCGTCATGCTAAGTCTTCCCCTGCATGGATGTCTTTATCTGAGGCCCATGCAGGCTGTTCTTTTAGTAGGACATTCTCTTTGGTCTCTTGGACTCTGACTCCCTGCTAGATCATTCTCCAGAAGGATGTCCTACTCATCTTGACTGGACTCTGACCACCTGAGTATAGATGCTGCAGCTATTTCTCCCCAATCACCACTACAGACACCTGCTTTTTGTATACCACGTGATAGCTGTAGAATGGAATTGCTTAGGAAAGGAGGGAAAGAGAGGATTAAAAAGAAGGGGGGGGGGAGAAAGAGAAAAAGGAAGCTAAAATATACTTAATAAAATACTAGTTCAGATATTTACGAATACCAGTATTTTATCTGCCGGCTACATTTACACAGAAGTTTGGCTTTGGATTTAGGGCTTATCAAATAGATGCTCTGGTGCTTTGGTCTCAGATTCAGCATTTGGAAAGCTGAAGACCAAATGCATGTTCTGCTTTAATTTTTGGTACCTCTGAACCTGTTTGTGAACAATAGTCATATAATTATGTTAGATCATGTTTAAACAGCATTAAAAAGTAGTCATTGAAATACGCCATCTGCATTTTGCTCAAATCTTATAGGTTAATATCTTGTAATTCTTTCAATTATAAATAAGATTTCCAGCTGTAACTTAAAATGAAAATCTCCTCAAGTGCTTTACATGCCGAAATTCTGTTAGTTGGGTATATATAAATGTGTATTTATTATTTCCACATTTATTGATGATTATGAAAGTGGATAATTTATGTATAAATATTATTGGGCATATTTATCTTAAATAATATACATAAATCATCTGCTTTCATAATCAATAATTAAAATAGGATATTTTAATTTAAATAAATAATAATTATTTAAAAATGTTAAATAAATAGGACATTGTAAAACAATGTTTTGCAAAACATTGTTGGACAATTAATATGAATATTATGTAGCACAGTGCTAAAATACTGTGAGGACTTTAAATCCTTTTTGAGCCTTATACCCATATAACCTTACATATCCATGAGTAATAATTTAAGCTGCAATGATGGAGATTATCTTATTATCCATATTCTAATCTTTGTGCTAATATTTATAACATTAACCAGAATAACTTTACAATTTAAGAATTAAAGTTTAGCTATTATTCCACTCAGGCCTGAAACATCAAAGAAAAAGTCCTATCTAGATATACTTCACATTATAAAAGAAGAAAACTTTCACTTCTCAAAAATTTATAAGAAAGGAAAATTTCAGGGATGAAGCCCATTTGATAATGGTGGATAAGCTTTTTGATGTGCTGCTGGATTCAGTTTGCTAGTATTTTATTGAGGATTTTTGCATCAATGTTCATCAAGGATATTGGTCGAAAATTCTCTTTTTTGTTTGTGTCTCTGCCCGGCTTTGGTATCAGGATGATGCTGGCCTCATAAAATGAGTTAGGGAGGATTCCCTCTTTTTCTATTGATTGGAATAGTTTCAGAAGGAATGGTACCAATTCCTCCTTGTACCTCTGATAGAATTCGGCTGTGAATCCATCTGGTCCTGGACTCTTTTTGGTTTGTAAGCTATTGATTATTGCCACAATTTCAGATCCTGTTATTGGTCTATTCAGAGATTCAACTTCTTCCTGGTTTAGTCTTGGGAGAGTGTATGTGTCGAGGAATTTATCCATTTCTTCTAGATTTTCTAGTTTATTTGCGTAGAGGTGTTTGTAGTATTCTCTGATGGTAGTTTGTATTTCTGTGGGATCGGTGGTGATATCCCCTTTATCATTTTTTATTGCGTCTATTTGATTCTTCTCTCTTTTTTTCTTGATTAGTCTTGCTAGCGGTCTATCAATTTTGTTGATCCTTGCCAAAAATCAGCTCCTGGATTCATTAATTTTTTGAAGGGTTTTTTTTTTGTCTCTATTTCCTTCAGTTCTGCTCTGATTTTAGTTATTTCTTGCCTTCTGCTAGCTTTTGAATGTGTTTGCTCTTGCTTTTCTAGTTCTTTTAATTGTGATGTTAGGGTGTCAATTTTGGATATTTCCTGCTTTCTCTTGTGGGCATTTAGTGCTATAAATTTCCCTCTACACACTGCTTTGAATGCGTCCCAGAGATTCTGGTATGTTGTGTCTTTGTTCTCATTGGGAAAATCTCCTTAAGCTGATAAGCAACTTCAGCAAAGTCTCAGGATACAAAATCAGTGTACAAAAATCACAAGCATTCTTACACACCAATAACAGACAAACAGAGAGCCAAATCATGAGTGAACACCCATTCACAATTGCTTAAAAGAGAATAAAATACTTAGGAATCCAACTTACAAGGGATGTGAAGGACCTCTTCAAGGAGAACTACAAACCACTGCTCAGTGAAATAAAAGAGGATACAAACAAATGGAAGAACATTCCATGCTCATGGGTAGGAAGAATCAATATCGTGAAAATGGCCATACTGCCCAAGGTAATTTATAGATTCAATGCCATCCCCATCAAGCTACCAATGACTTTCTTCACAGAATTGGAAAAAACTACTTTAAAGTTCATATGGAACCAAAAAAGAGCCCGCATCGCCAAGTCAGTCCTAAGCCAAAACAACAAAGCTGGAGGCATCACACTACCTGACTTCAAACTATACTACAAGGCTACAGTAACCAAAACAGCATGGTACTGGTACCAAAACAGAGATATAGATCAATGGAACAGAACAGAGCCCTCAGAAATAACGCCTCATATCTACAACTATCTGATCTTTGACAAACCTGAGAAAAACAAGCAATGGGGAAAGGATTCCCTATTTAATAAATGGTGCTGGCAAAAGTGGCTAACCCTATGTAGAAAGCTGAAACTGGATCCCTTCCTTACACCTTATACAAAAATTAATTCCAGATGGATTAAAGACTTAAACGTTAGACCTAAAACCATAAAAACCCTAGAAGAAAACCTAGGCATTACCATTCAGGACATAGGCATGGGCAAGGACTTTATGTCTAAAACACCAGAAGCAATAGAAACAAAAGCCAAAATTGACAAATGGGATCTAATTAAACTAAAGATCTTCTGCACAGCAAAAGAAACTACCATCAGAGTGAACAGGCAACCCACAAAACGGTAGAAAATTTTCACAACCTACTCATCTGACAAAGGGCTAATATCCAGAATCTACAATGAACTCAAACAAATTTACAAGGAAAAAAAAAACAACTCCATCAAAAAGTGGGCAAAGGATATGAACAGACACTTCTCAAAAGAAGACATTTATGCAGCCAAAAAACACATGAAAAAATGCTCATCATCACTGGCCATCAGAGAAATGCAAATCAAAACCACAATGAGATACCATCTCACACCAGTTAGAATGGCAATCATTAAAAAGTCAGGAAACAACAGGTTCTGGAGAGGATTTGGAGAAATAGGAATACTTTTACACTGTTGGTGGGACTGTAAACTAGTTCAACCACTGTGGAAGTCAGTGTGGTGATTCTTCAGGGATCTAGAACTAGAAATACCATTTGACCCAGCCATCCCATTACTGGATATATACCAAAAGGACTATAAATCATGCTCCTATAAAGACCCATGCACACGTATGTTTATTGTGGCACTATTCACAATAGCAAAGACTTGGAACCAACCCAAATGTCCAACAATGATAGACTGGATTAAGAAAATGTGGCACATATACACCATGGAATACTATGCAGCCATAAAAAAGGATGAGTTCATGTCCTTTGTGGGGACATGGATGAAATTGAAAATCATCATTCTCAGTAAACTATTGCAAGGACAAAAAACCAAACACTGCATGTTCTCACTCATAGGTGGGATAATGAGAACACATGGACACAGGAAGGGGAACATCACACTCTGGGGACTGTTGTGGGGTGGAGGGAGGGGGGAGGGATAGCATTAGGAGATATACATAATGCTAAATGACGAGTTAATGGGTTCAGCACACCAGCATGGCACATGTATACATATGTAACTAACCAGCACATTGTGCACATGTACCCTAAAACTTAAAGTATAATAATAATAAAAAAAAAAGAAAGGAAAATTTCAAAATCGAGTACAATTAATAGGATAAGTCAATGTTGATCAAGAAATAATCAAGCATATAGGGAGTTTAGAGATTTAAGAAAATGAAAATATTACAAAAAAACAAAGTATTCTTCAAATAGCTGACTCTTCCATGGCCCTTAGGTGAAAATAAGCACCCGTAAGTACCATTTTGTACCACCAATCTTCATTAGATACTGCAGAAATCTAACTGTTGAAGGTGCTGAGAAAGTATTGTTCCTGTATTACCTGCATTATTAAATTAAAAATCAACTTGTTAAAAATTGTTTTTTAAAAATATTTAGATTATATTTAAAATTCAATCTGTATTATATTACTACTTTCTCATTCTATTCATAATGATTTTGGCTTTGTCTTCATTTAGCCATTCAACATTAATCTAAAATGTGTGTTAGCAGGAGCACCTCTAAGCCATACCTTTGCTTGAAAAGAAATCTTCTTCGAAACATAGATAGATGCCTATCATTTTCTCACATCACAGATTTGCTCCTGACTAATTTGTGTTTATTAGGACAGTGGAAATTGCATTGAATCAGTTTGGCTAAGCTACTGAAATTTCTCAGATAAACTGTTTGTTTTGCAAATTGTGTAAATGCAGATACCCTCAGAGGATTTCTGATACTTCCTGATTCTAGTCTCTTCCCAGAGCATTTGTAACTTCTGTAGGGTGTATTGTTTTATGTTTTCATCAAAGCTTCACTGGAATCATAGGGCACAGTCAGGGTGATACTGATTCAATAATCCTTCTTTCCTTAGTACTTTATAAGAATCACTCTCTATTATTGCATTTGGTTTCTTTGAACTTTCAACAATTTCTCTTGGGCTTTCTGGAATATATTAAGATGTATGAAACACTAAAATATGATGTCTGAAACCTAACAAATGAGAAAATCATACTGGCTTCCTACGATAAATGTACTCAAGATGAATATAAGAGTTTAGATATCCTAAAAGAAATTTAAACAGTAAATCACTTTAATGTGAATTATTTTCTGAAATCTTTGTCATCGTGTAATCTTTGCTAATCATTCAGCAATTGCATGCCTGAACTATTAATTTTTTAACGTGTTAGACATTTAATGAGTCACATAAAATTTATTGAGTTTCTTTCTGTATCTTATCTAATTTATTCATCACAACTCTGTGGAGTCAGTACTATTAATATCACTATTTTACAAAAGAGGAAATTGATGCTTAGTGAGGCTATTATGCCCCAAATTATGCTGGAACATGTAGAGCTAGATTTGAACTTAAAGAGTCTCATTTCAAAGCTCGGCCGTTTATTCATATGCTACTCAGAATATAGTTAGTGAAATCAATAAAATATAGTGGTTTACGTAATGGTGATTCTTAACTCTGAGCAGTTAGATTCCTAATACCAGTAAAGACAGATAATATGTGGCTTAGGATGAACATACAGTCATGGAGGAAGTGATTGGGACAAGGTGGGTGGTAGTAATATTGGATGAATCTCAGAAGCTTTTGTATACCTTACATAGCTCATTAATATCTCTATTTTTTATCATTTCCTTGTTTTTTAATTAAACTTTCAAATTAAATCATAGTAAACTATGATTAACATTAAAGTTACTATTTTAAAGTTGTACAATAAAGTTTTTAGTATATTTACACCACCACCACCACTATCTAATTCCAAAACATTTTCATTACTACTAAAGAAACCCTGGGCCCATTGAACAGTTCTCTCCATTCCCTGCTCCCCGTGACACCTGGTAACCTCCGTTTTACTTTATGTCTCTATGAATATACCTATTCTAGATACCCAATATATGTGGAATCATATAATATTTGTCCACTGATGTCTGGATCATTTTAATTAGCATGTTTTCAAGGTTCATTTATGTTGCAGCATGTATCCCTCATGGCTTTTAATGGCCAATCTTTCATTGTGTGTGTCTGCGTGTCTGTGTGTGTACACACAGTACATTTTGTTTATCCATTCACCTTTTATTGAACACTTGGGTTGTTTCCACCTTTTGGGCATTGTCAATAATGCTACTGTGAACACTGGTGTACAATTACTTGAATCCCTGTTTTCCATTCTGTGGGTATATATCTTGGAGTGGAATAGATAGCTCATATGGAAATCCTATGTTCAGCTTTTTGAGGAACCACCAAACTTTTCCACAATGGCTGCATCATTTACTTTACCACCAGCTATTTAGGAGGGCTCCGATTTCTCTATATCTTTGTTTACACTTATTGTTTTATATATTTGTTGTAGTTGTTATTGTATTATAGCCTTCCTAATAAGTAGGAAGCTTTATCTCATTGTAGTTTTGATTTACATTTTCATTATGACTCATGATATTGAACATCTTATCATGTGCGTATTTGTGTATCTCTTTTGGAAAAATATTTGCTCAGATCCTTTGTCCATTTTTGAATTGGGTTGTTTTGCTGCTGTTGAGTTGTAAGAGTTTCTATATGTTCTGGATATTAATCGTTTGTCAAGGATGACTGTAGTCAATGAAGTTTACAATAACACATTATATGGTTTCAAAAAGCTAGAAGGAGAATATTGAATGTTCCCAACACAAAGAAATGATACATGTTTGAGATAATGGATATGCTAATTACCCTGATCTGATCACTATACATTATATGTGTGGAATCATCACTATATACCCTATGAATATACAATATGTACAATTAATTGTCAGTTAAAAAAATAAAATTTAAAAAGATTAAAAAATTTTGTACTTCAAAGAACACTACCAAAAGAGTAAAAAGAAAATACACAGAATGGGAGAAAATATTTGCAAAGTATATATCCATTAATATATTTCACTGTTGACAATTAGGATGCCCTCAGAAACTTAAATGGAAATTGGAATAACAAGTTTCAAAATACAGGTTCTGAAGCCTGTTTGAACTCAAATCTTGACCTTTCACTTTTTACTTACATTTGACATGTTACTTAACCATTTTGTGCCTCAATTTCCTCACCTGTAAGATACAGATAATGATAGAACTTATATCATAGAATTACTTTCAGGAGTAAATAAAATTAATACACGCAAAATACTGAAAATGATGCCTCCTCCATTGCAGCTGGTCTGTAAATATAAGCTATCATTAAATGTAGAATACATATTTCTGGGGCTCATAGAAGGTGACTCTTCTTTTGTTTATGTGTAACATATCCTCTTAAAGGAACAATAGTTGACATACATGGCTGCACATCACAACAAAATGTCCTCACCAATAATGTGTCTAGATTTCCATAAAAGACTGAATGTAACATTTAACTTGAGCAAGGGATGTGGTTATATTTCCTCAGACAAACTCATCTTGGAGAGAGTTACTGTGGGCTTTATGGAGCTACTTAGTGTACCAGCTTTATTTCCTCAGAGAATTGTAAAATACAAAACAAAACAAAACAAACTCTCTAGCTTGTCGTCCACAGCTACAGCATAGTGAAAAAGGTTTATTAACTTGCTAGCACAAAGGTGACATGGTTGACAAAAATGTGAAAAGGTGACAGTTCAGGTTCTAACTTATATAAGGTATATGTGTGTGTGGTAATCTCAGGCAGCATTCTCATTTTTCTTGTTGACAAGAAAGATGTCCTTTTTTTTATCGCCACAAATAAAATGTCTGAACTAAAAGCCTCAAGATTAAGATATCTTCAGTAAAATGAACACATGCAAATTTAGGTGGTACATTTCTTTATCTGTGTATGGACTTATGTTCCCTGGAAGATGATTTGTTTCTATAGTGCTGACAGGGATGCTACTAGATTATTAAGGTCCAAGACAGGGTGATATAGATGCAAGTTTTGGGAAGAAAATGATAGATTTATTTTACAAACAATTAATATATCTGATTGTGTAAAGTAAAAGGCTGAGACTGTACAGCTGGGTGAAGGTTGGGCTATGAAGTCTTGTGAAGGGGTGTGACAGAATTCATTGATGAAAATCTCAGATCAGCAGGAAATAGTTTGAGTATAGGCTAAGTCTAACCAGGATGAGGAACTTGAGATCATAAAATGGAAACTGGCATTAATACACTAGGATTAGTTTGGGGTGTCATGTAAAATAATTCGTAAGACAGATATTTAATGAATACTTTTTCAGCCTTACCCTTTCTAATAGAAACATTTAAGCTTTGTATTTATTTTTGAAGTCACCCTGCCCCACAAATTTTCATATATAATATTTGTAGTTTCATTGATTTTTGTATTTTTTCAAGTTTTCATTATGATTAATTTGCTGACTACTGTTTTTTGGGAAAATGTTCTAAAATATCCAAAAGTATGCCCTCTGTTAAGAACTTGTTGTCAAATTCTATTTGATATTTGCCATTGCTATATACGATATCAATGGTGAGGATTTTTCACTTTAATTCTTCTGTTGTCAAAAATCACGGTCTGTATGATACAGAACTTACCATATGTTCTAGTAGATTATAAGTTTTCATAAGCGTTCTGTATATGTTGAAGAGGAATGCCAATTTTATAGGGTTCTGTATATATGTATGTCCATTATACCAAGCTACCTAATTATGTTGTCAAATCTTCTGAATTGTCACTAATTCTTTGTTTGCTTCAAATTTTGATTACTAGAAGAAGAATGTTAAATTCTCTCACTAAAATGGTAAATCAATTAAATCTTTATATTGTGTCAGTTTTTGCTTTATATATTTTGAGCCTATGTCATTTCTTCAGATAAGTTTAGAATGTTTTTACTTCTGGTGAACACATCTTTTACATTATTTATTGAGACTCTAGTATTCCTCCTGATGCCACACTATAACTATTTCTGCATTATTTTCTTTAGTGTTCATTGCTATATAATTTTTACTCTTTTACTTAAAAACTTGTGATTTTTAAGAGGAATTTATAAATAGCACAGGAAAGAATTTTCTGTTTTTAATTACAATCTGATCATCTTTGCTTATTGATGCCTGAGTCGATTTACTTTTATTATGATATCTGATACATTATTGAATTATTTTACAATATTCAGTTGGCATACTTCTTTGATCATTTTATTTCACTTTCTTCCTTTTTGGGGTTTTTATCGTTGCTAGTGCTGCTACTGTTGTCACTTATTATAATTCCCTTAAACTAACTTTAGTTTGGAAGGTTTACTATTATAATTTAGACAAAATTAACTAAAAGCTTAAGTTCACACTCTTCCTAAGTAATGAAAATATTAGAAAATTCTTGAATTCTAACTATACTCTCCACATATTGTATGTGTTAATCTTGAAGGGGCTTTTAATCTCTTTGAGTATCTCATAAATTTAACATTGATATTATTTTATATACTAAATAACCATTTGTATTGACAAAATATATGAGAATATATATTTCTCACCATTTCTTCTTGCTACTCAGATCCTCCTTCTGGGATAATTGTCTTTGTTTTTAAATTATTTCCTTTAGAATTCCCATTAGCAAGATTCTGTTGTTGGCAAGATCCTTGTTTCCTTATCTGAAAATATTTTTATTTTACTTTCACTCTTGAAAGATAATATGCTTGGCTTTAAAATTCTGATTTGCTTTTCTCTATCAATTTTGAAGATATTGTATTATTATCTCATATCTTTGATTGTTGTTGTTGAGAACTCCTCTGCCATTTTAATTTGTGTTTCCTTGTAGGTAATCTGTTTTATATCTCACCTAAGATGTTTTATTTCACCTTTTTCTTTCTGAATTTTACTGAAATATTTTCTTTGAGCTGGGTTTATTTTTGACATAATTTGTTTTTCCTCATATATTATGATAATGACATTTTCTTCTTGAGGTTTGCTGTGCATTTTAATCTAAATATTCATTTTTTAATTTCTGGGAAACACTTTAAAATAGTCTGTATAGTCCCCATTATCTCTGTTCTATCTCTGTAGATATCTGATTAAATATATGTGTATTAGTTTATTTTCATGCTGCTGATAAAGACATACCTGAGACTGGGCAATTTACAAAAGAAAGAGGTTTAATGGACTTACAGTTCCATGTGGCTGGGGAGGCCTCACAATCATGGTGGAAGGTGAAAGGCATGTTTCACGTGGCGGTAGACAAGAGAAGAGAGTTTGTGCAGGGAAACTTGTCTTTTTAAAACCATCAGATTTCCTGAGACTTATTAACTATCATGAGAATATCACAGGAGACTCACCCCCATGATTCATTCACCTCCCACTGGGTTCCTCCTCCCAAAACACATGGGAATTCAAGATTTGGGTGATGATACTGCCAGGCCACATCATTACACCCCTGGCCCCTCCCAAATCTCCTGTCCTCCCATTTCCAAACCAATCATCCCTTCCCACCAGTCCCCCAAAGTCTTAACTCATTTCAGCATTAACTCAAAAGTCCACAGTACAGAGTCTCATCTGAGACAAGGCAAGTCCCTTCCACCTACGAGCCTGTAAAATCAAAAGCAAGTAAGTTACTTCCTGGATACAATGGGGATATAGGCATTGGGTAAATACAGCCATTCTACATGGGAGAAATTAGCCAAAACAAAGGGGCTACAGGCCTCATGCAAGTCTGAAATCCATCAGGGCAGTCAAATCTTAAAGCTCCAAAATGATCTCCTTTGACTCCATGTTTTGCATCCGGGTCATGCTAATGCAAGAGGTGGGTTCCCATGGTCTTGTGTAGCTCCACCCCTGTGATTCTGCAGGGTAAAGCCTCCCTCCCGGCTGCTTTCACAGGCTGGTGTTCAGTGTCTGTGGCTTTTCCAGGCACATGGTGCAAGCTGTCAGTGGATCTATCATTCTGGGGTCTGGAGGATGGTGGCCTTCTTCTCACAGCTCCACTAGGCAGTGCCACAGTAGGGACTCCGTGTGGGGGTTCTGACCCCACATTTCCCTTCTGTACCACCCTAGCAGATGTTCTCCATGACAGCCATGCCCCTGCAGCAAGCTTCTACCTGGACATTCAGGTGTATACATACATCCTGTGAAAACTAGGCGGAGGTTCCCAAACCTCAATTCTTGACTTTTGTGCACCCACAGCCTCAACACCATGTGGAAGCTGCCAAGGCTTGGGGCTTCCACCCTCTGAAGCAACAGCCTGAGCTGTACTTTGACTCTTTTAGTCATGGCTGGAGCGACTGGGATGCAGGACACCAAGTCCTTAGACTGTACACAGCAGAGGGACCCTGGGCCCAGTCCATGAAACCATTTTTTCTTTCTAAACTTCTGGGCCTGTAATGAAAGGGGCTACTGAAAAGGTCTCTGACATTTCCTGGAGACATTTTCCTCATTGTCTTGGTGATTAACATTCAGCTCCTTGTTACTTATGCAAATTTATGCAGCCAGCTTGAAGCTTGAATTTCTTCTCAGAAAATAGGATTTTCTTTGCTACGGCATTGTCAGGCTGCAAGTTTTCCAAACTTTTATGCCGTGTTTCCTTTTTAAAACAGAATGCCTTTAACAGCACCCAAGTCACCTCTTGAATGCTTTTTTGCTTAGAAATTTATTCTGCCATATACCCTAAATCATCTCCCTGAAGTTCAAAGTTCCACAAATCTTTAGGGCAGGGGCAATATGCCACCAGTCTCTTTGCTAAAACATAACAAGGATCACCTTTGCTCCAGTTCCCAACAAGTTCCTCATCTCTATCTGAGGCCACCTCAGCCTGGATTTTATTGTCCATATCATTATCAGCATTTTGGTCAAAGCCATTCAGCAAGTCTCTAGGGAGTTCTAAGCTTTACCACATTTTCCTGTCTTCTGAGCCCTCCAAACTGTTCCAGTCTCTGCCTGTTACCCAGTTCCAAAATCACTTCCACATTTTCAGGTATCTTTTCAGTAGCACCCTGCTCTACTGGTACCAATTTACTGTATTAGTCCATCTTCATGTTGCTGATGAAGACATACCTGAGACTGGGCAATTTACAGAAGAAAGAGGTTTATTGGACTTACAGTTCCATGTGGCTGAGGAGGCCTCACAATCATGGTGGAAGGTGAAAGCATGTTTCCCATGGTGGCAAACAAGAGAAGAGAATTTGTGCAGGGAAACTCCCCCACCCTTTTTTTTTTTTTTTTTTTGAGATGGGGTCTTGCTCTGTTGCCCAGGCTGGAGTGTGCACTGCTGCAGTCTTGGCTCACTGCAACCTCTGCCTCCTGGGTTCAAGTGATTCTTCTGCCTCAGCCTCCCAAGTAGCTGGGGCTATAGGCACACGCCATCATGCCCGGCTAATTTTTGTATTTTTAGTAGAGACGAGGTTTCACCATATTGGCCAGGTTGGTCTTGAACTCCATGTGATCTGCCTGCCTCAGCCTCCCAAAGAGCTGGGATTTCAGGCTTGAGCCACTGTGCCTGGTCCCCCCTTTTAAAATCATCAGATTGGCCAGGCATGGGGGCTCAAGCCTGTAATCCTAGCACTTTGGGAGGCTGAGGTGGGTGGATCACGAGGTCAAGAGATTGAGACCATCCTGGCTAACACAGTGAAAACCCGTCTCTACTAAAAATACAAAAAATTAGCCGGGTGTGGTGGCAGGCGCCTGTAGTCACAGCTACTCAGGATGCTGAGGCAGGAGAATGGCGTGAACTTGCAGTTCACGGGAGGCGGAGCTTGCAGTGAGCTGAGATCGTGCCACTGCACTCTAGCCTGGGTGACAGAGAGAGACTCCGTCTCAAAAAAAAAAACAAAAAAAAAACCATCAGATCTCCTGAGACTTATTAACCACGAGAACAGCACGGGAAAGACCCATCCTTATGATTCAATCACCTGGCACCAGGTCCCTCCCATGACATGGGAATTCAGAATGAGATTTGTGTGGGGACACTGCCAAACCACATCAATATGTTATACCCTTTCATTCTATCCTGTAGAGCTTTTAACCTTTATCATGTTTCTCTCTGCTGCATTTTACATAATTTCTGTTGATCTATCCTTGAATGCAACAATTCTCTGTTTTTATATATTAAATCTTCTGTTTAACATTACTTCTAATTATTTAGTAGTAATTTTAATTAAATACTTCCAATGTTTATATTTCTACTCCTGGAATTCTGTTTCAGTCATTAACACGAGAATTAAATGTTGATCATAGCGTATGTGCGTGTGTGTGTATATACACAAATGAATTACCACATAATAATAAAAGTGAGTGTATTACAGCTGTAATTGTGAATATCAGAAAGACTAATTTTGAGCAAAATAAGAATAACCAAATGAATAAAGTATAGTTCTGTGTATGTAGAATTTAGATATAAACAAAGCTAAATATTATATTAAGAAAACTGTGAGTAAATTAAGGGAATAATTATTCTATAAGTCAAGGTAGTGGTTACAATGGTGAGGGGGAAAGATCTTGATTGTTAAGAATCATAAAAGGATCCTCTAAGGTTCTACAAAGGTTTTTTTTCTTAAAAACTAAGTGGGGTTTACGTGGATATGGGCCTGTAAATTTTATATGCTCTTATACAAAGATTCTGTTTTATTCTTTTAAAAGCATTTCCAATTTTGCTTGAAAATACCTTTTGTCTTATTCATGCTCTAAATTCATTTATTTTAAAAAAGAAAAATCAAATGCACTTACTCCAAAATGCACATTTGGTAGTTGGAATAGCTAAACTCCTTGCTTGTCTAATTCAATCATATGTTCTTTCTGCTCACTACACCTCTCATTGGCATAGTTCTTTCTGTATTGTGAGTTCATGTCTGGTTGGGGTTTGTCTTTTTGTGCTGCATGTAGTCTCAGTGGTTATGAATCCTTATAGAGAGGACTTTGGAGCCTACCAACACAGGACCAACTTAATTGTTTAACTTGAGATTTAATTAATTGCAAGAGCTATAAATTCAAATCCCTATCAGTGTAAAGGCAGGCCTGAGTTACACATTTTTAGAGCAGATTTTTTCTATTTTATTATATTTTTCCACCAAGAGTCCTTTCTAAGACAGATAAGTTTCCTGTGACATCTCCTTCCTGGAGGATGGATTTTCCTTAGTCCATCTTCACACTGAGCTTGAAGGCCTTTCAATGCTCCAACTTTATTCAGGTGGTATTGAATAAACTGTCTGTTTGGACCACGATGTCTTATCTTTCTTCTCTGGCTTTGCTCCTAACATTCAAGATTCTAGATTATTGGAACAGTAAGTATCCCGAGACTGTGGTGGCTTCAGTGCAGCTTCCCAGCTTGGCATCCTAAAACCCTTTAATTTTTGATCAAAAATGTTGAGATTATTTACCTTTTTCTATTTACTTAAAACGCATGTTTATTTTTATTTTATCTAGCATTTTTTTTTCAGGAAGACTGTTAATATGTAGTCACAAATAAACAAGAAATAGAAGATACAACCAACCATTGTTGGTTTGGAATCTGCCTGTTAAAAGCCATGAGCCAAGTATTAGTAAGCAACTACGTGATGACCACAGAATATGCCTTGAAGGCAGAATGTGGGTTAAATCTGTAGCAAATGGCGCAATCCTCAAGTCACTTAGATCAAACTAAATTTTAGAGTCCCTGACTCACCAGACCAGATTGCTGAATAGAGCTTTACACTTAATATGTAAATATGTCACTATAAGAATAACATTTTTGGCCAGGTGCAGTGGCTTACACCTGTAATCTCAGCACTTTGGGAGGCTGAGGCAGGCAGGTCACTGGAGCTCTTGAGTTTAAGACCAGGCTGGCCAACATGATGAAACCCCATCTCTACTAAAAATAAAAAAATTAGCTGGGGGTGGTGGTGTGTGCCCATAGTCCCAGCTACTCGGGAGGCTGAGGTGGAAGGATGGCTAGAGCCTGGGAGATGGAGGTTGCAATGAGCTGAGATCATGCCTGGGCCGTAGAGCCAGACCTTGTCTCAAAAAAAAAAAAAAAAAAAAAAAAGATTCACTTTTTAAGGTATGGCATTAAAGACTATGTCATTATCTACAAAAGACTATCATTAGATTTCCATGGGTTACCCTATAGGGGTTCAATTTTGTTTTCTAGGGAAAACAGTATACATAGCCTCATTATTTTTAAGTCTACTGTATGTAAATGTAATAAGATATGTATCACATATATGTCATATAGAGAAAGATGATTTTTGGTATTGATAACTTTGAACCAGCTCCTTTTTATGCTTTAGGATGCTGAGTTATCTGGAGGAGATGAGATGCTTATTGGGGCAGAGCTAAAGAAGTAATGCAGCACTTGTACTTCAATGATGTAGTTGCTAGCTCGGGCACAAACGTGCTTACTGAAGGGTGGGAGACTAGTGAATGAATTTTATTGAGCTGGGGATTGTCAGGAACAGAGAATATGCCATCATGGTGACTGTGAGGTGGTAGGATCTCCAACATCTGGCAAGTCTCAGCAGCACAGTTGTGCCTTCAATGACCAGCTAAACATCTGATTCACCCAGCATGTTTCTTAAAGTATATACTGTACTCTGGGATGTAAGCAGCTCTTGGACAGGGCAGGTCAATCTGTTTACTTATGACTCTCATGGAGATTTGGACACAGACTAGATAGCAAACCACCTTTGTGCCTACAGTGTCTTGTCAAGTGCCAAGGATCCCAGAACCTACTGCTCTCCATGATTCCAACATAATAGGTCCACAGCCCTGCATTTTGGAACCCTTGAAAAGATGAACAGGCCTCAGGAATCATGAGCACACCACTCACCAATAGCCCTGGGGTCTGCAATTAATTGCCACTACTTGGGCCTGCCGCAGTCTTGTATTTATGGGTCTGTTTCACCCTGTGTTACAGTTTGCCTTGTTTATGGTCAGATGGGAACCTCTTTTTCTCCCTCTACATTTGCCAAACTTGTGGAGGGCAGAATCCAGACCTTGTTAAAAATTTAATCCTCTGTAAGAATTCAAAAACTACTTTCTGAACTGAATTAAATTTTAATTGTTGTCATTTTCCCAGTTATGCTCACCCAGTATCCTGATTGGTTGTTTATAATAACAATAAATCCTGTCAAGCACATAATATGTAGCTGTAGGCTCTTTTTGGAACTAACACCACTCACTATTTTCTGCTGCTTCTGCAAGCTTTGTGGAGTGGCACTGTATTTTTTTTAGTCTACATTGACAGCATACAATATAATGGTTCATTTAGGATGAGTTTTTATGGGGCCTGTCAAGATTTAGCTGTGTTTTGCATAGTAAACCTAATATTAAATGACAAAATGCATCATAGCAGATACTTCACAACCATTAAGGTGAAGGCAGCAAATGTGTAGAAGATTACTGTGCATTGCAAATGGTGGAGCAGCTAAGATAATAAATAAAGTATAATTGAAATCCAGGGGGCTTTGAATATTAGTGGTGTAACAACTCTGATCTACAGTGTGTGTGAGAAATGCTGTAGGAAGATTGGCTGCAACTCATGTGTGTTGGTCTCTTTGCACAGCAGGTGATGTGCTGAACTTAATAACCCGCTGTTCAATTTTTTATTTAAAAAATAAGATGAGAGCTAAGTCACAATTGCTTTGGGCAAGTGTCTTATAAAAATGTTTGTGTTTAGAAGTGAGCTAATTTGATTAGAGAGCCATGAAATCTGTTCAACAGGGTAATGGAACGTCAACTAAATCTAAACTGGCAAAAACCCAGGACTTTGAAAATTAATGAATATTCAATATTGACATGCTCTGAAAATAGATATCTTAAATACAAGGAAGGAAAAAGGGCAGGAGAGAGACGAAGAGACTCTACAGCATTTGTGACATTTCCATTTCTGTCATAAAGTGTTGTGGGAAAACAATCACACAGGTAAGTCACCGTTAACAATTTATAACTCTGTGAGGTCAGGGAATATGTTTTATTTATTTTTGTAATTCCTGACCCTCAAAATCCATATCTCATGCTTTTCACCTAGCAACATTTCAAACACTTGCTACATTTTTGCCAGATAAGGAATAACATCATCTATCAGGATGTACTTCACGTTTATTGGCTACAGAAGCCAGTTAGATACAGAACAGGGAATTAGGTTTTAATGGCAAATAAAGGAATGGCCCCTGCTTTTAAAAAAGTAAAATGAATGGGAAAGACATTACTTATATCTATAAAACCAATTGCTAAAAACATGAGAGTAAGTAGCCCGCTGGTGTTCACTTTGTTAGAGGTCAGACACTGACCTGGGTTATCAAAGTGTTATTAATACTTAAAAAGTTCCTCCATTTATTTTTATTTTATGTATGTATGTATGTATGTATGTATGTATGTATGTATGTATTTATTTATTTTTGAGACAGAGTCTTGCTCTTTCACCCAGGCTGGAGTGGAATGGTGTGATCTTGGTTCACTGTAACCTCTGCCTCCCAGGTTCAAGCGATTCTCCTGCATCAGCCTCTTGAGTAGCTGAGACTACAGGCATCACCATCATGCTTGACTAATTTTTGCATTTTTGTAGAGACAGGGTTTCACCATGTTGGCTAGGCTGGTCTTGAACTCCTGACCTTGGGTGATCCGCACGCCTGGGCCTTCCAAAGTGCTGGGATTACAGGCGTGAGCCACTGTGCTCAGTGCATTTATCTTATTAAAATAAAAAAGAATATTTTCCAACACCTCAAAAATATCTCCTCAAAAATAAAAAATTTTTAAAAATATCACATATAAATATGTAACACTACTTAATCAGTGTCACAACAAAACCTTTGTCTACTCCATTGCTCAGTAAAGACATGAGACCTTTATGTGCGACACAGTTAAATTAATTTATATTTTGGCTCACTTTCCTTTTTTCTTTTTTTTTGAGACAGGGTCTTTCTCTGTCACCCAAGCTGGAATGCAGTGGCACAATCAGAACTCACTACAGCCTTGGCCTCTTGGGCCCAAACAATCCTCCGACCTCAGCCTCCTCCTTTTTACCTGGGACTACAGGTGCACACCACCACACCTGACTAATTAAAAAAAAAATTTTGTAAAGATGGGGGCCTTGCCGTGTTGCCTAGGCTGGTCTCCAACTCCTGGGCTGTCCCAAAGTGCTGGAATTACAGGTGTGATCTATTGCACCCGGCCTCCAGCTCACTTTCAAGCAACACGGGAATCTTATTATAGCTCAGTCCCTAGCTGACATTAATTCTTAGACTCTTCTTTATTTCTATGGCAAAGCATATTGAATAGTAGCAGGCTTTGTTTAGGTGAAGGATGAGGCATGGCAAAGCCATGGCAGGACAGAGACACAGTAACAGATGCACTATTTAGGTGGCCTAAGTAAAACACATCTATAACTCAACAAGTATTTATTAGCATCTTTTCCATATGCAGCATTATGCTAAACCTAATGGTTTACAAAAGCGAATTAGAAGCTGGCACTGCCCCAAAGAATCTTAGATTGCAGTGGAGAAAATAATTCACAGACATAAATAGTTAAGAAGGAGAGAGTTTCTACCAGAGAAAATACCTCTGTGGTAGAGCAGATTCATTGTTTATGTTGACAAGATTTCAATTTCTATTTCTTGTCTCATATTCTCAACTGACCATTAGTTTGGCCTTGTACTATCAAATGCTCTTTGAGCTGGGAATTTCCAATCTTATGTCCAAAAAAAATGGCCCTTTTATCTCTTTTCCCAACTCCCACATACTTTACTTTATTGCTCAATTTCTCAATTGCACAAAAATCAAATCTATTTCTGAAGAATTCAGGTTTATAATCTAAAAATGGTTTATTCCTAAACTGACTATATATCTCTGTTTGATGGAAACCATCCTGGAATATACCTATTTTCTTACCTGAAATATTAATGGAATTTTTAAAAATCACTTCCAAAAGTGTTCTGCTTTGGATAAATTATATGATTACCCTATAAATCCCATCCCCTCATGTTTCTTATTCTCTATAATTAAGAGATCCCATGTGTCCCTTGTGATTCATCTTTACTTTTTGTCAGCCTCATGACTCAGGCTTGTATCAGTTTTTGCCCAGATGTCTTTAGGATTCTCTGAATTATCTTTGAATCCTTCATTCTTTTCAGCACCATTTTACTGTAAAAAACAAAAGGAATAGGCTGGGCACAGTGGCTTATGCCTGTAATCCCAGCACTTTGGAAGGATGAGGTGGGCAGATCACTTGAGGTCAGGAGTTCAAGACCAGCCTGACCAACATGATGAAACCTTGCCTCTACTAAAAATACAAAATTAGCTGGGCGTGGTAGCACGTGCCTATAACCCCAGCTACTTGGGAGGCCGAGGCAGGAGAATAGCTTGAACCCAGGAAGTGGAGTTTGCCGTGGGCCGAGAGCATACCATTGCACTCCAGCTGGGGCAACAAGAGCAAAACGCTGTCTCAAAACAAACAAGCCAAGAAACAAACAAAAAACAAAAGGAATATAATGAAATTGTACTTTCAACGTGCTCTGATTATACTTATAAAACTTTTCTAATTTTTTTTTTCTTATTAATCAAACTCTAAAGTCCTCTGGATTTGGGGCCTTTATTAACTGCCCTTCTCCTGGTGATTCCACTTTACTTTTCACTTTCCTTAATATTTCTGTCTAGTTTAGTTAGGCCAGTCCCACTTTTTGCTAAGTACAACTCACTGTTTCCCATGTTGTTCCTATATCCTAACTGACCTTTGGTGTCATTCATGGTCTTGACAGGAAGTGGATGGCACATTCTACCAGGTGGGTCGAAGGAGTTTAGTTAGTGGACTATGAAATGTGTGCATGACTTAAGGAATCCAGCATTCCAGCCCTTGGGCTAGCCAGAATAGGAAGCCCCTAATCCTAGCTTTGAAATAACTGAGACAGGAAGAGTTACTGGAACCAGAATAGCTCTATGAGAAAGGCCTGTTAATTAGAGCAGTGAAATTGTATAGAGGGACACAGCCGACCCATGGCGAATTACTAGAGGAGAGAGAGCTGGGTAAAGAATTTCTATGACATTATTCTCTACGTCCTTACTTATTTCCTGCTGGTGCCTTTTAATGGCCAAACCCAACCGGGAATCAGAAGAGCAAAAGAATAGATTCAGTCTATACAGATGAGGTACTGGAACACAGGCCAGGGTGCAGAAATGAAGGCAGTGAATCTGGAGGAACAAATGGAAAATATCCAGCACAGCTCTAATTTGTGCAATGACCTCTTCTCTACTTAGTGAAGCCTTATTATATATGCTTTTGCATGGAGAATCTGAAGTCACAAACACCCTTATGCCAGGTTAATAATTTGTACCTGTTCATCTATTCACATATTTTACGTACCCACTGACTTATATTTGGACTCATACTAATTAGCTCAGGGGCCCAATTAGAAAAACAGAGAACCGAAAACTGAGGAACTGAAGCATGTGGTTTGCTTTGGAAAGGTAAGAGAATTGTAGAATATAATTTAATTAGTTGTGGGGCTGTATGCATTATTATCTCATTCTACTATTGGATAGAAAGCCATTTACATTTGAGATTATTTTTTAAGTATTAACCAGTAGAGTACATTATCAAAGGGATTGTGTTCAGTGACTTCTTGGGTCATTTTCCATGAATGTTGGAACTCTAAATTGGCAGGAGAAAGAGAGAAGGCAGCTTCTTGTAATAAACACATTTGATGATGAGGCTCTTCATGGAAGGAATGAGAATTGGCTTAGTAGTTTTGTAGACTGATTTTTACACACATGATTTTTCTATTAATTACTTAAAAGACGAGACGATTAGTAAGAAGGTAGAAATGTTTGACACAGTTATGTACATTTCTGTTAGACACCAGCATCCATTCCCCTTTCCTCTTGATAAAAGTATATTCTTCTTTTTATTGGGGTTTTGTCATTTCCCCATGCAACCCATATATTTCAGAGGAAACTAGATGCCTCTTCAGCCACAGAAGTAAGGCCTCATTGGCTAAAAATAATCTACCACATCTCTTCCTCTGTTCAGAGTGATTGATTCAGGGCCTATATTCTAAATGTGAGCAAGGAACTGAGGGGTAACATTATCTGAAATTCCTGGAAAATATACTTTTTCACTATTCTGACAGAACCATGGTAGAGACATTTGCTCTTATCTATGTGACATAAATGAAAAAGAATAGAAGCCTGGGAGACATTGTAAGACAATGTGAGACCACAAGGACAGAAAGTTGCTAAGAATGGAGTGAATACCAAGGAGGAAGAACTGGGGAAAGGAGAGGGTTTTGGTCAGAAATGTGAACTGCCAAAGCAAGCTTTCTCTGAATATAGATAGAAAAGTTCATAACATTTTACTTAGGTGGGCCAATATAATTCTTTTATAGTTTGTGCTATTTTGACCTAACTTTTCTTTGGTAACAACCAAAAGATTATACATTGATATTGAAGAGTAGAACCATAATAGTAACTTAATTTTTGGCATCTTCCTTCCTCATTTTGGTCTACTGCTTATTTGATATGATTATTTTTTATTTCTGTGAATTAATCATTCTTCACCTTTTAAAAGAGTTACATGTATTAAAATTTAAATATAAGAACCATTTTGAGTTTTGCTTAAATCTTTTATTAGTCTTTCCCTTATCTGCAGATAACTGTAAATGCCACATATTCCTGTTAACCAGTATCAGGGACAGACTGGGTCTGGGCAGATTACATTAAATGGAGCCTCACCCAACCCTAATTACCACCCAAAGGTCCCGTCTTCAAATGCCATCACATTAGAGGTTAGAGTTTCAACATATGAATTTTGGAAGGACGTAAACATTCAGCTCATAAGAGCAGGCCTGAAAAGTTTTTATTTAGCCGATGCAACTTATATTGGCCCCAACTAATTTTCCTGGCACTCATCCCCAATCTTTCACTGTTTCTATATATATCACAGCAAAACTGGTGATAACTTACTGTAAGGGACTAGTGCCCATATAAGAAGAAACACCAGAGAGCTTACTGTCTCTCTTTCTCTTTACCATGTAAGGACACAGCCAAAAGGTGGTTGTCTGCAAGCCTGGAAGTGAGCCCTCACTAGGAACTGAGTTGACAAGAACCTTGACCTTGAACTTACCAGCCATCAGAACTTTAAGAAAATAAATTTTTTGTTATTTAATACATTTGGTATTTTTTTTGTTATGGCAGCTTGAGCAGACTAGGACATCACCCTTTCTTCGTGAATATTTGGCCATGTTTTCATTTGTATTTTAATATTTTGAAATTTTAACCATCACTTTTGAATTTTTTGCAGAGGGATGATGCATTCTTCAAGGAGGTTATATATGACAGCAGTAATTTATAGATGTTAGTCATTATGTGAAATCCATCAGTCTTTACTGGGCTTTTCTATTCCTTTAGAAGCTGGACAAGTGGAAAAATATAACATTTCAATAGAAAGAAAACCTATGGATTTGCAGAAAAAAATGTAATTCACTTACATACACTAATAAAAGTTTCAGTATGTTAGTATAGCTGACAATCAAGGTGTATTAAATTCTTAATTTGAGGAGTGAATATTGTTAGGATGCATAATAATCAGTAATTCTCATTTTCGAGCATACAACATTAAAAACATTCATTTTCTCCAAATGGCTGAGCAGTTTTATGTCAACCATAACAAATTTAACCATGAAAATCTTTTAGCAAATTTCATGTGTATTAACTTAAAAATGTGTAATGAAAACTTTAGTTTACAACAAAGAGCGCCTTAATTTATTAAATTAAATAAGGAGTGCTAAATATAATAATATATACTGCTCGAACAACCAACAATTAAGAAAAATTATTTCTGAATGTTTTGTCAATTACTTGCTAATCTGTGAAGTTCTGTAATATGGCCTCCTGCCATAGTAAATTGAGGTTTCAGTGTAAACTAGATGATGCATTCTTCTGGAAATTCCTTTTACAACACAATTAACCTCTTCACCTTGCCAAAAACACATTGTTACCATATTGGGATGCTATTTAATTTAATATGCTGTATATGGTACTAATCAGTGCCAAATAACATTTTTAATTTCCCTAAAATTTATTTTACATTTGTTAGGCTTTCAGCTACTAATTACACCATATTTCAGTTTTTATACAATACTTTGATCCAGTATATAATAATAATGTGATAAACATTAACTGCAGGGCATTCTGGTGGTGGAATCTGTTTTATCAGATGTTAGTGAGTTGTTCAATGAAAAACCAAAAGAAAGTCACTAGGAATAACTACATGATGTATCTTGCATGAAACTACCATTTCAAAAGACATGCCGAGCTTTTTCTCTTTCAGAAAATGTTTCATTCAAGAAGTAATAAAAGTGTTTCAGAAGCACATATGAATAATGAATAAAGAAAATCATAAACAGGAACAAAAATACTAACACAACAGCAAACGAATGCTTTAAGAAGGGGTTTATTTTATAGCTTTAACTGTAAACTATATTATTTTAGGGCTTATGTTAAAATTGGAAGTGCACTTAGAAATGATTCACTGCCACTCTCTAGCCTCATATCAATCCCTGTTATAACAATGCCATTGAGTGGAAGGCCAGCCTGTGCTTGAACACCTCCAGGGAGAGGAAATTCATTACCTTATAGGGCAGCTCATTACCTTGCCATGAAATATTCCTTCATAATCTATAAGGCTGCATATATGTATGTCACCCTTCTTTGATTGTAAACTAGAGATCGAGACTAAGTCTTATTCATATTGTTATCTTGTCATAATATCTAGCACAGGGCCACTTACATGAAAGGTGTTCAACTAGTGTGTTAACTGGATGCTGAGCTAAGGATGGATGTCTATTCTAAGTAGCTTTAAAAGAGTCCTAGCTGTGATCTCTTTAAAGAATCTCAGAAAGCTTCCCTAGGGTGTCACCACAGATATGTGTAAAAATAATAGGTAACCAACATGTGTTTTTATTTAACTCTACTGCCAGTGTGATTTTATTTCATGAATTCTCCTTTTGTTGCTCATCCTTTTGCTGATGCTTCTATTAAATGTGTCTGAACTAGATAAATTGTATCACAAAAACTTTATTTTACCATATTTAGGAGGAAAACACAAACTGAGACACTGGTCATAAAAATTTACTGTTTCAGCAGCTGTTTGGTTATAAAATTATTGTACTAAAAGCTTATAAATATGTGCTGCACATTCATTTAGGGGGAAAGTAGCACTTTATGGCTTTTTATCACTTTTTAGACATGATATTCAGTAATGAATTAAAGCAATTTTTAGGAAAACCACTTTTATGAATTTGCTCCAGAATCACACTGTCTTGTCAGAGTTAAGGCAGGGAAGAAAAGGAATATTGACCCAGAGTCCAAGGTCTGAGTTTTGAGTACTGATCTGCTACTTTTTACCAAGTGACATTGAAATATCATTTAACTTTGAAAAGATTCAGCTTTCTTATGTGTAAAATGATGAAAAGGCACATGCCCTGCCTATTCAAAGGGTAGCAGCAGGATCAAACAAATCATTGTGCTGAAAATTACTTTGTGAAATAGAAAGCTCTCTATGTGCCCCGATGGACTATGTCCTCCCTGCAGTGTCCCTGCTTTCCCCACTGGAGCACTTTTTCTGACAGCCTCCCACCAGGGTGTGTTTGTCTACAACCCCACTGCCATTCCCCAACCACCAGAGTGCTTTCTGCCTCTGCCATCCCCACTTCCCCCAACAGAAAGCTTCCCCCCAGCACCCCTGCCACTCCTGATGGAGTACTGCTGACAGTGGTCTGGGAGCATGTTGGCCTCTCCAGCCCAAATGGGACTTGACCTCAAGAGACCAGAAGACAAAGTCACAGGTCCAGTTCCAGGCACCCAGGGTTACAGCATACATCCCAGGAGTGAGGAGTTGAGCTTTGGCCCTCTGAAATGAAGTCATTTAACTATACCCAACTTGTATGATAGTCAAACCCTCAAGTACAATAAGGAACATAAAAAAAAAAGCCCCATCTGAAAAACAGCAACTTTAAAGGATAAAGTAACATCAGCCCTCACAGATGAGAAAGGATCAACTCAAGAACTCTGGCAACTTACAAAGCCACAGTGTCTTCTTATCTCCAAATGATTACACTAGCTTCCCAGCCTTGGGTCTTAACCATATTGAAATGGCTGAAATGTCAGAATTAGAATTCAGAATCTGGGTGGCAGGAAAGCTCATCAAAATACAATAGAAGATGTAGAAACCCAATCCAAGGAAAACAGTAAAGTGATCCAAGATTTGAAACATGCCACAACCATTTTAAAAAGAAACCAAACTGAATTTCTGGAAATAAAGTCACTATAGGAATGTCAAAATACAATTGGAAGCATTAACAAAAGAATAGATCAAGGTGAGAAAGAATCTCAGAACTTGAAGACCACTCCTTCAAAGCAACACAGCAGACAAATTTTTTTTTTAAAAAAAGTATTTTTAAAAAATGAACAAAACCTTTGAGAAATACGGGATTCCAAAAAGAGACCAAATCTAGGTATCATTGGCATTCCTGAAAGAGAGAAAGAACAAGCAATTTGGAAAACTTATTTATGGATATAGTCCCCATGAAAAATTTCCCAATATTACTATAGAGGTCACCATGCAAAGTCAAGAAATTCAGAGAAACCTTGTGAGATTGTTACAAGATGACTACCCCAAGACACATGGTCATCAGAGTCTGCAAGGTCAACATGAAAGAGAAAATCTTAAAGGCAGGTAGAAAGAAGGGCCAGGTCACTTAGAAGGGGAAACCCATTGAGCTAACAGTAAACCTTTCAGAGGAACCCTTACAAGCCAGAAGAGATTGGGGGCCTATTTTTGACACCCTTAAGGAAAAGAAATTCCAACCAAGCATTTCATATTCCACCAAACTAAGATTCGTAAGTGAAGGAGAAACAAAATTCTTGTCAGACAAGCAAATGCTAAGGGAATTCACTACCATTAGAGAGGCTTTTCAAGAGGTCCTAAAGGAAGTGCTAAACATGGAAATGAAAGAATAATAGTTGCCACCACAAAAACACACTTAATTACATAGTCCATTGACATTATAAAACAACTATACAATCAAATCTACATAACAACTAGCTAACAGCATAACAGGATTAAATCCTCACATATGAATACTGACCTTGAATATAAATGGGCTACATGCCATACTTAAAAGGCATTGAGTAGCAAGTTGGATAAAGAAGCAAGATCTAATTTCTGCTGTCTTCAAGAAACCTTTCTCACAAGTAATAACACTTATAGGCTCAAAGTAAAGGGATAGAGGAAAGATCTATCAGGCAAACAAAACAAAAAAGAGCAGAGGTGGCTATTACATAAAATAAAACAGTTTAAATCAGTGTGATCGAATAGGGCAAAGAAGGGCATTATTACATAATGATAAAAGATCCAATCTAACAAGAGACTTACATCTTAAATATATATTCACCCAACATTGGAGCACCTATATTCATAAAACAAGTTCTTAGAGATCTATGAAGCAATTTAGATAACCACACAATAATAGTGGGGGACTTCAGCATCCCACTGATGGCAGTAGAAAGATCATCAAGAAAGATAACTAATAAAGATATTCAGGACTTCACTTCAATACTTGACTAATTGGCCCTAATAGACATACAGAACTCTCCACCCAACAACAAAATATACATTATTCTCATCTGCATGTGGCACATAATCTAAAATCAGCTACATGCTCAGCCGTAACACAAGTCTGCACAAATTCAAAAAAAGCAAAATTATATCAACCACACTCTCAGCCCACAGTTCAATAAAAAAAGAAATCAATACCAAGAAGATCTGTCAAAACCATAAAATTACATGAAAGTTAAACAGCCTGCTCCTGAATGACTTTGGGTAAAGATCAAAATTAACACAGAAATAAAAAAATTCTTTGAAACTAATGAAAACAGACACAACATACCAAAATCTCTGGAACACAGCTGAAGCAGTGTTAAGAGGAAAGTTTGCAGAACTAAATGCCTACATCAAAACATTGGAAAGATCTCAAATTCACAACCTAATGTTGCACCTAGAGGAATTAGAAAAATAAGAACAACCCCCGAACTAACAGAAGAAAAGAAATAACCAAAATACAAGCTGAACCAGAAGAAATTGAGATGCAGAAATTGACACAAAAGCTCAAGAATGCAATAGCTGGTTTGTCTAAAGATTGCAGAAGATTGATAAACCACTAGCTAGATTAATAAGGAAAAAAGAGAAAATATCCAATTAAACACTGATATGGTCTGGCTATGTCTCCACCCAAATCTCAGGTTGAATTCCCACATCTGTGGGAGGCACTTGGTGGGAGGTAATTGAATCGTGGAGGCAGGTCTTTCCCACTCTGTTCTCATGATAGTGAGTAAGTCTCATGAAATCTGATGGCTTTATAAGGCAGAGTTTCCCTGCACAAGCTCTCTTTTTGCCTGCTGCCATTCAAGTAAGATGTCACTTGCTCTTCCTTGCCTTCCATCATGATTGTAATGCCTCCCCAGCCATGTGGAACTGTAAGTCCATTAAACCCTTTTTCCTGTATAAATTATCCAGTCTTGGTATGTCTTTATCAGCAGCAATGGACTAATACAGTAAATTGGCACCAGTAGAGTGGGTGCTGCCGAAAAGATACCTGAAAATGTGGAGGCAGCTTTGGAACTGGTTAACAGGCAGAAGCTGGAGCAGTTTGGAGGGCTCAGAAGAAGACTGGAAAATGTGGGAAAGTTTGGAACTCCCTAGAGAGTTGTTGAATGGCTTTGACCAAAATGCTGATAATGATACAGACAAGGAAATCCAGTCTGAGGTAGTTTCAGATGGAGATGAGGAACTTGTTGGAAACTGGAGCAAATGTGACTCTTGTTACATTTTAGCAAAGAGTCTAGCAGCATTTTTCTCCTGCCCTAGAGATTTGTGGAACTTTGAACTTGACAGAGATGACTTAGGGTATCTGGCAGAAGAAATTTCTAAGCAGAAAAGCATTCAAGAGGTGACTTGGGTGCTGCTAAAGGCATTCAGTTTTATAAGGGAAGCAGAGCATAAAAGTTCAGAAAATTTCCAGCCTGACAATGTGATAGAAAAGAAAATCCCATTTTTTGAGGAAAAGTTCAAGTTGGCTGCAGAAATTTGCATTAGTAACAGGGAGCCAAATGTTGATCGCCAAGAGAATGGGGAAGATGTCTCCAGGGCATGTCAGAGGTCTTCATGGCAGCCCCTCCCATCACAGGCCCAGAGGCCTCAGAGGAAAAAGTGGTTTCATGGGTTGGGCCCAGTGTCCCTGTGCTGTGTAGAGCCTAGGGACTTGGTGCCCTGCATCCCAGCCACTCCAGCCGTGGCTGAAAGGGGCCAACATAGAGCTTGGGCCATGGCTTTTGAGGGTGCAAGCCTCAAGCCTGGGGAGCTTCCATATAATATTGAGCCTGCAGTTGCATGGAAATCAAGAATTGGGGTTTGGGAACCTCTGCATAGATTTCAGAGAATGCATGGAAATACCTGGATGCCCAGGCAGAAGTTTGCTGCAGGAGCAGGGTCCTCAGGGAAAACCTCTAGTAAGGCAGTGCAGAAGGGAAATGTGTGGTTGGAGTCCCCATACAGAGTCCCTACTGGGGCACTGCTTAGTGGAGCTGTGAGAAGAGGGCCACTGTCCTCCATTCACCTGAAAAAGCCACAGATACACAATGCCAGCCTTTGATAGCAGCCAGGAGGGAGGCTGTACCCATCAGAGCCACAGGGGTGGAGCTGCATAAGACCATGGGAATCCACCTCTTGCATCAGTGTGACCTGGATGTGAGACATGTATATAGTCAAAGGAGATCATTTTGGAGATTTAAGCTTTGACTTCCCTTATGGATTTCATACTTGCATGGGGCCTGCAGTCCCTTTGTTTTGGCCAATTTCTTCCATTTGGAATAACTGTATTTACCAATGCCTGTGCCCTAACTGTATCTAGGAATTAATTAACCTGCTTTTGATTTTACAGGCTTGTAGGTGGAAGAGACTTGCCTTGTCTTGGATGAGACTTTGGACTGTGGACTTTTGAGTTAATGCTGAAATTAGTTAAGTCTTTGGGGGACTGTTGGGAAGGCATGATTGGTTTTGAAATGTGAGGATGTGAGATTTGGGGCGGGGGGTGGGCAGGGGCTGAATGATATGGCCTGGCTGTGTTCCCACCCAAATCTCATCTTGAATTTCCACATGTTGTGGGAGGTACCTGGTGGGAGGTAATTGAATCATGAGGGCAGGTCTTTCCCATGCTGTTCTCATGATAGTGAATAAGTCTCATGAGATCTGATGGCTTTATAAGGTGGAGTTTCCCTGCAAAACCTCTCTTTTTTCCTGCTACCATCTATGTAAGATGTTCCTTGCTCCTTCTTGCCTCCTGCCATGATTGTGAGGTCTCCCCAATCATGTGGAACTGTAAGTCCATGTATAAATTTCCTTATAAATTGGTTATGTCTTTATCAGCAGCATGAAAATGAACTAATACAAGCACAATCAGCAAAACCAACGTAACATTACAATTGACTCCACAGAAATACAAAAATTCCCAGGCACTATTGTAGACATCTCTATGCTACAAACTAGAAAACCTAGAAGAAATGGATAAATTCCTGGCAAAACACAGCCTCTCGAGATTGAACCAGGAAGAAATTGAAATCCTGAACAAACCAATAATGCATTCCAAAATTGAGTCACTAATAAAATAAACTACCAATCAAAAGATGCCCTAGATCAGTTGGATTCACAGTCAAATTCTACCGTATGTACAAAGAAGAGCTAGTATCAATCATACTAAAATTATTCCAAAAATTAAGAACAAGGGACTCCTCCCTAATTCATTCTATGAAGCCAGAATCATTCTGATGTCAAAACCTGGCAGAGACACAACAACAAAACAGAAGCTTTAGGTCCATATCCTTGATGAGCGTAGATGCAAAACTCTGCAACAAAATACTAGGAAAATGAATCCAGCAGCACATCAAAAAGTTAATTCACCACAATCAAGTAGACTGTATTCCTGGGATGCAAGGTTGCTTCAGCATACACAAATTAATAAATGTGATTCACCACATTAATAGAATTAAAAAGAAAAACCACATGATTATCTCAATAGATGCAGAAAAGGCTTTCAATACAATTCAGCATACTTTTGTGTTAAAAACCCTGCACAAATTAGGCATTGAAGAAAAATATTTCAAAATAATAAGAGCTATATTTGACAAATGACAGCCAATATCATACTGAATGGGCAAAATCTGGAAGCAGTCCCCTTGAGAACTGGAACAAGACGAGGATAACCAGTCTTACTGCTTCCCTTCAACATACTGTAAGTCCTAGCCAGAGAAATTATGCAAGAGAAAGAAGAGGTCTCTATATAGGAAAAGAGAGAGTCAAATAATCTCCCTTCACAGATAATAAGATTCTCTATCAAGAACACCTAGTAGGTTTTGCCAGATGGCTCCTAGAACGAATAATTGACTTCAGTAACCTTTCAGGATACAAAATCAATGTACAAAAATCAGTAGCATTTCTATGCCACATAAACGTCCATGCTGAGAACAAAATCAAGAATGTGATCCCATTTATCATAGCCAGAAAAAGAATAAAATACCTAGGAATACAGCTTACTAAGGAGTTGAAAGATTTCTACAATGAGAATTATAAAACATTACTCAAATCAGAGATGAATCCGGGCTGTCATTGTAAAATTGTGAAGCCTTTGCTGCTGAGCTACAGCATTGGGTAATTTCCATGGCCCTTCTCAGAAGGAGCCTAGAGATCCAGTTTGGAGCTTGCAGAGGCTTTTAACTGCTCAAGATAATTTTTAGAGCTAACTATGACATGAATTCCAAAATTCCTGTTCTCCAGAAGGCAGAGACTAAAAGAAAGTACCACCATGTGGTTATAAGGTCAAGCTCCCAAGGACATAGAACAGGAGGAGAGGAGAGCCTCATCCAGATTTTTTTTTCAGGAACCTGCAGCAAAGTTTATAACTGACTAATTTTCTGGGCTGTCTTGAACAGCAGGTTACAAGGAATCCTAGGACTACATTCTATCCTATGGTACCCCTCTTTTATGACAGAACAATACAGAAAGACACAAAAAGCACACGAGGTTTGCTACAACCTAAGACTGGCCTCACAAATCCTTTTTCCAATAACTCAAAACTTTGCAAGAGATAATGATTTTTTTTTAACCATTCATTCAATTGTTTTGCACAGAGAGAGAAAGGAAAGGGAGGGAGAAAAGTATTGCCTGTGGCAGGGTGGAGAAATTGAGGAGCTCAGGAAGGCCAGAGAAAGGCCTACCCATTGTAAGCTGACACTGAATCAAAAGTTCAGGTGGCCGCTTATCAGTTGGGAAGGGATATTTTCCAGCAGTCCCATCAGCTCTCAAGTTTCCCCCTTTAGGGAGAGAAAAACTCCCCATGTCCCATGATCATATTCCAGCTTAAGGAATGAGTTTTTTTCTGGTTTGATATCTGTGTGACCTTTACCATTTGTTCATTCTCTTCCCCTCATGAACTGTCTTGAATTTTCCTTTCTCTGAGCATAGAAATGCTGCCTATTTAGACTGGATAGAGTCTGTTAATAAGAGATTAAAAAAAAAACCTTTTAAAGAGTTAAAAGCCAGCTTAATTAAAAATGAATATTCAAGTTCTAACAGCTTGGGACTCCTTGGTAAAAACAGAGGAGGTGCCACAGACTCTGTTTTGGGAAAAATCTGTTTGACTCATAAAACCCCAGAAATTGGAAGCAAATAGATTCCTCACAATACAAGGCTCTCTTCTGTTTTGTATTGTGTTAGCTGATGTTTTTTACTTCTGTGGGTATCAGAAATTATTTCACATTATGAGAGAGCTTTAGTGTATAATAAATTAGGTAGAAAAATTACTTTTGGAGATGGCTAATAGCAGTTGTGGAGGGATACTAGGCTTCTTGCATGTTTGGATCAGAGATGCATGCTCTTGACCACCAAGGAAATATGGAAATGTCCCCACTCCCCACTGAGAGATAAGACTCCCACAGAGTTGGGCTGATTCCCCTTTTTTGGATCCAGGATTTGTTACAAAAATGGGACCCTTAATTTCTGAGTCCTGCTTTGCCTTCCAGCTGTGCCTGCTTATTAGGCCCTAGAAACCGTATGCTTTAAAGAGAAACTTAGAAACTGGCAAATGAAAAATATTACAACTACTGGATCTTCTGTCTGTCTGTGTGTTTATATGTGTTGTGTGTGTGATATAAAAGAGCTTCAATTAATTTGTTTAAAAATAATAAGTGTTCAAATCAAATATTTTGTCTGAAAAAGTATAAAGTATAATGTCTTAGTTCACGTGACTTAAGTAATCTTTGGGAAATAGAAACAGTGTTACATGCAAAGTATGTAAGGAAAGTGAAATGTGTTTTTGTAAAAAATTACAAGAAGGCATGGGAATGTGGATTTTTTACCTATACTAAAGAGTAAAAGGATTGTTTTAAGTGAAATAGGGAATATTCTAAAGGTTTAAACAAGTTGTAGAAGGTTTATAAAAATATTAATTGTAAAAGAGATTCTGTGTGTGAACATATTGGCTAAAGTTAAAAGGGTATTCAGTTTTTCTGTAAATTAAACATTGGAATAAAAGTGCAACAGGTTTTTTGTGAGCACTGATCTGCTCTTCAACAAAAACTTGTAAAGGGTTATAGAAGGTTTGTGAGAATCTTACCTTTTGGTCAGACATTAAAATTTGATACATTTGTCTATAAGATTTTATTAAGAATTGAGTTTAACATTAATAGTACACTAATGTAAAGGTGAAATTTGGCTTTTTTAGTATAAGAATCATACAGGAACCATTGTCAAATATCAAATGGTCTTTGGCTTTTTGTATGAATATGTTATTGTTATGTGTTTCAAACTTATGAGAAACACTTATAATTCTTATATGACTTAGTATATGTTATTAATAATTACAATTGTTATGTAATATAGTTATATGCCACAGAAATAACCCAAATTCTTTGTCAATCATGGCTTTAATGGAGGCTGCCCTAAGATATTTTGTTATCCACAGACCATTGTTGTTTTGATCCTCTTTAAAAGATGGTTTATAATCTGCTATAGGACTCTAACAGGTGCTCTTAAATGCACATTTCTGATAACTTTGGAGATTGTGACATTAGAATAGAGGAAAAATTTCAGGACTCATGGAAAGCTGAAATGTTCATGAATCTCAGGCAGCACAGGAGTTAACTGCATGGGCTAAACTAATAGAAAACTGAAGTAATCTTTTCAGCTTCTGGCTAAAAGTGTTGCTGATCCTTTGTTTTGTTTTGCGAAGTCAAGAAAACCCTGTTCTTTTGAGCTATTTACAGCTTTTTAACAATTGAATAGAAAATGTACTCCTATGAACAAAATGTGGGGCATATTTATTTCTCTCTACCTGGTTTCTCCAAAATTTGGAAACTATTTGTGAGTATTCTTAACTCATGGCAGTATTTGTTATTTGCGTAAGTGCAATAAGAATCTGTTTTCTTTTTCTGTTTCTTTTTCTTTCTTTCTTTTTTTTTGAAATGGAGCCTTCATCTGTTCCCAAGGCTGGAGTGCAGTGGCACAATCTTGGCTCACTGTAACCTTCACCTCCCGTGTTCAAGCAATTCTCCTGCCTCAGTCTCCTGCATGGCTGGGATTACAGGCACGTGCCACCACGCCTGACTAATTTTTATATTTTTAGTAGAGATGGGGTTTCACCATGTTGGCCAGGCTTATCTCGAACTCCTGACCTCATGGTCAGCCTGCAAGAATCTGTTTTCTTTTGCAACAGAACACAATTGGAGAAATTGGTTATTTTACCAAGGTATGAGTAGAATGAGGTGCTTTCTTTAACGAATCAAATTTGACTTATAGAGCCAATGAAAGCCCCCTGGGAAAACTAGCCTGATACCTTGTCTACATAGAACCTGTGCAGAGTTCCTAGCCTGTGGTACATAAAGAATGTTGCTTTCAGACAGGCCCAGGGGTCCCAAGTTATCTTGGGACCTCAAGAGGAGAGGAATTTACCCAACTCATAAGTATTTGATGGCACAAAGCCATTGTTGGGCTTGGCTTTTTAAAAAAGTCTTATCTGAGATTACTTATAGAGTTCCATCAAAGCCAATTTTAAACACCTATGTAAAAAATAATTATTCTTGCACTTTATACAAATAATCAGGCCAAGCATAATAAAGCAAATCAATCTTACCACGATTTGTCTGCGTAAATCTGACACTTGGGAGACTGGAGAGGGAAAAATTATGTTTCAAGAATTATGTTACACCTGTTTTTAAATTCTAGTCTCCTCAGTTATTTTTAAGGTGTTTTTCCTGTTATTTAGGCTGACCCTGCTTATTCCTCTGAACCAACCACTGTTAGGTAATGTAAAAATCTGGATCAGTATTCTAATTTTGGGCACACATTGGAATCAGCTAGCAACCACATTATCAGCTTGGTTCCAACAGTTGTTCAGTTCATGAAAAACCTTCTTATTTAGTTTACTTAAAATAATTTTGCTTATTTTGTTTTACTGTTGTGGAATATATTGCTGTTGTACTCTTTGTATATGAATGCAAGATAAGCTTACTGAATGTTTTCTTAAATTGAACACTTCTTAATCTTCCAGATACCACCTTTTTTTGGAACCCAAGGGTTATGAATGACCCTTATCATACTGACACTTTCAGACTGTACTCCTCCCTACCCTGAATACAAGAGACTCTTAATAGTGAAGCAGGAATATCATCACCTTCATTCAGCATGAAGAATTTACAAAAGATGGATCTTTGTCCTCTGTGACTCTTACAATTAAGGGTTCTCTTATAAAAGGGAGGAGGGAAATATCAGAAGTGTTTGAACCAGAGCAACTCCATCTTGAATATGGGCTGGGTTAAATAAGGCTAAGACCTCCTGGGCTGCATTCCCAGTAAGTTAAGGAATTCTTAGTCTCAGGATGAGATAGGAGGTTGGCACAAGATACAGGTCATAAAGACCTTGCTGATAAAACAGATTGCAGTAAAGAAGCTGGCTAAAACCCACCAAAACAAAGATGGCGATGAGAGTGACCTATGGTCATTCTCACTGCTACACTCCCACCAGCGCAATGACAGTGTACAAATGCCATGACAATGTCAGGAAGTTACTCTATATGGTTTAAAAAGGGGAGGCATGAATAATTCACACCTTGTTTAGCATATATTTAAGAAATAACCATAAAAATGGGCAACTAACTGTCCTCAGGACTGTTCTGCTGGAGTAGCCATTCTTTTGTTTCTTGCTTCTCTTATAAACTTGTCTTCACTTAAAAAAAGGAAATCAGAGACAACATAAACAAATAAAAAAACATTTCATGCTTATGGATAGGAAGAATCAGAATTGTTAAAATGGCCACATTGCCCAAAGCAATTTACAGATTCAGTGATAATTCTATCAAACTGCCAATGCCTTTATTCACCAAATTAGAAGAAATTATTCTAAAATTCATATGGAACTAAAAAAAGAACCTGAATCACCAGAGCAATCCTAAGCAAAAAGAACAAAGCTGGAGGCATCACACTACCCAACTTCAAACTATGCTGCAGGGCTACAGTAACCAAAACAGCATAGTACCATTACAAAAACAGACGCATAAACCAATGGAACAGACTAGAGAATCCAGAAATATAGCCAGACACCCACAACCACCAGAGCTTTGACAAAGTCAATAATAACAAACTATGGGGAGAGGACTCCCTAGGCAATAAATGGTGATGGCATAACTGGCTAGCCAGATGCAGAAGGTTGAAACTGGACCCCTTCCTTTTATCATATACAAAAATTAACTCAAGATGGATTAGAGACTTAAATGTAAGAACTGAAACAATAAAACCCCTAAAAGAAAACCTAGGAAATACCATTTTGGACATTGGCCTTGGGAAGTAATTTATGATTGAGTCCCCAAAAGCAATTGCAACAAAAATGAAAATTGACAAGCAGGACCTAATTAAACAAAAGAGCTTCTGCACAGCAAAAGAAACTATCAACAGAGTAAACAGACAACATACAAAATGTGACAAAATATTCACAAACTATGAATCTAACAAAGGTATAATATCCCGAATCTATAAAAAACTTAATTCAACAAACAGAAATAGAAAAAAACGCCCTTTAAAAATGTCCAAAGGACATGAACAGAGACACTTCTATAAAAGAAGACATGCACATGGGCAACAAATATAAGAATGAAAATCATCACTAATTAGAGAAATGCAAATTAAAACCACAGTAAGATTCCATCTCATGCCAGTCAGAATGACTATCATTAAAAAGTCAAAAAACAGATGATGGCATGCTTACAGAAGAAAAGGAATACATATACACTGCTGGTAAGAATGTAAATTAATTCAGCTACTGTGTAAAGCAGTGTGGATGTATCTCAAAGAACTTAAAAAAGAACTGCCATTTGACCCAGCTATTCCACTACTGTGTACACACTCAAAGAAAAATAAATTGTTCTGAAAAGATGCATGCACTCATATGTTTATTGCAGCACTAGTAACAATAGCAAAGATACGGAATCAACCAAGATGCCCATCAGCAGTGGACTGGATAAAGAAAATGTGGCCATAGAACTCTACACAGCCACAAAAGAATGAAACCATGTCCTTTGCAGCAACATGGGATCAGCTGGAGGGCATTATCCTAAGTGAACTAACACAGGAACAGAAAACCAAATACTGCATGTTCTCACTTACAAGTGGGAGTTAAACATTGAATATACATGGACACAAAGATAGGAACAATAGACACTGGGTACTATTTGTGGGGAAAGAATGGGAAGAGGTTGTGGGTTGGAAGGCTACCTATTGAGTACTATGCTCACTACCTGGGTGATGAGATCATTCATTCACCAAGCCTCAGTGATTTACCCATGTGTCAAACGTGTATATTATACCCTCACAATCTAAAATAAAAGTAGAAGGAGAAAAAAATAAACTCTATATCACTATAAGGAACTACAATCTATATGACTATAAGGAACTGCAATAATGAACCACTCCTGCTCCATATTTGAGTACCATACAACAGATCAATGGTTATGTTCATAGAAATCATAGACTAAGATATTATCCAGTCACTGTTCCAACCTGGTGGGTCAGTGCTAATGTGATCTGCACAAACAGATTAGGAAGGCACAGTAGTTTCATGCCTCTACTTAATTGAATATTATATATTTCCAGAGTAGGATCAGATAATTTTAGGTTTCATGAGCCATACATGCATCAAAATCCCACTTTAATAAAATTTTTAATTTTAAGGGCTACAATTCTCAGTAAATAATTACCCTATTTATCAAAATTATTTATACAGTGGCTTGAATGTGAATGAAGTGTGCCTTAAAAGGCTAGCAAATTCCCACCTCATACCATGTATAAAATTAACTGAAAATGGATCATGACCTAAATGAAAGATCTAAGACTATAAAACTCTTAGACTAAAACATAGTGGTAAATCTTCATGACCTTGGGTTTAATAAAGGATGCTTAAATGTGACAGAAAAAATACAAGCAACAAAAGAAAAAATAGATAAATTGGACTTCATCAAAATTTAAAACTTTTGGGCATCAATGGACAATATTGAGAAAGTGAAGAGAAAATCCAAAAGTAGGAGAAAATTCTTTAAACCATATATCTAATAAAGGTTAATATTTCAGAATATCTAAAGAACTCTTACAAATCAACAACAAAAAGACAAGCAGTTGGCCTGGTGTGGTGGCTCATGCCTGTAATCCCAGCACTTTGGGAGGCTGAGGTAGGTGGATCACCTGAAATCAGAAGTTCGAGACCACCTGACCAAAATGGTGAAACCCCGTTTCTACTAAAAAAAAAAAAAAATACAAAAATTAGCTGGGTGTGGTGGCATGCACCTGTAGTCCCAGCTACTTGGGAGGCTGAGACAGGAGAACTGCTTGAATCCAGGAGGCAGAAATTGCAGTGAGCTGAGATCGCACCACTGTACTTCAGCCTGGGCAACAGAGCAAGACTTCATTAAAAAAAAAAAAAAAAGACAAGCAATTAATTTAGAAAATGGCAAAGGGCTTGAAGAGACATTTCTCCAAAGATGATACGCAAATGGCCAACAAACACATGCAAATATCTTTAACAGAATTTGGTCATTACAGAAATGCACATCAAAACTACAATATGATAAGACTTCACACCCACCAGGAGAGCTGTAATTATCTACATTGCCCACATCATCTTATCATCATTATTATTGAAAAATAACAAGTGTTGGAGAGAATGTACAAAAATTTTGACCCTCATACCTTGTTAGTGAAGCCATTGTGGAAAATAGTTTGGCAGCTCCTCAAAACATAAAAGATAGAATTATTATATGACCTAGGAATTTTTCTCCTAGGTATATACCCTAAAGAGTTGAAAACACAGATACTCAAGCAAATACTTATACATGAATGTTCATGGAAACACTTTCATAATAGCTAAATGGTAGAAACAACCCACATGTGTTACCAGATAAATGGATAAACAAAGTATGATATATACATACAATGGCATATTATTCAGCTACACAAAACAGTGAAGTACTGATACATGCTACAACATGGACGAACCTTGAAAGCATTATGCTAAGTGAAGGAAGACAAACTCAACAGGTTACATGTTTCATATTTCCATTTATTTGAAATATCCAAACTAGTTAAATTCATACAGAGAGAAAGCAGGTTCCCATTTACCGGAAACTGAAACAGGAAGAAATGGGAGATGGGGGAGTGATTGCTCAATGGATGCAAGGTTTCCTTTTGGGATGATGAAAATATTTTGGAACTTGATAGATGTGGCGATTGCCTAACTTTATGAATGTATTAAATTCCATTCAATTATATATTTTGAAATGATTAATTTTATGTTACATAGATTTCACCTCAATAAAATGAAATCATTCTACCTGTTATTTCTTTTTTGCACTGGTAAAATGAAAAGTTTAAAATACATAATGTCCAATGAAATTTCCTTTCTGTGTATATCAATTCTAGTTTTGGATTTCAGTTTGGATAATAAATGTTGTTAAACACACACACAAATTGCAGCTGATAAAAATGAAAAGACTTTCATACATGTTATGATAGGGAAATAAAAGTTCTTACTGTTTTTCTGTGGCAATTAAGTTGTCATGGGGATATGAGTCTGAACCATAGAAAAGATCTGCTATTCAAGAGCACATTTTCCTTTTTTTAAAAAATTCTCCTTCCCTGTCTTTCCCGGGGGGAAATGGCTTTCAAGAAATTTAATGAAATTGCAAGAGATGCAATTGGATTTTGAGATACTCCATATTTGGAGACAGAAAGAGGCCAGGGGGTCAAGACATTGAAAGAAAGAAAGGAATTATTAAAAACAAATAGGTAAAGTTTCATTTTTGAAGTAAATATCTACATTTAGGAATATTTTGTCAATGCAAATGAAGTCCAGTAAATATAGAATCAATATTTTATAATTTTATCTTCACTTGAAGCTAATATTTTCATACGCAAAATGCAAAATAGTCTCTTAAACTGTTACCTAGTTTTTCTTTTCAAAAGTTGACAGATGATAGAAAAATTCTTGAATTAAAATACTGTGCTATTGGAATGGGAGTAAACAAACTCAAAACATGTCTGTATGATAATAGAGGACTTAAAGATTTGCCTCTGCAATTCATTTAAATAACTTTTATCACTGTGATATCATGTGACAAATACTGTTCTGAATCAAGTCCTTAATTTTATTTTTATTTATATGGGCAAGAATGTATAGCAATATTTCTGAAATACACTGTTTTAAACCTGGTAACCAAGAGAAGATACTTCAAATGTTTTTCTGTAGAAATATAATTATCATTGGAATATTCAAGAAAATGGTGATGCCAAGTTTTAACAGAAAAAGGCAGGTATAAATAAATATATCTATAAGCAATTGAGTAGTTGACTAAATATATAGTGACTACTAATCAAGTTGAACTATTTGTTAGAAGCATATGAGATTATAATTTTTGTTGCTCAAAAATAGCTGAATGTTAGCAATTTCATATATTTATGTTATCTCCTTTCTCAATTCATTTATATATAAGGATCATAGACATCTATTATTTAGTTTTTCAAGTGAAAATACTATAAAAAGTGAAACTAGAATATATTCCATATCTATTTTTATATATTGTTACATTTATCAGGGCCCTGAGATACAGGTGACAGAGACCCAACCCAGACTAATTAAATAAAACATAAGAAACAAAGAGATGGATCCCTTGATTCAGAAATGATGATAGTTTAAGTCTCAGGCAAACCCTCTCCAAGTGACCAGAAGCTCCAAATCTACAAATAAATGATCAATGATAAAAAATAAAAATAAGAGCACTCTTTCTTTCATGGTCCATGAATTAATCTCAGAACTGAGATTGATCAGTGTAAATCACAGTTTCCATGCTTAAATCATTCATTCTAGTCAAGGGAATAAAGTTGTTTTATTGGCCAGCCTAGTTCTAGGTATTAATCCTGGCAGATGGGAAGCAAGGCCCTATCTAGCTCATGTTTAGTGTGGGGAGGAAACAGAGCATAACTTCTCTCCCCAAATGTAGCTTCCTATTGTTAGAAGAAATGGAAATGGATACAGGCAGACATAAGTGAGAGAGGTCCACTGTTACACTTAGTTTTTCAAAATACATTTAAAATTTCATCTTTAGAATAAAGCTTGCCAAGTATAACATAAAAAGTCCAAGAAGTAACTTTGATGGGGTTACTTTCAACCTAAAAAAATAATTAGTATATTTAAGAGGCTGGTGCAGCAAAGTGACATTATGATAAAACTTGAAAAATATTTTTTCAGTTTGAAATAATTATGAATTCATTTTGAAATTGAAAAGATAGTACAGATAGGTTCCATGCATTCTCAATCCAGTTTCCCTTAATGGTTACATCTTATATACTTACAGTTCAATATAAAATCCAGGAATTTGGCATCAGTGCAATGTGCATGTATATATTTTTATGTCTTTCCATCACATATGTAGCTAGCTTTGTATAATCACTACCTCAATCAAGATAAAGAACTATTTCATCACCACAAAGATCTCTCATACTACTCTTTTGTAGTCACCTCCATCCTTCTCCCCTCCAACATCTTCGATCCCTAGCTACCGCTAATTTGTGTTTCTTCTCTATCATGTTTTCATTTTGAGAAAGTTATATTAGTAGAAACATGCAGTATGTGACTTAGAAAATAGATACAGGGTGTACATTTGCTTATTTGTTACATGGGTATATTGCATGTTGCTGGGGACTAGGCTTCTAGCGTACCCATTACCCAAACAGTGAACATTGTACCCTGTAGGTAATCCTTAAGCCCCTGTCCCCATTCCACCTTCCACACATTTGGAGTCCCAGTGTCTATTATTTCCATCTTTATGTGCATGTGACCTTTTTAAATTAGCCTTATTTTTCACTCAGTGTAGGGCCCTGAGATCCATACAAGTTGCTGAATGTATCAATAGCTTGCTTCATTTTATTATTGACTGGTATTCCATGGTATGGATGTACCACAGTTTGTTTAACCACTGACTTACTGAAGGACATTCTCATTTTTTCCAGCTTTTTGCTGTTATTACAAATGAAGCTGACATGAGCAATCATGTTCAGATTTTTTTTGGGGGGGCATGCAAGTTTTCATTCCTCTGAGAAAAATCCATAGAGATACCATTGCTGGGTTGTATGGTATGTGTATGCTTTGTTTTTGAAGAAACTACTAAATTATTTTCCAAAGTGACTGTATTATTTTACATTTCCATCAACAATGATTGAGACATGCAGTTTTCTCTACATCCTCACCAGCATTTTCTGTTGTAACTTTTTAGATTTTACCCATTCTGAAAAATATCCCATGATATCTCATTGTGGTTTTCATGTGCATTTTCCTAAAGCTAGTGATGATCATCTTTTCATGGTCTTCCACCTTTCATGTACTACCCATATATACTTTTTGGTGAAATGTCTATTCATTTGTTTGCCCATTCTCTGACTGAATTGGTATTTCAATGTTGAATTTTGAGAGTTCTTTGTATAATATAGATAGGAGTCATTTGTCAGGTATGTGTTTTGCAAATATTTTCTCCCAGTCTGTAGCTTGTATTTTCATCCTCTTTATAGGTTGTTTTGGAGAGCAAACATTTTAAATTTTGATGATGTCCAATTTATTACTTTTTGGAGGGCAAATGTTTTTAATTTTGATGAAGTCCATTTTGTAAATTTTTTCTTTTGTGAATCATACTTTTGGTGTCGTGTCACAGATTTGCTCACCAGGCCTTAAAACTCAACCTAAATCTCACATCTTATACAAAAATTAACTCAAAATGTATCCTAGGTTAAAATGTAAAATTATAGAACTTTTAGAATATAACATGAAAATTTTTTTCATGTGAAATTGATTTATATTCTCTTTTCTTGTAAAATTTTTTTTAATGTAAAATTTATTTTCTCTTTAATTTAGGATTGATTTGAGAGTGTAGGAATGTAAGGAAATATTCATAATTTCTTTATGTAAACTGAAAAGGCAGTTAGTTGAGAATTATTTTGGATTATTTTCAAAGGGTAAGTAATCATCTTTATTTAGCCTGCTCCCTTCCTGACGCGTTAGACAATTTTAGCAATAGTTGATGAGTTCTTCCCTGATTGCAAAAAGGCATTAAAACTGATAGACACCAAAGTGGTCAAGGCATTTATTTCCATTGTAATAACATGAAAATCTTATTAATCAAAATGTTTGTGTAATAAGTAGTAATTGTGGTGTTTAAAGATTTCGACTTCAGTTGAAAATTACTGTGATAGAAAACCACTTTTGAGGTACAGGGCATTTGTCAAAAATATTGGTGGAAAACAGTTTCTCAGTACTCTGTCTTGAGGAGGTGCTGAGTGTTTTATAATAGGAGTATTTTCTACAGATTGAAGCAAATGATATCTGTCATAACACAGTGAGGGCCAAACTGAGAGTTGCTGAAAGGAAATGGCCTTTCCTTCCTCCTCAAGCTGTATTTAAAACTTCATATTCATTTTTAGTTTGGCTACAGTGGTGTGGAAATTTGCTTCTGACTGACCCATGAAATAAATAAATAAAAATTTACTTCTAGCTGGTTGGTAGGTGAATTCAAGATCACCAGTTAAAACAATAACAGCACTGGGAATCGAATAAGGCAGACTTCCTTGGCAAGCATCCTTAATGATTAAGTGTTGGATGAGTATTGATCTGGAAATTAAGTCCTAGACTCCTTTTAACGGAGAATGTTTAATCCATAAGAGCTATAACTTATTATAAGCAAAACATCACCTTACCTTTTGGCAGGTTTTGTAAAAAAGAAAGGTATAGTAGGCTTATGGTACTCTATAGTTTAGTTTTAAATAAAATGGATGTGATTAAATGTAAAAAAATTTGATTACTGACAGGAGACCAGAGTTAATTGAACTTAGCAGAGAGCAGAGTTTAGTTCTCCAGGCTACAATATTGACAGAAATTCTCAATGAATCATTAAAAAAACTCAAGTGGGGCTGGAGTATGTTTGAGCTGTTGCCAGGCTAACCTTGGAGACCCTTTGTTGTAAAGAATAGAATAGTCGTATCACATGGTAGTGCTGATAAGGTAAAGGAGAGGAGATATTCTTTATTACTGCTGTCAACCTCGTAGAGACAATTGGGAAACATGTTTTTGGTTACTGTGGGTATCTCTTGGGATAGTAGTGACAACTCTCACCATCCAGTTTATTAAATCCCAATAGGAATGTTTCCATCATCTCTTTGCAAAAAAATTGTTAGATGTAACATTTTCCAGAAGTACTGGAAAATTTATTTATGAGCCAAAAATAAGAGTGAAATTGACTAGAAGCAGAAAGTCCCTGTCCAAGCTAAGGAAATGCAAAAAGTAAACAAATGGTATAAATAGCAAAAGAATGTAAGTCTGTGGTTAGCAGTGACATCTGAATGTCCAGTTTAAAGTTTTGTGCTTTATTCCCAACCCTAGTTACAAAGTGAATGAAACTGACACAATATAAATATCTGAATCTTCTGATTCTTCTTTAATTAAATGAACATTCCCTTAATATGTGATTCTGAAATGTTTTGAGATTTCAATGTCAGAAATGATTGTCTGTGTCAAAAGCAACTCATTCTAATTGCTCCTTTTAAGTTCATGTTGCACATAATTGTATGTTCTCTTAACCTAGGCACCCCAAAGAGGCTTTTATTGTGAGTCATAGATTCTCCAATCCTGAATTATGTTGGTTGGTGCTATTAATTACCATTTGAAAAATCATTGATGGGGATGCTTAAGGAAACTTGTTTGATTTAGTTTTGTTTTTGGTCTTAAATCTTTAGGATATTCATTTTCAAATGCAAATGTTCATAACCTAACAGACATGAAATATTTTCAGGTTTCTTTCTACAACTTCTTTGAGTAGAGATTCTCCCAGGTACTGGTTACCTTGAATATTACTGAATAAAGATTTTTTTTAAAAAAGAAATGTTACTATCAATACCATGTAATTTACCTGTTAATCATGTAATATTTTGAAAGTACAGCAACTAACTATGATACTATAATACAGGCATTTTTGTTCTAACACTTTGGAAAAGAGATTAGCATTACGGATGATTTAGATTCATGTTTTGATAGTAAAGGTATCTGTTGAAATATATAGCAGTTCATTTATTTTACATCCTGTATTTAAAATTCTATGATTATATTGGCTCTAATTTTAAAATGTGTTACAAAACTTATAGTACATATCTTTAATTGCAAGCCCTTATTATTTTACAATACCTAATGAAAATGATCAGTTATGCTCATTTCTACACAAGGTGATATAATAAGACACAAAAATGAGTGAAACAGGTGTTAAATCTCTTTCCCTCACACTGGGGTCATCATCTGCTTTTTTGAAGTATATTTTGTACAAAGAAAAAGATATTGGAAGAGAGTCATTGGTAGTCTAAAATTTCTTGCCTGGCTGTATTTTGGAAAAATATTACACTAGTCCTTTCTCCTTTCCTTTCTGTATCTCTTCTATTTATAACTATTTTACAACTATTTAAAAATGTCTTAGAGTTTAACTGGCCTAAAATATATGAAATGTAGAGATTGATCAAAATAGTTTCTATCAAAATAGTTTTGATCAATCTCTGCAATTTTATATATGAGGAAACTGAAGTCTGAAAGTATTATGCCCTTTGTGTCTCTATTTTGAAAGGCAGTGACAAAATTAAGACATATGACCAGCATCTGCTGAACCATGGATCTTTTTTATAACTAACTATATTATTTCTTTTTTTTCCCCAGAAAAGATGATGGCAGGAAAAGCTTAGAATAATATATATGTTTTTTTCTATTCTATCTAATCAATCAATCAGTTTTGTTTCACTGTAACCCTAACCTTTGTCAATGTCATCAATAGCATCGCTTGTTCAGAAAACAAATGAACATTTTTGGAGTCAAAAAGTTAAACTCAAACTCCATCTTACTGATATGGAAGTGCTGGGAAGGGAGGAGCGTGGCTCCTTTAAATGATATGGAAGGGGTGAAGGAAAGTGCTAGGTAGAGGAAGGGCGTGGTCCCTGGCTGGGGCTCCACCCCCACGGACCTAGGTAAGGACAGGCACTCCTGCCTTCATGCCCAAATGTTGTATTTCCAAAGACCACCCTGGCCCACCATGCCCTCATCCTGTGTGTATAAAAACCAAGACCCTAGCAAGGCAGAGAAGAAGCAGCTGGACATTGAGAGGAGCACATCAGCAGAGGAACACACAGGCACAGGATGTTCAGAGGGATGCACCAGCACCCGCATGCTGGCAGGCTACTGACCAGCAGAACAACGTGGAGTTTGGCTGGGGTGGTTGGAGGAGAGCCCGGGAGAGCCCGCGCCTCTGAGTGGCACAACTCCAGGGGAAAACCATCTCCTTTCTGGCTCCCCCATGTGCAGAGAGCTACTTCCACTCAGTAAAACCTTGCACTCATTCTTCAAGCCCACATGTGAACCAATTCTTCCAGTACACCAAGGCAAGAAACCCTGGGATACAGAAAGCCCTCTGTCCTTGTGACAAGGTAGAGGGTCTAATTGAGCTGACATAAGTCGCCTATAGACCACAAACTAAAAGAGCACTCTGTAACACACCCCACTGGGGCTTCAGGAGCTGTAAACTTTCACCCCTAGACTCAGCCCTGGGGGCGGAGCCCCACAGCCTGCCCATCTGTATGCTCCCCTAGAGGTTTGAGGAGCGGGGCACTGAAGTAGCAAGCCACACCCGCATCGCATGCCTGGCGAGGGGACAAGGGAACTTTTCCTGTTTCGTTACTAGATGTATGACCTTTGAAATTTACTTACATGTTCACATTTTAAAATGGGAACTATAATGAATACCCACAGGTGAAATGAGTGATTTTAACCAGTCTCATTTTGCTTAGTCACATGATCCAGATATATCTGTTAGTCATTTAGTGATTTGTTGATTGATTATTCCTGTTTCTAAAAAAAAATCCCATTTGTATTTGATGAAAACTGAAAAGGCATCTTCATCTTCAGTTTTAGAAACTGCAATGGACTGAATGTTTTTCTCCAAAATTTATATGTTGAAATTCGAATCCCCAAGGTGATAATGATATTAGGATGGAGAGTCTTTGGGAGCCCTCATAAATGAGATTAGTGCCCTTATAAAAGAGACCACAGAGAGATCCCCGACCCCTTACCCCATATGAGGATACATGAAAAGATGGCCATGTTTGAATCAGGAAGCAGCCCCTCACCAGATACAAAATGTGCTGGTGTCTTGATCTTGGACTTCTCAGCCTCCAGAACTGTGAGAAATAAATGTTTGTTGTTTATAAGCCATCCAGTTTATGGTATTTTGTTACAGCAGCCTGAATAGTTTAAGACAGCAATTGAATAATATTTAAAAATGCATGAAGTACTGCTGCTTAAATATTAAAGTCAATGAGAACTCCCTGAAATTTATAGATGGAAGAGGATGCTGAATTTGTTTGTTACCAATCTCACATTTTACAGTACCAAAGGCAAAAAACTTAACCTAAGATGGCAGTGGTTACACAGAAAGTTAATGTTATGTCTGGGGCTAAAACACAGATCTCCTCATTTTCAGTTCTCAGCATTTTCCTCAATAGCATGCCACCTTTCTTAATAAAAGGGTAATTGTGTTGGGACCAGGAACACTGGTATATTTTAACAGATATGTCTAGACCATGAGAATTGCCAGATGCATTTTGCAAAGATTTTATTAATTGTACACACACATTAGGATATTAATTTCTTCAGATGAATATTTAATTATTAATGTTACACAAGTTGGAATCAGTTGTTAAGTATGTGCTTTAAGCTATACCAAAACTAAGTGTTACACTGGAAATTGTCACAGGCCATTTTCTTGTGTTAAAGTAAAGCTACAATTTTTTTTCCTATAACTCATGAAACAATAACTTATGTTTCCCTTATTCTTTATTTATTGTTTTTATTTTTAATGTTTATAATTATTATATACGTTGGTTCATAGGAAATGCAAAGGCATATTTTCAGCCCACTTAGGTATTATTTTATGGCATTCATTGATGTATTAACTTTCCTCTGACTTTATGTCATTCATTCTCTCTCTATTTTTATCACTTTTTAGCCTATCAGAATGCATGCAATTGTATAAAGAGCCTTAAATCATTCTGAGAGTAGATGTTTGAATAAATAGTATTTGTTATTCAAAATGACCGTCACTGGAGAAGTGATTTGATATACAATTTTTTGCTTTACATACAGCTACCTAGTAGCTAAAATGCAGCTTCTTTAAAGGACAACTGAAAAATCTTTAGAAAACATAGGTAAGGGAATGTGTCCCTGAATGTGTGAAAATGACAATGACACTAATAGTATTAAACTAAAAGAAGAGAAATATTAAGGAAGTTAAAGGAATGAAAAAGGAAGGAAGGAGAAGAACTTAGTGTGTGCTAGGCACTGTGCAAACAACAAACAACAAGAAAACATCTAACTCAATTTCACTCAGGAGGAAAATGAATCCTAGGAGTTAAGTAACTTGCCTGATGTTAGACAATGTGTAAGTAACAAAAATGAAACCTTTTTAACTCTACTACAATTTTTTAAAATTAAAAACGTGAATTAAAATTATGTTTTCTACTTTTACTTTCGTTTGATTCATTAATCTCGCAAGTAACTTTGGATCCCACTGGAGTTTCTCATATAATCCATGCTACTACATCCTAAGAGAATTTAACTCTGTCCTGAAATGACATCTGAAGCCAATATTTATAACCCAGTCCTGTGTCCTTGCCAAGTTTCCTGTGCTAATGATCTTAAGCTTCAATAACAGCTGTCATGTAGATGAATTGCAAGGTACTTTGGGAGCTATATGAACGTATCGCATGGCTTTTATCACACATACATTTCCTGCATCACCTCTGGATTAAAATGTCACCTATTTTAAGAATTCTAGAAAAGTACAAAGAAAAGCATGACTACCAATACCATGGCCAACTGAAAATTCCGAGTAAAAATTAAGCTTGACAGAATGTCATTATCACACAAATTAGATTGGACATGGAAATTAATCTTTGGAATTTATAAAATAATAAAATTATCATATCTTTGTATTTTTATTCATTTGCTTTTAAAAAGAAAATGTAGAAAGAAAACTAGTTATCAGCATTTTATGGTTAATTAATTCAGGGGTTATTCAATGGCATAAAATGACTTGTTATAATTGAGAAATAGCTAATTTAAATCTTGCCTCTACTACAGCATACTAAATAAATTATTTTTATTATAAAATATCTCCTATATAATGTAACCTCAATATATTTTAAGCTGTTATATACATTTTGGGGGAAAACTTTGCATTTTGATTTTTTTTTTATAGACGTTACTACTAAGCAAAATCCATTAGGTGGGTGTTTTACAAACATGTCTGGTCATAAGACTCTTGTTAAAAATCCAGATTCCTGGGCCCCTCACAGACAATATTGAATCAGCTCTCAAACGGAGGGCCTGAGAACCTAAACCTATTTTACAAATCTAGCGGATTCTTATTATCAAGAAAGTGTGGGAAATAATGCTTAAGATAATGTTCATAGCAGGATAGAAAAACGCTAAGTATATGAGTGGTGCTTTTATGTAATGAACCCGTTTAGCTCACCAATGTAACCCCAGTGTGCAGTGCACCACTCTAGTACCCCCTCAAATTCTGATTGCTTTAAATATGTTATTGTGTTAAAATTTTTATTGTGTCTTAATATGTTAATAATGCCTTTTACTAACATATTTACTTGATACTTTGTTACTTATTCCTTAATTGGTAATGTGGATATTTGGCATTTGCAACAGATTGTGACAAACCAAAATACATGATGCTTGTAAGTCAAATACTTTTGACAAAAAAATTGCATTTTCTAAGGTCGTAAATGCTCCAGTGAAAGCAGATCCACCTACCATTTAAAAAACAACTATCGAATATATATTGCAAATCTCAGTCCATATTCCTAAAGTTAAAGCCATAACTAAACCTCAGAAAAGACCCTTGTAAGAAGCAGGCTTATCAGGCTCAGACTCTAAGCACATTCCTTTGAAAACTTCTGCTAATATGCACCAGCTATCTTTCAGTCTGCTCATTCAACTTTGTGAATATAACACCACTCTCTGGAGACAGCCAGACTGTGAGAGTGCTTGGTGAGAGAACCCAGGTTTATTTGACCATAGAAGCTTACTTTTGTGGAATGCTTACTGTCATCTAGTAGAACACTAGAGCCCAGGGGATACAAGCTTGGAATAAAAGGCTCACAGATATCTGAACCCTCTACGTATCCTTCTTCATTTCCCATGATCTCTGGCTCACACTTTTTGATTGAGCAACACATGGAAGCTTGTAGCCCCCTGTATGCAGTATGTTGCTTTTCATCCCCATGTCTTTATTCTGCAACTTCCTGGATGGTAATACTTTTCTCCTTCATCTTTTATTCCTTCATCCTCACCATCTGTTTCCCTTGATTATTCCTATTAAAATGTTTCACGCATCCCTTGGTCTATAGAATCTTTTTTCACATACTCCTCATAAGTTACCTTTCCACACCTGAGCCTTTGTAAAACCCTGGGCACTCCTCAACCATTATGTTGACATAGATATGATAAGATCTGCAGAGTGTTATTTTCACCCAAGTTTGAGTAGATATTTTAGACAGCTAATATGGTGAAAGACTGAAAGCCATTCAGAGAGTGGCAAACATTCTGTATGATGTGCAATAAAACATCCATAATTTTTTTGAAAGTTTTATTTATAATATGAATTTTTGTGGCTGGGCGCAGTGGCTCATGCCTGTAATCCCAGAACTTTGGGAGGCCGAGGTGGGTGGATCACCTGAGGTCAGAAGTTTGAGACCAGCCTGGCCAACATGGTGAAACCCTGTCTCTACTAAAAATACAAAAATGAGCCAGGTGTGGTAGCGGGCGCCTGTAGTCCCAGCTACTCGGGAGGCTGAGGGAGGAGAATCACTTGAACCCAGGAGGCAGAGGTTGCAGTGAGCCGGGATTTCACCACTGCACTCCAGCCTGGGCAACAGAGCGAGACTCCATCTCCAAAATATATATATATGCATTTTTGTAGGAGAGAGGTAATTGGTACAGAGTGCATATTTTAGTCTTGGGTGAAAGTTAAGTTTGTGTTCATTTGTGGGGCTTTTTTCTTTTTTCCCAATTTACAACAAGAATTTATTTTGGAAACGATATTTTAACCTTCGGAATCAAATTGTTTTTTATTTGGGAGCATAATGTATATAGATTGGTATTATGCTATACAATAAAATTCTTCTAACTTAGTGCCATTTGCTGGATGACAATGGTATTTTTGTATTTCAAGCCATTCTTTTATGTTGTGTGTCAATATATCATTGCACAGAAGAGCTTTTCAATCCAAATATTATATGTTCTCTGTGTAATTGAATTTTATTTATCTTTTATAAATCAGAAACATTCATAGAGAAAAAATGCAGTTGAGGCTTTAATGACCCCTTTTTTCCTCTCTTAGTTGTAAATATTATGAAGGCATTTACCAGCACTTTATTCAGATTCACATGTCTAGCAACCTAGTCTGCCATATAATAGGTGGTTAATACTTGATGGCTGGCTGGATGGATGAATGGATGGACAGATGTGTAGATAGATGAATGAGTGAGGATGAATGGGTAGATTTTGCTCTACAAGTAGACGTCAAGCCAAAGCATATGGTGTAGATTCTAGGCTTGAGTGAGTTCTCAAGCAGTGCACACAGCTTCTATAGTAAGTCAAGGCAGGGCTACAATCAGGGAGGCACCAGGAGGACACTCAGCCTAAAAGCGAGAAATCAAGTGCTGTAAGGTGAGGTGGTTGCTAGCCTTCAAATGCTCACTGAAGCTCAAGGCAGGAGCCCTTGGTTCTGAAATCACCTTTCCTTACTCAGTTCTCTCTCAATTTGTGTGTGTGTGTGTGTGTGTGTGTGTGATAATCATTGCTAGTGCTGAACCAAACTTGAACAAGGTGAAGCTTCAGTGTAGCCACTTGCCACACCTGAAAGAGCCTGAAAAGTTCACACTGATTCATTGTAGTGCAATTGATTCTTGCTCTTTCTTCTAGTCAGAGGACAAGAGTCTTGAAGGGTAGAGTGTAATTTGCTTCCCATTTGAGAAACTTGGATAAAAGCTAGACATACAATCTCAAAACAAATTAAGTTATAAATGTATTAGGCAGAGCCTTGATTCGGTGTTCTAAAGAACGGGGAAGAGGGAGGTAGGTCAGAGGGTTGAGATCCTCTCACATAGACTGTGAGTGATATCACAGCTTGGGTCCTCTTGATTTGTAATGGAAATTAGACCCAGTAAGGAGCATCTTACCTTTTAAGCCATGACATTTTTGAAATTATACATTCTAAGTAGGCTGGATAACATTTTAAACAAAACACAATTGAAAATTCAGTTCATCGGAGTCACTGCACATACTCAATTGCTGATTTTTATATTGCAGTATTTTTGGCTCTAAAATCATGATGAAATAACACCAAAAGCAAATGGGCCATATTATGCACAAATTGTTTGCTAAATCTAAATTGCTAAATTGAGGCTTTTTTCCAGCTGTGTCAGAACAAAAATATATTCAGCTACAAATATATAAAATCGAGATATTTTGAAGGCAAGAAAATATGCTACGGTTCTATTATAAAACTGATGGAAAAAACGAAGTCTTTCCTTTAAATTATGTTTTTTAAACAGAGGAAATTCGTATTTCTGAATAAATCTTTTCACATTAACATTTCCTGGTACATGTGTCCCGTTTGGTCTATAAACTCCTAAAATGGGATTATGAAAGAATAATTCTGCTCATCACATAAGAAGGAATGGATGACTGCTTTGTAAAATTAAAACTGGATGTCTATAGCTCAGGGTACCTTAGGTTCTATGGGATGCACGATGACTCAAAAATTTGGAATTAATATGTAGATCCTTAAGGTTCCTGGAAAGGTCCTTCTTGATAAATTTATTTTAGAATTACAATGCTGTAAAAACTAAAGAGAAGTTAATAAATATTATCATGTGTTTCAAATTCAAATGCCTAGAAGGCAGATAATGCAACTGGGTGGTGATTTTCCAGCTTCTTGTGAGTTTGTAATGTGTAAGAATAGGGACCCACTGTCATAACATCTTTTTTATTTTGAAAGAGAAGTTCAAAATTCAAATTTTAAGTGGATTCTTCTCATGTTTAACTGTGTGCACTAAACCATTTTCATCTATGACATGCATTTAGGCTTTGAGTCACTTACTTGCCATTTATGTTTCAGACAATGACTCTACCTTAAGGTGGTAACAGAGCTAAACCCGCCCCATGCCAAGCCACATCCTCTGCTTCTGAATGTCTGCCCCCTTCTTTGAGGCCCACAAACTCCCTTTGACTTCCCACCCTGCTTTGAAAGTTTAGAGGAAGGTTGATTCTTTAGCAATCTTTCCTTCTTCTCAAGCTTACAGTATTCTCTTTGCCTCCATATTCCTTCAGAATGGCATTGTATCCCACCTGTTTGGTAGGAATTACATAGCATTGCCAGACCTCTGCTATGAAATCATCTTGTGCTGCCCATTACTTTTCACATTTTGAAATTGAGATGAAATTCATGTAATATAAAATTAGCCATTTTACCATTTTAAGGTATATAATTCAGTGGCTTTTTGTACACTTACAATATTGTACGACATCACCAAAATCAAGTTCCAGGGTATTTTTATCACCCCAAAGAAAACAACTTCCCCATTAAGCAGTCACTCCCATTTCTCCCTCCCTCCAATCCCTGGCAACCGTTAAATAGTCATTCTCTGTTCCCTATTACCTTAGACCCTAGGATCTGTCTATTATGACATTTCATATGAATGAAATAATAAAATATATTGCCCTTTGTGTCTTCCTTTTCTTACTTAGCATCATGTTTTTGATTCATTCATGTTGGTAGCATGTATCATTGTTTCATTTCTTTTATGGGTGACTAATATTCCATTGTATGCATATAGCACATTTTGTTTATCCATTCATGAGCTGATGGATATTTGGGTTATTGTCACCTTTTGGCTAATTTGAATACAGCTGCTTTGAACACTTATACAAAAGTTTTTGTTTGAACACTTGCTTTCAACTCTTTGGAGTATACAACTAGGAGTGGAACTGCTGGGTTTTATGGTAATTCTATGTTGAACTTTTGAAGAGCTGCCAACAATTTTCCACAGTGGCTGCACCATTTTCCATTCTTACCAGCAATGTATGAAAGTTCCCATTTTTCCATATGCTCACCAACACCTGTTCTTTTCTTTTTTAAAATATGTTTTTATTATAGCCATCTTAATTGGTGTGAGGTGATATCTCATTGTGGGTTTAATTTGCATTTCTCTAATGACAAATGATGTCGAGCATCTTTTCATGTCCTTGCTGAACATGTAGATATCATTTTAGAGGAAATGTCTATTCAAGTCTTTTGCTCATTTTTAAATTGGGTTGTCTTTCTGTTGTTGAGTTGTAAGTGTTCCTGTTATAATCTAAACAGACATCAGCAATATGCTTAGAAAATAGTTTAACCCATTTTGTGGATTGTCTTTTTACTTTCTTAATGTTGTTCTTTGGAGCACAGTAGTTTCTAATTTTGATAAGGCCCAATTAATCTTTTTTTTTTGCCTGCACTTTTGGGATTATAGTAAACCATTGCTAAATCTAAGGTCACAAGGATTACCCTTTATTTTATTCTAAGAGTTTTGTAGTTTTAACTCTTAAATTTAGGTCTTTGATTTATTTTGAATTAATTTTTGTAGATGGTATATGGTGAGTCCAGTTTCATTCCTTTGTGTGTGAATGCCCAGTTTTTCAAGCACCATTTGTTGAAGAGACTATTTTTTCTCTGAAGAATGGCACTGACCTCATTGTCAAAAATGAAAGTATTATAGATATATGGGTTTATTTCTGGACTCTTAATTCTATTCTACTGATTTATATGTCTGTGTAGGGGAGAAAAAGTAATATGTTTTCCTTACCTGTTACAAAGTTCATAGCTGATACTTCTATAACAAACGAAAACAAAACTGTTTCTGTGGTCTTTCTCAATTTCCTTTGGCTTAAAATATTCAGCATGCCAATATGCCATATTTTCAGGGAGCACTTCCTGCACCCCTTCTATCCTTATGCTGGTATCATGGTGTTTTAATTACTGTATCTTTGTGATAAGTTTTGAAATTTAGAAGTACATCTTCCAACTTCATTTTTCTTTTAGAAGATTGTTTTAGTTACTTGAAATCCCTTACAATTCCATATGGATTTTAGGATTACCTTTTCCATTTCTGCAAAAAAGACAGTTGGGATTTTAATAGGGATTGCATTATGTCTTTAGATTGCTTTGATAAATATTGCCATTTTGAAAATGCAAGCTTTTTAAAACTCTTAGTCACTAAGTTTCTCATTTCCGAGACTCTTCATTCTTAAGCATCTTAGTCTATATTTTGTTGTAGCTATTATACTTTGCTTCAGGTGTTCATAGCTAATACCACACTTAATATGTAATACTACACTTAAGCCTTTAAATGCTTTCAACAAATACTACCTAGGTAGTTGCTTCAATCCTATGGTAGCTCTGAGGCAGATAAAACACATCAAGCTTTTGAAATGATCCTTCAGAGGACCACCAGATAGGTAAAAATAAACTCTCTGTATATAAAAATATACAGATTTTTAAAATCTGTATAAATGTCTGAGGTATAAGTGCAGTTTTTACATGCATATATTACTTAGTGATCAAGTCAGGACTTTTAGTGTATCCCTCACCAGAATAAAACACATTGTACCCATTAAGTAATTTCTTCTTATCCATGCTCTTTTCACTCCCTCTTACTTCTGAGTCTCCATCGTCCATCCTACCACTCTCTACTTCCATGTATATCCATTTTTTAGCTCCCACTTATAAGTGAGAACATATGATAATTGTCTTTCTGGGTCTGATTTGTTTTATGTAAGATAATGGCATTCGGTTCCATCCAGATTGATGAAAAAGACACAATTTCATTCTTTTGTGTGACTGAACAGTATTCTATAGTGTATGCATACAATATTTTCTTTATCCATTCATCTCTTGATGGACACTTTGGTTGATTCCATATTTTTTTCTATTGTGAATAGTGCTAGAAAAAATATACAAGTGCATGTATTTTATATATTAATGTCTTTTCCTTTGGGTAGATATCCAGTAGTAGGATTGCTGTATCAAAGATAGTTCTATTTTTAGTTATTCAAGAAATCTTCATACCATTTACCATAAAGATTGTACAAATTTCATTCCCATCAACAGTGTATAGGAATTCTCTTTTCTTCATATTCCCACCAACATTGTTTTTTACAATTTTTAATAACAGCTATTCTGACTGGGATAAAGATATCTCAAAGTGGTTTTAATTTGCATTTCTCCAATGATTAGTGATATTGGCCTTTTTTTCATATACCTGTTGGCCACTTGTATGTTTTCTTTTGAGAAAATAGCTATTCACATCCTTTGCCCACATTTTAATGGCACACTTTGTTTTGTTGTTGTTTTTGTTGAGTTTGAACTTCTTGTATATTCTGGATATTTGTCCTCTGTTAGATACTTAGTTTGCAAATATTTTTGCCGCTTATGCTCACTCTGTTTGTTATTTCTTTTGCTGTGGAGAAACTTTTTAGTTTAATGAAGCCCAATTGGCTATTTTTTATTTTGTTGCCTATACTTTTGAGATTTTAGTCATGAATTCTTTGCCTAGGCCAATGGCCAGAAGACTTTTCCTTGTCTTCTTTTAGTATCGTTATAGTTGCAGGTCTTATGTTTAAGTATTTAATCCATCTTGAGTTGACTCTTGTGTATGATGAGAGACAAGAGTCCGGTTTCATTCTTCTCCATATGGCAATGCAATTTTCCCAGAACCATTTATTGAAAAGGGCTTCTTTTCCCCAGTGTATGATCTTGTTGACTATCAAGGATTTGTTGGCTGTAAGCATCTGGCTTTATTTCTGGATTCTCTGAACTCCCTACTATTAACTGTACCTATCTCTGTTTTAGGTCCTGTAATATTGTTTTATGAATCTGGGTGCTCTGGTGTTGGTATATATGCATGTATATATATAAAATTGTTATATCCTCTTGCTGAACTGATCCCTTTATCATTATATAATGAAATTATTTGTCTTTTTTAACTGTTTCATTGATTTAAAATTTGTTTTATCTGATATAAGTGTAGCTACTTCTGTTCACTTTTGATTTCTGTTTGGGCAGAATATCTTTTCTACCATTTTATTTTCAGTCTGTATGTGTCTTTACAAATAAAGTGAGGTTTTTTGTAAGCAGCATATAGTTAGATCATATTTTATTAGCCATTCAGCCAGTCTCTCTTTTAAGTGGAGTATTTAATCCACTCATGTTTAAGGTTATTTTTGATATGTGAGGTTTTGTTTGTTATATTTTTAATTGTCTTCTAATTGTTTTATAAATTCTTTGTTTCTTTCTCTTTCTCTGACTGTCTTTGGGATTTGGTGGAATTTTGTAGTGACGTCCTTTGATACCTTTCTTTTTCTCTTTAGTGTGATTATTTTACCAGTGAGTTTTATACTTTCCTGTGTTTTCATGATGGTGAATACTGCTCTTTCCATTCCAAGTTTAGGATTTCTTTCAAGATTTCTTGTAGTACTGGTTTAGTGCTGATCAATTCCCCTAGCACTTACTTACCTGGGAAAGACTATTTCTCTTTCAGTTATCAAACTTAATATTGCTGAGTATAAAATTCTTGGTTGGCAGCATTTTTCCTAGCACTTTGAGTTTGTCATCCCATGCTCTTCTGACCTTTAAGGTTTCTGCTGAGAAGTCCACTGTTAGTCTGATGGGGACTATTTTATAGGTGACTAGATGCCTTTCTCATGTTGATTTTAGAATTCATTCTTTCACTTTGACTTAAGAAATTCTTATTATACTATGCTGTGATAAAGTCATTTTTGCATTGCATTTTCTTGGATATCACTAAGCTTCCCATATTGGGATGTCTAAATCGCTTTCCAGACTTGGGAGTCTTTCTCTAGTAAATAAGGTTTCACAACTTTTAAAAATCTTTTTGGCTTCTTGAGAATACTGATAATTCATAAGTTCAGTAACTTTATGTATTCCCAGTGTCTTGAAGTCTTTGTTCATTATTTTTAGTACTTTTCTTTTTTTGTCTAACTAGATTATTTCAAAAGACCTGCCTCTAAGTTCTGAATTATTTTTCTTCTGCTTGGTGTAGTCTATTTTTTTTAAGTTTTTGAATGTATTTTATATTTCTTTCAATAAATGTTTCAGTTCCAGGATTTCTGGGGTTTTGTTTGTTTTTTAAAGATACCTATCTCATTGGTATACATTTTTCATTCACGTTCTGAATTGATTTTCTGAGTTCTTTGTTTTGGAGTTCAGATTTCTCTTGCATCTCATCAAGCTTCTTTAAAATCTATATTTTGAATTATTTACCTGGATTTTGAGGATTTTTTTGGGTTAGGATCTATTGTTGGAGAGTCATTGGGCTCCTTTGCGGAGAGTGTGGTAAAGTTTTGATGAGAAATGGAATGCCAGATGGGTACTTCCTCACGTTTTGGTGGTGATGGTGGTGGGCTAAGCATGCCTGTCTTTGTGTCCAGGGGCAGCATATGCTGACACCATTTTTAGTGGTTTCAGGGAGACCAATTCTTGGGCCTCTGGGTGGCTTTCTCAGATGCCAATTATTATAGAGGCATGCCAAGTGAGTGAGCAGGTTCTCAAGTTCCTGGCAGCTGGGGTGGGGTGAGATGGGCAATAGTGGTAACAGTGTGGTAAGATGGTCTTCTAGTTTCCAAGTGCTATGCTGTTGTGTTGGCAGTGGTCACAATGGAAGGTACCAGCTGGCCCCCAAGTGACACTTGCAGGTAGAAGCCAGCTGAAGTAGTTGTGGTAGGGTGTTTATTCCTGACATCTGTCCCTTGTGGGAAGTGTTCAGGTGGTGGGTTGATCTGTGGCTCCAGGTGGCAAGATCCTGCATTGCATCTCAGAGGGTGGGGAGAAGCCATGTGAAGCTGGACCAGGCTATTTTGTGCCAAGGCCCCCCAATGGCAAGTGCACACACCAGCTGCACTGCGGGGAGGAGCTGGGCAGAACAATTTTTAGAACCCTGGTGAAATACTTGGGTGAGGGTGATTGCCTCTGCATGGAGGCCTTGCTATGGAAGGGTGAGCCTGCTGGTCCCAGAAGTTGCAGCCTTGGCTGGCAAGTGGAGGACTTGCATTTTTCTCACACTCCATACTGGGCAGGGTTCTCTCTTCTGTCCTGAGTTTCGAAGCTGATGCTGCAGTTCAGTCAGATTAGACAGTTCACTCCTATTCCATCACTCAGCCCCAGGCTGAGCAGGAGCACCCACTCAGCTCAGGACCAAACCTCCTTGGCAACTCTCATCCTTCTTATATCCCAAGGGGGTTGCCTGGTTCCAGTGTTAGTGGATGGAGCCCACACCAGGTTTGCTTTTCAGTTCTGGTTGTGGGAGTCCATTTCCCCTCAATACCTAGTTCTATAAGCCACAGCTTAAGCTTTCCTAACACCTAGGACTGGCACCACCAGATCCAAGCACTGCACACAGTATGTTAAGAGCTACGATCAAGAATGGCATGTTATTGCAGATGCTTAAGTCTCCGAGAGGGTATGGAACTCAGGACATGCTACCTCCTTGGAGTAGTTTCTTCTCACAGTCTCCTGGACACTCCCTAAGTTAGATTCAGGGTCTGGGAGGTTCAAGATGCACATCCATGGCCTAAAATGCATAATTACCCAGTGGGAAAGTGAATGACAAAAATGCATTCACTCACCCTCTCCTGTATTAGGGATTCTCTCCCAGGTCTTGGGCAGCCTTAACCATTCAAGCTACCTGTTTTCTTTCTCCTTTCTAGATTATGGTGTTTACTTTTCCTTTTCTGACAAAATCCCATCTTCCTTTGGGATAATGTATTCAAAGTGTGATTGCCTACACACTGTTCTGGTTCTTCTAAGTGGATGAGACATGCTTGAGATGCCTCTAGACAGCCATCTTGGGGGGAAAAATCCACATTTCTTTAAGAATAAGGTCTGTATTATTTCCTATAACATGAATAACTCACCCCCAAAATGCGGGATGTCATCCTTAAGTGTGTCACTGATTTGGGTTATAGAAAATGGTAAGTGGGTAAATAAAAATTCCCCAAAGCTCTCTTACCATAATCCAAGCTTTTTCCTTCATTGAGCATTCTCCTGATTATCGTAAGATTTTGTTTTGATTCCAAAACTCACAAAAGTTGATTCTGACAATTTTTGCAATCTTAGTGTTTGCTTTTGCAGTGTGACAGAGTTTTGGAGTTCTCTATTCTATTGTTTTTTTTCCCAAGGCCATTCTAACTTACTTTTTAATACTGATTTTAATTTACAATTAGAATAGTCACTTCTTGCAGTGTGGACTTTTATTTTATACTACTTTTGATGGTTCTCTACTATGAAGTCCAGAATTCTACATATAGTAAATATTAAACAGTATTTTGAGAGTGAATGCATGAATGAATCAATAAATCAGTGTCCACATAAAGAGGTTTTATTACCTGCCTAAGTGACTGATTCTGCAGTATAAGAATCCTGAATGTAAGATAATTTTCCTTATACTCTAAAGTATATTATTTATAGTCACATTAATTTTCCTTTGCTCAATTGTTAGTGAAGATCGAAAACATACCATCACTATATATATTTTTATAATATCTTTGTATACACAGAATCGTTTTTAATGTAATCATCTCATAATTTCCTCAATCTAAAATAAACAGTATTTTATCCCTTCCCAATTAGTTTTATTTTCTGCCTGAATTATCCAGATAAGGATTGGAAAATAGCGACCTATTAGTTTGCGGTCTTAAATTCACTTGGGAGTTGAGCAATCCTTTTGCAATAAACTTTGGTTTAAAAATTTTTAATTGACTGTGATAATATGAAATAGTCACAGAAATATACCCTTGGGGATGATATTTCTTCCACAGTGCTAGTGACTGACCTGATGTAGTTCATGGATTTTCCATGGTTGATGCAGTTGAGTAAGGGTTATTCCCTTACAAGCAGATCCAGGATTGAGACTGACAAACTTAGAGTGATACTTTTTTTTTTTTTTTTTTGAGCTGGAGTCTCACTCTGTTGCCCAGGCTGGAGTGCAGTGGTACCATCTCAGTTCACTGCAACATCCGCCCCTCGGGTTGAAGACATTCTCAGGCCTCAGCCTCTGGAGTAGCTGGGATTACAGGTGTGCACCAACACACCCGGCTAATTTTTGTATTTTTAGTAGAGACGGGGTTTCACCATGTTGGCCAGGCTGGTCTCGAACTCCTGACCTCAGGTGATCCATCCACCTTGGCCTCCCAAAGTGCTGGAATTACGGGCATGAGCCACTGCACCTGGCAGAATGATACATTCTGAAAGACCGTTTCCATACTTTATAACAAAAGTCTAACAAACATCTATATAAAAATAGAGTTTTTAAAATGCTGAAAGTGGTATTGTTTAATGCCCTGCATTTATTTTCATGGAAATACTGTTTTAGAATACTCACATGTGCCAGGCAAATTCCTTGATACTTTTAGTAATTATTTCTTGCAATATAATGCTAACACCTTAAATTAGGTACAAGGTCACCATCTTAGGGAGACTAAGGATCAGAGCTGCAAAGGAATTTACAGGAAGATAGCAGCTGTAGAGGAGCACCACTCTGATTGCCCCTTCAGGAGAAATCTCACCATGAAGAAATTGGTCAGCACTAGGCTGACCCTCTCCAATTGCAGTGCCTTTAGAATTCCTACAGCAGTGTAGCTGGAGATATGCTCTTCTCAGGCAGTGTCAGCCAATGTTCAAGTACAGTAGAACAACAGGGTTTGCTCAAGGAAGGATTCCTCTGCTGGCAATCTTTGCTTTAGAGCTTGCCTTTGGGCTCTAGACTTTCTCAGATTTGTACCACAGTCTGAGTCTCCTCCTTCCCAGCTGTCTTCCCTTTCTTCCACAGGTATCAGACCTGATCTACAGCCTGAAAGGTCTTCCTGCCCACTCTTACTCCTTCTACTGTTATCTTTGACACACATTACTCCAAATAAATATCTTCTACTGCAAACTCTGTTTTGGCATTTTCTTTCCAGAAGATTCGAATTTACATGGGCAGAAAGAATAACATATTGAAAGCAAGGAAGAGTTATTTACCTATTTGGGGTAGATGTCGTTGCTATTAAGCATACTTAGGTTTTAATTCTGTTTCTCCCAGTTAGCAATTTAGTCTTTTTGCACTTTAATATTCTTTTTGTAAAATGAGGACAATCACATCTACATTGGTTGTTGTAAATTTCTCGAATGATGTAGTAAAACCTAGCCCTTAGTAGTCTCTCAAAAAAAGGTAAATGTTACCATTTTTGTTTACCATTGTTGTTGTTAAGAAAAATAATATTATATATTAAATATTATAAAATAAAATATATAATAATATATTATATATTTAAATATTGATTCTAGTTTTAAAATTTAAACATTTCTTCCCCCACAAACTATTTCTTTTCTATGCTCCATACCTCTTCCCAGCATGATTCTAATGAATGATTTAGGCTTTATATTTCTTAACAGATTGTTATTTTCTAGATGAGACATTGAGTTTATATTGCCACAAAATGTTTGAATTGGTGATATACTGTAATGATATTCAACTATCTGCACAGTAATTTGTAGTACCTGCCAACAATCAGTAACATAGCTCTAAATGTCTGAAAATGGCATCACATACATTTTCTGGTCAATTATCTTCTAAAAGGATTAGTCAAAGAGGATACATGATTTGACAGTAAAATGCTTAGACCCAAAATGAAAAAGTTTACTGTCAAGTTTAAGTCATCTCCCTAACTAACTATGATTTGGGGCAGTCATTAACTCACACAAAACTTTAGTTTCCTTATTTATAAAATGGAGAAATTAGGACAGTTTATTTCTAAAGTCTGATTCAGCTATAAAATCTAAATACTGATTATAACTAGTTCCCTAGAATTTACAATTTAAGGCCACAAGTTATACCATAATATTCCTAGATGTTCAATATTGTAGGGTAAGTTTTTATAATGTGTGCTGAGGATTATTATTACTATTATTATTTTATTTTTATTTTTTTGCAATGGAGTTTTGCTCTTGTTGCCCAGGCTGGAGTGCAATGGTGCGATCTCGGCTCACTGCAACCTCCGTCTCCAGGGTTCAAGCAATTCTCCTGCCTCAGTCTCCAGAGTAGCTGGGATTACAGGTGCCTGTCACCATGCCTGGCTAATTTTTGTATTTTTACTAGAGACAGGGTTTCACCACGTTGGTCAGGCTTGTCTAGAACTCCTGATCTTAGATGATCCGCCTGCCTCGACCTCTCAAAATGCTGGAATTACAGGCGTGAACCTCTGTGCCTGGCCTCTGAGGATGAATTTTTAAGAAAATGAGGAAATAGTCAAATGGATCACTATTTGCTAATAGTTTAATAAATTATATGAGACAATCAATCCTTGGATTGTTCATTTGATCTTATTTATTCCTAAAAGATTACTGCAATAGGGATACACGTTAGAATTAATAGAATTTTTTTTAATTTCACCAGAAATTATTTTCAAAGAAATCAAGCAAAATTTTTCTACAGACCCTTTCCTGAATACAGAATATCAGGAGAAACATGCACAAATTTATTCTGCTAAAGATGTTAAAAAACTTAGAAATATAAAACTCAGGATATTTCTATTCTATGTCTACAATAGAAGCTATGCCAGAGTTTCTAGACTATGAGTTGGTGTCATTATGAGGAATATGTTTAAGGTTTATGTGTAATAATGTCATCCAAAGCAATGTAGGTTCAGAATTTTACCCAAACTGAAGAGATTGTATTTGGCTTCTAGATCAATGATAGGCATGACATTAAAAGCCCACAGTTAACATCAATAAGTAAGAGTAGGTCACTGGTAATTAAGAATGGAAATGCCACCATCTCCAGCAGTTGAAATCTCACTGCAAGTGATCTGAATTCAATTAGAAAAACCAGAGGGGGTAGATATAAAAACAGTTGGCTAAAGACAGGTATGCTTCAATTCAGTACTCATATAGGGTCTACTATGAACAGTACTATGATAAACTCTGTAGATCTAAAAATGAATCAGAAATGGTCCCTCCCATCAAGAAAGAATGATTTAATAGAAACATGAAGTTTAGTCTAGTAGTAGTAATGGGCAATTGATGCAAGCTGTTATTTCTTAGTGCATAAATAGGACAAACCAAGAGTGTTAAATTTCAGCAAAGATGCAAATTATTTAGTGAGTTAGGAACTATAATGTCCCAGAGACAAAGGTAGGGAGACAGACATCATAACATATCAATAATAACATTATCAGACAAAAGCAACTGTATCTGCTCATCTAAGGATTTGTTCTATGTGACAATGACTGCTTTGCATATTGGTTGGCACTGAATCTTTCACAACACCAAAAGTTGAATCATCTTAGGGTGAAAGAAACAATAATAAAATAAACAGAATTTTTCTCTCCAATATCTTTCTCTTTCTTTCTCTTTCACTACACACACACATGTAGACACATACACACACCTCAAATGGTACTGACCCTTAATTATTTATTTTGTAGTGGTAAAAATCAATGCAGAGCTCGATTTGGAGAATGACTATTTCCAATGACAATGAAGGTTAAATAGAATGCTATAATTGCCATTGCTTTTAGAATATCTGGGGGAAGCCTCTGAACTGGATTAAATGAGAATAAAGATAGCCAGCAATATTTGATGCTTAAATTATAAATTTGATTTAAACATGATGGAATATTTTAGATGATAAAGTAATAAACTTCTCTATTCTTCACAAATCTTATTGGCATAAGAAAGTTAATAGAATGACAGGAGTATGACACTGTTGATGCCATTTAAATATAACTGTCTCTAAAAATGCTTTGGAAACAAGGCAGTGTTTAGGAAGTATAAGAAACCTTTATATAAGCCAAAGTTGCTGAGATTCAATGTATCATTTTTTTCTTTTCTGTGAGCTAATAGCAGCTAGCCCTTCGAAGATCTATACAATACTTGATTACTAGAAATAGTAGGATATGGCTTGTTAACAATAGTAATTTCTCACAGTTGCTGAGTGCTTACTATGTGTAGACCCTGGGTTTGGTGTTCCTGCTTTGCCTTAGCTCACTTAGTTCTCACAACACCACAATGAAGTATGTTCTTTCATTATTTCCATTTTATGTGTGAGGCAACTGAGACTGTCAACCCATTCTCAGGTCATTCTGACTCTAGAACTTGCTTCTCTTGTCTTACAGACCTCAGTTGTAACACAGTAGGTGCTAAAATCATACATACAATGCTTATTTCACCTATTTGAAAATAAAATTGCTTTTTACGCCAAGGTTCACACATATGTCTGTTTTGTTGCTTTACTCTGGGGCTATGTTATGGGTGCATGCTTTGTCCTTCAAGCAGAATTGACTTCTTTGGTCTGCACCAGTCATTCAATATAACTTAAGGCAATTTGCTGCCAGCGTTTCTACATATCTTTACATTTCTTATAGATGCATGCCTGTATTTAAATAGTATTTATTGATGTTATTCTAAATACTCCCTGCTTTGGGGTGGTAACATTACACATACATTCCACGACAAATATGCCTTGTAAATATATAGTTGCCTGTTTTTCTGGTTCTTTGTAGACAGTCTTTCCAAAGGTAAAATTCAAATGCTCTAATCAATGTTCCCCTCCAGCAAAAGAAAAATGAAAGGCAAATAAGGATGATGCTGTTTGTTAAATGCGAAGTATCTCCCAATTATTTTTGTGATACTCTACTTAATTCCACCTGCAAAGATTAGGAATCAATTATTTAGTGCAAAACATTTAAATCTAGTATCAGAATCTGGATGAGGATAAAAAGAAATTCTAAATATGTTTCCTACACAGATCTCAGTACCATTACAATAAGTTGGATGCTTTCCAATCTAGTCATTAGACTATGAGTCTTTTTATGTGTCTGTGTCCAGATCTCTGTGGGTATCCATAAAATATGTTCTTGCTGGCAATCTATGTCTGCTGTTTATCCACAACTTTGTAGCACACATGATCTCAAGGAAATTATTTAAGGTGACTGTATCTCCATTTCTTTATTTGTAAAGGAAGGGGGCTGGGTCAGATAACCCACGATATCCATGCCAGAACTAAAACATATTGATTCTGTAGCTAAGAATGGTGATTTATAGGAACTACTGCGCAGTTTAAAGCAACTGCTATCAAATTGAAAACACTCATTTATTCTTCCATTTTCTATAAATCATACTTTCACAGATACCAGAAAAATTATTACCATCATTGCTGATAGGAAATTCTAAATTCCTGCTTGCCCTGGAATTATTAGATAGCTCATTCCTTTATACTCTGTCATTTTTAGCACAAGGCCAGAGAACAGAGGTTTCTGGCAAATCAGGATGTGATCATGAGATAAGATTCATGAGAATGAAAAGCCAACACATTGAGGTTGAAGAGCAGAGAAGTAGAAAGAGTTTTTGATGACAATAGTGAGCAGCAAAAGCAAGACAAGCAACTTCCTTTCTCTGGATATTCTGTTATGAGAGAAAAATAGGTTTTTATTTTGCAAGGCAGTTGCTTAGGTTTTTCTATTACTTGAAGCTAGATACACTCCAGCTAATCAAAGTTTAGAGTTACCCACACTTTTGGATTAGATGAAGTTTAAGAACTATGAAATCTATTTGCTAATTGACACTGAGCTATATGGTGTTATTTTAGCCTTTTAATGTTTTCTTGTGATTGATGAGATATTTGTATTAAATGCTTCAGTTTTATGCACTTGTTTGTATTATTTTTTCTTTTTCACTTAGTGAGTTAGCAGCTATCATGGATAAATTTCTGCATTTAGAATTTAATAGAAATCTTTTTCTGTTGGCAGACATTCCTTGATGTCATTTGTTATTTATTTTCAATTCTCTCCAGGTTTACCTCTTTCACTGTGTACAGATTATGACAAATGATCAGCAATCCCAAGTTATTTACTTGATGTGAACATTTCCAAGAGCAAAATATTTCAATACTACCATCATGGATTATCAAATCAAAGTACTGAAAGTGCTTCAAACAAAACAGAAGCATAGTTTACTGACATCTTCCAAGTCCCTTGTTGAATCCCAGAGGATAAAAATAAGTCTATTTATATATAAGGATAATAATATTTAATCTAATCCCCATCTCATCTTTTGAGAATAATATGTTAGCCTTCGGAGATACTTTTGAGATATCAAGTGAATTGCATAGCATTAAAAAAAATGACTGATTAACTTTGTCAAAATGATAGAAGTGGCTTATGAATCTTTACCTTTCATCATGTTTTCACAGGAATATTTAAAATGCTTTTCTTTAGAAATGAATATTTTGCAACTTACACAAACACTTGAAACCAACTCAAGAATTGTAAGGGGCCCTCAGAAATAGATTCTAGGGCAACCTCATCCAATCTTATGAACCCTTCAATTACACACCCTATGTCCAGTGGATATTCTTTAGTTGATTGAATATAGATCTGCTGATAGATAACTTTCTACACACAGAATGTAGATCTGGTAATAGATAACTCTCTGCACATCTGTTTCTTGCACAAGTATAATTAATTGAAAGTTCTCACTCTTAAGCTGATATCTGTCTCATGTAATTATACCTATTGGTACTACCATTAAATCCGTATTTCAACATTTGTTTACACAACATCTTGAGTCTTCAAATACTTTACTGAAGCAAAAATATATTACATATCAATTGCATTTCAACAATTTAACAAGGTAGTCACTTTTTCAGAAAGTGTTCATCTGGCTATCTGCCATTACTTGAGTTGAGCAAACTCATGTGGTCTTCTAGTGATTGTCATTCACTTTTTCTATACTCATAAGTCATCTCTTTAAGTTGTCTACCTGGTTTCTTGCCTGGACCAGGATCAATGTCAAATAAGTGTATGTCAAGATTACACAACACCTTGCAACATATAAAAGAGTTATCAAGTCCAATAGTTCCATAAAAACTCGTGGGCTATATTTAAAAAGAAAAATAAGATTTTTCATTATTTACAAAGTATATGACTTAGAATCTAAAAAATAACTTACAGTAAGAATTTAGCAATTTTGTTAATTTTGTTAAAAAGAAAATGATTTATTCACTGAAACAGTTTTTAACAATAATTTGAAATTGATAAAAACAAAATATACTTATTTTGTATGTACAATGTACAGATTTTACTATTATATATTATGTATAATAGTAAAATCAATTCCATTTGATTGATTCTAACAATATACTTTTGTTTATGTTTTTTGCCAATCTAGTGCATTTGTAGGTAACCTATGGTTGCAAAAAATGAAAGAATATAACCTGCACGTGAATGTTAGTTGGTATTTAAATTTACATGAAAAAGTAAGATTAAAGTGAAAAAAATATATATGTCAGAACTTCACTCATTCATTAGTGGTATGAGAGACTTTTTTACTTAAGTAGATAATAGTTTTTGAATACTGGGGCAACCACATCCAATCTCATGAAACCTTCAGTTATACACGTATGTCCAGTGTACATTTATCAGTTGGTTGAATATAGATCTTGTGGATAGTTAACTTTATACACATAGAATATAGATCTGGAAATAGATAACTCGCTACACATCTATTTCTTGCACAAGTCTAATTAATTGAAAATTTTCGCTCTTGAGCTGACAGGGTATATTTCCTTAAATTTTTTGTGTTAGTCACAACAGACTGCTAGTCACTTCTACCAAGTTTATTCTGTATTAAACATTTTTATCCATCACTTTCTTAAGTCTGGAATACAAAAGTGATAAGCTAAGCATTTACAGATTTTCATGGAGTTAATACTGTAACTGTTAGCAATTTCATGCTGCCAATATTGCATCACCAAACATGGATTGGAAAGAGATGTGCAGTAATTCACCATTATATCATATTTCCACCATACTAATACAATAAACATAAACAATAGACATAAATAACCTCAAGAACATAAAATAATTAGAAAGTAATGAGTTTTGAGTAATATCTGTTTTAAATATAATTTAATTAATTTTACTTATATAAAATTTAATTTTTACTGATGGCCATATTTAAAATGGGGCTCGCAATATTCCTAAAAATTTAATGATGGGTTCTTGCAATGCAATACAAGCCAGTTCACACGCACCACTAAATGTAGCACAAGGTGAGGCATAATAAGAACACTCTGGATGTATAGATGCTCTTAAAACTTTTGCCTTTTCCCAAGAGTAAACAGAAGCTATTGGAAATCATTGCAGAGGCCTGTTAGGAATGTTAACGCGAACATCTAACGCGAATGTTAGATGTTCTCCCTCTACTGCTCAGTTGTGGTGTGTCCATGAGGAATTTTCTTAGTCTGTTTGTGTTCCAGCCTTCTCAGCTGTAAAATGAAAGTAATAATGACAAAAATGATACATATCTCATGTTTGAAATGAGGTAATATACATAAAGTCCTTAGAGCAAGGTCTAGAACATAGTAAATACTTAATATACATTAACCATATTATAATTGAATTTTAAGACAGAATATAATATGATCAGATTTACAGTTTAAAAGATCACTCTGCTTGTTGTATGGAGTACTCAACTGTGGTACTCAATTATGGTAGAAAATGCAGTTAAACATCTACTGTCATCCTGGGGTGGTTCTTGGATTCAGTTGGTGAGAATAGAGACACAGACAACTACACAAATTTTGAAAGACATCAAAAAGAAAGAGCATTGGACATGTCAAGGATAACTCCCAGGTTTTTAAATTAGGCAATCGATAGATTTCTCCTTCACTTAGAAAGAGAATAGTGGAAAGGTATTACTTTAGAGCCAGGTGGGAGATCATTAGTTTGGTTTTAGAATTTTATATATATATGAAGTGCAGTTAGGACTTTCAGGACATGTGGAATAGGTCGAGGAGAATTCTGGGCTGTAAATACATTTTGGAGTTATTGACATAAAAATGAAGATAGTTAAAGACACAAGGGTAAATATTGCGGGCAAGATGCCGAATAGGAACAGCTCCGGTCTGCAACTCCCAGCGAGATTGATGCAGAAGGCGGGTGATTTCTGCATTTCCAAATGAGGTACCCGGTTCATCTCATTGGGACTGTTTGGACAGTGGGTGCAGCCCATGGAGGGCGAGCCGAAGCAGGATGGGGCGTTGCCTCACCCAGGAAGCTCAAGGGGTTGGGGAATTTTCTCTCCTATCCAAGGGAAGCCGTGAGGGACTGAGCCTGAGGAACTCCGGCACAGATACTGCACTTGTCCCATGGTCTTCGCAACCTGCAAACCAGGAGATTCCCTCTGATGCCTACCCCTCCAGGGCCCTGGGTGTCAAGCACAAAACTGGGCAGCCATTTGGGCAGACACCAAGCTAGCTGTAGGAGTTCCTTTTTTTCCATACCCCAGTGGCTCCTGGAAGGCCAGCGAGACAGAACCATTTACTCCCCTAGAAAGGGGTGCTGAAGCCAGGGAGCCAAGTGGTCTGGCTCGGTGGGTCCCATCCCCATGGAGCCCAGCAAACTAATATCCACTGGCTTGAAATTCTCACTCCCAGCACAGTGGAAGTCTGAGATTGACCTGGAACACTGGAGCTTGGTGGGGGGAGGGGCATGCACCATTTCTGAGGCTCGAGTAGGTGGTTTTACAAGCACAGTGTAAACAAAGCCACTGGGAAGTTTGAACTGGGCAGAGCCCATTGCAGCTTAGCAAGGCTGCTGTGGCCAGAATGCCAGATTTCTCTTCTCTGGGCAAGAGAAAGAAAAAAGGCAGCAACACCAGTCAGGGACTTATAGATAAAACCCCCATCTCCCTGGGACAGAGCACCTGGGGAAAGGGGTGGCTGTGGACACAGCTTCAGCAGACTTAAACATCTCTGAAGAGCACAGCAGACCTCCTGGCACAGCATTCAAGCTCTGCTAAGGGTCAGACTGCCTCCTCAAGTGGGTACCTGACCCCTGCATATCCTGACTTGGAGACACCTCCCCGTAGGAGCCGACAGACACCTCATACAGGAGAGCTCTGGCTGACATCTGGCAGGTGCCCCTCTAGGATGAAGCTTCCAGAGGAAAGATCAGGCAACAATCTTTGCTGTTCTGCAGCCTCTGCTGGTGACACCCAGGCAAATGGGGTTGGGAATAGACCTCCAGCAAACTACAGCAGACTGGCAGCAGAGGGGCCTGACTGTCAGAAGGAAAACTAACAAACAGAAAGGAATAGCATGTCCACTTGAAGACCCCATTCAAAGGTCACCAAGATCAAAGACCAAGGGTAGATAAATCCACAAAAATGGGGAGAAACCAGTGCAAAAGCCTGAAAATTCCAAGAACCAGAAAGCCTCTTCTCCTCCAAAGGGTCACAACTCCCTGCCAGAAAGGGAACAAAACTGGACGGAGAATGAGTTTGACAAACTGATAGAAGTATGCTTCAGAAGTTGGGTAATAACAAACTCCTCCGAGCTAAAGGAGCATGTTCTAATTCAATGCAAGAAAGATAAGAACCTTGAAAAAACGTTAGGACGAATTGCTAACTAGAATAACCAGTGTAGAGAAGAACATAAATGGAATGGAGCTGAAAAACACAGCACAAGAACTTCGTGAAGCATACACAAGTTTCAATAGCCGAATCGATCAAGCAGAGGAAAAGCTATCAGCGATTGAAGATCAACTTAATGAAATAAAGAGAGAAGACAAGATTAGAGAATAAAGAATAAAAAGGAATGAATAAAGCCTCTAAGAAACATGGGACTATGTGAAAAGACCAAATCTAGGTTTGATGTTCCTGAAAGTGATAAGGAGAATGGAACCAAGTTGGAAAACACTCTTCAGGATATTATCCAGGAGAACTTCCACAACCTAGCAAGACAGGCCAACATTCAAATTCAGGAAATATAGAGACACCACAAAGATACTCCTTGAGAAGAGCAACCCCAAGACACATAATTGTCAGATTCACCAAGGTTGAAATGAAGGAAAAAATGTTAAGGGCAGCCAAAGAGAAAGGTTGGGTTACCCACAAAGGGAAGCCCATCAGACTAATAGCAGATCTCTTGGCAGAAACCCTACAAACCAGAAGAGAGTGGGGGCCAATATTCAACATTCTTAAAGAAAAGAATTTTCAACCCAGAATTTCATATCCAGCCAAACTAAGCTTCATAAGTGAAGGAGAAATAAAATCCTTTACAGACAAGCAAATGCTGAGAGATTTTTGTCACCACCAGGCCTGCCTTACAGAGGCTCCTGAAGGAAGCACTAAATATGGAAAGAAATAACCAGTACCAGCCACTGCAAAAACATGCCAAATTGTAAAGAACATCAACACTATCAAGAAACTGCATCAACAGGCAAAACAACCAGCTAGCATCATAATGAGAGGATCAAATTCACACATAACATACTAACCTTAAATGTAAATGGGCTAAATTCCCCAGTTAAAAGACACAGACTGGCAAATTGGATAGAGTCAAGACCCATCAGTGTGCTGTATTCAGGAGACCCATCTCACGTGAAAAGACACACATAGGCTCAAAATAAAGGGATGGAGGAATATTTACCAAGCAAATGGGAAGCAAAAGCAGGAGTTTCAATCCTAATCTCTGATAAAACAGACTTTAAGCCAACAAAGATCAAAAGAGACAAAGATGGGCATTACATAATGATAAAGGGATCAATGCAGCAAAATATATATATAAATATATATGCACCTAATACAGGAGTACCCAGGTTCCTAAAGCAAGTTCTTAGAGACCTACAAAGAGACTTAGACTCCCACACAATAATAGTGGGAGACTTTAACATCCCACTGTCAATATTAGACAGATCAACGAGACAGAAAATTAACAAGGATATTTAGGACTTGAACTCAGCTCTGCACCAAGCGGACCTAATAGACATTGACAGAACTCTCCACCCCAAATCAACAGAATATACATTCTTCTTAGCACCACATCACACTTATTCTAAAATAGACCACAAAATTTGAAGTAAAGCACACCTCAGCAAATGTAAAAGAATAGAAATCACAACAAACTGTCTTTCAGACCACAGTGCAATCAAATTAGAAGTCAGGATGTCAGGATTAAGGAACTCACTCAAAACTGCAAAACTACATGGAAACTCAACAACCTGCTCCTGAATGACTACTGGGTAAATAACGAAATGAAGGCAGAAATAAAGATGTTCTTTGAAACCAGTGAGAAAAATGACGCAACTTACCAAAATCTCTGGGACACATTTAAAGCAGCGTGTAGAGGAAAATTTATAGCACTAAATGCCCACAAAAGAAAGCAGGAAAGATCTAAAATGGACACCCTAACATCAAAATTAAAAGAACTAGAGAAGCAAGAGCAAACACATTCAAAATCTAGCAGAAGACAAGAAATAACTAAGATCAGAGCAGAACTGAAGGAGATAGAGACATGAAAAACCCTTCAAAAATATCAATGAATCCAGGAGCTGGTTTTTTGAAAAGATCAACAAAATAGATAGACTGCTAGCCAGACTAATAAAGAAGAAAAGAGAGATGAATAAAATAGATGCCATAAAAAATGATAAAGGGGATATCACCACTGATGCCACAGTTATACAAACTACCAACAGAGAATACTATAAACACTTCTACGCAAATAAACTAGAAAATCTAGAAGAAATGGATAAATTCCTGGACACATACATGTCCCAAGTCTAAACCAGGAAGAAGTCGAATCTCTGAATAAACCAGTAACAAGTTCTGAAATTGAGGCAGTAATTAATAGCCTACCAACCAAAAAAAAAGCCCAGGACCAGATGGATTCACAGCCGAATTCTACCTTAGGTACAAAGAGGAGCTGGTACCATTCCTTCTGAAACTATTCCAATCAATAGAAAAAGAGGGAATCCTCTCTAACTCATTTTATGAGGCCAGCATCATCCTGATACCAAAACCTGGCAGAGACACAACAAAAAAAAAGAAAATTCTAGGCCAATATCCCTGATGAACATTGATGTGAAAATCCTCAATAAAATACTGGCAAACCAAATCCAGCAGCACATCATAAAGCTTATCCACCATGATCAAGTCGGCTTCATCCCTGGGATGCAAGGCTGGTTCAGCATATGCAAATCAATAAATGCAATCCATCACATAAACAGAACCAATGACAAAAACCACGTGATTATCTCAATAGATGCAGAAAAGGCCTTCCACAAAATTCAATACGCCTGCATGCTAAAAACTCTTAACAGACTAGGTATCAATGGAATGTATCTCAAAATAATAAGAGCTATTTATGACAAACCCACAGCCAATATCATACTGAATGGGCAAAAACTGGAAGCATTCCCTTTGAAAACTGGCACAAGACAAGGATGCCCTCTCTCACCACTCCTATTCAAAACAGTATTGGACGTTCTGGCCAGGGCAATCAGGCAAGAGAAAGAAATAAAGAGTATTCAAATGGGAAGAGAGGAAGTCAAATTATTATCCATTTGCAGATGATGTGATTGTATATTTAGAAAACCCCATTGTCTCAGTCCAAAATCTACTTAAGCTGACAAGTAACTTCAGCAAAGTCTCAGGATACAAAATAAATGTGCAAAAATCACAAGCGTTCCTATTCACCAATAACAGACAGAGAGCCAAATCATTAGTGAACTCCCATTCACAATTGCAACAAAGAGGATAAAATACCTAGGAATACAATTTACAAGGGATATGAAGGGCCTCTTCAAGGAGAACTACAAACCACTGTTCAAGGAAATAAGAGAGGAAACAAACAAATGGAAAAACATTCCATGCTCATAGATAGGAAGAATCAATATCGTGAAAATGGCCATACTGCCCAAAGTAATTTACAGATTCAATGCTATCCCCATCATGCTACCACAGACTTTCTTCACAGAATTGGAAAAAACTACTTTAAAGTTCATATGGAACCAAAAAAGAGCCCGCAGAGCCAAGACAATCTTGGGGAAGAAGAACAAAGCTGGAGGCATCACGCTACCTGACTTCAAACTAGACTACAAGGCTACAATAATCAAAACAGCATGGTACTGGTACCAAAACAGATATATAGACCACTGGAACAGGACAGAAGCCTCAGAAATTACACCACATATCTGCAACCATCTGATCTTTGACAAACCAGACACAAACAAGCAATGGGGAAAAGATTCCCTATTTAATAAGTAGTGTTGGGAATACTGGCTAGGCATATGCAGAAAACTGAAACTGTACCCCCTCCTTATACCTTATACAAAAATCAACTCAAGATGGATCAAAGACTTAAATGTAAGACCTAGGACCATAAAAATCCTAGAAGAAAACCTGGGCAATACCATTCAGGACATACGCATGGGCAAAGATTTCATGTGTAAAACACCAGAAGCAATGGAAACAAAAGCCAAAATTGACAAATGGGATCTAATTAAACTAAAGAGCTTCTGCACAGCAAGAGAAACTAACATCAGAGTGAACGGGCAACCTACAGAATGGGAGAAAATTTTTGCAATCTACCCATCTGACAAAGGGCTAATACCCAGAATCTATAAAGAACTTAAGCAAATTTACAAGAAAAAAACAACCCCATCAAAAAGTGGGCAAAGGATATGAACAGACACTTCTCAAAAGAAGACATTTACGCAGCCAACAAACATGAAAAAAAGCTCATCATCACTGGTCATTAGAGAAATGCAAATCAAAACCACAATGTGATACCATCTCATGCCAGTTAGAATGGCAATCATTAAAAAGTCAGGAAACAACAGATGCTAGAGAGGGTATGGAGAGATAGGAATGCTTTTACACTGTTGGTGGGAGTGTAAATTAGTTCAACCATTGTGGAAGACAGTGTGGCGATTCCTCAAGGATCTAGAACTAGAAATACTATTTGACCCAGCAATCCCATTACTGGATATATACCCAAAGGATTATAAATCATGCTACTATAAAGACACATGCACACGTATGTTTATTACAGCACTATTCACAATAGCAAAGACTTGGAACCAACCCAAATGTCAATCAATAATAGACTGGATAAAGAAAATGTGGCACATATACACCATGGAACACTATGCAGCCATAAAAAAGAATGAGTTCATGTCCTTTGCAGGAACATGGATGAAGCTGGAAACCATCATTCTCAGCAAACTATTCCAAGAACAGAAAACCAAACACTGCATGTTCTCACTCATAAGTGGGAGTTGAACAATGAGAGCACATGGACATAGGAGAGGAACATCACACACTGGGGCCTGTTGGTGGGTGGGGGGTTAGGGGAGGGATAACATTAGGAGAAATACCTAACGTAGGTGACAGGTTGATGGGTGCAGCAAACCACCATGGCGCGTGTATACCTATGTAACAAAACTGCACATTCTGCACATGTACCCCAGAACTTAAAGTATAATAAAAAAAATTGCCTTTCAGTGGATTGGAATATGTGGTAGAAACAACACACCTTGTCTGAGGATTATTAATGCTGAAAGGTTATATTGAAGAAAAAATGTCAGAGAAAACCTGTTATTCAAGGCAGAGATTATTATCTCCATTTCACAGATAAAACTGATGCTCACTTCTAGATTTTAAGTAAATTTGTCTGAAGTCATATAGTTATAATGGAGCTGGGAGCTTCATATAGTGGAGCTGGGATTAACTCATTTTTTAATCTGTTCTTGGTTTATATGCCACACTTTATTGAGTGTCTTGCTATCAACTTCAGCCTTTTGATTAAATGTCATGTGTCCAGTACCCAGTAATCGGTAGTTTCTTCTTCCTCCATTCTCTTTCTGCGCTGGAAGATCCATCAGTGTCCAACTGAGTTTCTTATTCTGCAATATAGGAAAGAAAGGGAGAGAGACAGAGGTGGAGAAACAGAGAGACAGAGACAGAGGCAGAGAGAGAGATAAAGATAGAGAAATAGACAGTGAGACAGTGAGAGAAAAGGGGAAAGAGAGGAAGAGCTGGGGAAAGACTTATGAAGATCCTTTTCTGCTGAAGTAATTTGTCTAGCTCGGTAATGGTCATATGAGAGTCTCTAAGGCACTCTGAGGGACTCTGCTTTGTTTACAATGTCTTAGGGAGGAAAGAAAATCTATTTAGATGCGAGCGGTGCCAAGTGAGAAGGGAAACAGAGGGAACACATCATTAACCTCCACACATTTACATATGATCTGACATGACCATACATCTTCCAAAGGAAAGCCAAGGAAAGAAGAAATGAGAGGATGTGAGTTTAAAAGTGAGGGGCTGAACAGGGCTGAAGGGAGGTGCTCATTTTCTCCTACTGATGCTATTCATACTAGTCAGTAATCAGGGCTTCACTTTCATGCATCTCTGACCTCAAGCTAGAATTCAAAATCAAATTATATAAATAGTGTCTAAGGAAACACAAAACATCCAAAAATAGGTCAATGAAGTGTTTACTTTTTAAGTACTGTGTCAAAGGTATGCATGCAAATCTGTATCATAAAGAGTATAAAAAAGAAGTAAATATTAAAACTCCAGTTGAAAATATCTCACTCAAAAGTGAATAAACAAAGCACTCAGATGAATCTGAAACATTCAATTTTATACGTGCTGCGTGGTTGAAAAAGGCATTAATTGCTCATTCTAACCCTGAGGGCCCAAGAGTTATAGACCTTTTACAGTAGAGGGAAAAACCCAACAACCCCAGAATATTTCATATTCAACTCAAGAGATACTTATCTAATGATGCTGCTGAAGTGTTGAAATACTAGGAGCATTTTCATCTTGTATATAGGTATATTTCAGACAATGCTGAGGAGTTAGGTTGAATAAAAACACACGAGGGATGAATTTAATTTTGGATCATTTATTATTCAGTATTTGTATAGGATTTACCATTTAAATACATTTAAATCTGTTTCAATATATTCACAACCTTCATGTTAATAGACTAGTATTAGCCTCACTTTTTAAATAAGAAATTTGTGTTACCTCACCTTCTAAATAAGGAAACTGAGGCAGAAAGTTAAGTGGTGGCTTAAAATCTGCTAGTAGAAACACTTTCCCTGTAGTTGAGGGCTAATTCATTTGAAGTGAATTACATATTCTCAGGAGCCCCATGATGGTCCAACAAGGGTAATTTATTTCCAAGAAGGGAGTTCTTTGCTTTTAAGAGGAAATATTTTTACTTATTGTATTGTAGAATTGTGTCTGTTACTAATATAATAAGAAATACATATCCCGACTACACTACCATTAAGCCAAATACTGCGTTCTGTTTTTTTCTACCAGATGTTTTATGGCATGTAAGTGTGTTAAGGAAGATTGATAAACCTAATAAACTTATATATAAACCTATCAGTAAAGGATTATAGAGAGGAAATTCTACTTTGGTTTGGAATACTTGCAAGGATTCTGACCAAAGGTTTTGCTCTACATTAGTTCATTCCCATTTACAAGAGAACTATTTTTATCCTTTGCTTTGCCGCACTTATGTTTACACTAAGAAAGAGAATATGCAACGCTTTTAACCAAATTTTGTCATTAACTCAGCTGTAATTAAAATATTCTCTACCTCAGAGTTTTGCATCTTTAAAAATGGAAATATAATATAATTGATTAGGTGCCAATCAGTTTTATTTAATCTGATTTGATTCCTTAAGTAAAAGGGTTAAATTTTTAGAAATTTAAATTGTTTTTATTAAAGAGGGAAAAGGAAGCTAAATAATTTTCCAGTGTAGCTATGTAATTAACTTAGCTGCTGAAAGATGAAGGCATGGTTTACAGGGAGAATATGGAGTAGAAAAGAAAAAATAAAAGATAAAGGAGAGTTATAATCTAGAAACTGGGAAAAAAGGATATAGATTGACTATTACCAAAATAGCGACCTAGACTTGTTGTTTTTTCAAACTATAAAAGTTTATTCACTGCAAATAGTTAAATAATATAGTAAAAACTGTGTAATTAATACTTTAAAATCACTTTTACGTTGACACAGTAAAAAGCATCTTAAAGTTTGTATGACTATCTTTCTAGACGTTTTCCAATGCTATACATGAGTAAACTTAACAGAAGTCATGTAGCACTGATTGTCTTTCTTATATGAACATTTGATACACGTCTTTTGATGAACAAAAGCAATGATTTCTCTTAGGCATTTATCTAGGTTCAGAATTCCTGGGTCAAAAGGTGATAATATATCCAGCTTTAGTAAATACCGTCAAACAGATTTTCAAAGTGGTTGTAAAAGTAGGTGGTTGTTTCATTCACATTTTCCTTTACCTTCTCATCAATTGTTGGTATTGTCAGTATTTTACATTTTAGCCATTCTTGTGTGTTTATAGTGATATTGGAGCGTGCAATTTTTGTACCTCCTTTTTTTTGTATTTCCAAGGTGACTAATGATGTTGAGCTGTTTTCAAATGTTTATTAGCTACTTGCATTACCTCTTTTGTGAAGTTCATATTCAAGTGTTTTGTGAAATTGTCTATCGGATTATCTGTCTGGTCCTTATTGAACTGTAGTAGTATATTACTCTAAATATTATAGCATACACATTTAACTTATTACAATCTAATATAAATAATCAGTTTTACCAATTCTATTTATGCTCATCACCTTTTTTGTGTTGTTATTTTTATGAATATTAGTTATACATATATTTAAACATTTATAGAACATACTTATTTTTATATAAACTTACTTTCATCTTCATTGCTGTCTTTTCTTCTGGTATCATTTTCCTTCTGACCAAATAATTCCCCTTAGCATTTTAAAAATGCAGGTCTGCTAGTAAAAAAAAAAAATTGTCTTTGTATTACAGAGACATTGTGGTTTATAGGATTCTGAGGGGACATTTATTTGCTTCCAGCACTTTCTTTTGGCTCCTATATTTTTAGAGAGATGTCAGCTGTCAATAATATTGTTTCTCTTTTGAAGGTAATATGTGTTTTTCCTCTGGTTGCTTTTTACACTGTTTTTCTTTGGTTTTCAGAATTTTGAATATGATGCTACTTCAGTATATTATTTGATTTAATTTTATTATTATTTATCTTTCTTGGTGTTTGTAGAGATTCTCAGTTCTATGATTGAATATCCTCTGTTGGTATTTTTAAAATTCATTATCTCTTCAAATATTTATTCTGCCCAATTCTTTGTTACATCTCTTAGAATTCCAATTATAAGTAGTTTAGTTCATATATATTTCACTAGTCTCTTACAGTCTTTCCTGTGTTTTTCTTTTTTCTCTCTGCGTGTATCTGTATAAATAATTCTTTTTGATCTGTCTCCCAGTTCACTAATTCTCTTTTTGCTTATATTTAAATTTACTGTTATTATCATGCATTCATCTAATTTCACATATTATATTAATAGTTCCAGTTTTATAATTTCTATCTTATTATATTTTGCGGAGTCAAATTTTCTTATAAAATCCCTGAAATTTTACTGTTTTAGCCAGTTTTCTGTATTTTCTTAAACATACTAGTCATTGTTGTATCCTTTTCTGCAAAATCTGGATCATCTACAGATCTGTTCTATTTTTTATTATACTGTACTTTCTTAGATGAATTTAATTAAATTAATTAATTTATTTATATTTATATTTTTTGAGACAGAGTCTCACTCTGTCACCCAGGCTTGAGTGTAGTGGTGTGATCTTAGCTCACTGCAACCTCTACATCCCAGGTTCAAATGATCCTTCCACCTCAGCCTCCCAAGTAGCTGGGATAACAAGTGTGCACCACAGTTCCTGGCTAATTTTTGTACTTTTAGTAGAAACAGAGTTTCACCATGTTGGCCAGGCTCCTCAAACTCCTGACCTCAAGTGATCCGCCTGCCTCGGCCTCCCAAAGTTCTGGGATTACAGGCATGAGCCACTGTGCCTAATCTTGAGATAAATTTTAAAAGTTGAATTTAAAAAATTATATTCCAGACATTGTGCATAAAAATATAGATTTTTAAGTTCTTCATGTCATAATACATTGTAACAGGGAGTGGGTCCGTATTTTCATTTGTGAAGTAGATACAATGGGGGATGACCATCTTAACCTAATCAGGGATTAAGCCAAGCTATGTCCATAGTCAATCTATATCTATTTTTCCCAGTTTCTAGATTATAACTCTCTACGCATATGGTGATTAGTAGTTTCCTCTCTAGTGTTTTTTTTGTTTCTTAATACCAAAACACTGCCAAAAATTAAGATCAGTATTTTAGAGGATTGTCATTTAGGATTTTATTCTACTGTTTTTTTTTTATTTAACCAAATTCATAATGAAGCAAACGCCTGGTGGGGAAAAGTCATTGTGTGTTTGAAGCCCTCATATCTTCAATTTTGTTACTGTAGTAGCATCCCTCTGCTTTGGCAAAACATGGATCTTTATCCACTAGCTATGGCCAAAATTAGCAAAGGTCTCAGGAATAATGTTACTATAGATGGTCAGTATACTTCTTTTGCATAAAACTTACTGTTGTATAATAAATTACAACAAACAACAGCTTAAACTGATATATTTATTGTCTCTTGGAGACAAGAAATATATTGTCTCAGTAGTTTGAGTCCAGCTTAGCCTAGCTATTTTTTCTGGGTTCCACAAGGCTACAGTCTTGCTGTTGGCTGGGCAATGTTCCATTCTTGAGCTTTCAGGGCCCTCTTCTAAACCCAGGTGGTTGTTGGTAGAATTCAGTACACAGTGGACAGCAGCACCCAATGGCAAACAGCTTTCCCCTGCAACTTCTTTGAGTGGTTTTGCAGCAGAATGCCTCCAGCAAGGTAATTCCTTAAGAACAACTCTTCTTGGCACCACAGAAGGAAGATGTGGTAGGGTCCAAAGGGTGATTTCCAGCAAGTCTTTCCAGTGTGATACTACGGTGATTTCTTGGCCATTTAGGTGCCAAGCCATGCTCTTTCCAGCAAGTTTTGGAGCTCAGTCATGGGGATGGGGACTCTTCTTTGGATGCTCTAACACAGCCCTAGAAATATGGCTGATTCTTATAACTACTATTCCTCTCTTCTTTATAGTTCTCTTTTCCCCTTAGTAGATAATCCCTCATTATTCAAGTGCCCTGTTATAGTTAATAGTTCATTTTATTTATTTCTTTTCTTTCTCTTTAAGAGATGGGGTCTGTTGGCCGGGCATGGTGGCTCACACTTGTAATCCCAGCACTTTGGGAGGCTGAGGCGGGCAGGTCATGAGGTCAGGAGATCGAGACCCATCCTGGCTAACACGGTGAAACCCCGTCTCTACTAAAAATACAAAAAAATTAGCCGGGCACAGTGGCAGGCGCCTGTAGTCCCAGCTACTCGGGAGGCTGAGGCAGGACAATGGCGTGAACCCGGGAGGCGGAGCTTGCAGTGAGCCGAGATGGCGCCATTGCACTCCAGCCTGTGTGACAGAGCGAGACTCCGTCTCAAAAAAAAAAAAAAAAGAGAGAGATGGGGTCTGTCTCTGTTGCCCTAGTGGGTGTGCAGTAGTGTAGTTACAGCTAATTGCACCCTGAAACTCCTGGGCTCAAGGAATTTTCCTGCATCACCTTCCTGAGTAGCTAGGACTACAGGCATGCACTACTATGCCCAGCTTATTAATTTATTTTTTATTTTTTGGTAGAATGAGATATCGCTATGGTTGCAAAAGCTGGTCTCAAACTCTTGGCCTTAAGTGATCTTCCCACCTCAGCCTCTCAAAGTGCTGGGATTACAGCATGAGCCTTGGTGCCCAGCCCTGACTGATACACACTGTATTGATTTTAATGACTGTTTTCCTGCCACCACCAATTATTATGACATAATCTATGACCGTTGTTCCTTGCTATGAAGACAGATTTATAGCAAATCTACAACTTTCCTAAAGCACGTTAACGTAAGCCACTTAAAATAATCACAAAGAAAGTGAGAGATAGAGATGGAATTTTTTAAAAAAAGGGCTAATTTTGTAAATAATAAAACTAAGAGTAGAAAAAAGCAAAATAATTTGTAAGAGAAAAATAAATATAGAAGATCAAAGTACATCAAGGGAAGATGACTAGAATATAACTGCATATTTATTTTCAACATAGTTATTAGGAAAAATTAAGCAAAAAAGTAAATAAAACCAAAATTCAAAGTGACACATATAACATCCTAGACAATCAAACATACTTTAAGAAGTACATGGCCCAAATAAAAGGAATTCAATAGGCTCAAATAAAATGAAACAGGTAAGCACAGAGTTAGCAAGTGTCAAAGTCTTTTTCTAGCCTAAGGGCTTCAGTCAGACCTCAGGTAACTTGAACTGAAATGAATATACAAGGTTTCAAGGATATGATACAAAGCTGCAATCTACACAATCCACGTTCCTTATAAAACTGAAAGTGCACACACTCTGTGACCCAGTAATTCTGTGCTTGGAAGTAATTTCATAAAGGTCAAAACTGAAATGCCTCTAATATGTATCAATAGAAAATTAGGTTATTGCAGTATATTTATATAAGGAAGTACAATACAGCAGTGAAGACTGTATTAGAACGATATTCAGCTATATGAATAAATCTCTTTATCAGATTTATTATATCTTTCAGTTTTTTCAAAAGTAAGTCACAGGATAATACAGCATGAATTCATTACAGTATGAGTCTACTTATGCAAATTTTAAAAGCCACTGTCACAAGCAATATCTTTTTACGAGATGCATAATTAAGTTGTATAATTATAAGTTCCAGCAAAGGTATGTTTAATACAAAATATTGGATCATGGTTATGTCTTCAGGAGGAGAACAATGGCATAAATGCAGACAGCTTCTGAGGAACTATAAAGTTCTGTATTTTAACTTGTGTTTTGATAGCTCAGGTGTTTATTATATTAACATCATAAGCTACAGCTGAATATATATAAATTCATGCACACACTTGTTTAGACTTTTTATGCATTGCATGTTTCATAACAACATTGGTTTACCTTCTAAAATACAATCTTGAGAGAGCATGAAAAGTTCTAAATCAATTAATATGAAACTATCTAAACTATTCTAAATCATTTTGATATAAAAACTCTAGGGATGCTATTTTTTATTTTTTTTGAGACAGAGTCTTGCCCTGTTGCCCAGGCTGGAGTGCACTGGTGCAATCTTGGCTCACTGCAACCTCTGCCTCCTGAGTTAAAGTGATTCCCCTGCCTCAGCCTCCCGACTAGCTGGGACTACAGGTGTGTGCCACTGCAGCTGGCTAATTGTTGTATTTTTTAGTAGAGATAGGGTTTCACCATGTTGGCCAGGCTAATCTTGATCTTGAACTCCTAACCTCAAGTGATCCACCTTCCTCGGCCTCCCAAAGTGCTGGAAGTACAGGCGTGAGCCACCACGCCTGGCCAGGGGATGCTAATTTTGGCTTCATATTTTACTTAACAGGTTTGTCCTATGTTTGGTGGGGTGGAGAATAAGTAAGTGTGTAGATGTCCTTGATTCACCCAATAGCCAACCATCTAACATGTGCATTTCAAGAGCTTTCTGATTGTAGAAATATCAGTGTGGCTTGAGTTCTTCAAGAAAGAGTAAAAAGAGAGGAAACCCACTGGTAACATGGCATTAGAAGCATCTCTATTTCATTGGAGAATACTACTCTGATTTGTAGCATGTTACGAGAGTGCAATCATTTTCACCTTTCAAAATTCTCAGAATTGTTTAAATATCATTAAGTTATGTAACAGCCACAAGTTCTCTTTTAAATAAAATATTTGAAAGTAGTTCTTACCATTTCCCTTGAAATTATTTGATTGTTTTATTATGTATTCAATAAAATGTTCTATGTACAGTGGTTTTGAACGTGAGTGTATATGTGTGTGTGCATAGGCACATGTATATATTTGGGAGGAGAAAAAAAACAAGAAAAATAAGAATACTGAAACAATGGCTGAAGTGTTCTACAGATAAAACTGTTAAAGCATGGTGAGTGTCATGGATAAACAGTCTAAGGAATGCGACCTTGAACTAACAAATATCATTTTATGTAAAAGTTCACAAAATTAATTTTATTTTCATGGGTTGTATATTAAAGAAAGAAAACTATATATCAGAATCTATATATGGTCACAATTAAAATTAGACAGGCTGACTACTGGTTTTAAGTTTAGACTGTTGAGTTGATAGCCCCAAGTATTTTACTATTTTCTATTTTGTAATTCCAAGTGTTTAATGTTTTCTCAAGTTATTCACTACATGTGATTGTCATAAGAACCATGTATTATGGAAGTGATTGTTATTGGCAGGGGCTGGGTGTTTGGGATTGGGGGGTGGGGAGGGAGAGAGAGAGAGAGAGAGAGAGAGAGAGAGAGAGAGATAATATGAGAAACTCAGAAAAACATACTCAGAAAAGATATATTTTGTCCAAGATCAGATTTTAGGCGACAGGACCTGAACTCAAGCCAAAATTTCTTGGCTTTTAGTTCTTCATCACTTTGCCTAAGGAGTAGGATGGCATGATGATTTATTCAAGACTAATCTGGAAACAGTGTCTTCAGGTAGAATTGAAGAGGAACGACTAGAAAAGAGAGACAATTTAGAGGGCTGTTAACGAATTCTGGATGGAGGTAACAAAGGCCTGGATTTAAATGGTAGCTGTGAAAATGGATCCTGCTTTCAGCTTTTTAACTGTGTCCCATGTCCTTTTACACATTTTCTGTGAGAACTAGTTTGATTGAGAGTCTTTACAATCCTTTTAAAGGTCTCTCTGGTGTTTTTTACAATGAGCCGAATGCTTTGGGATAATCTCTCTGATTTATCTGAGCTTAGTAAAATGTTCAATAAAAGTGGACTATTTGAATTCAGTGAAAGAGCACAGACTGCTGTTAGAATTTTGGACTGTTTTCTAATTTCTACATATAAAAGGATGACAAACATTCAAGGAAAATAATATGCTCCATGGATTTCATCCCTCTGTAAAACAATGAAGTTTGAGATTTGGCCCCAGAGCTTTTGTCTATTTGCAATTTCCTCTGTTTCAAATCCACATTTCTTCCTATCGCCTTGGTTTATTTACACCTGGACACGTCCAACTTTAGTTAGGTAAATATCTCCTTGTAGATTATAATGTTTACTTGTGCATGGTAGCATGCAAAGGGCACTAATCTAGAACTTGCAAAGCCTGCATTCTAGACCAGACTCTGTTACTTTCTCGAGTTAAATTGCTAAATTACTTTTGTTAAATTGTTCAGCCACATGGCGTCTGTGTCCTCGAAATGGAGTTCTAATTTTTATACTAATTTTCTTTTGCTTGCAGATATATTTAATAACACCAAGGAAACAAAAACTAAGTATATAGTTTAAGTCCTTTGTAGCTGGTAAATCAGGGGCAAATATATCTTATCATTTATTTATTTGTTAAAAAAACATATGGCCAGATTTGATGGCTGGTATGAGGTTACAACTATTGATTCAGGGCTGATGACTTGGGAAAGCTAATAAGCAAATCTTTGTGGCAGATTCTTCAGATTGACTCACTAAGTACTATTTCCAGTCCCCTTCTACATGCTTTTCTCTTCCACAGGGGCTAGACAACTAATGAGCATGTTTTCTGGATTCCTTTGCAGCTAGATTTATGCACGTACTCCAGGATATTTTCAGCAGACAAACCCACATAAGACTTGGAAGCCAAAGATAAACAATGTGAGATGGCAGCTACACCTAGAGTGCTAGTTTTCCAGAGAAACAAAACAATATGGTGTTGTATATATGTACAGTTGACTGACCCTTGACAACATGGGTTTGAAACTCACACGTCTGCTTATATGTGGAGTTTTTTTCAATAAATGCAGTCAGCCGTCTTTATCAGCAGGTTCCACATCCACAACTCAAAGCAAATGGAAAATACAGGATTAGTGGGATACAAAACCTCCATACATGGAGTGCTGACTTTTCGTGTCCTTGAGTTCCACAGGGCACACCGCAGGACTTGCAGGACTTGAGTATGCACAAATGTTGGTATTCTTCCTGCAGATACCAAAGGACAGCTGTATAAATATATGCATAGATATGTATGTATATATACATACATATAAATGTGTGTGCACACATTTAATACTATTAAATAATTGGCTTACACAATTATGACAGTTAGCAAGTGTGAAATCTGTAAGGAAGGGTTGCAGGATGGAAATTCAGTTAAGAGTTGTAGTATTGACTCCAAAATCTATAAAGCATGTTAGCATGTTGGAAACTCAGGCAGAATTTTTATATTGCAGACTTGATGCAGAATTTTTCTCGTTTTTTGAGAAATTTTTCTTTGCTTATAAGGCCCTCAACTGATTGAATGAGGCCTTATGAGGGTAAGGAGCATAATCTCCCACATTATGAAGGGTAATCTGCTTTACTTAAACTCAAGTCAACTGATTATAAATGTTAACTATGTTGTAAAAAATACCTTCAGGGCAACAATTATACTAGTGTTTGATGAAACAGCTGGGCACCACAGCCTAGCCAATTTGACATATAAATTAACCATCATGACTGGGAAGATTATATTTTGGGAAGCTTTGTTAGCATTTCTACCATCCAGGGCTTAGTAGTGTAGATGCCAAACAACATATTACAGGACTAGTGGGGCTTTTTCAATATTCTTATGTAAAAACCAAGCTGATTTACCAATGCTTCCAAGACAGTTTTTTTTTTTTTTTTTTTTTTTTAGCTCTTAATAACATCTTGCTAGTTTAAACAAATTATAGAAAGGATACTGTTGTCTGCAATTAAGAATGCTGGCCAAAATAGAAGTGCCTTCAAGTGATATAACGTCAATTATATGGAAACTAGAATTGATTTTCTGACCTAGATGGAGCTTGGAACAGTGAGGATCTGGTTAGCATTAGAGAACGAGATACTGATAGTCCATGAGGGACAGAGGTCTGCTTAAATTATGCCTCTTGTCAATTCAAATGCATTTTTTCATAAAGCCAAGGCTTTTGCAGACTGAATGGATATGGTAGTTGTTCATTTTGAAAGTCAGAATGCATATGAACTTATGAGATCAGCTGGCTATTTCTGACTTCCATAGCGATCTTATGGGGAAAAAAATAACATAATTAAGATTTTAAATGTTTGGCTGGAATAACTGCCACCAGATAATATCCCATGATTGAACAAAAAAAAAAAAAAAAAAAAAAGGAACAAAGAGAGAAGAAAGAAGAAAGAAATGTGTCCCCAAAGGGCAACACTGACATCACCGAAAATAAGATGCAGAATTTAGTTTTTAGTATTACTGTATTATAATGATTGGCTAATTGCATTCACAACCTTGCGAAAGTTAGGAAGGATTGTGCAAAAACCTGTTAAATATGAGTTTGAATGGGTTTTGAGGCAGAAGAGGGAGAAACAATTATTGACAAACTTATTTGTATAGGGAACTAAAAAATTCTGGACTTGTGTGCCAGAAAGAGCAGCAGTGGCTCTGTTGGCTTTATTAGTTGACTGATACTTCTTTTTTCTTTTTTTTTTGTATGTTTTTAGTAGAGACGGGGTTTCACTGTGTTAGCCAGGATGGTCTTGATCTCCTGACCTCGTGATCCACCTGCCTCGGCCTCCCAAAGTGCTGGGATTACAGGCGTGAGCCACTGCGCCTGGCCTCTACTTCTCAGACGAGGTTTGTGCTCAATGAAGTTTACATAACAAAAATATCCTTGTAGAAAAATGCAGAGGAAGGAATGCAATGACTTTGAGCGATAGGAATATTGAAGAGCATTTAGTATGTACACCCCATCTACCCTCAAATACAGTCCTCAGAGTAACCCAAAGAGTACATTTTCTATGGCACTTGGGATAGCACTAGAATCTTTGAAAAGCAGTGTGACGATTGTTCCCTGTAGCCTGAAATAAAAGTAGGAGACGTTGCCATTGAAGTGGGCTTTTTATTTCATGTTTGAAGAGGCTAAATATCAGTATTCCACTGCCAGATAAAATGGCATGGTTATAATGATGGGCAACAAAGAAAGAATGGTAAGCAGAATATTTTGGTCCACCTAGATCTTTGTCAACCTCCAATATGTCATAAAGGCTTTGGTACCAAAATAGATAGCCAGGTTCCTAAGTCCTTCCTAATTGCTATTAATACTTCTCTCACTCAAAAAAATTTTTAAAAAGACAAAATAGTCTACTAAACTGAGGCCTAAATTGAGCTGCAAAATGGCCAATTTTATTACCCACTCAATTGCTAAACCCAAATAAGTTTAGAGATACAGCACAGCTTGCAGGAATGCAAAGCCAGATCTGTTGGAAGAAGATGTTTGAAACAGCCTAAGTATATAAAATAAGATTTCTTTTTAGCCTTGCTCAAAAAACCTATGACCATTCACCAAAGTAATTGTGCAGTGGAAAAGGTACATAAACAGATTGTTTTTAGATATTGGAAAATAGGCACAGAGTTACTGCTAATCTTCTGGGTACTGAAAAAGCTATTTTTTTCCTTGTAAGGAAGAGCTAATGAGCATAAAGTAACAAAATTAAGGACTGACTTAAAAGATATAGGAATTTTCATCTACTCCTCCCAATTTAAGTGACCGGATTGCCTATATAGAAGACAAAATGGTTTAAACTGATGCTTTTAATATCTTATGGGGTATATGATTCTTTAATAATACAAATAAGTACCATATGTCACCATGACACTTTATATGCAGTTATTGTTTTTTGCCAACTTTCTATTTTGATAAGTTGAGAACACTAGAAGGAATTTATTTCATCTGGTCAGGCAAATACTATACCTTCAGTGTCTAACTTTAGAAATATGTTATTTCTCTACCTCTGGACCATAATTATATCTGCAGAGAATCTTATAATTTCAACATCACCCAAAACATCACACCAGTCCTTTTCACTGATGGAGTGTGTGAATAGAATATAGGGAGCAAGAAATAACAGGTACCTAGATGCTTTGATAAGAGACATGCATTCAGGAGGGTAAGATGTAATTCTAAGGAAATTTAGAATCCCAAAAGGATATCAATTTTTCCCAAGACCCAATAGTTTGAAGTACATTGGGATCTTGTTTTCAATGTAAAAATCACACTGCTTTTAGCTATGTCCAGCCTTAAAAAAAATTTTAATTTGAATTTTGGAAGCAGTAGATATTTGGTATATCTGTAATCTCAACCTATCTATTGGATAATTAGGCTACTAGTTTTTAATTGGGACCAAGCACAAAAGAAGACCTTCTAGCTTCCTCGGGCTGGAGGACAAGCAGTTCTTCCACTTAGTCTATATGAGCAAACAGATTTAGCGATGTTGGACATGTTTGTGACCCACTGGGATACTGAAAGGAGCCTGTGACAAGCCTGAAGAAAAGAATCATACTACCAGCTTCTAGGTTTTAAGTAAAGCTATATCCTTTAAAAATACTATACTAGTTTGAAAAATAGCACTTGCCTCTGTTAGATATTCTATGGATATTCATGAGATGCCATTTAATCATGTGACCTGAGCTTCCCATCATGGTTTGTGTTATTTAATCCACAAAACACATAATTTTTGGCAAGCCAGGAAGTGGTATACATGAGAATAAACTCAAGAAGATGTTGAAGGTATGAGAAAGGGAAATGAATAGGTGATCACTTTCTCCATGTGCTTGCTCCTGCTGCATTGCTACCTCTTCCTCAACCAATTCTTGGAGCTTCAGGGAGTTCTATGTGCCTAATGACTGAGGATGATAAACTTGAAATCTAGCTGTGAATACCTCTGTAAGATGTTCTGGCACCAATCAGAAGTAGAATACTCTAGAAATATAATTTATAATTAACCTTGGATGACAGTTCAGTAAAGAAATCCTCTCAGTAAGCAAAACTTTGAGGAGTATAGATATTTTTTCTCTTTGATTAGAGGGAATGATGAGCATGGTGTGGCTTTATTTCAATTTATGAGGTACGGTTTTTGGCCAGATGATCAGGGATTTGAAAGGACAAGTTTGGGAGATTAATAGTAAGGTTTGAGGGAAAATTATGTAAATTGGTCTCACATTTGAAATATCTGTGCCCCATGTAAATGATCAGCAGATGGTTCTGTCTACAGAGGAATCTCTCAGTAATCAGCTAAAAGATTCACTTTTGTTTCTGTCAGGCAGTCTCTTTTTGCACTCATCCCAGCTCTTATTTTATGTGATCATGAACAATGTTCCACAATGAAAGTCTACAGATAGGCTTATGAGCATGAGACAACCCTCCTCAAGGGTGCTCTTCATGTTGGTATTTTTGTTTGTTTGTTTTTTGTTTTTTTTTGTTGTTTTTTTTTTAGACAGAGTCTTGCTCTATCACCAGGCTGGAGTACAGTGGCGTGATCTTGGCTCACTGCAACCTCCACCTCCTGGGTTCAAGTGATTCTTCTGCCTCAGCCTCCCGAGTAGCTGGGACTACAGGTGCCCGCCACCACACCCAGCTAATTTTTGTATTTTTGGTAGAGACGGGGTTTCACCATGTTGGCCAGGATGGTCTCTATCTCTTCATCTCATGATCTGCCCGTGTTGGCCTCCCAAAGTGCTGGGATTACAGGCGTGAGCCACTGTGCCTGACTGATGTTGGTATTCTTGAGTACCCAACCTGCCATGTGTGGGATGTACATCGAACATTTGCTATAGCACCATAATTTGGAGAGAATAATCTTCCACTTTGGAGAAGGTCAGTTATGTTGGAGACTTCAATTTTGAAAGGGCAATGTCTTGTCCTCATTATAATTGACTCTTATTCTGGATATGAATTTTTCCTTTCTTCCTAACATTTATTTTGTCTTTTATTTATTTATTTATTTATTTATTTATTTATTTATGTATGTATTTATTTATATAGTTTTTTAGATATGAGGTCTTGCTATGTGGCCCAGGATTGTCTCCAACTCCTGAGCTCAAGCAATCTTCCCTCCTTGGTCTCCCAAAATGTTGGGATTTCAGGAATGAGCCACCATGCAGAGCCCCTAACTTATTCCTGCAGAAACTTTATTCATAAATATATTTTCTTATTTTCTGTTATAAAAACCAAATGAGCAAAACAAAATATAGTTTCTGACCAATGAATTTGTTTTGCAACAGAAGAAGTAAGGAGATTTTTTAGTGCTCATGGAATTTATTTTTTAAACTTTTTAAAAATTCATGTATTCTATTACCAAATAGCCCTTACCTTATAAAAATAAAATCCTTATTTAAGACGAAATAATGAACCAGATGGGAAAAATGCATTAAGGAGTTTTGGTGTTTCCCTACAGAATGCAGAACAGGTTCTTAACCAGCAAATGATATATAGTGACATTTCCCCATAGCTGGAAGGCACGGATCTGGGAACCAAAGGGTGAAAGAGAGAGAGCTACTTTTTTGCTTCCTATTCTTGTAACTTTATACAGTACTGGTATAGAAATCTTATAAGACAAGAAATCAATACCTCCAACAACGGTTGTGTCGCTGCCCTTGAACAAAAAGTTGAGACAATCAACCAGCCATTTTTTTGCTTGCTTTTCCTGCCACTGGATGGTCATACCACCAGGCAAACATCTTGACTCAGTTAGCAAGTGATGTGCACATGATGCAATACAATGAGAGGAGGGAGAATCATGCTTGCAACACAATCTATGCTAACTATGAATTAAATACTATCTCTATCTCATGCAGACAGGACTGCACAGGTATCTTGGGCATAAAGTTTTTTAAATTTTCTCTTCAGTTAAAGAACTATAGCTAGTCAAGATGCTTCCTGAGAGAAAATGGAATAAGAAATGGATATAGGTATAGTGAAAAGAAGGTATAAATACAAACCACGGTCTTGTGAAGAATTCCAGAAATAAAAGCAATAGCAGCTACCTGTATTAATTCGTTCTCACACTGCTATAAAGAACTACCTGAGACTGGGTAATTTATGAAGCAAAGAGGAGTTAACTGACTAACAGTTCCACAGGCTGTACAGGAAGCATGGTTGAGAGGCTTCAGCAAACTTACAATCATGGCAGAAGATGAAGGAGAAGCAAACATATCTTCACATGGCAGCAGAAGAGAAAGAGAGAGAGCTAAGGGGAAATTGCTTTACACTTTTAAATAACCAGATCTCGTGAGAACTCACTCACTATAATGAGAACAGCAAGGGGGAAATCCTCCCCCATGATCTAATCCCTTCCCACTGAGTCCCTCTCCCAACACTGGGAACTGCAATTAGACATGAGATTTTGGTGGGGATGCAGAACGAAACCATAGAACTACCCATAGTGTTTTCTTTACTGAGTTATGTGTATACTCAGATGCATTCACTTTTTTTCAAACTCATTTCCTTATTAATTAATATAATGTAGTGGATAATTAAATGTAATTTAGTACATAAATTAGAGGACACCTTGCCAAGATAGTGACTGAACTATGGACAAAAAAAAAAATCACCTAACAATGCATGTGGCATCTGATGAGAATATGGACCTCTTTTGTTGAGGAGTGAGCATATTTCATTTGAATGATGATAGTTAAAGTCTATTAGGTAAGATACGTGATTTTTGCTAGAGTTGCTTTGCTTTTGAGTATGGGAAGATGTTTGGGAGATGACTAATCAAAAATTTGTTTTGTGATTAAGACTGCATTTCAACAGTAGGGTATCTTTTAGAACAATTTCAGGAAAGTAGTAGCATCTATTTAGTGATTGTGTTATTCCTGGTTATATAGCCTCCAAACTTATTTCCCTGGCCATTCAGAATATCTGAGAGTTACCTAATTCTCTATTAAATTCCATCTGATAGTGTGAATTCTAATAACTCAAACTTAGAAAAAAACAACTGACTGACTAATTTATTCATTCATTGCTTCATAGGACAAATATTTATTACCTACAATGAGGTTATCAAGTGGAAAACTTTTTCTTTCTCCAGAAGTATAAAATAATATTCAAATTTGGAAAAGTAGAAAGCAAAAAGTACTCTACTTTTTAAACAGGGAAACAGATTTCCTAAGAATTAATTCTGCTTCTCAAACTATTCACCTTTTCCCACTTCTTGATTCTCCTTCCCCCATCTATTGAAAGGAGAAAACTAAGGGTAATTATAAAGATTAGAAGACAGTATCAGAGTCCCAATTTATTGTAATGGAATTAGGGATAACTGTTTGGAGAATGGAGAATAATTATCTTTCTATCAACAAACAGAAAATAATATGCTGGATAATAATTAGTAAGAATGATATTTTCATACTTGGAGGTAAGATTGGCATTTTAAGCCCTATTTGAACATGCACCAGGCCCGGTAAAATATGCTGAATCCATATAAACACTGAAAAGAAGAAATGGAAAGCAAGGGAGTGGGAAAGAGAGACAGGTCAGAAGAGGATTTGCCAGTCTTTTCCACTCTGCCCCATCATTTGGCATGCCACCCGTGGAAAATCTTAGGTGGGGCTGCCAGTGCCCCACTCAAGAGACTCAATACAGAGTCAGAGGGAAAGGCAAAAGAGATCAAGTCAGGGAAATTCTCACCTGCCAGGGAGATGTGCTATGGGGAAGACCCCACAGGTCATGCCTAGAGAAGAGTATCATCAGCAAGTAAATGATAGCAGGGACCAACAGCTGATTACAGTTGTATTCCTATTCAGTAAATAGATGTTGAGCATTTTCCTGTCATTCCTCTGGCCAGATCTAAATCATAAAATAGCTAAAACCTGAAAAAGAAAAGGATAAAAGTGAAAGAGCAGATCACGCTCAGTCTCACTTGAGTTCCCTTGGGCCAAAATCTGGTTGGCACTGGATTTCTACTATGTCACTGTGGTGCAGATGACTGCTAAACTACATATGAGTTTTCAGATTTAGACTGGACTAAACATAAATTTTTTTAATTACCAAAAGTGGCCAAATATAATTTTTTAATTACCAAAAGTGACCAGAAAAAATACAGAATAAGTCTGACATGTTATTAAGAGACAAGAAAAAAAAGATGTGACATACCATGATTGGAAGCCAATTATTAGAGAAAAATTGTTTTATGTTTACAACCCGTTGAAGTTCAAATCGTTTGACAATCCAGTTGCATTTGAGAAATGGTGGTACAAACACTTTTAGTGGAGTAACCAAAGTGATTCCTTACTGAGGTACAGAATAAGGAGAATTTGATTTTGCCAGGTAAGTTGAAGAAGATTTTCAAAGAAAGGCTTGACAATGGAACTATGTCTTAAAGATAACGAGGAAATTGTCCAGTGAAAGAGAATATGGACAAGATATTAATCAGGTGGTGCAGAAAATGTTGTAAGGTTGAATTTTTTTTAGATTAAACCATGGAACAGAGAAAATGACAGGAATTAAGATGGAAAAAGTGGTCAGGGTGATGGTAAGTTGTCTGAACCTTTTGGGCCAGGAAATACCATGATCGATGGCATATTTTTGAGAGAGCTATGTTGACAGTCTGGATTTTGCTTTAGAATGGAAGAGCGTATGAAAGAGACAATCACGGAGGAGTCTGAAGAGATAGATTATGATCATATAAACTGAGATAAGTCAGAAAACGTGGAAGAAGAGCAGTTACACATGATTTTCAGTGACCTAAGTGTTAGGACTTGCAGGCAGCAATAGGCTGTATGAAAAGAGCACTATTGAAAATGATAATGAATGTTCTAATCTGGGCTAGGTTTACGGTGATAAATCTTGACTAAGTAGAGGCATTGCATATAAACACAAGTAACTTTTCGGTAAGATGAAAAATTATTTCTTTTTCTCCTTTCCTTCTTTCCCTTCTCCTGTCTTTTCTTTTTTCCTCCCTTTCTTGTACCACCATCACTTGCTTATCTTCCAGTCTTTCTGTTTCTACTTTAATCTCCAACTGATTTCAAAACAAGAATTTGAAGTGGCTAATAGTTAATGTTCTTCTCTTTGTGTTGTTCTAACATTTCTAATGCCTGATTACTATCCAATCTTCTTTTCCCTTATTTTTGGAACTCTGTTAAATTGTACTGGGAAACTAAGAACTGTGTTTATTTTATCTTGCTGTGCATTCATAAACAGTAACATTCTCATATGCCTGTTGAAATTGTTATTAAAATAATCACATTGAGCAGTAGCCAATAATCAATTTATGTGCCACGCTAAAACTTGACTTTAGAATTTAGAATCACTTCTATTTACCCCATTAAAATTATTTATAAGAAAGATTATATTTATGAATAATTTTAGATATAATAAAAAATGTTAACTCATAATATGCAATGAGGGAAACAAACAATAAAACAAAACTAGGAATGAATTTAAGAACAATGATTTGGTAAGCAAAAAAGCTTGACTGCTTTTGCACTTGAAAACTATTGACAAAAAATTACCAAAACCAAAACCAATGAACCAAACAAACGAACGCCACACATGAAAAATACTGTCTTGGCCAGTTGTTTCTTGGATCCATCTAAAATGTGATTTATTTTTCTCATCTGCTATATAAAAAGGTGAAATTTGGTTTGATGTGGCCCAGTGCCATGCAAAAGAGAGATATACCAATATCTAGCTTATTTGACAGATGGTATTTAAACCAGAAAAAAAATCAATATGTTTATTTTTCATCAAGCTAAGGTCAATAGAAATATTTCTGTGTAATGTAATACATCATCATATGATGTCATCTCGAGAAGTTCAGTTTAAATAAGAAAGAAAAATGTGTAGCCCAGGTCAAAACCACAACAAAGCCTCCAAAGAAATACAACACTGTAAGTTGTATTCAGATGTAGGAATGCTGACTAATTGCTTTCATTAGGTAACTTCTGGGATATGGCAATTCTGGCATGTTTTCTTTGGGGGGGATTATAGTATGTGGGGTGGAGGCTTAATTTGGTTTACATAAAAATAATGCCAGCCTCCCACAAAAACAAAGCCCAATCAAAGGGACATAAACATGCTGTAAGAACTTCATAGGTATTCCCAGAAAACGAGACCTTTACTTAGCATATCGTCACCACTCATAACTGCCATCAGGACTTGACTCACTTAGAGAAGTATTGGAGATTTTCCTGGTCACTGGTTAGCTAATTGGCTCTCCTGTGGGGATATAGGGTAAGTAGAGGAAGGAAACTCAGTTTCCTGATATTCCTGAAAACTCTTTAGAAATATTGCACATTAGGAATTTATCTACTAGTCCTTTTGGGTATTACTAAGCTTAACAGACTGATCTGGATTATTCTAATGTCCAAGTGATACTATTATATAAATTTAGCATCAGAAGGAACAGATATTTTCTTCTCCATAAAATGTGGGTGAATACTTAAACCAATTAACATCCTCAGAGAAGAAAGTGGAATAAATAAAGTACCTTTTTACAATGTGGAACATTAAAAAAAATAAGAAAAAATTATGCAACATATTTTACACTTGTTCTGTAGTATAATTTAAGGAAACCATCGAGCATTAATCTGGTGCATTAAAAATCCCGTGGTGTCAGTATAAAGTTAAAAGCAAAATCTTTTATTAATATTTCTTTCCAAGGTGTGTTATAAAGAATTAGTCAGAGGTTTTAAGAATAAACAATGAAAGGATTGTGCATAAGCATTTTATGAAAAAAATGTTTTTTGTTTCAAAAAGATCTTTCATCTTCAAAGATTTTAATAGTCAAAGTGGGTTAAAAGGTGACAGCTCTTACCTACAATCTTTTCAGGTACTTGAATGTAGAGAACTTTTTTCAAAGAACCTATAAATACCCTTCATGTTTTTATCCTTGAAGGTGTGAGGTATCCAGTTAAATGTCTCCAATTGGGCTGTATAGTTACTCACAAACTACATATTTTCATGCGCGTCCATGTGAAGAGACCACCAAACAGGCTTTGTGTGAGCAATAAAGCTGTTTATTTCACCTGGGTGCAGGTGGGCTGAGTCCGAAAAGAGAGTCAGCAAAGGGAGATAGGGGTGGGACCGTTTTATAGGATTTGGGTAGGTAAAGGAAAATTACAAAGGGGGGTTGTTCTCTGACGGGCAGAGTGGGGGTCACAAGGTACTCAGTGGGGGAGCTTTTGAGCCAGGATGAGCCAGGAGAAGGAATTTCACAAGACAATGTCATCAGTTAAGGCAGGAACAGGCCATTTTCACTTCTTTTGTGGTGGAATGTTATCAGTTAAGGCAGGAACCAGCCATCTGGATGTGTACATGCAGGTCACAGGGGATATGATGGCTTAGCTTGGGCTCAGAGGCCTGACATTCCTGTCTTCTTATATTAATAAGAAAAATAAAACGAAATAGTGGTAAAGTGTTGGGACGGTGAAAATTTTTGGGGGGTGGTATGGAGAGATAATGGGCAATGTTTCTCAGGGCTGCTTCGAGAGGGATTAGGGGCGCGGCGTGGGAACCTAGAGTGGGAGAGATTAAGCTGAAGGAAGATTTGTGGTAAGGGGTGATATTGTGGGGTTGTTAGACGAAACATTTGTCTTTTAGAATTATTGGTGATGGCCTGGATACAGTTTTGTATGAATTGAAAAACTAAATGGAATAAGAGAAGGAGAAAAACAGGTATTAAAGGACTAAGAATTGGGAGGACCTAGGACATCTAATTAGAGAGTGCCTAAGGAGGTTCAGCACAGCCTTGCCAGTAAAGATTATTTACTTTAAGAGTTAAGAGTGGCGGTTTGGGGATAGCACCAGGAGATATCAGCTGTGCTGGCTTGGAGAAACAGTGTAAACTGGCAGTGTAAACAAGAGCAGGGCATGTATGAGTAGTTGAGAACGGTGAATAGGAGTATGACTAGACAGAAGATAGTAGGGATGACAAGTTATTTGGGACACAGTCCAAGTTGGTTTGGTGTCTGGAATGAGACTGGGGCCTAATAAAAAGGAGCTCAAATGGGCTATAACTTGTAGCATTCCGAGGACAGGCCTGAATTCTGAGAAGCGAAAGTGGTAAAAGTATTGTCCAGTCCTTTTTAAGTTGGTGGCTGAGCTTGGTGAGGTGTGTTTTTAAAAGACCTTTAGTCCGTTCTACTTTTCCTGAAGACGGAGGACCGTAAGGGATATAAAGGTTTCACTGAATACTAAGAGCCTGAAAAACTGCTTGGCTGATTTGACTAATAAAGGCTGGTCTGTTATCAGACTGTATAGAGGTGGGAAGGCTAAACTGAGGAATTGTGTCTGACAGAAGGGAAGAAATGACTGCGGTGGCCTTCTCAGACCCTGTAGGAAAGGCCTGTACCTATCCAGTGAAAGTGTCTACCTAGACTAAGAGGTATTTTAGTTATCTGACTCGGGGCATGTTGAGTAAAGCTAATTTGCCAGTCCTGGGCGGGGGCAAATCCTTGAGCTTGATGTGTAGGGAAGGCAGGGGGCCTGAATAATCCTTGAGGAGTAGTATAATAGCAGATGGAACACTGAGAAGTTATTTCCTTGAGGATAGATTTCCACGATGGAAAGAAAATGAGAGGTTCTAAGAGGCGGGCTAGTGGCTTGTACTATAGCATAGCCTGCCTTTGCTGGTGTGTGGCGATTAGGCCTGGTGGAACTGCCATCAATAAATCAAGCGTGATCAGGGTGAGGAACAGGAAAGAAGGAAATATGGGGAAATGGGGTGAATGTCAGGTGGATCAGAGAGATACAGTCATGGGGGTCAGGTGTGGTATCAGGAATAATGTGGGAGGCCAGATTGAAGTCCGGGCCAGGAACAATGGTAATTATGGGACTTAACAAAGAGTGAGTACAGCTGAAGGAGCCGGGGCGCAGAAAGTATATGCGTCAGGTATGAGGAAGAAAATAGATTTTGGAAGTTATGAGAAATGTAGAGAGTGAGTTGAGCATAGTTTGTGACTTTTAGGGCCTCTAAAAGTATTAAAGCAGTGGCAGCCGCTGCACGCAGACATGAGGGCTAGGCTAAAATAATAAGGTCAAGTTGTTTGGACAGAAAGGCTACAGGGTGCGGTCCTGGCTTTTGTGTAAGAATTCTGACCGCACTAAGCATGCTAGGAAGGAAAGGAGCTGTTGTTTTATAAGGGATTGAGGTTTGGGAGATTAATCGGACATGATCAGCAGGGAAAACACTTGTGTTTTTATGAGAATTATGCCGATAGGTAACAGATGAGGATGAAATTTGGGCTTGACTGAAGTAATGGGGGCTGTCTGTGAAGGCTTGCGGCAGTACAGCCCAGGTAATTTGCTGAGCCTAATGGGTGTCAGGGTCAGTCTAAGTGAAAGCAAAGAGAGGCTGGGATGAGGGGTGCAGGGGAATAGTGAAAAAAGCATCTTTAAGATCGAGAATGGAATAGTGAGTTGTGGAGGAAGGTATTGAGGACAAAAGAGTGTACAGCTTGGGCACCACAGGATGGATAGGCAAAACAATTTGTTGATAAGGTGCAGATCCTGAACTAATCTGTAAGACTTGTCCAGTTTTTGGACAGGTAAGATGGGGGAATTGTAAGGAGAGTTTATAGGTTTTAGAAGCCCATGCTGTAGCAGGCAAGTGATAACAGGCTTTAATCCTTTTAAAGCGTGCTGTGGGATGGGATATTGGCGTTGAGTGGGGTAAGGGTGATTAGGTTTTAATGGGATGGTAATGGACATGTGATCAGTTGCCAGGGTAGGAGTACAGATGTCCCATACTTGTTGGTTAAGGTCGGGGGATACGAGAGGAAGACGCAAAGGAGGCTTTGGGTTGGGGAGAAGGGCGGCAATGAGATGCAGCTGTAGTTCAGGAATAGTCAGGGAAGCAGATAATTTGGTTAAAGTGTCTCGGCCTAATAAGGGAACTGGGCAGGTGGGGATAACTAAAAAAGAGTGCATTAAAAGAGTGTTGTCCAAGTTGGCACCAGAGTGGGGGAGTTTTCAGGGGTTTAGAAGCCTGGCCATCAATACCCACAACAGTTATGGAGGCAAGGGAAACAGGCCCTTGAAAAGAAGGTAATGTGGAATGGGTAGCCTCCGTATTGACTAAGGGGATGGACTTACCTTCCACTGTGAGAGTTACCCAAAGCTCGGCATCCGTGATGGTCTATGGGGCTTCCGAGGTGATCGGGCAGCGTCAGTCTTCAGCTGCTAAGCCGAGAAGGAGTCAGAGAGCCTTGGGAGTGGCTGCCAGGTGAGTTGGACAGTCTGATTTCCAGTGGGGTCCCACACAGATGGGACGTGGCTTAGGAGGAATCCCGGGCTGCAGGCATTCCTTGGCCTGGTGGACAGATTTCTGGCACTTGTAGCAAGCTCCTGGGGGAGGAGGTTCTGGAGGAACGCCTGGCAGCTGCGGTTCAGGCGTTTGGAAGTTCTTGTGTGCTGGAGATGTGGCTGGGGTTTGTCTCACAGTGGAGGCAAGGAATTGCAACTTTTTTCTATTATTGTACACCTTGAAGGTGAGGTTAATTAAATCCTTTTGTGGGGTTTGAGGGCTGGAATTTAATTTTTGGAGTTTTATTTAATGTCGGGAGCAGATTGGGTAATAAAATGTATTTTGAGAATAAGACGGCCTTTTGGCCTTTTAGGGTCTAGGGCTGTGAAATGTCTCAGGGTTGCTGCCAAAAGAGTCATGAACTGGGCTGGATTTTTATATGTGATGAAAAAGCCTAAACGCTATCTGATTTGGGATAAAGAAAAAGGAGCATTAACCTTGACTATGCCTTTAGCTCCAGCCACCTTTTTAAGAGTAAATTGCTGGGCAGGTGGGGGAGGGCTAGTCACGGAATGAAACTGTAAGCCGGACCAGGTGTGAGGAGGGGAGGTGATAAAGGATTATAGGGTGGAGGAGCGGAGGCTGAGGAAGAATTGGGACCTAGCTGGGCCTGGTGAGGAGCAGCCTGGGGAGGAAGGGAGAGGTCAGATGGGTCTGTAGAAAAGGAAGATTAGAAAGACTCAGTGATGCTTGGGGTTGGGACTGAGGGGACAGGTGGGAGGGAAAGAAGGAAGATTTGGGATGAGTTGCATTGGGAACAGAGACTAGAGAGGGACCAATGTGTAAAAGAATGCCTGGACATCAGGCACCTCAGACCATTTGCCCATTTTACAACAAGAATTATTTAGATCTTGCAGGATGGAAAAATTGAAAGTGCCGTTTTCTGGCTATGTGGAACTACTGTTGAGTTTGTATTGGGGTCAAGCGGCATTGCAGAAGAAAATAAGATGCTTAGATTTTAGGTCAGGTGAGAGTTGAAGAGGTTTTAAGTTCTTAAGAACACAGGCTAAGGGAAAAGAAGGAGGAATGGAGGGTGGAAGGTTGCCCATAGTGAAGGAGGCAAGCCCAGAGAAAGGAGAGAGTAGAGACACGGAGGGAAGGGGTTCGGGGGTTCTTACCCTCCAGAAAAGTGGGAAAGGGGTCAGGGCACAGAGATATGAGGTCGGGGCATGGAAATAAGGGATTGGGGCACAGATATATAAGAGGTTGTGGTGCGGAAATAAGGGATCGGGGTGCAGAGATATAAGAGGTTGGGGTGTGGAAATAAGGGATTGGGGCGCAGAGATATAAGGGGTCGGGGCATGGAAATAAGGGATCAGGGCACAGAGATACGAGGTTGGGGTACTTGCCCCTCCTCTAGAAAAGTGGGACTTGCCGCTAAGGGTGAAGGACCAAGGCAGGTGTCCCTGTGTGGTCTGACACCTCTGAAACGTGGGTGAATAATCAGAGAGGCGTCCCTGCAATGATTAAACACCAAGAAAAGGCTGCCTTCCCAGTCCGTGACCGGCGCCGGAGTTTTGGGTCCACAGATAAAACGTGTCTCCTTTGTCTCTACCAGAAAATGAAAGGAATTGAAATTAAAAGAAGGGAGAGATTGAAGTGTGGCGCCAAGATTGAAAGGAGAAAGAGGTTGAGGGATAGTGAGGGAGGCTGGAGAAGAGAGTAAAAAGAGGCCACTTACTGGATTTGAAATTAGTGAGATGTTTCTTGGGCTGGTCGGTCTGAGGACTTGAGGTCGTAGGTGGACCTTTCTCACGGAGCAAAGAGCAGGAGGACAGGGGATTGATCTCCCAAGGGAGGTCCCCCGATCCGAGTCACGGCACCAAATTTCATGTGCGTCCATGTGAAGAGACCACCAAACAGGCTTTGTGTGAGCAATAAAGCTGTTTATTTCACCTGGGTGCAGGTGGGCTGAGTCTGAAAAGAGAGTCAGCAAAGGGACATAGGGGTGGGACTGTTTTACAGGATTTGGGTAGGTAAAGGAAAATTACAGTCAAAGGGGGGTTGTTCTCTGGCAGGCAGAGTGGGGGTCACAAGGTACTCAGTGGGAGAGCTTTTGAGCCAGGATGAGCCAGGAGAAGGAATTTCACAAGACAATGTCATCAGTTAAGGCAGGAACAGGCCATTTTCACTTCTTTTGTGGTGGAATGTTATCAGTTAAGGCAGGAACCGGCCATCTGGATGTGTACATGCAGGTCACAGGGGATATGATGGCTTAGCTTGGGCTCAGAGGCCTGACACATATCCCTAAATGTTTATAAAGATCTAATGTAGTATAAAGTTTTTGAGAAAATTAGTAATTTATTTCAAGGAATATTCACCCATCATCTACTAAGAGCCAGGTACCAGGAATACAACTTAAGAAAATGGATAATACCTATTCTATGCTATGAAGACAATCATGTGAAAAACCATGTAGTGCAGAGTTTTACTAAATTCTAGCCTCATAGTTCTGACTGTGTACAGCAGCGTATCAGACATTTTCATCTGGATGTCTTATGTTTATTCAAATTTAAATATCCAAAACCAAACTTTTCACTTCCTTCCCAGAAATAAAAACCCCTCCTTCTTCTGCTCATGTTCTTTTTTAAAAAAACTACTCAAACTCATAAATTAGAAACTTCACATTCATTTGATTTCTCTTCCTCTCTTTTATCCTTTTATGTAGCCATTTGATTCATTTTTCTATCCTTTCAGTTTATCTAGTTATTCAAAAATCCTGATGTTTTTGTTTTTAAAGTATTTTTATGCATTCTCCCATTATCATTCAAGGAGAAGCAACTTTATAGCCAGAACTGAGTTCCAATCTTGGCTCATCCACTTACTAGATGTGTGTCTTTAAGAAAGTTAGGTAACATCTCTGTAAGCCCAGGTTTCCTCAGAGGCTTGTTTTGAGTATTAAGAAGATAATGTATGTAAAGCACTAGCAGACAAGCCCCTAAACGTGAGCACAGGAAGCATACAGGCTTTCATTATTGTTCCCACTCCCTGCACCTTAGTTCATGCGCTTATCACTTGTGCCAACTTCTGCCAAACTTTTTGAGCCTCTCTTCCTAACTGTGGTCTCCTCTTACACTCCAGTTTTACCTTTCACTAGCATTTTACCTTTCTTTCTGCAGGAATCTTTTTTATCAAAGTGGTATGATTTCCCATTTCCATTAGGATAAAGAATCTTTCAAATCCAATCTTTTTTCTCCTATTGACACCTCCTACCTAGTGAATCCTCCCTCCATCCAGGCCAACTTCCCTGGCTGGGTTTCCATGAACATACCCAGAGGACTGCTGTACTTTGCTTCCTTCTTGGCCTCTGCATCAAAATGTGAGGGTTGCAGCTAACATATAAAATGTGAGCTTGTGTGAGTGTGTAATTGAATTCATCATTAAAAACACTCTAATGAAGAAAATGTTAGTCCCAGTTGATTTCAACAATTTTGAGGAAATTTGATATCAATTTTGTAAAATGTTTTTTTCCGGAAAACAGAGCAGAAATAAAGTAGATATGTCACTTATTTTATGAGGCCAACATTTCCTAATACCAAAATCAGGAAAAGTCATGATGATATTCTATGGTTTTTTTCCTAAGATTTTTATAGTTTCACATTTTACATGTAAGTCTGATTTCTCAAATTTCTTTTTTAAAAACGTGCAGTGATATATAGCATGATGCTTTCTTGGCTTTGTTTTTTGTGAGTTTGTGGGGTTTTTTGACATATGGATTTGCAGTTCAAGCACGGTTTTTGGAAAATACTGTCATTTGAATTGCATTGTACTTTTTACACAAATCAGTTGACCACATTTATGAGTCAGTTTTCTGAAATCTCCATTCTATTCCATCCTTTTATGTGGTTATTCCTTCGCCAATACTGTACTGTCTTGAGTATAGTATCTTTCTAGTATATCTTAAAATATGACATTGTGGCCAGGCTCATACCTGTAATCCTAGCACTTTGGGAGGCCAAGGTGGGTGGACTGCTTGAGCTCAGGAGTTAGAGACCAGCCTGGACAACATGGCAGAATCTTGTCTTTACAATGAATACAAAAATCAGCTGAGCATGGTGGTGCACGCCTGTAGTCCTAGCTACTGGGAGGCTGAGGTGGGAGGTTGGTTTAAGCCCAGGAGGTGGAAGTTGCAGTGAGCATTGCCACTGCACTCCAGCCTGGGCAACAGAGCCAGATCCTGTCTCAAAATAAAATAAAATAAGGCACTGAGAGTTCTCCAACTTGGTGGGTTTTTCCCCAAGGTTTCTGTCTGTTCCAATTCCTTTCCCTTTGCATATAAAATTTAAAATCAGGTTTCCTATAACTTTAAAGCATTCTGCTAGGATTTTCTTAGATTGTACAAAATCTGTAGATCAATTTGGAGAAAATTGGCATCTTAATCATATTAGGTTTTCCAGTCCATCGGTAGTACATGTTTCTCCACTTACTTAGTATGCAGATCCTAAATTCTATATTTTTTTAGAATTATACACAGGTATTTATTTTTGGAAAGTATTATAAGTAATGTGGTATTTTAAAATTTTTGATTTGCAATGTTTAATAGTGGTGCATAGAAATATGACCAAATTTACACTGCTGATCTTATATCCTGTGCATTAGTAAGCTGATTGACTTCTAGGAAATTTTTAGAAAATGTTTTGGAATTTTCTACAAAGACAAATATTTCATCTAGGGTAGGGACAGTTTTAATCATTTTCTTTTCCAATGTGAATATCTTTCATTTCTTTTCGTATCTTATTGCACTAGCTATGACTTTCAGTAGATTATTGAATAGCTGTGATAAGAGTGAAAATCTACGCAGAGTTCCTAACCTTAAGTGTATTTCACTTTCATTGTGAAGTCTGATATGATTGCAGGTTTTTATAGATGTTCTTTCTCATATTAAGGGAGTTTTCTTCTATTAATAGTTTTCTAAGAGTATTTTTGTTTCTAAAAGTTTGTTTTTAAATCAAGGATACATGTTAAATTTTGTCAGATGTGTTTCCCTTACGCCTTGATTTAATTATAAGGTTTTGCTTGTTTAGCCTGTTAATATGGTGAACTGATTTTTCAAATTATAAACCAGCTTTACATTACTGAGGTAAATCCCATTCATTCTTGATGCATATTTCTTTTTAAATACTGCTGGGTTTAATTTTCTATTTTGTTGAGCAATTTTTCTCAATGTGCTTTTATTTTCTTGTAATCATTTTGTCTGATTTTGCTACCAGGATAAGGTTGGTCTTACAAAATGAATTAGGAAACATTTACTGTTTTTTTTTATTTTTCTGGAAATTTTTTTTGTGGAACTGGTGTTCATTTCAACTTTAAATGTTAGACAGAATTTGCAAGTGATATCATCTGGGCCTAGATTTTTCTTTTATTTTAATGAGGATTTTCAACTATAAATTCTATTTGATCTATCGATCTATCTATCTATCTATCTATCTATCTATCTATCTGTCTATTGAACTGACTGTTGCCTACTTCTTTTCACATGAGTTTTGATGGTTTGGGTCTTTCAATAAATTAGTCCATTTCATTTAGGTTGTTGATTTTTTTTTTTTTTTTTGAGACGGAGTCTTGCTCTGTTGCCCAGGCTGGAGTGCAGTGGCACGATCTCGGCTCACTGCAAGCTCCCTCTCCCAGGTTCACGCCATTCTCCTGCCTCAGCCTCCCGAATAGCTGGGACTACAGGCGCCTGCCACCATGCCCGGCTAATTTTTTTTTTGTATTTTTAGTAGAGATGGGGTTTCACCGTGTTAGCCAGGATGGTCTCGATCTCCTGACCTCGTGATCCGCCCACCTCGGCCTCCCAAAGTGCTGGGATTACAGGCTTGAGCCACCGCGCCCGGCCTAGGTTGTTGAATTTATACACATGGAGTTGTCTACAGTATTTCCTTATTATCCTTTGAATGTTCACTGGGTCAGTCACATTATACGAATTCTTTTTCTATTTTTAATTGATACATTCTTTTTTATTTCTTGGTTAACTGGAAGATTATCAGTGGAGGTTTGTCAATTTTACTTATCTTTTTTGAATTTTTACTAAAATTTATCAGTGGAGGTTTATAAATTTCATATCCTTTCAAAAAAGCAGCATTTGTTTTTAATATTTTCTCTATTATCTTTCTGTTTTTAGATGTATTTTTCCTCTTTAAAATTCCCTTTTTTCTGCTTGTGTTTGGTTAGTTTACTCTTTTTTTTATCCAGTTTCTTAAAGTGGAAACCATTTTTCTTTTCCAATATTAGCATTTAAAGTTACACATTTCCCTCTAAGCTGTTCTCTGGCAGCATCTGTCAAAAATGTTTTTATATCCCTTACATTTTGATACATTGTATTTTAATATTCACTGTAAAATATTTTCTAATTTCCCTTGAAATGTCTTTATTTACAAATTATGTAGTGTGACTTTCAATTTCCAAATATTTGGCGAATTGATTTCTTGTTTATTTTAGTTGTTAATTCAGTTTAATTATGTTAGTGATTTTTAGTTTGTTTGTTTGTTTGTTTATTTATTTATTTGAGACAGAGTCTCACTCTGTCCCCCAGTCTAGAGTGCAGTGGCACGATCTTGGTTCACTGCAACCTCAGCCTCCTAGGTTCAAATGATTCTCCCACCTCAGCCTTCAGAGTAGCTGGGATTACAGGCGTGCACCACCATGCCCAGCTACTTTTCGTATTTTTAGTAGAGACGGGGTTTTGCCGTGTTGGCCAGGCTGGTCTCAAACTCCTGACCTCATCTTGGACTTCCAAAGTGTTGGGATTACAGGCGTGAGCCACCACGCCTGGCCCAGTTTAATTTTTTATGGTAAAAACCTACCTTGAATAATTCCCATCAGGTTTAATTTACTAGGTCTTGTTTTGTGATTCACAAATACAGTCTAACTTGGTGAATGTTTCATGTGTACCTGAAAAGAATATATATTATGCTATAGTTAGATGGAGTTTTCTACATGATAGTGTTCAAATATTCTATATCCTTACTGATTTATTTTTACTTCTTTTATCAATTACTGAGAGAGTTGTGCTAAAGTCTCCAGGTATACCAGCTTTGTCTAGTTTTTCATTTCCTTCAATATGTTTTGTTTTATGTATCTAGAATCCCTGTTATTAGGTACATATGCACTTAGCATTGTTATGTCTTCTTGAAAAAATTGGCATTTTTCCCCTATATGATATCTTTCTTTATTCCCAGTGATTTGTTGTTGTTGTTCTAAAGTCTACTTTGTCTTCAGTTTTTAAAAAAATAAATTGTGTTTCATCTTATATCCTTATTCATCTTTTATTCTAAACCTTTGTTCATCATTATATTTACCATTGGTTTCTTTAAATAGTATATTTTGATGTCTGGTTTCGTTTTTTATCTGACCTGAAATAACTGTCTTTTAGTTAGTATGTTTAGACCATTTACAGTTAATGTAGTTATTTCTATGGGTAGATTTATTTCCATCATTTTATTATTAGTTTTCCGTTTGTCAATCTACTGTTTTTTAATTCTATGATCTTTTTCCCTGTCTTTTTTTGAATTATTTGAGTTATTTTAGAATTTAAACAATGAACCAATATTTTTACTATATTTCTTTCTGTTTGTGTGTATGCAGTTTATGTGGAGACTTTCTTTAGGCATTGCAAAGCATAATTTTGGGGGATTGTAACATACATAGAAATAAATAAGTACATTTATATATACAATATTTTTGTCTATTTAAAAAGTTACTCGACAACCTCTTCTTTCCTTAGAGTAGCTAAACATGCCATAAGTTGAAGCACAATACTTAGGTACACTTATATTTCATACAAAAACTTTGTTTAAAGTTTTATTATACTGATATTTATAAAATTCTTCTAAAACGTACTTTGGTGTATATGCATATGTGTGTGTATATATATGTGTATATATATGTTATGTGTGTGTATATATGTGTGTGTGTGTATATATACACACACAAAGTAAATTTTAAATTCAGTGGGCCTGAATCTTTATGGAGATAATTTCTCATATTTAATTTATACTTTTTAAAAAATTTTAATTAAGTTGTATAAACAATTTTGTATTACATGCTTATTCCACACCCCTAAATGTGATCTCTATTTAATCAGCACATAATATTTAGATTGTGTCCTCACCAAGTTCAATTCAATTATTGAGGAATACAAATTTTAGTCTTACAGGGACCGCTTCAGAAATGCAGAAAGACACCTGAAAAAATAAAGAAAAAAGAAATGATTTTTAAAACGTGTACTTTGTTTGAAAAAAAATTAAAACCATGCTACAGTTTACACATAATCAGAGAGAATTTGTGTTTTCTGATTGACCAGAGAAATTTTGTTTTCTGATTGTACCTAGAGAGATCACCAACTCTAGGAGCTCTCAGTCTAGAGAAGATACATTGTTAGTGATCCATGAATAGAAAAATAAACATTCAAAACAAATATTGATTACTGAGCCCAGAGACACCGCAACAGCAATATCGAATAAAATAAATCAGATATCCAAAAATATCAGTCAAGAGATTTCAGTCTTTTTCATACCCTTTCATAGTTTATTCCAATGATCTGTCCTTATCCATTAAAGAATTAGTCTGTAAATAAGTATAGAAAATAAATAATGGCTTACATTTATTAAAATATATCAATAAGTTCTTGTTACAGAAAATGCTGTTTGTTTTGAAAAAAATAATTTTTATGTTTAAAAATATTTTTAAATATTCAAACTAGTGGTATAACTGTGGTGGGGCTTCCTGCTTGTAAGGCGTTGCTAAGAATAAATCTGTAATACCCAAAAAGAAATTGATTCTTTAAATCAATCTGTTTAGTTTAGATATAGCTGTGATTTTACTTTTAAGATAATATCAAATTCTGATTGGAATGACCACCACTTGTGTTTCTGAGAATAAAACTGTATGACTCACAGAAAACACCCAAGAAAAAGAAATGATCCAACAAACAAATAAATTGCTATTGCAGGCTAAATATCTTCCCTTTTTTTAAAAAAAAAAACAAAACAGTTTCACTTTGAAGAGAAGTCCTCTGTTAAATTAGACAAACTGACAGAGACTAAAGAGTACACTTCTTTCTCCTGTTGTTCCTTGTTCTGTGTGAATCATCCTTTGTTCACTGAATTACTGTTAACACCTTGGCACCAGAGATGATTAGTTCTTTGGCAATTCTGTTCTTTCTCCTTCCTCGGTAAAACAATGCAGACGTGCATTGCTAACAGAATGGTTTCAGATGAAGCTAGGCCTGTACTGATAATCCTAGGTAGACAGAAATACAGGCACTGAGATTCAGTTCTGCCCTGGTGTTGGAAGAGGCAATCTGCCATGGGCCTTGAGCTTCCTCTGCTTCTTCTTGCTGAGAAGGCCAAGAATGCGAAGCCCCGACTATGCTCTTCCCTGTATCAGTTCTGAGTTGTGCTTGCAGTGAGCGACCTTGTGGAATGGGGTAATGTCTATCTTCAGTTCCAGGGCAAGCTTCCTTCCACTAACAATAAGAAAAACCATAGAGCCTCACAATTGGTAGTTCTCTCCAAGAATGCAACCCACTGCACATGTAGGCATATAGTATGGGTCCTGTTATGGACTGAATTCTGACCCCCAAAATTCATATGTTGAAGCCCTGACTCCCAGTGCGATTGTTTCTGGAGATAGGGTTTTTAGGAATTAATTAAGATTAGATGAGGTCATAAAAGTGGGACCCTAATCCCCAAGGACTGTGGCCTTATACGAAGAAGAAGAAGAGATCTATCTTTTTGTCCTCTCAAGAAGGCAGGAAGTGAGCCCTGTCCAGCCATAGACTCTGCTAGTACCTTGATCTTGGACTTCCTATCCTCCTGAACTGTGAGAAAATAAATTTCTGTTGTTTTAATCACCTCAGCCTCTGATGTTTTCTTATGGCAGCCTGAGCTAATATAAGCTTTTTGTGTTGCTCTTATGGTTTTGAGCAGAAGTATGGGGAACTGCCACAAACATAAATGTCTAACTACTGCTTTTGTTGTTTAATAGAGGCTTTTGTCTGTTGCTCAGGACTCTCATCTCTTTTGCCAGGACCCTTGAAATAGTAACAGGCTAACTTGCTGGCTTATAAGTAGAATAAAACCTTAGAATGTTTACATTGCTTGACTCTAGCCCGCTCTCAGCCTAAAATCACCAGCAGCTAGCCACTGTTAATGATGATGATGATGGTGGTGGTGATGGTGAGGATAGTGATGGTAGCTCCTCCTGCTTCTGTAGCTATGACTATGACCTGTTTATGTACTAGATACCCAACACTTTGTATATATTATCCTAACAACAACTCAATGATCCTAACAACAACTCAATCAAGTTGCTAACGTGAATTAAGGGGAATTAATGAATTTGATTTATATTTTTAAAAGATTATTCTAACTGCCGTTAGAATGGGCAAAGGGGTCAGAGTAAAGCTAATACCTGCTGTAATAGTCTGTGGAAGACATAATAGAAGCTCCAACTTGTGCTTTGTCTACAATAGAAACTATACTGCATCTTAATCTGTTAGTGGTTTTAAAATAAATATTTGTGAGATGCTTATAGTCCAGTTACAACACAGAAAATGCAATACTACTCAATATTATTCTACTCATTTTGTTGTTTCAGGTTCCATAATTTATTTATCTTTCTTTATCCACTAATTTCACACAAATCAAAGAAAGTAAAGGTTTAACAATTGTATGTCCAAAGCTCAAACTTTTATTCTCAAGCACTGTTCAGAAGTATCTAAAAGACATTCACCTCAAGTTGTAGCTAGCTTTACAGAATGAAATCTGAATCCTTCAGAAGTCTTTTCATTATGGTGACCTACATTAAGTAGTAATAAGGGTAATCAAATTGGAATATTTTTATCATAGAAATATACTTTCAGACCTTTAAAATATTCTTTTAAGGATTTATTCATTTCCAAAATGTATTTATAACACATTATTGGCTTATGCTATGTTTATGTCAGAAAACAGCTTTAATTTTACATCTTTCCTCAGGAATCAGCTATGGCCAAACCTGGTCTCTTTTCTCTCAAGCTGGCTAGATTTTCCCCTCTTGTCACATTGTTCTCATAGAGGCTATAGAAAATGAATGAGTCTCTGGCTTTCACTTCCTCACACTTCCTCAGGTTAAAAGGTTATGGTAATCTCTATTTATAAATGGCTGTTTTCTGTTCTTCTCTTGTGCTCATAAGAAGGCAGCAATAGATACTTACAAAGTCACCTGCCCAAGAGGGCTTTGACTGGCTCTTGTAAATTCTTTCCTTTAGCTTTCTAGGAGCCCCCCAACCCTGGCTCCCTTGTTTGCCTCCCACATTAGTACCGCATAGTTTAATACTCAAGTGTAAGGCTCTTTGAATCAACCACCTGCTCTCTATGACTTGTACACCAAATTTTGCTAAGAACATGCTGTCTCTGTAGTGTTTTGTTTTGTTTTAAATTGCTTTTTAGGGAGATGTGTTTGCAGCACTACAAGAAATCTGTAGAAAAGTTTAGCGAAGAACAGAGAGTAGAACAAACTATTCATTCTGTTATTGTTCTGAAACATGTCACCAGATACTGAATAATAAATGCCAAAAAAAACCTAAAATTTTAAGTGAAAGAAAAAAACTCTTCTTGAAAACTGTGCCAACTTCTAGAAGAAAATTATTTACTAATTGCATTTTCTATTTATACATGTTATGGGATTAAAGATGCCGCAATGTTTTTATAAAAATTACTTTAATAAATTGCCTAAAAAATAGTTGGAGCTAATGTGGCCAAAATCATGTTGCTTTATTTATGGTTTACTCATTTTTATTTGCTTATATTTTAAGCTGTTTGAAGACATTGATCATGTTTTCTTGTGGTCTGTAGCTTGATGGGACTCTAGTTATTTTGAATGTTTATTAGTTATTGATTCACCATGATCTGATAACCAATTCCAATTTAACTCCTTGTTCTGGCTGTTCTTTTTATTATTCTCTTTTCTGGAAGCCTGTCTAAAAACCAGGTCTGAAGTCGTTATTCATAAGTAGTCAGTCTCTGTGCTCAGATTATCTGCATTAAAAGATCAATAGGACGTGGCCCCAGGACAGTCGACTATACTATTTCATTAACATAGTAACAAGATGGGAGGCTAATAATAATATTGCCTTGCTAATAGGTTTAAAGGGAAAATTAATTAGTTGATACTTGCAAAGATAATCTACATAGTCTAGCTTTTTTCCTTCACAGAAATGCACACATCATAAAGGAAACCCAAACATTGTTATATACCACAAGCCAATGTCAGATTTTAAAAGCTAAGATATTCAATCTGAAGTTATCTGTCATATTTTTAATGAATAATTCAACATTTAACCCATTAATATTAACCTTTTCATTTTAAATACAGCCCAATGTCAAATATATATCAAAAAAACCTTTAGACTTAGTATGCCCTTTGACCAGAACCTCAGCTTCTAGAAATTCATTCAATGAAAATCATAATGAATATGTGCAAAGGTCTAATGAAAAGAATATAGATTAAAAACTGTATTTAGAATAGTGAAAAATAAACAAATGTTCAAAAGCAGGGGAAAAGCTAGGTAACTTATATAACAGTAAAAAATTCAAATACTCTGCCACCATTATGAAATTATATGATGGAAGAATATTTTCTTCTACAAAAACAGCTTCTACATATTGTTAATAAAAATGTTTATGATAAATCTGATCCCTTTAAAATATGTCAAGTGATATGTAGAGTCCATTTTAAAATATACTAACAAAAACAGAAAGAGAGAAGATAAAGAAGTAAATGTTAAAAAAATGATACTTGGAGCTGAGTGATGATCACAGAGGGTTTATTACACTATCCTTTCTTCTTCTCTGCATAGTTTAACATAAATTTACATAATACACAGTTAAATTTTTAAGAAATGCCTTAATTTCTGCTTAGAAACAACTAGAGGTGCCTTTGTTTAGAAAGAAAACCAAATACCTGTTTTTGCGTAATTTTAAAGTGTATATATATGTGTGTGTGTGTGTGTGTGTGTGTGTGTGTGTGTAGGTGTGTGTATGTGTCAATCTAGAAGGGGAAAACTGTCAGCCAATCACAGTACTGTCCAATTTAACACTTGTAATAACTACCTGCACAAGAGCACAGAGGGCTAGGCAGTTAATTTTACTGAAAGATATTCAAGACATGAAATGAAAGAAAGTTTATTCAAATGATAAAAATAGTATTGCTGAGACAGCCAATGAGTTATGTAATGAATGGAGGTAGCTGCAAAACTTTGGTGAGAACTCATAGGTTAAATTTGAATAATTATCTGTATCCAAGGTCACCTACAACAGATTTCAACTCTATTTACACACTTTAGGCAGAAAAATGTGAAATTCAGAAATGAAATTTAAATAAATTAAATATGTACACACACATACACACATATACATGTGTGTGCATATAAGTATGTATGTGTGTTTACTAGAATATGATAGGACTATTCATAAACTTTAACTTATGATCTTCCATATTTAAAAACAATTCTGCAGTCAACATTTATTACCTTTAGAATTTGAAAAAAATAATAATGATTATAAAAAAGTATAAATCCTGGTAACAAATTTTATTTCTACAGTATATAGAGACTTTAAATGTGTAAACCTTTAGTTTACCCATTACCCAAATAGTTAGAGATCAATGAATTTATTTATAATACGGGATTTTAATAAACAATCTTTTCAGCAATTTGTGAATATGCTTCATTGATTGTGGAATCAATAGGCTATTTCTAATGAATCTGGCATGTTAATGAATAATGGTTTGATCCAAATATTACATTCAAAGCAGTGAGACATTTATATTCCAGCAGGCAAGATCATTTAAACCATTTAAACCCTGATTAGTTAACAGGCTGTATTCATGAGAAAGGTGTATTGATTTCAGTGGCTTTATTGATTTTAGGTCTGTTGAACCTAGACACCTTGCAAATTTGTGGGCTGACTTCATTGACTACATTTCGATCTAATATATAGTTGTTTTTAGAAAGTGCTGTAAAAAGTTTCTGGCATCTGACCTTCGCTATATGGGATTATTAACCTGTAACTTTTTATTATTTTCAGATGCCTTTCATAGAGGAATGATAAAATCATTAATTTTAGCTTCTGTTATGTACAAAGGGTAAAGCATAAGTTAGGTACTGTTGAAAATTCAACTATTTAAAAAACATTATCCCTAAGAATTTGTTTGTGATTACAACCTTCTACATGAGAGTTGATTAAAAGAACCTAAGTCAAGCTGTTCTTCCACAGTGCTCTCTGACCACAGTGGCTTACCTGGCAAAAGGCAATAAAATATTAGAATAACATGGATCTGATGACTATTTTTCTTTAAATTAACAGTATTTAATAATCATTTATATTTTATGTGATTATTTTAACTCTCAAATCAAATTTGCTGAGTTTTCTATAATGTTTTGATTCTAAATCTTTTGATAAGAATTCAATTTAAATTTGTCATATAGTTCAAGAGAAAAAAACTAATTCTGCTCTTATTATTTACTATATTGTGAATAACATGAAGTCTTCAAAAATTGGAAAAATAATTGTCTCACAAGTCATTTAATTACAGTTATCTAGAGTGATTAATGCAGATTATTTAAATTTCACTTCTGGATTTCTCATTTTTCTGCCTAAAATGTGTAAATAGAGTTGAAATCTGTTTTAAGTGACCTTGGATGTAGATAATTATTCAAATTTAAGCTATGAGTTCTCGCCAAAGTTTTGCATCTACCTCCATTCATTACATAACTCACTGGCTATCTCAGCAGTATTATTTTTATCATTTGAATAAACTTTCTTTCATTTCATGTCTTGAATATCTTTCAGTAAAATTAATTGCCTAGCCCTCTGTGCTCTTGTGCAAGTAGTTAATACAAGTGTTAAATTGGACAGTACTGTGATTGGCTGATAGATTTCCCCTTCTAGATTGACATAGATCCATGAATCAATTCAATCATGAAATAAAGACAGAAAAAACAAACAAACAAACATCTATTGACAGCCTAACATATGCCAGGGGTGCTTGCTAGATGATTAGCTTAGCAGCTATGGGCTTCAATGTTGGATTTTATTACCTGAGTCAGAATTCTTTATTTGCCAGTCACCAGCTGTTTGACCAATGATTTAACTTTTCTATTCATTGTTCTCTTGAATGTAAAATGTTTAACTACTAGTTTCAAGTAACTGCTTTTAGGATATTTTTTACAACTAAATGAATTAATATATCTGAACCATTAGAAGAGCATCAATTATGTAAATCTCCCAATATACCAGCTATTGATATTTCATACTTCCCAGAATTTACAGTATTTTATTATTTAAATATTGTTTGATTTGGTTATTTTTAAGTTATGTTTATATCTTATGCACTGTCAAAGAATAATACAAAAGATCATGCAATGGAAAGAGAAACTCACTCTCCTCTCCGGTCCATGGTCCTAAGTCTCCAGAGATAAATAGCCATCTCTGGTTCTGTGGGCATAGTTTCACACATATTCCATGCATATACATGTATATACTTCCTCTTTTCTCTTTAATACAAATCAGCACATGCTAATAGAAACTGGCCTATACCTTACCCTTGTTTCACTTAATATATTTTGACAGTTTTATATTTCACTAAATATAGGAGAAGCTCATTCATTTTGACAGTGGCCTTGTGTAAACATAACCAGTCTCTTCATTCATAGATTCTAAGCTGTTTCTTTCTTTTTTTAAATCATAATCAATGCTGTGATAATCATGTACATATATAGAATGATTAGATAATGTTTATATGTGTGTGTTTGTACACACACATATTCAAATACACATATATATTGACATACACACATCTATTCACACAGATATATTCAAATATGTGTAAACACACACATATACTGTGTGTGTGTTTATTTTAATGCATGGATAAATATATCTGTTGAACAAATTCATGCAATTAGATTTTCTAGTTCAAAGAGGAATGTATTTTAAATGTTTTATAGATATTCTTAACCTGCTGTACATACTAATTTTGCCAATATACGTTTTCAACAGAGTATGTGCTTATATGTGATTCACCACATAATCATCAACACAGTCATTTAATTTCCATATCTGTGAAAGGATGTATCTCACTATTTGCTTGGCATGATCCATTGCATCTTAGGAGTTTACTTACTTTTTTTGCCTTCTTTTAAAAAATTAATATATTAGAAAATTTCATTTTAATAGTATATCCTTATCTTAGCTATTTTGCTCAGTTTCTTGTTTATATTTTATGATTTCTGTTATAATAGTTGGTTTTTCAAAGGCTTTTAGATTTTATGCAGTTAAATGTAATTTTGTATGGCTTCTGGATCCATAGGCATTTCTAAAATAATTTCTCATGTTTACCTTAGCACATTTTCAATTTTATATTTTATATTTAAGTATTTTATTCATGAAAAAGTTATTTTGATATACATTATAAGTTAAGAATCAAGATTTTAGTTCCTAAATAAAAAGCTCAGTCAACTCAAAAGAGTTTGTTAAATTAATCTTATTGTTGCACTGCTTTAAAATGTTATTTTGATTATTTATTAAATATTTAAATATTTGTGCTTTTCTTTATTCTGTTCAAGTACTCTGTTTCTTCTTGTGCCAGTGCCACAGTTTTAGAATTGCTATAGCTCTTTACATTATGATGCATAATTGAATTAGTCCCCATTCATTACTCATCATTTTTCAAAGTTTTCCTAATTATTCTCAAACAAATCTTAGTGTTAGCTTTGTTATCTTTCCAAAAAATGCTGCTGACTTTTTAATTGAGATTTTATAAAAGTATATTCTTTATTTTTAATAGGATTCATTAGTCTAATACATAGAAAATATAACTATTTTTAGTTTCTATGTAGAAAAGCAGTTTATTTTTACAGATTAATTTCATATTCAGCCTCCATCATACTGAAACTTACTGTAGTTTCTAAGACTTTTTAAAGCTAATTTATAAATGTTTTCCAGGTATAAAATCATAAAATCTTCTAAAATGATAGTCTTCCTCTTGTTTTTCAGTTTTTACACTTATATTTTATTCTACTCTCCAGTTAAATTTTCTAATATTTGTGTTATAATGTTAAACAGTAGTGGTCCTAATGACATATTTTTATTGTTTCTGATTTTAATGCCACTTAGACAAATGGTCCTCAAACTTTAGCATGGAACAGTTCATACAAAGGGCTTGTTAAAACACAGATTGTTGCTCTCCACACCAGTCTTGATTCTGTAGGTGTGGGATGGGGGCAAAGCATATATATTTCCAACACGTTCTCAGGTGCATCTGACACACTCGGAACAAGGCCCCACTTTGAGAACTACCATATGTTATCAGGCTCTTTAGTATAAAGCTGACTTTTGCTTCAAAATATCATGTACTTTTGATAATGTTAAGTGACCCTTTATTCTTTTTTATTAAGAGTTTTGTCAGAAATGAATGTGGGAGTTTTTCAAATGACTTCTGGGAATTCATAGAGCTGACAATATTGTTTTATTTCCTTTTCCTATTAACGTGATAAATTTCAATAATAGCTGTCCTAATACTGTAAAACCTTAGCATGCAATAAATTTGATAATGGCATTTTGCATTTTAATATGTTACTACTACATTATAATTGACACTGTGAAGTTTTTTGTAAATGTCATTGAGTTTTCATTACTATATTTTTCTGCATTGTATATTGATGTTAAAAATCATTCCATAAATATAATTTGAAATATTTTCTTCTCTACATATGTTCTAGAAGTAAAGTTATCATAGTAAAGTTATCAGTTTCTTGATGTTTTGATAGATTTCACTAAAGACATTTTTAGGATTGGCATTCTTTGTTATTTTCTTTTGTAGGTAAATACTGATAATTTTTACTTTTCTTAAAAAACCAATTGCTTTAGCAATTAAACATACCTCTAAATAACAAATGGATTAAGAATAAGTCTCAAGATAGGTTAAAAATATATTGAACTAAATAAACATGAAAATAGAACATCGAAATTTGTGTGATTAGCAAAAGCAGTCTTTAGAATGAAATTTTTAGCATTGAATGTATGTATTTAAAAAGAAGAAATATCTAAAACCAACAATCTAAAGAAAGGCAATATACCCCTAAAGCAAGCAGAAGAAAAGTAATAATAAACATTGGAGCATAGCACAATAAAATTAAACACAAGACATTAATAGAGAACATCAACAACACAAAGACCTGGTTCCTTGAAAAGTTCAAATTCATAAACCTCCAGTCAGGCTAATCAAGTGAAAAAGAGAGAAAAAATTAATGTTGTCAGAGATGAAAAAAGAGCAATGACTACTGATACCATGGATATTAAAAGCATAATAAATGAATGTTATGAACAATTGTATGCCCACAGATTTGATAACCTATATAAAATGAGCCAATTCCTCCAAAGGCACAACCTACTAAAGTTTACCCAATGAGTAATAAATCATCTGAATATGCTCATGTCTATCAAATAAAATACAGAATAATATCTCTCATGAATATTGATGCAAAATCCCCAAGAAAATATTAGCAAACCAAATTCAAGAAAGTATAGAAACTATTATACACCACAACCAAGTGGAATTTATTACATGTATGCAAGTCCCGTTCAACTTTAGAAAATCAAATAATGTAGTCTATTGTATCAATAGGCCAAAGAAGAAAAATCAGATGATAATATTAATAGGTGTTGAAAAGGCAGGTGATAATGTTGAATACTCATTCCTGATAAAAACCCTTAGCAGACTAGGAATAGAGGAGAAATTCCTCAAGTTGATAAAGAAAATCTACAAAAAACTATAGCTAACATCATGCTCAATGGTCATAATTTTCATATAACATTAGGAACAAACCCAGGATGTCCTCTAACACTATTCCTATTCAAGATAATACTGAAAGTATTAGCTAATGCAATAAGATAAAGAACTAAAAAATACAAACTATTTTTATTTGTACCTAATATGTTTGTCCATGTAGAAAATCCCAAGGAATCAACAGCAACAAGAAAACTCCTGGAACTAACAGATTATAGCAAGGTTGTAGGATGCAAACCTAATACACAAAAGTCAGTTCCTTTTGTACATGACAACAATGAGTTATAGAAATTTGAAATTTAAAACACAATGTGACTTATTTTAGCATGAAAATTTAAAATTAGAAAAAGAAATGCTAAGATGTACATTTTAAAAATTATATACCAGATTGATATGAACAAACCTACCAACCCTGAAAGAAATCAAAGAATAACTAAAAAATAGACATTTTATGTTCATGAATAGAGAGACTCAATATTGTTAAAATGTTAGTTCTTTCCAACTACATCTATAGATTCAACACAATCTTACTCAAAACCCCAGCAAGTTATTTTGTGGATATCAACAAACTAATTTAAGTTTATATGGAAAGGGAAAGACACACACTAGTCAAAACAATAGTGAAGAAGAGAAAAATAAGAGGACTGACACTACCCTACTGCAAGACTTGTTATAAAAGTACTTTGATAAGGACAGTCTGCTATTGGTGAAATTATAGGCAAATAAATTAATAAAACAGAATTAAAGTTCAGAAATAGACCCACACAAATACTTAAAATAATTTAGTCTTTCCAGGAAATGGTGTGAGATAACATGGACATTCAAGTGCAAAAACAAAAGCAAACACACACACACACAAAAGAAAGAAATTTATCTAGACATAGACCTTAGACCTTTTATAAATTTAACTTAAATAGATCATAGAGATAAAGATAAAATTAGAAAAGTATAGAATTTTTGAAAGATAATATAGTAGAAATATCTAAGTGATCTTGGGTTTGGTAGTGAATTTTTGGGTATAACACAAAAAGTATTATCCATGAAAGAAAAAAAATGAAAACTTAGACCTCATTGAAAATAAAACTTCTGTTCTGTCAATCACACTCCTAAGAGAGTGAAAAGAGAATCCACAGGCTGGGAGAAAATATTTGCAAAAGATACATCTGATAAAGGATATGTATCCAAAATATACAAAGAACTCTTAAAACTCAACAATAAGAAAGCAAACACTGCAGCTGGATGCAGTGGCTCACATCTGTAATCCAAGCACTTTGGGAAGTTGAGGCAGGTGGATCATGAGGTCAGAAGTTCAAGACCAGCCTGGACAACATGGTGAAACCCTGCCTCTACTAAAAATACAAAAATTAGCTGGGCATGGTGGTGGGTGCCTGGGAGGCTGAGGCAGGAGAATTGCTTGAACCTGGGAGGCGGAGGTTGCAGTGAGCCGAGATCTCGCCACTGCATTCCAGCCTGGGTGAAAGAGTGAGATGCCGTCTCAAGAAAAAAAAAAAAAAAAAAAAGAAAGCAAACAATGCAGTTTAAAAATATGCAAAAGATCTGAACAGACACACCTCCAAAGAAGATATACAAATAGCAAATAAACATATAAAAATGTTCAGTGTTACATATCACTAAGGAATTTTAAGTTAAAACAAAGAGTAACCACTACACACCTGGTAGAATGGCTGTAATCTGTAAAACTAACACATACCAACTGCTGGTAATGGTGCAGGGCAACAGGAGCTCTTATTCATTGCTTAGGGATGCAAGTGGCATAGTCACTTTAGAAGGCAGTCATGTAATTTCTTGCAAAGCTATACATAGTCTTATCATACATTCCAGTAATTGAACTCAGAGGTTTTTACCCCAGTGAGTCGAAAACATGTATCCACATAAAATTCTGCACATGAATATTTATAGCAGTTTTGTTAATAATTGCCAAAATGTAGACGCAATAATGATATTCCTTTAATAGGTGAGTGGGTAAATAAACAGGAGTACAACAGTACAACAATTAAAACACATGAGCTACCAAGCCATGAAAAGACACGGAGGAACCCTAAATGTATATTTCTAGGTGAAAGAAGCAAATAGTCATACCTAGTCTATGATTCCAGTTATATGACATTTTGGAAAAGGTGAAACTATGGAGACATTTAAAAGTTCAGTGGTTTCTCAAGGGTTGGGGGAAGAAATGACAGATGCATATGTGAAAGGGGATTTTTAGGCTGGTAAAAGTACACTGCATGATACTATAATGGTGAATATATGGTGTACATTTGTCAAAATTCATAGAACTGTACAACACAAAAAGGAAACCCTGATGTGAACTATGGACTTTAGTTAATGTTTAGAAACTGCTTGTAATTACATTCCCACATGAACAAACAATATGTAGTAATTTATGTAAAAGCACATATGTATGTACATGTGCGTTAAAAAAGTATGAAAACATAGTGACTATTATCTCCACCTGAAGAGATTTGGAATCATTTTTATCCATTTCCTTATGCTTTTCTGTATTGCTTATTTTTCTGTTATTATTTCATTTTTATTAATATGAAAATAATCTGGGCTGGGCTTGGTGGCTCATGCCCGTAATCCCAGCACTTTGGGAGGCTGAGGCAGGTGGATCACCTGAGGTCAGGAGTTCGAGACCAGTTGGGCCAACATGGTGAAACCCTGTCTCTACTAAAAATACAAAAATCAGCCAGGCGTGGAGGTGGGCACTTGTAATCCCAGCTACTCAGGAGGCGGAGGCAGGAGAATCGTTTGAATCAGGAAGGCAGAGGTTGCAGTGAGCTGAGATCGTGCCACTGCACTCCAGCCTGGGCGACAAGAGCAAAACTCTGTCTCATAATAATAGTAATGATAATAATAATAATAATAATCTGATTTCCTTAAACTATCAAAATAAATACTAATTTAATGGCCTCTAGTAAAATATTGTAGGCATAGATCTGAATGTAAGAATAGTTTATATAGATTGTTCCTAGGCACCTAACAATGAATCTGTTACCTACTAATTCCTAGGCACCTAACAGTGAATCTGTTATCTACTAATTTATTCATAGAATCTGAATAAAATAATAGTTTATATAGTTTGTTCCTAGGCACCTAACAATGAATCTATTATCTACTAATTCAAAGTGTATGCTATTCCTGCAATATTTTACTTCCTCTTCAAGATAGATTTTATTCTATTTATAAGTGAGTTTGTTCCTAAGGGCATAACTTTAAAAGGGAATAAAAATGTGCTCTTCTATAGTATTTTCTTATTTTGATAGATATATTTGTTATTTGTGAAAGGCTTTCATTTCACTTATATGTGGCAGTTCAGTTGACATTAATAAAATAACACTTTACTTTTTACTCATTATTTTATAGTATGCATAATCTGTTAGGTTATAAGCTCTCCTAGTATTTTCTTGGTTTCTTTTGGGATATGAAATATTTCTGCATAATTCTTATGACCTATCGTAAGAAACTGACTTGTCTTAAGAGAGTCAACACTGCCATATTTGTTCTTTGCCACTATTCTTACACATTAGTAACTTTCTACTATTTTTACTTTACAAAGCATCTTTTGTTTCTGTCACATTTAAGATAAAATCCAGATAAAGCAATCCTTGGTTTCAGCATTAGTTAATTTCTAACAACAGTAAAATCAAATAGTTTCATCCGCAGGTGTATTTGTTTTTCACATTTTCATCAACCCTGAGGGAGGAACACAAGTAAAGTCTTGCAACATTGCCACAGTGTGTTATTTATATTCCCACTGGGTACCATTCATCCTATTTCAGTTAGAGCCAACTATTTTCTAACACATTTAGATCGTTTTATAATTGTATTCTTACATGATTTACTACCATTCTTTGGTTTAATGGGGCTTATTTTAGGTCTGGTATTGAAGATAGAACATAATATTCCTTTTTCAGGTAACCAAAATATGTATTTTAGCTATTTAATGTAGTTGTTTGTTGTAGAGATCATGGTACCTTCTAATGGATATAATAATTGTTTTAGGATAGGATATTCTTATTTTTATGTGAGTAAATATTTAATAACCAGCTCTTTGAAAGGAAAGTAAAATGGCTCTGATTTTTAGCATTAGAGATTTTCCTTATGTACGTAGTTCTATTCTGGCCTATTTCAAGATACCAAAGTAACATTAAATGGTTTTGAACAATTCTGAACATTGAACAATTGGCACTCACAAGTTAGTTCTGCCATGCCATAGCGGGCTCCTATATTTCAAATGTGATCTGAATGTTGGAAAGACTTAGACTGTTCGTACTTCAGCTTATCTGAAACCCAGGATTTCTATTTTGGAGGATCCATATTCCAATTTGGTCCTTGTGATAGGTTTGTTTTATGCTATCCAAACTGGCAAGGATCTTTCCTGTTTTCCTGCCATCTAGCTATTCTAATACAATTAATTTAATAGATTAATTCTAACTTACTGTTATGTAACATATTGTTTTCTTTATTTTCCAAAAGCATGACTTAGACAAGAATCTTCATATATGATTTTATATTTTGGTCCAAAAAACAATTGCATGAGAGCTATTTCTTACAAATATTCTTACAAAATAATTTAAATGTATAGACTAAGGAGGTTTTGGGATTAAAATAAGAAGTTGGAATTTTTATCTATACTACTTTTTATTATTACCCCTTAGGATAAAATATGTTGTCAAAGTTATTCTTCTTTCTCTGAATTATAACCAATAGTGATTACTTTAGCTTTGCACATTTTCACAATTTTATCATTTTGCTAAGCTCTCTAAAATTAGAAACATTTGTCTGACTAAGGATTTTAAAGATCCATCTTTAATTTGTTCAAGTTCCATGAGCCAGCATGACGCTAATGTTTGACTTAGAAGGAAAGGGGTAGGGGTTGTAGCTGGACACTGGATTCACTGATAGGATCCTCAAGAAATAGTCTAAGAAAACTCCTGGGTGGATGTCTGGTTTTGCTTAGGTAGATGATTACTTGGACTGGCACTATCTTTGTTGTACGAACTTTGGCTAAGAACCTTAATGCAATCTTTTAATCACCTTCTATCTGATTTTGGTCTTCTATTTCAACCTTTGTATTCCTTAAAGCAATAGTGCTGAGGTATCCATTGAATATCATCTTACAGGATTGATTAAACAGAAATCAAAAATAATTTGGAGAGCTCTCTGTTGATTTCTGGTATCCTCACTTTCATTTCTGGATCTAGGTTGTATCTATGATTTCTTTTACTCTGTACAATATTTATGACAAAAATCTACTTAAGTGTGACACTAAACTCACCATCACCAACAATCAGATAGCAATGTGAAGCCTTGGGAAATAAATTTAGTATTTCTAAATATAGTATTTTACCACACATGCTTAACAAAGTTTATATGACCTCTTATGACCACAGAAAGTACAACATAAAATGATATGAGCATAGGAAGTAGATATCTACAGGATACGTGATAGCAATCTACAAGCCTGTAAATTACTATTTTTTTGAGCTGATAAGGAAAAAGAAAATTTGTTCACTTTGGTAACCAAGGAAGAACAATAAAGTCATAGGTTCAAATGTAAGAAGCAATGCTCAGGTTAAACATTATGATGGAAAATGGCAGATATTTTCAAATATTAGAAAAATGTTTATAGGAAGATCAATAATCCACTATTTTTAATTCAATTTGAAGGACATAATTCCCCTCCCCCTTACTTGAAGCTTAGGAAGATGTTAGCTACAAGGTCTTTTTAGAGAATTAAAAAGAAGAAAACCTGCTTGATTTTCCCTTAAACCCATGTTCTTATACCAATGTTAGAATAAGATAGCAGCTGCTCTCTCAAATCATTCAAAACCCAGGAGACGTGGCTGTACTTGGTGATTGTAGCTAACTCAGCTGCTCTGGGGTTAGAGTTGCTTCCTCCTCTTCCTGCTACCACAAATATTTGGGAAATAATGTGCTGGGAGAAGGCACAGCTAGGATCTACAGCTGTGTTGGTAACCCCATCTCTTCATGGATTGGTGCTAACAAATAGCCTCTGAGCTCATAAGACCCTTTCTTGTAAGAAGACAACACTGTTACCACACACGTTTCCCTTCATGTAGAGGGGTCTACATTTCTGTAACACTCCTGGCTTCTTCCAGGGAAGGAAAAGAGAGTTACTTTACTGATGAGTTAGGAGGATAAAGAGTGTACAGTCTTTTTCTCCCTCCCTTCAGCTTAACTAACACAGATTCTGTACTGCAACACCATGCCTTAATTGTAATGCTTCATAAACAAGGGAGTTGTGGAGGGATTTTATAGCATTGCCTGTGATTGGGAGTACAGTGGGGGAAATGTCTATCAAATTATGCCATTTGATATTAGAAAGTCCACTGTTACAACATACATCTTTGCTATGCCCTATATTTTTACCTAATTTTTTTTTTACCTAATTGATTACCAAATTTTCACTGGTAATCAATGATATTTTGCTCTTTATACATATGAATTCTTTTTATCATTTAACAAATGGTTTAGAACTCAGACTGAGAGCAGTGTCTGTTATTTATTGGGCTCTGTATGTTTTAGAATAAAAGCATAATTCTTGGGAAATTGAACAAGCTTGCTTTCTTTTTCTTTTTCTCTTTTATTTCTCTCTTATTTCCTTCCTTCCTTCCTTCCTTCCTTCCTTCCTTCCTTCCTTCCTTCCTTCCTTCCTTCCTTTCTTCCTCCCTCCCTCCCTCCCTCCCTCCCTTCCTTCCTTCCTTCCACAAGGTCTCACTTGTCATCCATGCTGTAGTGCAGTGGTGTGATCATAACTCACTGCAGCGTCAAACTTCTGGGTTCAAGCAGTTCTCCTACTTCAACCTCCCACATGGCTGAACAAGCTATTTCTAAGCCTCCATCAAGCATGCAGCACCATCCTAAGTAGATGTTATCCAACTATGTCATAAATTATTGAAGGTATAAAGGGTCCTTTTATCTTAAGCATTATTTTATCTAAAATTAATTTGATATTTTTCAAATGTAATTTCCAAGACCGTTACGGTACAGAAATAAATTGATCACTGGGTATCACAATATAAGCCCTACACATACTATAACTTAATCTAACACTTATGGATAAAAGGACAGGAAAAGAAGGACATATGTAAAATGATTCTTATCGTATGTGTGTGTGTGTTTGTGTGTGTGTGTGAGTGTGTGTGTGATAGGGACCATTACATAATGCCTACCATCATTACATTTATTTTTTCTGTGGCTCAGGCATTGAAAGATTGTGTTCAGACTCTGGATAATTGCCTACACGACCATTATGCCAGCTCTCCCATACATACTGTTCTTGCCATATTCTGGATATCTTCTAATGCAATGCTAATCTTTTGGCAGTGTACAATGTGAATACCTCTTGATACTTTCCGAAGTAGTGATTCTGAACTTCTTTGAAAAGAATGAAGAATTATTTTCCCAGGAACAAACAAAAACTCAAAAAGCATATACACAGATACAAAAATAAATTTTAAATGCAATTTAAGAGAATTTATGAACCTTCTAAAATCCACAAACATGATTTAAAAATCAAGCACTTAAAAAATCCAGTAATGTGTTTTTTGGTTTAGAAAATATTTGATTTAAGTGTGTCATCGAGGCTATAATAAACTCTTGAGTGAGCACAAGGAGACTGACAAAATACGATTGCTTTATTATCTTCCCCGCTCCTCCAATATTTGATCCTCCCAGATCATTGCAGCTTGCCTTCTGGGACTGACATTCCATAGAAAACATCCTCTTTGTGTAAGTATGACCCTACACAGGAGATATTTTTTAAAGATACGCTGGTGCATATTTCATGTTAAGTTGTAAGGTAAACAAAAGAATGTTTATTTTGTAGGAAATTTTCTAAAAAACATTGCCATGATTATCTCACTAGGGAAAACAATAATTAATATGTTTCTGTTTTTAATAGTGAGTGCTTGTTAAATTTTATAAATAATCAGAAATTATGCAGTAGAGCTACTGACTTTGGGCTATGAATTTTTTTTTAATTTCTATGTATGCATTACATTTGTTTCATCAACATTACATGAAACCACTAAGGAGAAACTAAACTTTTCCTTCAGATATGACAGCTTTAGTCCTTTGACATAAGTGGTGTCTTAGCTACTGTATTACAAAGCACAGAAAAATAATGTTTCAACTGCGATGAAGAAGCGTTATTATCATTATACCTGTCCCCTGATATATTCGCCTCACTTTGGGTCCACAGGAGAGGGAATAAGGAGAACGGTTGTGGTAAAATTCTCTCTTTCTCTCTTCCTTTTCCCTTTTAGAGCACTGGGTGGAGATTAAGTCTTTGATTCAGTCATGTGATTGAAACAGAGATTATCTTTCTTGTTAAGCTGTAACTTACATTCTGTAAAATTTAACCTTTTTGTGCCAGTTCTGTGTGTTTTGACAAATGAAGACACAGAATAGTTCCATAACTCCAAAACATTCTTCTCTGCCTCCAGATAGTCAAGCACTCTCCCTTCCACTTCCCAGCACCTGAAACCACTGCTTTGTTTTCTATTCCTATCATTTTGCCTTTGCAAGAATATTATTAAAATGGAATCAGTATATAGCCTTGTCAATCTGGCTTCTTTCACTTAGCATAATGCATTTGAAATTTATCCATGCTGTTGGATGTATCAGTAGTTCTGTTTTATTGATTAGTAATATTGAATTATATCATCACTTTGAAAATAGGAGAAAGGTTCATGCAATAACTTTTTGATAAAACCTGGCATTTTCAGAATTATAAATTTAGGGCCAGAGACCTTTCTCCTCCATGTTAAATGAAGTGTGATGATGAATCTTTTGTGTGCCAGCCAGTGCTTTATATGATCTCACTGAGAATCTAGCTTGTTTGGGGTTTCTTTCATAAAACAAAATGCCAAGACACTTGTTTATCCGCAGATGTTGCATTTCTACCAAGAATCAGTCCCTGCCATGTCCTTTGGTCTCACAGTTCGAGTAGCAATAGCAGGTCCAACCATCCAGTACTAAGAATAAAATGCCATGAAAGTTAAATTAGAGATTTGTTTGCGCTATGGTCTAATTGTTTTCAATTAGAAAGATAGACTAGAGAGTATAGGAAAAAGATAGCTGGAAAAAAAACAGTTTGCAACTCTTCCAGATGAATTTGGCTGCGTAAGTCTGTTATTTTGACCACCGATCATTTTATCCATACCAAAACAGGTCTTATTGATCATAGTTTAATTTTACTTCACTTTTACGATGACTAGTTTTTCTAATGAAAGTGATGAAATTAGATCTGAAGTGTTTCAATTGTATAAGATGTATCAGATCTCTGAAACTCTGTGCAATGCATATTTGAATAGGATTTGATTAAACTAGGCAATAGTGATTTATACCTATTGTGATAGGGGGAAATAGAAAGGAAGGTGCCAGTACAGTTTTGAGATACATAGGGTGCCAGTTTACCTTTTTACTGCTTTAAAATACAATCAACTGTTTTCTTAGTTTCAGATGCTCAACAGAGCTGACATTCACAGGCAACAACAGTAATAACATTTATTTGTTGTTACCTATAAGGATATATGATTTGGGAAGCATGTTAGAATTAAAGTAGCATTCACAGCAGAAGGACAAGAATATAATAGGTTGAAAGGCCTAAGAAACACAGGACTCATCTATTCTTTCAAAAACCACATTCCCATGGGGCAAGAGGGCAGAGGATATCATTTCATTCTGGCTCTAAACTAGAAAAGTCGGTCTAGACCAGTGTACTTTTATCCGGACCTATCTGACCTTGGTGTAAAATGATTATGGAAAAACTGTCATCAGTGGACTTGCTCTGTTGCTCTCCCTTTGGTAATACGTTTCCAAAATGCAAAAAGACAACTTAGATGAGCCCATTCTGATTTTTGCCTAAGGAATTTATATTTGAGGCATCCAAAAATCATGATTATTGACACATCAGCTGGACTTATTTATTCATGTTCTGGTAGAGGAGGCAGAACAGCTAATAGAAGGTTTTTGTTTGTTTGTTTGTTCTTATTGCCAAGAAAGTGCTTTAATAGAAGGGGGAAAATTTCCTATCAGAGAGAAATTTTAGGGAAAACTATATAAAATAACATATTAGGACATTGCACCTGCATTACAGATTATGCACAGTGTTGCAACAAAATAGAATTAATAGGAGGGGAAGGAACAAGGTGGTTGACTGGAAACATCCAGCACTTGCTTCCTCCACAAAGAAGTAAAAAAATAGGGAAGAGACAATTACATTTTGAATAGAACATCTAACAGATAATACTGAAATTCAAAAGAGAAATGACAGGAAACCTGATACATGCAAGGAATGGGAAGCCAGGCAGCCAACTTTGCCTGGATTGACTGAGAACCCAAAGAGGCTCCCCTGTGTGGAGAAAGGGTAAATGAGAGAGCCTCAGTGGTCCACATTCCCACCAGGGTCTCCTGCAACCCTAGCCACGGGAAAACCCCTCATCCTTTGCTGGTCCTGAGACTTGCAAAGGGAGCCACCAGATACTGCATAACAGCGTTGCTCTATGGAGGGAGCTTATGCTGGGTCCCACAGACACCTTGAGACCTAAGAAGCTGCAAGGCAGTGCCATTTTGAGAGCCTAGCCCAATTAGATTATATCATGCCTTGGGACCCAACAGCCCTAGAACCTCCACATTCTTGGAACCCCACTGAAATTACCCTGTATTCACCTGGGAGGGCTGTAGTGGCACAACACTGGCTGGACCTGGCAGTGGCAAGGCCCCAGCACTCTAGCCCACACAGAATCCTACACCCCAGGGAATAGACAGGGCAATGCAACAAAGAAGCTGCCCCTAAAACAAAGGAAACCAAGTTTGTGCTACCTAGATTCTGAGAGTCACTTTCCTGGGGCTGCTCCCCAACTACCCTGTCCCCACCCACAGCAGCAGGGCCACTGAGCACTAGCATGTTTCCTGAAGACAGGCTTTCCCTGTGTACCCTTCCTGCTGCTGTTGCAGGGGGCCAAAGTACATGCTCTCCATAGTCTGAAAGCCACCTGCCTGCCTGGGGATACTCCCACTGATTGCAACCCTGTCCCCCAACAGCAGGGCTGCTGAGCATTTGCATGTACCCTGAGGAAAGCCTCTCCCTACCCACTGCTATGGATCTCCCTTCCCTACCCACCATAGCCTGTGCCATTATGCACCACAGAGGGGCCTCATGACAGGCCTGCCTGGCCTGGCACTACACCTTCAGTGTCAGAGTAGGTCATCTGAGAGACTGAGGATTGCCCTTTCCAGCCTATCACCACTGGCATCTGTGTACTTCTCCTGGTTACCTGAGGAAGGGCCTAAGGAATTTATATTTGAGACATCCAAAAATGCCTCCAACCAACACCACTGGTGGCACCAACCTGCACATACCATCTAGGGGCTTGGGTACTGACCTTCCCAGCCCACAATAGACACTACTAACACTAATGAGTGCAGCTTAGGAGCCCAAGAGTGCCTTACCATCACTACTACCATTGCCCATTCTAGGCATGCAGCTCACGAGCCCTAGGATATGCCCACTCATCTCCTTGACCCCTGCCACTGTTGGCACATGAGTGAGCTTCCAGGAGGCCCAAGAGCTAGCTCACCTGTACCTGCTAACACCACTGCCCATGTATGCCCCCATGGAAGCCCAAGGATAGACACAGTTGGCTCACCACTGGCCTCATGGAGCCTGAGGTCTGACCTACCTGGCGTCCTTATCCTCAGCAAAGCCTCAATACAGCCATCACTAAAAATTGCAGCTAAGCCACTGAGGAAATCATAGATGCCACTGAAGCAATTCAACGCCAAAAAATCAAAGGCAATAACAAAATTCTAAAAATATCAAGAGAAAAAAGCATCTGGTTATATAAAAGGGAACCTCCGTCAGACAAATATTGGATTTCTCAACAGAAACCTTACAGACCAGACAGGAACAGGATGATATAATAAAAGTGCTGAAAGAAAAAAAACCTGTTAACCAAGAATACTACACATAGCAAAACTATCCCTCCTAAATGAAGGAGAAATAAAGTCTCTCCCACACAAGCAAAAACTGAGGTAATTCATCACCACCTGACTGGCCCTACAAGAAATACTTAAGGGATACCTACACCTGGAAATGAAAGAACAATATCTATAATTGTGAAAACACAGAAAGGGACAAAACTCAGTGGTACAGCAAAGACAAAATTAAAAAGAACAATGACTCGAGCATTACCACTAAAAATCAATGATAATAAGAAAAGAAGAAAGAAAATATATACAAAACAAATAAGAAAACAATTTTTAAAATGATAGGAATAAGTTCTCACATATTAATAATAGCCTTGGATATAAACAAATTTAAATTTTCCACATAAAAGATACATACTGGCTGAATGGATTAAAACAAACATGACCCAACAACGTGCTATCTGTGAGAAACTCAATTCATTTGTAAAGACACGTATAGACTAAAAGAAAAGGAATACAAAAAAAAAATTCCGTACAAATAAATGGAAACCAAAAGTTAGCAGGAGTAGCTATACCTATATCAGATAAAACAAACTTTAAGTCAAAAATAATAAAAAGAGATGAAGAAGGTCATTATATAAAGGTATCAATTCAGCAAGAGAATAAAATAATTCTAAATATATATGCATTCAACACCAGAGCACCCAGCCACATAAAGCAAATATTATTAGATGTAAAAGAAGAGATAGACTTCAATACAATAACAGTCAGAGATTTCAATGTCCTGCTCTTAGCATTAGATGGTCTAGATGTAAAATCAACAAATAAACATTGATTTTAAACTAGATTTTAGAGCAAATAGACCTAACAGACATTACAGAACATTTTATCCAACAGATGCAGAATACACAATCTTCTCATCAGCACATGGAATATCCTTCAAGATAGATAATATGTTAGGCCACAAAACAAGTCTCAATGAAATTTTTAAAACTAAAAATTATATCATCTATCTTCTTAGACCACAGTGGAATAAAACTAGAAATCACTAACCACAGGAGCTTCAAAAACTGTGCAAATACAAGGAAATTAAAAATCTTTCTCTGTGAATCACCGCTGGGCCAATTAATAAATTAAGAAGAAAATCAAAAAGTTTATTGAAATAAATAAAAATGGAAACACAACAAATTAAAACCTATGGAATACAGGAAAAGCAGTGCTAAGATAAATACCTACATAAAAAAAAATCTAAAAATGTCTCTCAAGGAGCTAGATAGCCAAAAACAAATTAAACCTAAAATCACTGGAAGAAAAATAATGACTATCAGCAAATAAATAATACTAAAGATCAATAAAATAAAAAAATTATATTTTTGACAAGATAAAATTGATAAATTACTAGGTAGTCTAACCAAGAATAATATAAAAAATATTCAAATAAACAAAATTAGAAATGAAAAAGGAGATATTAAACTGATACTACAGAAATACAAAGATCATCAGAGACTATTATAAACAACTATTTGCTAACAAACTGGAAAACCTAGAGAAAACAGAAAATTCCTGCATACATACAATCTACCAAGATTGAATTAGGTATAAATAGAAAACTTGAATAGGCCAGTAATGAGTAATGAGAATTAATCAGTAATAAAAAGTCTCTACCCTGAAGGAAAAACCCTGGACTGGATGGCTTCAATGCCAAATTCTGCCAAACATATAAACAAGAATTAACACCAATGCTCAAACTATTCCAAAATTTGAAGAGGAGGAACTTCACCCTATCTCATTCTAAGAAGCCAAGATTACCCTGGTACCAAAAGCATACAATGACACAGCAAACAAAGAAAACTACATACCAAAATCCCTGATTTACATAGATGCGAAAGTTGTAACCAAAATACTAGCAAACCCTATAGAAAAGGTGATGAAAATCCACATAAAAAAGGTAACATATGATGATCAAGTGAGATTTATACCAGGGATGCAAGGATGGTTCAACATATACAAATCAATAAATGTGATACATCACACCTCATATGGACAAAAACCATATGATCATAGATGCAGAAAAAGCATTTGACATAATTCAACATCTCTTCGTGATGAAAACTCTGAACAAACTAGTCATAGAAGGACCATGCCTCAGTATAATGAAGGCCATATATGGTCAATCCACAGCTAACATCATACTGAATAGTGAAAAGATGAAAGCTTTTTCTCTAAGAACCAAAGAAAGGCAAGAATGTTCACACTGACCACTTCTATTCAACATAGTACTGGAAGTCCTAGTAAGAGCAACCAGGCAAGAAAAAGAAATAAAAACATCCAAATAAAAAAAGAAGATGTCAACTTGTCCCTCTTTGCAGAATATATATATATATATATATATATAAAATATATATAATATATAATATATATTATATATAATATATACGTATATATTATATATACGTATATAATATATATTATGTATAATATACATATATTTTATATATATATATACACACACACACGCACACACATACATATATATATACATATTTTTTTTTGAGACAAGGTCTTACTCTGTCACCCAGCGTGGAGTGCAGTGCGGAAATTTTGGCTCACCACAACTTCCACCTCTCAGGCACAAGCAATCCTCCCACCTCAGCCTCCTGAGTAGCTGAGACTATAGGCATGCACCACCATGCCTGGCTAATTTTTGTATTTTTTGTAGACACAGGTCTCTCCATGTTTCCAGGCTGGTCTCAAACTACTGAACTCAAGCAATCCTCCTGCTTCAGTGTTGACATTATCTTATATTTAGAAAAACTTAAGGACTCTCCCTGAAAATTCATAGAATTGATACATAAATTTGGTAAAGTTGCAGGATACAAAATTAACATACAAAAATCAGTAGCATTTCTATATACCAATAATATATTAGCTGAAGACAAATTAAGAAAGAAGGCAATCCCATTCATAATAGCTACAAAAAATACCTAAGAATTAATTTAACCAAGGAGATAAAAGATCTCTACAAGGAAAACTACAAAACAATGATGAAATAAATTAAGACATAAATAAATGCAAAGACATCTTATGCCCATTAATTGGAAAATTAATATAATTAAAATGATCATACTATACAAAGCAATCTACAGATTCAATGCAATCCCTGTCAAAATACCAATGACTTTCTTTACAGAAATGTAAAAAAAATCCTAAAATTTGTGTGAAGCCACAAAAGAGCCTGAATAGCCAAAGCAATCCTAAACAAAAAGAACAATGCTGGAGGCATCACACAATTTGATTTCAAAATATATTACAAGGCTATAGTAACCCAAACAGCATGATATCAAACACACAGACCAATGTAAGAAAAGAGAGCACTCAGAAATTCACATATTTACAGCCAACTTATTTTTGATAAAAGTGCCAAGAATATACAATAGGTAAAGGACATCCTCTTCAGTAAATGATGCTGGTATAACTGGATATCCATATGCAGAAGAATGAAAGTAGGCCCCTATCTCTCACTTTATACAAAAATAAACTGAAAATGAATTAAACACTTAAATGTAAGACCAAAAACTATAAAACTGCTAGAAGAAAACATAGGGAAAACACTTCAGAATAGTCTTCTAAAAATAAGATTTTATGTCAAAGACCTCAAAAGCCAAGGCAACAAAAAACAAAAACAGACAAATGAGACTATATTAAGCTAAAAGATTCTGCTCAGCTAAGAAAACAATGAACAGAGTTCAGAAGCAACTGGTTGAATCGGAGAAAATATTTGGATGCTACTCTTCTGACAAAGGACTAATAATGAGAATATACAAGGAACTCAAACAACTCAATAGCAAAACACTAATCACATTTAAAAGTGAGCATGAATAGACACTTTTAAAAGAAGATGTACAAAATGACCAACAGTCATGTGATCATTAGTCATCAGGAAAGTGCAAATCAAAATCACAATAGAATATCATCTCACCCTAGTTAGAATGGCTATTATAAAAAGTACAAAAAATAATGTATGTTGGCAAGGATTAAGTGAAAGGGAACTCTTACACACTGTTAGTGGAAATGTAAATTACTAAAGCTGTTACAGAAAACAGTATGGAGATTTCTCAAAAACAACTAAAAATGGAACTACAGTACAATCTAGCAATTCCATTACTGGATATTTATCCAAAGGATAGGAAATCATTATATGAAAGAGATACTGGCACACCCCATGTTTATTGCAGCACTCTCCATAATAGGAAAGATAAGGAATCAATCTAATTGTCCAGCAATGGATGAATGATAAGGAAAATATGGTCTATATACACAATAAAATACTATTCAGCCCTAAAAAAAGAAATTATGTCATTTGCAACAACATGGATAGAACTGAAAATCATCATTACATTAAGTGAAATTAGTGAGGCACAAAAAGGTAAATATCACATGTGCTCACTCATGTAGGAGGGAAAAGAGTTGATCTCATGGAGTTAGAGAGTAGAATGATGGTTACCAGAGGCAGGGAAGGATGTAGCAGGAGATAGAGACATTGGTTAATGGGTATAGACATAGAGTTAGATAGAAGGAATAAGTTCTAATGTTTAAGAACAGAGTAGGGTAACTTTAGTTAACAACAATGTATTATTTCAAAATAGTTTGAAAAGAGAACTTAAAATGTTACCAACACATAGAAATGATAAATACACAAGGTGATGGACATCCTAGTTCCCTGACTTATTTATGATACATTTTATGCATGTAACAAAATACTGCATATACCCCATAAATATGTATAAATATTAGGTATCAATAAAAGCAAAAGAAAATAATAAAAGAATTAACATATAGGAGTAGAGTTATGAATCAGAGAGGAGCAGGAAAAATTTACTAAGATGGCAGAATGGGGTGGACCTCATTTGGTATTACTCATGACAAGGAATTTCTTTCTTGCTCACTCACTCACTTTTGCTATATCTAAATATCTATATTATTCTGTGTGTTTACCTTGATATTTATATGTATACAGTTTTCCAGATCATACAAAAAATTTAATTTTCTGCAATTTAAATAAATTGAACTCACATTAGATCACTTTTGCTTCTCTGTTTTCCAATGGAGTGTTCCAGATACAGGCAAAAAAAATATGCCTTTCAATTCTTATAGGACATTTTCATCCATGCACTCTGGTGTAAATTACCAGTTTATGTCTAGAACCAGCAAGTTACTTTTTTCAGATGTATGTCTTATTTTTCCAACAAGAAAGCAAATTTCTTAGAAAGGTATGATATTTTCTTATGGGTTTCTTGATCTTCCTGATTATTGACATCTTGACTTTCGCATCATACACGTTCTATAGGTATTATCACATTGATTAATTGAGCTCAAAGAACAGACTTGAGGTAATAGTTAAACTATGTCAAATATTATTTACCTACTTGTTTCTCAAGGCAATCTCCCTCTTTATTGATATTCTGCGTCAACGTTATTTGACTGGTTCTCACTAAATAATCCAAGTCCCCCATAAAATTGACTAATCAAAGCTAAATTGTTACATTCCAAGATACTTCTATTTGAGTATGAAAATTTATTTAAGACCTTTAAGACCTCCAAGCATAATTTCTAACAGTGGGATTTCAGACCATATGACAAGCCAGTGGGAGACTCTTTTTGAGCAGTCGATGCTTCCTGTGTGTTGCCATACATATACAGCTACCTACTTACCTGTTATCATAAATGGGGCTCACTTTCTTTTCTTTCTCCCCTTCCCCTAAATTCTCGATTGTCATCCCCAGGGGGAAAAAACACTTTTTTGTTTCAATAGCTCATTATTTTAGACAACTGATTTTTAATTTGCCATAAATAGTGCAATAGGCATTCGTTCTGTGATACTTACAATCTGGAAGTTAATCTAAATTTGCTATTCCCTCTATAAATTACCATTTATCCAACTGAGATATTAAATAACAAAGTTTCTCTCTCTAATGTCTTTTTTGTATGTTTGTTTTAGCAGTCCTAAGGTTTCATTTCTGTTGTTGGATTGTATTAGTTCATGTAAATGCTTTTGTATCATTGATTCCTGGCTAAAAAGTATCTCAAAAAGTTTAGGTCATATTTCATATCTAGGTGATGAATCATTGTGAGTTTTAGTTTTTGTGTTGTTTATTTTTCTGAGTTCTCCATATATTTTACAAATGACAAGGTATCATTTATATTGGTATTAAATAATTTGTAATAATTTGATTTGTTAAAATTATTTATTGTAACAATGTATTTAAATAATCTATATTTATTTAAAACTATTACTCTGAACTACAAGGTACAATTATAGTGATTTTATGAAATTACTTTCAAAAATTTTGGCATATTGGCAAGTCAGAGGAAATGCTACTTTGGCAAAATAGTTTATCAACTATTGGCATCAATAACTTTTTTTTCCTGACAGATTTGAATTTATATAATGTACTTATTTTATTACTTAAAATTATCAATGCCTACTAATTTTTTCTTAGACAACTTTGCTAAGGTAGCTGCCACAAAAAGCATTAATCTACAAATAAAGTTTTTTAGTTTATTTATTCAAAAGTGAAAAACAACAGAAACATTGGAAAGAAAAACCAGGGTTTGAGTCTTATTCCCCATGATTTAATAATTCTGTGAACTTGGGAGATACACTTAATACACTTTAACCTGTTTACAGCATCAAAGGGCTGATATAAAACCAAATGAGGCAATAAATTAGGTATTTTGCGAATCATAAATCTAACATCCCAGTGGATCTTCTTAATTTCACAGTAGTTATACATGGAGGCCAGTACTTCTTTGACATCTAATGGGGGTTTTGAGAATATCCAGAGAGACTAATTTTGCCATGGAATTTGGTATCCTCATGATGCTTACTCTGGCTGGACAGGAATATTGATACATCTTCTTCAAGCAGCTTGTAGAGCTTGTCACAAATGGAAGAAAAAGTAGAAGTATACTGTGATTTTAACATGGAAACTGATATTGAATGATCGGTGGGCTTTTCTGAGGCATACTTTTGGTAATGCCCCAACAGAACTTGGGGGCCTGTAGAGGGTATGAGTTGTTCCTGCCCGATCAAGAGAGTAATATCCACAGTATATATTTAACTACTTGTTTCTTAATGAAATTAGGTTTTCTGGTAGTATAATTGTATTCACTATTTTATTAAAATCAGAAGACATCGTTGGTGTCTAACAATGTCTCAGAAAGAATAATATTGTCTGTTGTTTATAATCCCTTCTTTAAAGGTGAATTCTCTGTCTACTAAATTGGAAAAGCAGAGAGAACAAAATTGTTCTACATGGGAAAAAGAATGGAGAAAAGGTCTGGGAAGATGCTAGGGTGGAGAGAAGGCAGACGAATGTATGGCTCAGTAAGATAGGGATAGGGATGAAGAGACCTTGATGTTTTTTGGGGTTTTGGTTAATGTGGGGCAGGGAAAGAAGAGCAAGAGAGGAGGGGTCAGGTAGCTAAAGATGAGGAGAAGTGAGGCAATGGGGAATAATGGGGAATGGAATTGGTTCTTTTTTTTTTTTTTTTTTTTTTTTTGAGACAGAGTCCCCAGTCTGTTGCCCAGGCTGGAGTGTAATGGTGTGGTCTCGGCTCACTGCAACTTCCACCTCCGAGGTTCAAGTTATTCTGCCTCAGCCTCCTGAGTAGCTGGGATTACAGGCTCATGCTACCATACCCAGCTAATTTTTGTACTTTTAGTAGAGACGGGGGTATATCACTGTGTTGGCCAGGCTGGTCTTTAACTCCTGACCTCATGATCCATTTGCCTCTGTCTCCCAAAGTGCTGGGATTACAGGCATGAGCCACTGTACCTGGCCGGAGTTGGTTTTTAATAGATACTGCTGCTTCTTCTCTTCACAATGTGATCATTAGTGAAGTCCATTTATTGCTTTAAATTTTCATATTCAATTAAATTACCCTTTTCCTGTTTCAAAAAAAAATGTTATGTAATAGCACTGACTTGTGGCAAACTTGAAAGCTTTTCTTTCATAGATTATTTATGGAATAAAATTAAGTATAGAGAAAAAGAAAAAATTTGATCTTAGTCAGATGATATCTTTTGACTCCTATTATAGACAATAAAATCACGTCTTAAAAGTCAGAGACAATAATGACAGCATGATCACAAATCTTTGTTTCAAAGCATCTATCAGTAAGAGAAACAGAGTAAATTGGAGTAAGGAGACTTGTTTGATCTGCCTTTGAAGGTAAAATTAGAGCTGCTTATAGGAATCAAAAGATTCAGGAGTGTCAAGCTAAAACTATGAGAAAGGCTCCAAGAGGAATAAAATGCTTCTTCTATTTAAGAACATACTTGTAGAGAAGTCTCTGAAAGCTATGTTCTATTGAGCTAATCTATCAGATTAGATTTTGTTTTGGTTTTATAGATATGGTGGCTTTGGTTTTGTTTTTCCACATTAAGTTAAAGAATGGGCTTAATATTTTGTTAAGAGTCACTGTGAACATCATATTTTGGATTCTAAATTACCTACCCTGATGATTAAAGAATTTCAGGAATACTGATTTAGTAGACTTTGAAAGGTAAGATTAAATGAAATTCTTTCATTTATTTTTCTCCACTATTCCTCTTTCCTTTGTTTCATAGTCGCTTTTCATTTAATCATTTTCTAAGAGCTTACATTTTTGCTCAATTGAAGATTATCCCATAACTAAGTGATGCATATACAAATACTCAGTGCTGGGAATTATTTCTCTTTAGAAGGAGAAGCAGAAATTAAATATTTAGGCTTTTGCAAAATGGCTTGTTTCTTTTGTTCAAAGTGATTATGTATCCCATCAGAATGGAACGTGGATTAGGTGTTTGAATGCTTTGTGCCTCAGGCTTTTTTACAAATACATGTTACTAAATGTAAAAATAACTTCTATTTTTCCAAACTAATTAGTGAGATTTCAGGACACATTGTTCACTCACAATTTTTTTCCCATGGCTTACCATTAATCTCTATCTGAATTACTGACTATATGATCAATGAAGATTAAACATACAATAAAATTTGTTCCTGGAATTTGCCTTACTTATGGTTAAAGCATTTGTGTTGTGAGGAAAGCATTTTTTTTCCACAGACACTAAAGTGTTCAGTAATTGATAGCCATCTGAATGTTATCTCTTTAAGGCTTTAAAGAAACATTTAAAATCTGAAATTGGAGGCAAATTGGGGAAATTCTGTTTTGTATCAATGAGTTCTTAATGCTTACTATGTACATCCTCTCTCTCCATATATATATTTAGTTTTAATAACCCCAATGATGGAAGTATTATTATCTTCATTTATTAGATAAAGAAGCTACAACTTACAGAGATTTGGTAACTTTCAAAATCCATCTAAGACACATAACTTTTAAGTGATTAACCTTTATTTGAACCCACGAAGCTTTCTCATGGACCCAGAGCTCCTACAATAGTGCTATGTGATTCACTTCATTTCTTCAGCGCTTCTGACATTCTTTTTGACCATCATTAAGCTCATAAAAAGGAAATTTAGTTAATATTCTATTATATATGTTAAGAAATGGAAAGATTGTTATATATTATAAACCAAAAATAAAATTCTAAGGCCCCTCAACCATCCAAACGGACTTTTTCCTCAGCCAAAGCACTCAAGTTTAACCAGAAAGACTGACTTAAGTCATGATGGGAAGTGGGGGTTGGACATCTCTTATTATACCTCTCCATCATTAACATCAACACATACTTTAAGTCTGATAAAAAAACATCTTACAACCTATTCTTTCTGAAGCCTACTAACTGAAGGCTTCCTCGGCAAATAAGAACTTTGATCTCCACAATCCTTTATCTCAACACATACATTTCCTTTCTATTGATCCCAAGTCTTTAGTAAAGTCAACCAATTGTCAACCAGAAAAATTTTAAACATGCCTATAGCCTGGAAGCCCCCAATTTCCAGTTGTCCCACCTTTCTGGACCAAACCAATGTATTTATTAAATGTATTTGATTGAAATCTCATTGGCCTCTTCAGTCCCTATGTAGTGGCCTGGGATTCAATCTGTGAGGTGGGGGGCCTGTAATCAGGACTCCATCTTGCTTTGCTTTTTTTTTTTTTCCTCCATTTTTTTCTCTTTTTGCCTGATTAAATTGTGCTCTACTTACCCTTCAGTGTGTCTGCATGCCTAAATTTTCCTGGTTGTGTGACAAAAGCCTGGTTTTAGCTGAACTAAGGAGCAAATTCTGCAACATCATGTCTCCCTAAAATGTGTAAAACCAAGCTGCACCCCAACCACCTAGGGCATATGTTCTCAGGACCTCCCAGGGCTGTGTCACAGGCCAGGCTTACTCATATTTGGCTCCGAATAAACTTTTAAAAATATTTTACAGAGTTTGACTCTTCTTATTGACAATATAAATGCAAAAACGATAAAGAAGACAAAGTATTTTAGCTTTGTAATATAAAACTATTTTGTTACTGTTAAATTTGGATTTATTTTTGTTTCTGACCAATTATTAAAAATAATTCATATTTCATTAGCACTCACAGGTGAGTGTAAACAGGTTCAGGTTATGTGGAGAAATGAAGAGGTCAGTTACTTAAAAATTCACTGAGGCTGGGCACGGTGGCTCAGGCCTGTAATCCCAGCACTTTGGGAGGCCGAGGTGGGCAGATCATGAGGTCAGGAATTCCAGACCAGTCTGGCCAACACAGTGAAACCCTGTCTCTATTAAAGATACAAAAATTAGCTGGGCGTGGTGGCGTGTGCCTGTAATCCCAGCTACTTGGGAGGCTGAGGCAGGAGAGTTGCTTGAAACCAGGAGGCGGAGGTTGCAGTGAGCCGAGATTGTGCCATTGCATTCCAGCCTGGGAAATAGGGTGAGACTCCAACTCAAAAAAAAAAAAAAAAAAAAAAAAAAGAAAAGAAAAGAAAAAGAAAATCACTGAAATATCTTCACAAGGAACATTAACAAGAGTGTATCCATGGGTTGTTTTTATTGGCCATAATGTACATGCAGTTAAATATTTTTCAATTGTACAATATTCTATAGAAGAATCAAACTTTCTCATAAAGCACTGTTTGTTATTGAATTCCAGCACAGATTTGAGAGGAGTCTGATATAAAATTATGTTGACTTATAAAAGAATAGTCAACTTGCAAATGTAGAAAACCTGACCTCAGAAAAGGAAACATTCTTGTTTTCATCCAATGGGAGACACTGAATCAAATGATAAAAATATTTCTATATAACCAGAAAGTTCGTATTGAGCAGACAAAAATGTTTAATCAGACGTTTCCTTGATCTGGTTATTTACCTCCTGTTACTTCTCATTCTTGCTTTTCGATTAGAATCTCCATTTCTCAGTTACCATAAAATGAAGAAACAACAGGTCCTGAAGAAAAGTTAAGAGTATCCTGAGCACTTAATATGTTACCCTCTGTAAATAAGTGCATTTGACTTTTGGCTTTATGTATCAGTCTTTTCTAAGGGTGGCTAAACTGACATCTTTTCTGTAGGCCCAATACCTTCAAGATGTTGATTGGAAATACATTTGCAGGTTTGCAAGTCAGAGTGCTTGACACTGGACCACTGTGATTTCACTCTGGACAACATTCTCCTGGCTTCTCCAGGCACCTTTCTTCTGTCTCAGGAGTGATTCCGAAGTGGTGTGTTCTAATAACATGGGAGTTTCCTGACCCTCTTATGGATGTGTGACAGTGGTGTGGCTTGTTTATTCAGCTCAAACTCCTTAGGGAGAGGGAGCATGCAAATGAGCGGGTGCAGGAGCCAGTGTGAGTGTTTTGGGCTCCGGCCCCATGGCAGTGTCTAGGGGTGTTACAATGCCTTTTTAGCCCTGCCATCCGGGAATGGCTTAAGTGTTAAATAGCTCAGTGAAGAGTCAGTGTGACAGTCTTTTTGGGTTCCTGCACCCAGTGTGTCCCGAATTTTTGTCCAGTGTCCAAAAAGAATCGGGTCACACAGACTTGAAGGATGGTAAATATGGGGATTTTATTGAGTGATGGAGGTCGCTTTCAGCAGCATGGGTAGCTGGAGAGGGGATGGAGTGGGAAGATAATCATCTTCTGGAGTTCAGCCACAGCAGAACTCTGGGTGTTCAGATACTCCCCCTCTGCTCTCCTTCTCTGCAGCTCTGCCACTCTTTTGCTTGTGAAGCCTGGGGTTTGTGGTTTATATGGGCACAGGATGGGGAGTGCATAGCAGGCCAAAAGACAATATTTGGGCATGAAAACAGGAATGCCAGTTCACATTTAGGGCCGCAAGTCCAGGCTTGAAGGTGGAGCCCTCACCAGGAATCCCAGCCTCCTGCCTCCTGTCTCCTGTCCATATCTCTGACATTTGTGAAGCAAATCATATGTAATTTTGTTATTAGTAATAAAGTGTTAAAGTTTGGTAAATAATTTAGTTTTTACAAATTAGATTGGGTCTAAGATTACTCATATAATAATATCATTTTTGTGTTTCAGTAAGCCATTTTTGAGTTGAAAAAAATATCTGTGGAATTAAACCATATTTAGAGTTTAGGAAACTCTATACCTTGCTTGTCACACTTCTGGTCCAAATCATGAGCCAGAAAATGACATAGGAAATATTTGGGACTAAATCATGTACTATCATACCATTTTTAAATACTGATATCCCCTAATACTTTTATAAAAGCTTTCTTTATAAGTTAAAAAAAAAAGAGAGAGAGATAAATTCAGAAAAAGGTATATGTGTAACCTAAAGATAGTAGCCCTAATATTAAGCCTTCTAAATGACTTATGAGGACAGATTTTGTGGAAGAGATAGTGTTACACAAATGCAGGGTGCCTAGAGCAACAGTCTATTTCTTCTCTCATTGGTTGGTTGGTTTCTGTTAGTGTTTTGATCACATCACAGATTTTTCAATAATTCCTCAAGTCGGTATAGATAATGCACTACTGCACTACAGGAATTTAAGGGTAAAGAGAAATAAATAATTCACTCATTATGAAGCCTTCATTAGTTTCTCTTTTCAAAGCCTCCATTACGTTTGCTCCCTTTCTTTTGTCAGTTACAGTTTGTATTGCAAACCAGCCACTTATGGACTTATTTCACCTGTCTTTGAACTGTAAGCTCCTTAGGGACAGAGCCTTGATATTATTATTTGTATTGCCTTATAGAAAGCTTTGCATGCAGTAGGCACACATTGGTACTCATTGAGTAAATGGTGTCATTCATATTAATTTAAATAATCATCACAATAATTAAAGGCTGGGGAAATCTATTATAGTGGAATAATTTAAAATTTTAAAATAAATAACCAGAATCCCTAAGAAACCATTTTTATTTGCTTGTTTGGTTAATTTGGCAACTACCTTTCTTAATATAGTTAAAGTATTGCTTTGTATAAAATATACACTTGAAATAATTAGTAAATAATCGTTAATGTTACAACTGAATGTATTAAAAATATATTAAACATATTTTAAAATAATCATAAAAGTCATACAGTAATAAAATTTTTAGATCAAATTGATTTTATATGATTTTAAAATTCAGGAATATTCAGAAAATCTTATTTAGCCAATACTTTTCTTCTGCAATTTTTACTTGGACTGATAGGAGCTAATCAAACATGTTTTATTAGATTATAAAAGTAGTATGAAGAAAAGGGAATTATACTAGAAATAGGACACTTGGCTTTTAATCTTTATTTTGTAATTAACTGGTGATGTGACTAGAGCAGTTACTTAACATCTCTGAGACACATATTACTAAAATGGAATGATGGTAGACTGATAGTCTATGGTTTTGCAAAGTGTGGATGTTGGTGAGTGAGGTAAAAGAATTGTCTTTGATACTAGCTGCAGTCTTCTGATGTATATAATAAATAATTAGAATAAGATGCAGAAAACAAAGCAAGTTTTACAAAGTGATTTTAATTCTAAATGGAAGTGATACAGTTGTTAAGATGTTTTATTCTTGAAAATGATGTGAAATTGGACTGGGCACAGTGACTTGTGCCTGTAAAGCCAGCACTTTGGGAGGCTGAGGCGAGTGGATCGCTTGAGCTCAGGAGTTAGAAACCAGCCTGGGCAACATCACAACAGCCCATCTCTAAAAAAAAAAATACCAAAAATTAGCCAGGTATGGTGGCATACAACTGTAGTCCCAGCTACTTGTGAGGCTGAGGTGGGAGGATTGCTTGAGCCTGGGAAGTTGAGGCTGCAGCAAGCCGTGATCACTCCATTGTACCCCAGCCTGGGTGACAAAATGAGACCCTGTCTCAAAAAATAAAAAAGGATGTGAAATTGGTTTTTTTGAACTTAGGATGAAACACCTACATACAACACCCAAATTACGAAAGAAATATTTGTAATTCTGATTTCTTTAACATAGGCTTCTCCATCATTTCCTCTGGGATGAACATAGCTTTTTTTTTTTTTTTTTTTAACAACTCAGCTACATGTACATCTTCCTCAGTGGAACAGTCATCCTCTAACAAGAGTTTCTATAATGTGAATGCACAGCAAACAATAGTCTCCTTAATTTCCATTATAAAAGTTTTATACCACCAGAAGTAAGACGATATAATATCTTTCAACAAATATCCCTGGAATAATTGCATATTCATATGCAAGCAAAAGAACTTCAATTTATACCTTGTATCATATACCAGGATTAATTCAAATTCAGTCATAATCCTAAATGTAAAATTTAAAATTAGAAAACTTCCAGAATAAAAAAACAGAATATTGTGTTAAGTAATATTTTTTAGATATAATATCAGAAGTATAATCCACAAAAAGACAAATTACTTACATTAATGTCGTTATAATTAAAAACTCCTGCTCTTCTATCGAGCAAATAAGAGAGAAACCACAGAATGGGAGGAAATATTTACAAATAATAAATTTGATAAAGGATTTGTGCCACCATATATAAAGATATCTCAAACTACACAGGAATACAACTCAGCAATAAACATAAATGAATTTGACACAAACTACAATGTTGATGAATCTCAGAATAATTAGTCTGAGTGAATGAAGCCGGGCAAAAAAGAATACCTACTAGATGATTCAATTTATGTAAAATTCTAGAAAATTTAAATTAAAATATGAGAACAGAAAACAGATCAGAGATTGCCTGAGGATGGGTGAGGAGTGGTGAGAAGTAAGAGCTACAAAAGAACATAAGGAAACATTTAAGAGAAATTAATATGTTCATTATCCAGATTGTGGTGGTTCCGTGAATGTGTACAGATGCCAAAACTTACCAAATTGCACATTCTTACTAAGTACGGTTAAGTACAGTAAATTGTACTCTAATAAAGCAATTAAACTTTTTATGAAGTGAATTTAAAACATAAGAAAACTTTTTAAAATTTCCTTACATATTTCAGCTCATTCTGATTACTCCTTGTACCATACTGTAACAAAGTTAATATTAAAAAACGGAACAAACCATAGTCCCTCACTTTAAAGAGCTCAAAACAGTGGAGCACTTCCACTTTTGACTAGCAGGCTAGTGAGCTAGGTGCTTTAAAAATGATATAATGCTACAATGAAAATAGATTCTAGATAAATTATAATTTGTTTCTTACCCAGAAACAATAGACTAGCACTCAATAGTGTAAAAAAAAAAACAAAAGGAAACATACAAATAGATAAATGAACACACAGATGAAAGTAGAGCCATGAGCTATAGATGACTTTAAAAGCATGAAGAGGTGGAGGCCAACCTTTGAGCCCCATGAATGGTTGAGAATACATACCTGAGAATCTTCAGTTTAAGTTGTGAACTTAAGACTCTTCCAACAGGCCTAGACCCTTGAAGAGAGTACCCCGATAGTGATGATATGGGGTAGAAAAAAAATCCACTAAAAAATAGATCTTACCAAGAAATTGGTAATTTTCAAGGTGACTACAGGGGAAAATATTAATAATTCTCTTTACAGAAAATTTATAGCTAGTAGCCTGCTCTCATACAGGTCTGGTGTTCAAATATTCGCTAATTATTTAGTCAGGGAAACCCCAAGCTTACATTGTGTTCCACAAAATATGTTCTCCCAATAAGAAAATACATTACCCAACATAGGAGGGAGTAAACCATCATAATTGAGCGTCAGAAGAACAATACACAATTTCTCATATTGAAATTACAAGGTAAACCGTAAGGAATTATTTTTCAAAAGTGTAAATTATAAAACATAGAATGAAAAATAACAAGGGTATTGGTAACTATTTAAAATAGGTAGATACTTTTCTAAAGAAATATATATTTTATATGCAAATATGCAATTAATAAACTGACAAGAAAATCAGTGGATGCATTGAATAACAGGTTACAGCCCCCTGAAAAAAGGAATAATAAGCTGAAAGATAAAACTGTATATCTCTTATAAATGATGACAGAGAAACAATAATATGGGGAATTTTTTAAAAAGTTGTGAGACTTAAAGGGTACATTGAGAAAGTTTGTCATATATCTAATGAGAATTCCAGAAAAATGAAGAGAATGGGAAGAACCAATATTCAAAGTGATAAATGCTGGAAATATTATATAACAAATAGAAGTATAGACCAAATATAAAAATCACTATGTATACCAAGCAGAAAGAAGTAAAAGAAATCTATATGTAGATACATGGAGGAGAAACTTCAAAATACAAAACAGAACAGAGAAGATCAAAATAAGAGGAAAAAGACCAACACACACATACAAGGGAAGGGTCTTCAAAAAATTCATGGAAAATTCATATTATGGAAAAACTAGGCATAGATTTCAAAAATTTTTTGCACTAAAATAAACTAATTCTAACTTGCTATAACTTATCTGAACAGGATCTAGTTTGATGCACCGAAAAGAATAAGGCATCAGTTTAAAAAGATCCCTTATCAGAGCTACATGAATTCTGCTAAAGTTGAAGCAAGAGCAAATATCAAATTTATGAAGCTTGAGCAGAAGAATGGTGCAATCATTGATGCCTTACAGAAAGTTTATGGGGACAATGCCCCAAAGAAATCAGAAGTTTACAAACGGATAATTCTTTTTTTTTTTCTTAATTTGTATTTTTAATAGAGACAGGGTTTCACCGTGTTAGCCAGGATGGTCTCGATCTCCTGACCTCGTGATCGGCCCTCTTCGGCCTCCCAGAGTACTGGGATTTCAGGCGTGAGCCATCGCGCCCAGCCAAACTCGTTTTTTTTTAAGTGACAAGAAGTTGAAGATCAAGTCCACATAGGCAGACCATCCACATTCGTTTACAAGGAAAAATTCATCTGATTTGTGCCTTAATTGAAGAGAACCAACAATGAACAGCACAAACAATAAATAACACCATTAGACATCTCAGTTGGCTTATGTTACACAATTCTGACTGAAAAATTAAAGTTGAACAAACTTTCTACTTGATGGAGCCAAAACTATTGGACCAGATCAGCTCTAGACAAGAGCAGAGCTTTCAATGAAAATTTTAAACAAGGGAAATAAAAATAATGAAGCATATCTTTAAAGAATTTTGAAAGAAGATTAAACAATGCTCTATAAGCATGATCATGATCCTGAACACAGAGCACAATCAAAGCAATGGCTACCAAGAAGTGGAAGTGGTCCAGGCAAAGCACAAGAGCAAAAGTCAAGAGTAAAGATTATGGCAAAAGTGTTTTGGGATGCTCAAGGTATTTTGCTTGTTAACTTCCTGAAGAACCAAAGAATAATAACATCTGCTTAATTATGAGAGTGTTTTTAGAATGTTAGCCTAGTGTTTAGCAAAGAATCTTCCAGGAAAGCTTCACCAGAATCTTTCTCTACCATGAAAATTCTCCTGCTCATTCCTCTCAAAAAAGGCAATTTTGCAAAAGTTTCTGTGGGAAATCATTAGGCATCCACATGGCAGTCCTGATTTGGCACCTTTTGACTCCTTTTTTTCCTTAAAAGTCTTAAAAAAAATATTTAAATGGCACCTGTTTTTCTTCAGTTAATAATGTATAAAAAGACTGCATTGACATGATGAAATTCTCAGGACCCTCAGTTCGTTAGGGATAGAATAAGTGTCTGATATCATGACTTATGAAATTGTCTTGACCCTGATGGACAATTATTAAGAACTTTATGTGAAGAAATAAAGTTTATATTTTTTATCTTTTAATTCAATTTTTCTATGAAAATTTTGAAGTTCTGTCATTTGTATGTATGTGTATACATATATGAATACAAATAAAATTTGAGTGACAGATGATTTTTCAACAGCCATGAACCAAGGTAGTAGTGTTCAAGTTATGTTCTGAGAAAAAAATGAAGTGCCAGCCTTGTATTGTATCCCTGTAATCTATCTTCAGAAAACAGAACAAAATACAATTATTTTCAGATAAAAATATATTAAGAGATCTGACCATAATGATACTCTTGAGAAAAAGCTTCTAAGGGGTGCACCTTATTAAAAAAGACAATGACCCTAAAAGTAGGAAAAAAGTTGGCAAATATATAATTAAATCCATGTAAATAGTCTCTGTAGGGTAATAAAAATAATGTCTACAAAGCAAAGAAAACACACAATAAAATGCTAGACGGCAGTATTTTTTTTTAGTAGGAAGTGACATAATGTGTCCAGGAGTTTCTTAACCCTTCCTGAACAGCAAAGGACCTTACTATACTTCAACTAGTTATTTTTATTTTTATTTTTTGAGACAGAGTTTCGTTCTTGTTGTCCACGCTGGAGTGCAATGGCGTGATCTCAGCTCACTGCAACCTCCGCCTCCCAGGTTCAAGCTATTCTCCTGCCTCAGCCTTCCGAGTAGCTGGGGTACTCCCTCTTTTAAGTGAACTCTGGAGCAAGACTGCTTAAATTTGAAGAACTGAGTTTGTATCTATTTGGTCCAGAGCAAGTTATTTAACCTTTCAGTACCTCAGATTCTTCACCTGTAAAATGGGAATAGTAATAGTATGTATCACAGAGGATTTTTGCAAGTATTGAATGAATTAATATATTTAGATGACTTAGAATAATGTCTGACATATAGAACTATGAAAATACATTTATTAGTAGTATTATTGTTGTTTTTAATGTTATATATTTCCAAAGAAAACTTAGATAGGAAAAGGCCTCCAATTACTTTTATAAGCCTACTTTTACCAGAAACAGACCCTAAAAAGTACAAGAAAAGAAAACTATAGGCCAGTCAGATTAATAAAGATTCAGAAATCTTACATAATGAAAGTATTAATATAATGCAAACTTTGGCATATAAAATCTACTAATGTATAAAATATATAATTTATATCCTGACCAAGGGGTATTTGTTTCATTAATGCAGGAAAGATTTAGCATTCTTAATGCAAATTATATATTATGTAGAGTAAAAGAGGAAAAGTCATAGGATTACTCAACTGATGAAAAAAAAAAAAACACTCATTTGAGATATTTCAACCCTCATTCATGCAAACAGACATTTAGAAAAGTAGAAAAAGGAAGAAATTTCCCTAACCAAATGAAGGCTTTTCATCAATAATATTAAGCAAAGCATCATAGATAATGGTGAATCCTTAGAAGAAATCTATTTAATGTCAGGATCAAAACAAGGGCATCTGGTATCACTGATTCTAATCTATCACTGCAACACAAAACAAAAAGAACAAAGAACTAAAAAGAAGAGTTATAATGAGGACTGCCACAATGAATAACTCTAAGGGGAACATAATATGCAATGTGAATGATGCCTCTGGAATGTACAATAAAACAGGCCTGATTTTAAGATAGGAAAAAATTAGGTAAAATTGCCATCATTCAGAGATAAATGATTATCTGTAAAACAACCCAAGCTATCCACACAAACTGTTAGAAATAATAATAGGCTTTAGTTAAATCAATGTACAAAATGAATAGTATTCATACAAGCAACAATAATTAGAAATTTTAAAATAATAACAGTAATAAAACATCCCATTTTCAAAATTATATATTGCTGCAGAATATTTCTATCAAAAAGTACAAATTTATCTGGAAGGAGAAAACTATAAAACTTATTTAAAAGATATTTACTAAATAAAAAGATAAGGCATACTTACAGGTAGGAAGACTTAATATGATAAAGATATCCGTTCTTCCTAAATTAATATATATACATAATGTAATTATTTATAAACTTCCAACAGATCTCTTTTTCTAAATAGAGATCAGTTGGTCCTACAATTCATATATAAAAGTAAATAAATCATAGCAATGAAGACAATTTTGAATAAGAATAGAGGACTAGATAGCAACACTTACAAAGATGTAGCATTAGTACAAAAACAAACACACAAATATATGTATTCATATATCTTTGCTGTAACATACATTTGTATATACAACATATGCTAAAATATATATGTGTATGTATTATTCCATTTTCATACTGCTGTAAAGATACTATCTGAGACAGAGTAATTTATAAAGAAGGGAAGTTTAATTGACTCACAGTTCTGCATGGCTCCGGAGGCCTCAGGAAATTTACAATCATGGCAGAAGGCAAAGTAGAAGTGGAAACAAGATATGTCTTTCTTACATGATGGCAGAGGAGAGAGAGAGAGAGAGAGGAAGAGCCACACTTAAAACCATCAGCTCTTGTGAGAACTCCCTCATTATCATGAGAACAGAATGGGGGAAACTGCCCCCATGATCCATCAAATCATCTTCCACCAGGTCTCTCCCTTGATACATGGGGATTACGATTCAAGATGAGATATGGGTGAAAACACAGATCCAAAGCAAATCAGTCCACCTCTTCCTTCTCCCAGAATTCAATATACTTTTTACATTTGGAAACCAATCATGCCTTCCCAGCAGTCCCCCAGAGTCTTAACTCATTCCAGCATTAACCCATTGGACCCAAAAGTCCAAGTCCAAAGTCTCATTTGAGAAAAGGCAAATGCCTTCCACCTATAAGCCTATACAATTAAAAAAAACCACAAAAAACAAAAAAACCCCACCAAATTAGTTACTTCCAAAATACGATAGAGGTACAGGAATTGGGTAAATGCTCCCATTCCAAAAAGGAGGAATTGGCCAAAACAAAGGGACCACAGGCCCTGGCAGGGCACTCAGTAAATCTTAAAGGTCCAGAATACTCTCTATTGACTCCATGTCTCACATCCAGGGCATGCTGATGCAAAGGGTGAGATCCCAAGCCTTGGGCAACCCCGCCCCCGTGGCTCTGCAGGGTACAGTCTCCCGGGTGGCTTTCATGGACTGGTATTGAGTGCCTCCAGCTGTTCCAGGGTCACAATGAAAGCTGTCAGTGTATCTATTATTCTTGGTTTTGGAGGAGTGTGGCCCTCTTCTCACAGCTCCAATAGGCAGTGCCCCAGTGGGGACTCTGTGTGGGGACTCCAACCCCACATTTCCCCTTTGCATTCCCCTAGTAGAGGCTGTCCATGAGGGCTCTGCCTCTGCAGTGAACTTTTGCTTAGACATTCAGTCATTTTTATACATCCTATGAAATCTAGGTGGAGGTTCCCAAAGCTCAACTCTTGTCTTCTATGCACCCGTAGACCCAACACCACATGGCAGCTGCTAAGGCTTGAGGCTTGCACCCTCTTAAGCAATGGCCTGAGCTGTACCTTGGCTCCTTGTAGCAAATAGCTGGAGCCGGAGTGACTGGAATGCAGGGCACCAAGTCCCAAAGCTGCACAGAGCAGCAGAGCCCTGGGCCTGACCCAAGAAGCCATTTTTCCCTCCTAGGCCTTGGGCCTGTGATGGGAGGGGCTGCCACAAAGATCTCTGACATGGCCTGAAGACATTTTCACCATTGTCTTGGCTATTAACATTTGGCTCCTCATTACTTATGCAAATTTCTGTAACAGGCTTGAATTTCTCCCTCGGAAAATGGAGTTTTCTTTTCTACCACATGGTCAGGCTGCAAATTTTCCAAACCTTTATGCTCTGCTTCCCTTTAAAATATAAGTTCCAATTCCAAATCATCTGTTTGTGAACACATATAACCGAATGCTTTCAGAATAAGCCAGGTCACCTCTTGAATGCTTTGTTGCTCAGAGATTTCTTCTGCCAGATACTCTAAGTTTTCTCTCTCAACTTGAAAGTTCTACGGATCTCTAGGGCAGGAGTAAAATGCCTCCAGTCTCTCCGCTAAAGCATAGCATGAGTGACCTTTACTCCAATTCCCAATAAGTTCATCATCTTCATCTGAGACCATGTCAACCTGGACTTCATTGTCTATATCACTATCAGTGTTTTGGTTGAAACAATTCAACAAGTCTCTAGGAAGTTCAAAACTTTCACTCATATTCTGGTCTTCTGAGCCCTCCAAACTGTTTCAACCTCTGACTGTTACCCAGTTCCAAAGTCAATTCCATATTTTCAGATTATCTTTATAGCCATACCCTACTACTTCAGTGCCAATTCTCTGTATTAGTCCATTCTCACACTGCTATAAAGAACTACCTGAGACTGGGTAATTTAAGAAGAAAAGAGGTTTAATTCACAGTTCCACATGGCTGGGGAGGCCTCAGGAAACTTATAATCATGGTGAAAGATGAAGGAGAATCAAAGCATGTCTTACATGGTGGCAGGAGAGAGAGAGAGAAAGATCGAGGCAGTGCTACACTTAAGACCATCAAATCTCATGAGAACTCCCTCACTATCATGAGAACTCCCTCACTATCATGAGAACAGCATGGGGGAAACCACCACCATGATCCAATCACCTCTCACCAGGTCCCTCCCTCAACATGTGGGGACTACAATTCGAGATGAGATTTGGGTGGGGACATAGAGGCAAACCATATCAGTGCATGTATGTATATGCATATGTGATACGTTTATATATCATTATATACTTGTGTGTGTACATATATGTATATATATAAAAAAATGTAGAGAGATATATAGCTATAGGTATAAGTGTGTGTGTGTGTGTGTGTGTGTGTGTGTGTGTGGAGAGAGGTAACCTGAGAAAAAGAGAGAAAGAAATTGAGAGAGGAAGGAAGCAGAATGGAAAGCTTATTGAATTTCAAAGCTAAATTCTTTATAAATGTAATACTTAATCATTAAATCAAAATCTGCAAATGTCAGTATTAAGTATATTATAACTATGACTTTTGAATAGAAAAAGATTTAAAAACTACAAGATTTATAATTCTTAAATGAAGAGATTCATATGCTTTACTGACTTCTGTTTTGTTTTGTTTTTTGACAGGGCCTCACTCTGTCACTCAGGCTGGAGTGAAGTGGTGCAATCACAGTTCACTGAAACCTTGAACTCCTGGGTACAAGGAATCCTCCTGTCTGGAACTACAGGCACGTACCACAACGCCTGACTTTTACTGCTTTTTATTTAAGATTTAATAACAGGAAAGATACCACAAAGAAACTTAAACTACAAAGAGAAAATACTTGTAATTCATGTCATTCCCAAGGAATTTGGAATAAAATATATAAAGATTCCTACTGATCAATTAGTGATAAACAACAATCTAATAATAAGAAGAAAAAACTAAATGAATGGGTGATTTATTAAAAAGGATACAAGAATAGAGAATGATATATGAAAAGATATCCATTAATGATCAGAGATATGTAGATTTTGGTAGTCTTAAAACTTTACAGCAACATTTTTGGACATTTCTTCCAACTAGATGGTGGATCTGTGTCCCCTCCTCTTGAATCTGAGTGGACCTTTCTGGCTTCAATCAATAAAAAGTATGACAAAATTGATGGTCTGTTGTTTCCAGGCCCAGGTCATAAAAGGCCAGGCAGATTCACTCTTGGCCACTCAAATGCTTGCTCTTGTAGTCCTGAGCAACAAGTCTGACCTCTCTGAGTTGCTGTGTTGATAAGAAGCTTATAGGTGCTCTGGTCTTTAAGCCTCAGCTATTGGTCATCCTTGGCTGTTCAAATCTTTCTTCCTGAGGGCATGGATGTTATGGTGGAGACACAATACATTCCTGATCCATGGGAAGAATGAACATAAAATAAAATGGTTATTATCATATGCCATTAAGTTTCAGTGTAGTTTGTTTTGTAGCAAAAAATAATGGAAACAGAGTTTGAAACAAGTAAATACTTTCTCACATCCTGTATATTGCCAAAAAATAAAACCTCTCACAATAACAGATGTCACCACAAAATGTCAACAAATGTAGAACTCTTATATGCTACAGGTGGAAATGTAAATCACTCCAATCTTTGGAGAACAATTCAATAATATTTTAAAAATTTAAGAAAGCTTTAACTCAACCTGACAATGGTATTCCCGGAATTGCACATGTATATAAGGAGAGATGGAGAAAACTGTACAATGCAGCATAGATTTTAATAGTCAAAATCTGGAAGCAGTCCATAGAGGAAATGTATAGATAAATTTGGCTCTAGTTATATAGTAAATATGTGTCTGGTATGCAGTAGGTACTCAATATTTATTGAATAAATGAATGGATTAATATAATGCACTAAAATGAATAGTCGATGTATTGGCATGGATGCTTCTTTAAAAGCATGTGCTATAAAATATGATTAGCATGATAACACATTTCTGAATTACCCCATACACTTTTAACTCTTTAATTTACAAATAAATGCAGTCTGATTTGGTGATATGATAGAGATTTATGAAAAGGCTTCCCATATTATAGGGTAGATTATTGGCAAAGACCCAGGTGTGCAAAGCAACAGCAGTTTGTGGCCCTGAGGCCTTCAGGTCATGGAGGCTCCATAGCATCTGCATCCTGTAGGTCTTGCATGGCCACTGGTGCATTTCACCAAGTGAAGAACTGGATCAGCTTTACATTTTACAAAGATCACTCTGGCAGAACAGTTTGCAAGATTATGTGCAAAATTAAATGTTAGGGGACAATCATAGAAATTGGTGTTAGACCAATATAGTCAGTGGTGATTGAGAGAAAGAGATCTGATTCCAGGGGTATTTAAGAGGTAGAATTGAGACAATGTGTGACCCAATGCATGTGGCAAGATCAGGAAGAGGGAGGAATCTGGAAAGACTACCTGACTCTGGATCTAAGTGAATACAGGTTGTGTTCATTGACTTAGCAGGATGCGAGGAAAGTGCAGGTTTTGGGATTAATAGATGATAAGCCTAGTTTTTAGATCTGCCAGGTTTGGGACACCTGTGGATCATTTAGGAGGTAATATGTGGTTTGCAGAGGAATCCAAGAAAACAAAAGTGTCTTCAGAGTGAGACAAGTAAATGGGAGTGGTATTTGGGGATGTCACTGTGTTGTAAAGTCTATAATGATGATGATTTTAAAGTGCCCATATAACTCATTCAGTGTGTTTTTAATAGAAAGCCTCACAATTTAATTCAAACCGATTTTCATTAAGGATCTGTTCTGTGCACACTCTGGAGCCCTGAGCCTTGGTAGAGCTAAGGCGCTGTGTCCCTACAGTTCTGTTTTCAAGATGTGTTCCATTATCTGTAGCACTAATAATGCATTATACTCCCTCTCACCTCTAGCACATTGTCACTTTTGCCCGACTGTGCCTCACCTTGGGCCCCACTGTGGTTGTCACCTCCCTATGACTCATTTTTCTCTGTCCTAAGAGCAGGTATGTTCCTCAGTAAGGACCGTGTCTTTGTCTCTGGCATAAACCCAGTGCTCACTAAGGTACCTTATAATAGGTATATAATAAATATTTGTTAAATAGTAAATATTGTTTTAAGACATAGACCATGTACACTGGGAACTTGTAATCAAATGTGAGCGTAGCACAGTTTGCTTGGAACTGTTCTCTGTTGCTTTATGCCTGCCGTGCATCCCTCTTCAGTTATATATAAATAACTAAGTCAGGACTATATGTTTTTCTTTTATGCCATTGGCCATCTCTCCTGTCATAGTGTTCAGGTAATGTTTACAGCATTCACTTGAGCAATATTTTAGGGTACTAACAAGATTAGCCATTTTGCACTCTGTCCATATTAACTATTCTGCAAACCTAATGATTTGTTTATTTAACTCAGTACTGATTTCCCCATTAGGGCCTATTAGCACCTCAAAATTGGCTATGTAAACCTGGTGAAACCTGATTATTATCAGCAATTAGTAATTTGATGGATCCTTTATATAAAATTTAAATGGAGAAGCAAAGCACCTGAAGTTAATGGCTTTATCTGGCTATGAATTTAGAAAGAGGGCAAAAGTTGGCAACATGATTTCTCAAATTCTTATGGTTGAAACAAGGCGTTGAGTTCACCGTTTCCATGCATTTTGAAGGACTTTAAGTAGATTATAGTTGAATTAAAAGGGCCTGCATTTATCTGAGCATGTAGAACTTGAATTTTAAAACCTCTAACAATTTTGTTCTAAATTTTTGTTTTATTGTTACAGCTAGGGATGGGTTGGCTCATTGACTTAATTTCTTTTTCTAATGTATGCTTCTGCGCTTCAGAAATAAATAGAGAGAAATGAGTGAGAGAAAGAAACAGAACAGTTGACTGATGACCTTTGAAATATATCAAAACGACAATCTATTTATAGCCACTGGGAAATGCTCATCTATTTGAAGGCACCTCACAGCCTCTTTATCCTATGTGGCCTTTTTAGGTGTTCCTTTTTAATCCTGATCTAAATAAAGTAAATGCTTCAGAGTATCAAATTTACAGTCCAGCTAAATGAGAAATCCATTAGCTTGGAAACTCCTAGAAGTTGCATTGCTGTGGCCATTGATTTCTCCTCTCTGGTATTAACCTTACCTTGTATCCATTGAACACACCCTCCTGGCAGTGGGTCCATTTACTCACCTATCATCATCTCATGAAGAGCCCCAGGTGGCCCCCTGTAGCATGTCACTTTGAAAAACTATTACTTTGATGGTGAAAGAGTCAGTGTGACATCAAAAGTATCCTGAAGATTCCTGTGCTTACCATTTTTATACCTAACAGAACTCCTGTAGTTACAGAACCTAAAACCAATGCAAAATGTGATCGATATTAGTAAACAGTACACCACTATCTTAGACATTTAAAGTTCGTACTAGGAAAGATCAAATCAAATAAACAAACAGGCAGTGGCTTGCCTTTTTTGCATAGGGCAGCCTGTCTGCAAAGTTTTATCTCACTAGGCTGCTATTTTTGAGGACCACCTGAAGCTGAGGAAAGCTCTTTCTTTGGTTAGGTGTGGAAATATCAAGTCGATTTGTTAAATTGAATATTTTTCATGTATTTGCTCATACTGATCTTAAAGATGTTTAGGTTTAACAGGCCCTAAAGAAACACAAATTAATAAAAGTGGAGTTATGAACTTTGGTGGACATACACTTTATCTTTAAAAATCAGGACACTTCAGAAAATGGAGCGTTTTTAAAAATAGTACCAGTGCAAAGAACATAAACCAGGACCATTGCCTGGAAAACTGAGACCTGTGGTCACCCTAATTATGAGAAGAGGACAATTAAAAATGGAATGCTAACAGAATCTATTAGGACTGAAGGACTAGGGTTTAGTTTGGCAAACCGATGTTTATTTGACAAATCTGATGAATAAATATGAAGGCAACCTCCTATATTAATGTGGAAGGTGAATAATTTGATTGGAGTTATTAAGACCATTAGAACTGATTGCTTTAACATTTGTTGTTATTCTGTTAGATTAAAAGATAAATCAATGTCAGCTTGTTACTGGGACCCTCCCAAGTAAATCAGTCAATGACTAACTTAGTGTGTGCTTTCTGTTTCCAGTCATTTTGGTTTCATTTTCACAGGCTGATTTTTGCCCTTGAATGTACGATTAGTTGTATTTACGTAGACTGTGCACCATGTCACTTCTGCCAAGATAGCTGTTGAAAATTTTCATTTAAAAATATGCAGTTACTTCCTTTGTGGAATTGAGACCTTGCACATCTTTAAACAACTTAGAAGAAATGTGTACATGATTTATAGAACAAGCAAACAAAGCATGACCTTTCCTGAACTGATTAACAGTGCAATTCTTCAGAATGGCAGTTTACTGTAGATTCACTCACATTGAACAATTTTATAAATGTGCATAAGAATAGGCTTTGCTACAAATGCAAAACATGAAAATATAGTTGGATTAAAATAAAATTTGAATCAAATGCTTATATTATACTGGCATGAGAAAGAATGCTCAAAGCACTTATCCTGAGCCCTGTTTTCTAGTTAAAAAAATAAAAAAAACACTTTATATGGAATTTAAGAATAGTATATAAGAAACCATTTTCAGTTTTAATATTTAAATATTTTTCATATTTAATTATAGATATTTCCACACATCATAAATTAATACCTGCCTTAAATGGAGTAGAATTCAATTAACTTAAAAACAATGAAAACTAAATGTAATAGGGAGATTTTTAAATTTTTTCAGAAATTTTGTTTATCTTCCTGTGACCCAGAGCCATGTGTGAACAGAAGAGGAGTATGATGAGAAGCCATTTGGAAATCTATTCTGGCCACTTTTGCAGTAACAGGAAGCACTTTGAAAGAGTATAAAATTACAGCTCTTTTTTATTTTCATCTTGCAATGACAGGCTTTTTCAAATCAAGTAAGATAGGTTTAGAATGATTGGATTATCACACATTTAAAAATAAAATGTGTGCCAGGATTCACACCTCCATAATAAAAGCCTTATACTTGGATGATGAGCTCATGAACCCAAAAATACCAGTTCATTTTTGTTGATATGGTGGTTGCTGATGGTGCTGTTTAAGTTCCTTCAGAGTAGGGATCATCTTTGTTTATCTCTAGCACCTGGTTCTGTGTGTTGAACAACAGTGCTGGGGAGTCTTTTTGAATGTAAATATATGAAATCAAAATGTTAATGTGACCCTCAAGTCAATAGAGTATTATTGTAGTTATATAATTTTGCTTGTTTCCTTTTCACTAAAAAGCAGAACTACGTGAGGTTCCTCTTTTCAAGGAAATTCTTCAGAAAACCATGTTAACTATGTTCTTCCCTACCCTTTCCCCCACACAATATTTAACTTACCACAGCTTCACATTCATTGGGACATTGAATAAATATTTCTGGTCAATAATCACAAACCAAGAACTTGAAAGTCAACTTGTTTCTCTTCCAGCACTGTACACAGTCCAATTTCCTTTAACGTGGAGCTAATTTGTAGGTTAGGTTTTGTTTCAGCAGTTCTTTCTCGAAAGAATCTTGACTTATTTACATGTAAGAGTATGTAAGGAAATGCTTGTAATGTGAAGGGAACTATTCCTAGAAAAAAATTGAGAAGTAGGACAAGTCTCTTTTTGTGTCCTCCCTGCACGTCCTCCCAGCACTTCCTTCTGTTTCCCAAGGAAGCCACTATTTCCTCATTGCCCAAGTTCCTTCCTATAACAGCAAGGAATGTAGGAAATGACATATTACAGTTTTCTAAGGGATGCTTTGTATTTTAAGCTAAACTATGGAATTGGCAATTTTAAACAATAGATACTACTTAACCATACATATGGATGACTTCCAAATGAAAACATGACTATCTTTAAAAAAAAAAAAAAACCTTTTTAGACAAATAGACAAGCTGACCTTTGAAGAAGCCTCAGTTAACGTGATCATCTTTTATTTAAAACCCTCCACAATGACCCTCTGAGATAAGAAAGCTAAGGTCAAGCCAAGGCCATATTTTAAATTTTCATTTTTAACCTAAGTCTGTTAAAGCAAAATGATATTTACAAACAGATCCAATTTTGTTTCAATATTCATATGTGAGAAAAATTTATCTTGTAAAATAATTCAATCCAGTTTTTCCCTGGATGAGTGGGAAGAGGGATGCTGTGGATTTTTGCAAAGTAATAAGGCCAGGGCTTGGAAGAAAAAGTTGGAGCTGCTGCAGCAGGTAGAGAGGAGATTTTTCTTCCTCTCTTGATTCTATGATATTGCTACTGACCAGCTTTCCCTAATTCCAATATCCTTGAATGAGAAGCCATGAAAGCCAGTTGTCTCTCTTTATCTCATCTAGCACATGGCCTAGTTGATTTTCTTAAAATCTCACATAGCAGAATGTATTGTCATGGAATCAATGCAACTGGGAAATAGTATGTTTCTAATAAAGAAAAAAAAACCTTTTTTAAAAAACACAGACTGAGAATCATTCCATACTTGTATGGCACAAAGCCATTTACTAAGAGAGAAGAACTCCAATAAGTAAGACAAAAATAGTGAGTGGTAAGCCTTTTAAATTCACTCTGCCCAAAAATACTTCAAATAACTAAATACAAAGAAAATCCCTAAGAAGGCAAATCCAAATAAGAGGGAGAAAAATCTCTTTCATGTCAGACAACACACCACCCAAAATCACCAGAGGAAAACAATCAAGCCCTCTGTCCTTGATAACAATAACATACTGACTTTAAACAGTGCTAAACTCAGAAAAGAATGTGCAAGGTTTATTCCTATAAGAACAGAGAGGATTCGTCTTTCTTCATTTGTCTGACTCTTTGATATTTTTCTGATGTGTCTCTTGTGAAATTTCTTTTTCTTAGAAACTTTGAATGTTAACTTCCTTTTTTATGTGAAATGACTGTAATAAAATGTGCAGAATTGATCGCTTAGAAGATTGATGTTCTTAAAACTGATATCTTCTCTGTGACTATATGGTATGCTAACAAAAAAAAAAAGAAAAGAAATAGAAAAGCATGCTTCTCTACTAATGGTACACTGACCTTTATCAGGAACTATTTCCCAGGATAATTACAGAATTTTAAAAAGATGATTTGTTATATTTTCTCCTCTTAGTTATGATATCTTATTTTCTCTTACTTTTTCTTGGAAAAGATGCAAATAAGTTGAATGCCCATTTGCTATAAGAATTAAGAGGTGGTTTTTATAAAGTTCTTTTGCCAGTAAGGATCAGCTAGGTTACACTACAGTAACTAACTACCCTCATTTCTCAATGGCTGAACAGAGCAAAATGTTACTTCTTCCTAAACTTTCATGTCCCGCAAGGGTCAGCTGAGGAACTCTCTTGCACAAGGTCAATCATTGATTCAGGCTGACAAAAACTCTACCATCTTGAAATTGAGGTATACGGAATAGATGTCTTTCTCAGTCTGTGTAGCAGAATAAGAGAGGAAGGGAAAGCATTGCTTCCACAATTACTCGTTTGGACTGGTAATGACATGCATCATTACTACCTAAAGCCCATTGACCACAATTTGTTACAAAGACCCAACTATTTCCCAAAGGACTGGGAAGTAGAATCCACTGAGGTACCAAGAAGGAAAGGAGAACTGAATGTGAATTGTTCCAGAATTTTCTATCATAGAGTTTATGTTATGTCACTGTGGAAATATAAATCGGAAAGATAGACTGTGGCTAGATTGTGGTAGACTATCTTAGCCTAAGGGATTTGTACTTTAAATTATAGGCAATTGAAACCCATCTGTTTTTAAGCCTCAGAAATTGCTTTTCGTGCTATTATAATACTCTGAGGATTGAAGCACTAGCATTTGGAGTGGAGGTAGGGTTAAAGATGAGAACAACTAATCAAAGATATATATTCGCTATAATTTCCTCCAGGATGCCAATACTTACAACTCTTTCCTGACATTTTCCTAGCCTCCACTGAATTTGGTGTGAATGTTTTCTTTATTCTCCCTTGTATGTTCCTTTTCCAAATTTGACCTTGCTCCTCATCTCCTACCTTCCCCCCACAGCCAAAATTTACTAATTTGTGACATTATTAGAAAAATTACATGTTCAGTAGCTGCTTTAGTAATGTTTATCTGGCTCAGATGTACAATATGGATACAGGGTGAAATCAGGTAATTATTTTAATTATTTCTCTTTTTAAAGATAATGAGTGTTTGAAAGGTGTGACTGCAGTGGTATTAGAAATTATCTGGAGAGTACAGGAGAACCTAGAGAATAAAGATTGACTGATTTCGAGCTTAAGTGACTGAAGGGATGTTTTGGGTTATCATTTGAAAAGATGAATTACTAGTTTACATGAAAATACTTAAGGAAAAATCACAGACTACTACCCTTAGTTATAATGTATATATATATATATTTTTTTTTAATAGCATTAAATCTATTGTTTATGTTACTGTCAATTGTCTTTCTACAACATAGGTCTACTCGATTCTTGTCCCTTTCCTGCTAAAAAGTTCATAGGCCCTCATTATGTGGAATGTCATGTCCCAAGCTGTGCTAATCATGTTACTTCACAATAATGTTTGATGACCAAATACATCAGTGAATACTAGGTTACACAAAGAGAAATTGTATGTTTTTTAGAAATAATTAGTGGCCAATCTTTTGAAAATGGAATAGTATACAGTGTTTATCAAATTTACCTGACCATAGTGTTCTTGTTTTTCTTTGCATGTATTCTTTATAGGTAGGAAATTTTATTTGTAGGTATTCTCTGTAGGAATAGAGAGAAAACAAAAACAAAAACAAAAATAAAAAGTGTACACATCTCAACACAACTCAGTGTCTCTGGTAACCAAAATATATGTGTGTGTGTGGTGGTTGGGGGGCAGGGTTCTCCATTATGCCAAGCAAACAAATGATTGTACAGTGGACACCAGCTTGGTATCTTCTAATTCAATTCAATTATGACATTATCTACCTGAAAGTTGGCTCAGATCCCACAGGCCGAGGAATCTGTTTTACAAAGCTTCTGCTAATCTCTGATCCCAATCACAAGTAGTAGGTTATCACCTAAAGTTCTGGCTGACCTGCTATAAATTGGGGGTTCCCATTACCCTCCCCCCAATATTCAATTAATTTGCTAGAGCAGCTTACAGAACTGAGGGAAACACTTACTTATGGAAGAAATGCATAAGACTGGGTATGGAAGAAGGGGAGCAGAGTTTCTAAGTTTCAGTTTTCTTCCCAGCTGTACCACCATCCAAGAACCCGGACATGTCCAGCTATCTGAAACTCCCCAAATCCTGTTATTTATTTATTTTTTTTAGTGAAAGCTTCATTACATACACCTGGTTGATTAAATCTTTGTCCATTGGTGATCAACTTAGTCTTCAGTCATTCTCCCTTCCCTGGAGGTTGGAGGCTAGGGCTAAAAAGCCTCAACTCCCAAATTGCAACTTGGATTTTACCACGATCCATGTTATTCTGAAGCTACCAAAGGGCTGTCAAACACCATTCAACTCATTAGCATACAGTAGACACTCATCACTATGGAGATTACAATGATTTTAGGGGCTGTATGTCAAAAAATGGGGATGAAGATAAAATATATATAAATCACAATATAACAATGACATGGGAAATTAAACCATTCTAATACAGTTCTGAAATGGAACCCTTCAGTTGGTTTCATGGTGAAATGAAGACTAAGTAGATTTAATTTTCTCCAAAAGATTCTAGTCAGTAAAATTAAAACTCTTGTTTGGCAGTGATATGGGGAAATAAATAAGTGATTTATAATGATTGTTTGTACTATAGTAGGAATGATGGAGAGAGGGTGAGATAAACACTTTTGAGAGCTCTTTAAGAGCTTAAAAATTGGGAGTAGGTGGTAGAATTGGTATGAAGGCAAGAGACTAGTACATTTCATGTATAATTCTGAGATTTGTATCTAATGTAATTGTGATATAGGTGACATAGGAAATAATAGCTAATATTTATTGAATGTTCACTAAGTCAGATAATGTTCTCAGCTTTACTTCAGTTAAGTCAATTAATTCTCAAAATGAATTTGAATGTTTCACATGAGAGAGTCAAGGCAGATATTAAACAAATTGTCCAAGATTTTCATCTTTTAAGTGGTGGAACTGGCACTTGGGCTTAGATATTTAACTAAAACCCCATGTTCTTAAACATTGTGACATAAAGTATCTACATATCTAAATACATGAATAAATAGAACTTTTTTTATTCCAAATTATATTAGTTAACATATTTTCCAGTGTTTGATGAATTAAGTTCAAATTCATTCAATAGATAAATTGTAAATTTCACTATTTTTTTTCTTTTTCTGTTTTTAAACTTTTAGGTTCAGGGGTACATGTGCACGTTTGTTATATAGGCAAAGTCTTATCCTGGGGATTTGTTGTACAGATTATTTTGTCACCTATGTACTAAGTGTGGTACCCAATAGTTATTTTTCTGAATCTCTCCTTTCATCTTCCACCCTCAGGTAGGTCCCAGTGTCTGTTATTCCCCACTTCGTGTCTACATGTTCTTATTTAGCTCTCACTGATAAGTGAGAACATGCAGTATTTGGTTTTCTGTTCCTGTATTAGTTTGTTAAGGATCACTTTTTAAAAATAAGCATGGTGATAAAGTGAGTAAGAGATCATTAATTTGACATGTATAGTCTGTGGCACCCATTGGGCATCCAATGACAGTATGTATTCAGCATATGCCTCAATAATTCAAATAAGAAATTTAGAGACACAAATTTAGAAATATCTGGCATAGTGATGGTCAAAGTGTGGCTTTTTTGCTCCCGTAATTTGGCAAGTGGGAGGGAGTGGCATGCAGCGGCTTCACTTCTTCATTCCTGTAGCTCAGTGAGCAGGACAGAGTGGTGCCCAGCAGCTTTGCTTCTTCACTCTGGTTTTTTGGGGAGTGGGAGGGAGTGGCACCCAGTGGCTTCTCTTCTTCTGTAGTACAGTGAATGGGAAGGAGGGTTACAGCTCTTTTATTTCCACTGCCCACAGCTCAGCGAGCAGGAGCTCTTTCACTCCTGCAGTTTGGTGAGTTCCAGGTTCTTGTCCCATGACCAAGAGGAATAAGTATGTGGGCAATGGAGAGTGAGTAAGGCAGAGTAGAATTTTATTGGGTGACAGAAAAACTCTTAGCCAGAAGAGAGGACCCGAAAGCAAGTTGCCATCTGTGAGACTGAGTCCAGGGTTTTTATGGGCTAAGAATAGGAGAATGAGTGCTGATTGTTCCCTGGGTGGTCTTGGATAAAGCACCATTCAATTGGTTAAAAGACATCATTCAGAGGGAACCAATCAAGAGAGAATGGGTAAGATGGGGATAGAAGTTCTCACTCTACTTGTGGACTCTATCAGGAACTGGCAGTTAAATTTTCAGGCTTTAAACTGTCCTTGGCTTGAATGTTGTGTTTCACTGGGCACCTGTCCCTGTTCACCTATAAGAATTTGTCTGTCTCCTGTTACTATTAATTCCCCCTCTGAAGAGGTACATCTAACTGTTTAGGACAGGGACAAGGACGGTTATAACTGCTTTATGTTGAGATGGGGCATTGTTTTGGGAAAACGGCAGTCACATCTCTCTCAGAGGCCTATCTGAGGGTCCCCAGTAAAAAGGGAGCCGTCATCCAAGGCTCCATTTGCATGACCATTTGGAGTTTGATGGCCTCTAGGCCAGAAGAAACAAACTTTTTAAGGCAGTTAAGTATGCATGGTTCAAATATGACTATTATATAAAGAAGAGTAAACTGGGGAAAATTTAGTGCCAGAGATAGCAGAAATAAGAAGTAAAATAGACTAATTCTGAAAAAAATGTTGTGGCCAGAGCTGTTTCACCCTGGTGAAAGAAATTAAATTTTGTATAGGGGAGGGCAGTTACATTTTAGAAGAGAGGTAGCTGTTTAGGGGAGTATATAATCCCATGGGTATTCAGGACTAAGTGATCCTTGGCAAAGACACCTTATGGTGGGGAACAGAATGAAGGTGAGAACAGCAATTATAGACAAGACTGTAAACAAGATATCCATGAAAGGTTAATTATTGACACTTATCTTTTATGATTTTTAGCTTGAGGTCTCCAATTTCTTCACACTGGTGCTTCAGGTGCTCTTCTGGGTCAACAGAGGTAATTCCACCAGTTTGCCTTGCCTTTACTTGAGTATAATGAATCCAAGAATCTATTCTAGTGACCTTCACTGCTGAAGGAGTAGGAATAAGTAAAGTGTAAGGTGTCTCCCAATCCAGGCCTAGAGAGGGAGAAAAAGAAGGAAGAGCCTGTACCAGTACTAAGTCCCCTGGGTTGAATATGGTTGGCCCTGGTTCACAGGGTTGGGCTTCCAACAGTTATTTCAGTTCTTGTAGAAAATGGGCCAAAGCAGTTGCATGTTTAATCAAATCTGGTTTCTTCATCTAGCAAGAAATCACTGGTGAGAAAAGCCATCCATACATGATTTAGAAGGAACTTAAACCCAGTTTCAAAGGAGTGTTTCTAACATGTAGCAGGGCAATAGGAAGAAGAGTAATCAAAGGGAGATGAGTCTTTTGAGGGAGTTTTCTGATGTTCCTTTTCATAATATCATTTGTCTCTTCTACTGTTCCTTTTCATAATATCATTTGCCTCTTCTACCTTTCCTGTGAATTGTGGTTTCCAAGCACAATGGAGATGGTATTCTATGCCTAGTGCCTTTGATAATCCCTGGGTGACAGCCACCTTGAATGAAGGGCCATTATCGCTCTGGAGTTACTTAGGGAGTCCAAAGCCAGGAATTATCTCATTAATTAGTACGTTTATCACCTCAAAGGCTTTTTCTGTCTGACATGGAAGTGCTTCTACCCAGTTTGTGAAGGTATCTACCCATACCAGGAGGTACTGGATGCCCCTTATCTTTGGCATATGGGTGAAATTCATCTGCCAGTCTTCCCCCGTGTAGCCTCCCATTCTTTGGGTTCCAGCAGGGGAGAACCTGTTGATTGAGGAAATTATTTTTAAGGCAAGTCTCATGAGCATTAACGACCTGTTTGATTATTTTTAGCAGATTTTTACCTGAGAACAACCTTTGGACCAATTGATACATTTTATCCTTTCCTAGGTGGAAGGCTTGATGAAGGATTTTAAGAACTTTCCATTGGCTGGAAGTTGGTGGATGGTTTGCCATCCTCCTATTGTACCTATCGTGAGGGGTGAAAGGTGTATTCCCAAGAGGTGGCCCATTCTATTTCTGCAGAATATTGAAGTTTTATTTTTCTTATGGAGCCCTCTCAGAGCAGAGGGGCATCAAGTGGATCAGAAATCTGGGGCCTCTCACTGCTGATTTAGCTGCTTCATCTGCCAATGTATTTCCCTCACCTATTTCATCCATCCCCTTTTAGTGGCCTTCACAATGTATTACTGCCTCACCCTGTGGAAGGAAAATTGAGGATAATAGTCAGTTAATTTCCTGAAGGCATTTAATGGGAGACCCATTAGCTGTGAGGAAGTCTTTCACTTTCTAGATAGTGGCATGGGCATGGAGGTCTAGGAATGCATTCTTATAATCAGCATAAATGTTAACTGCTTTCTCTGCTTAATTCAAGAACCCTCATGAGGGCAATTAGCTCAGCTGGTTAAGCACTTGTGCCCAAGCAGAGAGGCACACTCTCAGTAATGTCAGTCAGGGTGAGTACTGCATATCCTGCTTTGTGAATCCCTTGTTCTACAAAAGAACTTCATTTGTAAAGAGACTTCATTCTGGGTTCCTTAAGGGGGTTTCTTTGAGGCCCTCTTTGGCCACATAGGTTTACACTACTATCTGTTCACAGTCATTTTCAGGCTCCCCAGCTTCCTCTGGGAGGAAGGTGGCTCTATGTTTAGGGAGGGACAGGTCCTTACCTGGACTGTAGATCTCTCCAATGGCAGAGCTTGATATTTGAGGAGGTGGTTGTCCATTAGCCAGAAACTCCCCTTGGAAGACAGCAGTACTGCCACATTATGTGGGGTATAAATGGTTAAGTTATTCCCCATGGTTAACTTAGTAGCCTCTGGAACCAGCAGAGCTACCTCTGCAACTCCTCAGAGGCAGGAAACCCATCCTTTAGCCACCAAATTAAGCTCCTTGCTTAGGTAGCCTATGGGCTGCTGGGCTGGACTGCAGACCTGGGTTAGAACTTCCAGAGTCATTCCCTTCCTTTCTGATACATAAAGATTGAATGTCTTACCTATGGGAAGACTAAGGGCTGTTGCCTCAAGCAAGGCTTGTTTCAATTGGTCAAAGGCCCTTTTAGCCTCTGGTTCTCCAGTCAGGGATTGAGTCTTAGCTGCCTGAGTATCCTTTATTAGGTGGTATAAAGAATGAGCTATCTCACAGTACCCAGGTATCCATCCATAATCTGCAGAATCTTGTAATGCCCAAGAATCCCCTCAGTTGTTTGAGGGTTTTGGGGAGGTGAAAGGAAGAGATGGGCTTAATACTTTCTTCACCTAGTACCCCGATATGCTCTGACAAGACTAGACCTAGGTACTTCACTGAAGTCTGACAGAGCTGAGCCTTAGATTTTGAGACTGCATTTGTCAGGGTTATCTAGAGGGACAGAACTAATAGGATATATATGAGTTTATTAAGGAGAATTGACTCACCTGATCACATGGTGAAGTCCTATGTTAGGCTTTCACCTAGTTGGGGTGAAGTTGTTAAGTTGAGGAGCAAGGAAGCCAGTGGTGGATCAGTTCGAGTCCTAAAACCTTAAAAGTAGGGAAGCCAACAGTGCAGATTTCAGTCTGTGGCCAAGGGCCCGAGAGCCCTTGGTGAACCACTGGTGTAAGTCCAAGAGTCCAAAAGCTGAAGAACTTGGAGTCCGAGGTTATGGGGCAGGAAGCATCTAGCATGGGAGAAAGATGAAGGCTGGAAGACTCAGCAAGTCTGCTCATCCATCTTCTCCTGCCTGCTTTATTCTAGCCACACAGGCAGCTAGATGGTGCCCACCTGGACTGAGGGTGAGTCTGCTTCTCCCAGTCCACTGATTCAAATGTTAATCTCCTTTGGCAACACCCTCACAGACACACCCAGGAACAATACTTTGCATCCTCCAATCCAATCAAGTTGACACTTAATATTAACCATTACAAGTCCACCCCTTGTCAACTTGAACCCATACATATCTCCTGAAATCATCCATAATCTTCAAATAAAGCTAATAGTAAGGTTATATTTATGCCTAATACAATACGACTATCCTTCGTACAACTAGAAGCACACTAATCCTTAACATAAATGCTATTACATAGAGTTAACAATGCTTAAATGCTAATATGAATTCAACAAATCTTTTGTCACATGATAAAGGCAAAAGAAAGGAAATAAAATGAAGATATTTTCTTAGTACAGGTGTATACATATACAAACATGTTCTTAACAAAAGAAGGAGGAAATAGTCATGACAATTACAGTCATTTCTGCAGTTGGTCACGTGGTTATAGCTGGTATTGATGACTACCTTCCTCTACTGTCTATTCTGTATTCCCTTTGCCTTCAGCAAGCACCTCAGCAGGTTGTGGTTTTTACCCTGTAGAGTGACCCAAACCTTCATTCCTGAAGGGTTTGGGCCGTTTGTAGTCCTTCCTGGATTGGGTTGTTGTTGTTTCCCATTGACTTTAATCACAGGGCATGGTAATACTAAGAGACACCCTAAGGGATCTCCTGTATTCCACACATATTCTTTCTTACCTCCATTGTGGAGTAGTAGACTGATTTCATCTTGTTAGTCTGGGTCAATCACCCAGCCAACACTGTAACTCCCTTCTTAGCCTGTTGACTCAGAGTAGGAGGACTCCAAAGTGTCCGGGTGGCAATCTTAACTATCAGTTTAATGGAATCATTGTTGTGTCTCCTGGTGGCAACATTCCTCCTTCTGGAACTAAGACTTCTAGGCCAGCAGAATGTAATGTCTCAGGAACAGGAAGCAAACATTTTTCTAGGGGGTCACTAGGAGTGATGGTGTGTGGTGCCACTTCCACTTCCATCCCTTGATTCCTGGACCCATGAATTCTTGAATTCTGACTATGGGAGAAAGAGTACTATGTAGTAAATGCTGATTCAGAGCATACATTGGCTTCTGAAGAACTTTGTCCCAGCTCTGCAAAGTATTGTCACCTACTTGGCATCATAATTGTGACTTCAAAAGGCCATTCTACCATTCTATCAATCCAACTGCTTCAGGATGATGGGGAAGATGGTAAGACCAGTGAATTAAATGAGCATGAATCCACTGCTATACTTCTTTAGCCACAAAGTGAGTGCCTTGGTCAGAGGCAATGCTATGTTGAATACCATGACGGTGGGTAAGGCATTCTGTGAGTCCACAGATGGTAGTGTTGGCAGAAGCATTGTGTGCAGGATAGGCAAACCCATACCTGGAGTAAGGGTCTATGCTGGTGATGACAAACTACTACTCTTTCCATGATGGAAGAGATACAGTATAATCAACCTGTCACCAAGTAGCTGGCTGATCACCCTGAGAAATGGTGCCGTACAGAGGGCTCAGTGTTGGTCTCTGCTGCTGGCAAATTGGACACTCAGTGGTGGCTGTAGCCAGGTCAGCCTTGGTGAGTGGAAGTCCATGTTGCTGAACCCATGCATAACCTCCATCCCTGCCATCACGGCTACTTTGTTCACAGGCCCATTGAGAGATGACAGGGGTGGCTGGGGAAAGAGGCTAAGAGGTGTCCACAGAACGAGTCATCCTATCCACTTGATTATTAGAATCTTCCTCTGCTGAGGTCACGTTTTCATGAGCACTCACATGAGGTACACATATCTTCACAGTTTTGACAACTCAGACAGGTCCATCCACATACCTCTTCCCCAAATTTCTTTGTCAACAGTTTTTCAATCATGCTTCTTCCAAGTCCTGACCATCCAACCAAACCATTGGCTACAGCCCATGAATCATTATATAATTGCACATCTGGCCATTTCTCCTTTCATGCAAAGTGCACAACCAGGTGCACTGCTCAAAGTTCTGCCCACTGAAAAGCTTTCCCTTCACCACTGTCTTTCAGAAATGTCCTAGAAAGGGGCTGTTGTGCTGCAGCTGTCCACTTTCAGGTAGTGCCTGCATATAGAGCAGAACCACCTGTAAACCAGGCCCTTGTGTTCTCTTCCTCTGTCAATTGATCACAGGGAACTCCACATGAGGCTGTTGGTGCAGGTTGTTGAAGAGAAGACAGGGTGACAGGAGTAGAGACCATGGGCATTGGAGCCACTTCCTCATGTAACTTATTTGTGCCTTTAGGACCTGCTCGAGCACTATCACATATATAACACTTCCATTTGATGATGGGATATTGCTGTGCATGCCCTACTTTATGGTAGATGGGTCAAAAAGCACCCAGTTCATGATACGCAGTTCAGGTCATGTGGTGACTTGTGACCCATAGTCAAACGTTCAGTTTCTACTAAAGCCCAGTAATAGGCCAAGAACTGTCTCTCAAAAGGAGAGTAGTTATCTGCAGAAAATGGCAAGGCCTTGCTCCAAAATCCTAGAGGCCTCTGCTGTGATTCACCTATGGGGGCCTGCCAAAGGCTCCAATCAGCATCCTTATCTGTCACTGACACCTCAAGCACCATTGGATATTCTGGGTCATATGGCCTTAGTAGCAGAGCAGCTTGCACTGCAGCCTGGATCTGTTGCAGAGCCTTCTCATATTCTGGACCCCACTCAAAACTGGCAGCCTTTAGGGTCACTCGATAAATGACCCAGAGTGACACACCCAAATGAAGAAAGTGTTGCCTCCAAAATCCAAATAGCCCCACTAGGCATTGTGCCTCTTTTTTGGTTGTAGGAGGGGCCAAATGCAGCAACTTATCCTTCACCTTAGAAGAAATATTTTAACAGATCCCACACCACTGGACCTCTAGAAATTTTACTGATGTAATCTTAGTCGGATTTATTTCCTATCCCCGGCAGGCAAATGTCTCACCAATAAGTGTGTTTGCTGTTTCTCGCTTAATGGGTCCAATCAGCATAATGTCATTAGTGTAATGGATCAGTTTGATATCTTGTGGAAGGAAAAAGCAACCAAGATCTCTGTGAACAAGATTATGACACAAAGCTGGAATGTTGATATACCCCTGATGTAGGACAGTAAAGGTACATTGCTGGCCTTGCTAGCTGAAGGCTAATTGTTTCTGGTGGACCTTATGGACAGGAATGGAGAAAATGGCATTTGCCAAATCAATGGCTGCATACCAGGTACCAGGAGATGTGTTAATTTGCTCAAGCAATGAAACCACATCTGGTACAGCAGCTGCAATTGGAGTCACCGTTTGGTTAAGCTTATGATAATCCACTGTCATTCTCCAAGATCCAACTGTCTTCTGCACAAGCCAAATAGGAGAGTTGAATGGGGATGTCATAGGAGTCCTTGATGGTGGGACTAATCTCTGCAATCCCTCCAGGAATGCAATATTGTTTTTGATTTACTATTTTTCTAGGTAGAGGCAGCTCTAGCAGCTCTAATGGCTTTAATTTGGCCTTTCCACCATAATAGCCCTCACCTTACCAGTCAGGGAGCTAATGTGGGGATTCTGCCAGCTGCTAAGTATGCCTATGCCAATTATGCATTCCAGCACTGGAGAAATGAGTCTGGGGACCCACTGGATCCACTGTAAGTCAGACCTGAGCTAAAACTGCATTAATCACCCGAATTCCATAAGCCCCTGCTTTAACTGGAGGACCACAATGACATTTTGGGTCCCCTGGAATCAGTGACAGCTCAGAGCCAGTGTCCAGTAGTCCCCAAAATATCTGATTATTCCCCTTCTCCCAGTGCAGTTATCCTGGTAAAAAGCCAGAGGTCTCCTTGGGGAAGGATGGGAGAAATATTAACAGCATAAATTGTCTGTGGTGTAGTGGTGTCCTTCCTCAATGGGACCCGGCCTCCCTTCATTCAAGGGGTTCTGGGTCTGTAAACAGGTACAAGTCTGAAATTGGTTGTGGGGCTGTGATTCTCTGTTTTTATAATTAAAATTAGTCTTTTTTTACTTGACCTGGAAGTTTTCTGCTTATACAAATTAAGTAAGAATGCAGTAGACTTCCTATTAATTTAACTTCTAGAAATACCATGATTAATTAGCCAGTGCCGGAGCTCTACATGAGTCAGACTATTCCGATTGCTGCTTTGCCTCTGCTGTCCATTAGGGTGACTATGCCCACTTTGCCTTTGACAGTTGAGTGCCACCTCTTGGCTCCTGCCACCTCAAGATCCAATTATTCCCATCGCATTTAAATTTTATAATTGAATGACTGTGGTTCCTACGGTAAGATCTGGCATACAGAGAAGACCAATGAAAGAGCTCTTCAAGGATGCAGGTACTCCCCTCACAAATTTATTTGGCAAGGTATTGGTGAACGGTATGTCTTCTGGATCCTCCCTGCTGAGACGGGTAGGTCTAAAGTGACTAAGCCACTCTAGCATCCCAATTTCCCTTAGCCTTTGGATCCCCTCCTCTACATTAAACCAAGGGAGATCCAGCATTTCCAGCTTGCTTACTGTGGGCTATCTTTTGATCTATATTTCAGCTAACCAAGCAATTAAATTATTAGAACTTTTTTTTAACTCCCCAAGCTGCAACATTAAATGCAGAATACCTGCTTAGTGGCCCCAAAATGAATGAATTCAGCCTGATCCAACTTTATGTTCCTTCTATCATTATTCCACACCCTAATATCCATTCTTATGCCTGTTCTCCAGATTTATGCTTATATAAATTAGAAAATTCAAGCATTTTTGGGGGGTGTAGCACAACTCATGGATCACACTCTGAACCTCACTTCTAGGGGCCTTTAGTCTAGTGATAGGTCTAGAAGCAAACAGGGGTGTTAGTGGTGGGTTCTGAGGAGACTCAACCTTGTCTTTCCTGGCAACTGCCTGAGGGGAGGCCATCAATGTTGCCTCAGCCAGTGCATAGTTAATCTCCTCAGACAAAGGTGAAAAGGCTGATGGCAGCATAAGTGGGGGAGGGGATGTTGCCACCATTGGAGGTGGGAAGGCTGTTTCCTCTGGCAAAAAGGCTCGTCAGAGTTTACAAGCTTAGTGTCCCCAGCTTCATCAGGGTCCTCCCACATGTCCCCGTTTCAAGTTGCAGGGGCACATTATTTTCCAATCAATGCCCTCACTTTAATTGTGGACATCTGGTAAGACTGAGCATGCACTTTTCATTGCAGGTCAGCCACTCACATGATAAAAACTTGTGTCTGATTTTTGGCAATTTCTGCCAGTTGTCTACAAGAGATAAGACTATCACTCAAGGTAATGTTAGAAGACTTGAGGCACAGTATGTGCTTCTGGAGCTGGGAGTTAGAATCTTTGAGCTCATTCTTTCCTTTCATCACTTTTTCCAGCAAACTTAGGAGCAACCAGCCAACTTCATTGTATTCCTTTTGGTTCAACACATATGGTAAAAGGTATTATACATAGATTCATTAAACTCCTTGCCTCTCACAAGCAGTGAATCAGAAGTATCAAATGCATTTATTTTGCATAAGTCTGTAAACAGTTCACACCAAGGACTATCAGTGTTCTCCATACTATTAGGAGTAGAGTCCTTAGCATTTTTGAGTCTAATCAGATTAAGCAGCCAACTCCAGAAACCCCAAAACCAACTGAAGAAATCCATCCTTAAAATTATTTTCCTCTAGAACAACTCTGGTACCAAAATCTGTATTAGTAAGGGTTCTCTAGAGTGACAGAACTAATAGGATATATGGGTATATGAAATGGAATTTATTAAGAAGAGTTGACTCACACTATCACAAGGTAAAGTCCCATGATAAACCATCTGCAAGTTGAGGCACAAGGAAGCCAGTGGTGGATCAGCCCAAGTCCCAAAACCTCAAAAGCAGGAAAGCCGACAGTACAGCCTTCAGTCTGTGGCCAAAGGCTCAAGAGCCCCTGGAAAACTACTGGTGTAAGTACAAAAGTCAAAAAACTGAAGAACTTGGAGTATGAAGTTATAGGGCAGCAAGTATGTAGCATGGGAGAAAGATGAAGGCTGGAAGACTCAGCAAATCAACCCATCCATCTTCTCCTGGCTACTTTATTCTAGCCACAAAGGCAGCTGATTAGATGGTGACCACCCAGATTGAGAGTGAGTTTGCTTCTCCCAGGCTCAAATGTTAATCTCCTTCAGCAACACCCTCAGAGAACACCCAGAAACAAAATTTGCATCTTTCAATCCAATCAAGTTGATGTTCAATATTAACCATCACAGAGACCTTATATCCTCTGTTAGCCAGAAAATTAAGAATAGCTCTACTGCCCTCCTGAATAATTTATTCAGTTGAGGCACAAAGAAGAATGCCATTTACATATTGTAAAACTTTAACCTGGGTGTAAAATAACTCAGATCTTTTGACAATGCCTGCCCGAACAGGTGGGGGCTGTCTCAGAATTCCTGAGGTAATACCGTCCAGGTTAGCTGGGTGGTCTGGTTGGAGGGATCCTCAAATGCAAACAAATATTTGAAGTCAGGGTGTGGCAGTATGCAGAAAAAGGCATCCTTCAGGTCCAGGATTGTGAACCATTTAGTTCTCTCAGGTATTTGAATTAGCATGGTATAGGGATTGGGAATCACCAGATGAATTGGAACCACAGCTTCATGAATGAGGCACAGGTCCTTGACCAGTCTCTATTTCCTGTTGGGTTTCTTTACCCCCAGTATCGTAGTATTACAAGAGTTATTGCAGGATTTGAGGATAACTTGCATCCTCAATTATCGATGATGGCTCCTAGCCCTTTCCTAGCTTCTGGTTTTAGGGTATATTGTCTCTGATTAGGGAAGTAGGTGGGATCCTTAAGGTGGATTTGGACTCGTATGGCAGTTGTGGCTCAGCCAATTTTCCTGTGAGTTGTGCAAACTTCGGGATTAACATCAGTCTCCACCAGGAGGAGAAAAAGAGTCTGTCCTGGAGCCATAAGGATGGTGGTTCCCATGTGGGCTAAAATATACCTTCCTAGCAGAGGAGTTGGGCTTTCAGGTATGAAAAAGGATGAGTAAACAAATGGACTCCCCAACTACAACCAAGGGGTAAATGGTTGGGGAAAGTATTGGGTTAAAGGCTTTCCTGAGACACCCCTTCATAGTCTTGCTAATGGAGGAAGGGAAGCCTGGATTGCAGAGAACAGAAATGGCAGCTGCAGTATCCAGGAGTTCCTCCCTTCCTCCTCCAGAATCACCTGGGGCTCCTGGATGATAATGGTGGTTTGAGCCATCGGAGCTGGGGAGAGTAGCCCTGGGACCCATCAGTCCTGCTAGACCATTTAGGAGACTGGCTCTGAATCCAGTGACCTGTGTCTCCAGGGACAGTCCACCCTCCAGTAGTCCCCTCCGCAGATTGGACAGGGTTGAGGTTACTTCCTCATGCTGCCTGGGCAGTCCTTCTTAAAGTGCCCTGGCTTGCCACATTTTAGCAGTTAACAGGTGTATCTCCAGGATTCTGGGGTTGGTAAGCCTGCCAGGTAGCCATTAGAATCTCTGCCTTTTTCTTATGTTTTCTCTCTCTCTCGAGCCTCCTTCTGATCCCTATTGTAAAAGGCCAAGGTGGTCACTTTCAGGAGGTTCTCTAAAGTACTCTCTGGTCCCATAGCTTATTTCTGCAGATTCCTCCTGATGTCAGGGTCCACTTGAGTAATAAACTTATCCTTTAGGATTAGTTGTCCCTCGACTGAATCAGGAGATAGAGAAGTGTGCTTTACTAAGGCCTCTCTTAGCCTTTCCAGGAAGGCAGTGGGATTCTCATCTGATCCCTGGTTTATCATGAAGAGTTTGGAGTAACTGAGAGGCTTAGTTTTAGTCCTTCATAAGTCTTCCAATATGTACATCTGAAAGCGTTTCCTCTTCAATTCTCCACGTCATCACTGGGGTCCCAGTTAGGATCCTCTAATGGTACTGCTGTTTTTCCAATTGGATAAGTCTCTTCCCCTTCCTTGGCACTATATGAAATACAAAGCTCATCCCCAAACTTATCTGCCACTTGGAGGGCTGCCTGCTTCTCAGTGGTACTCAGGGTTTGATTCAAAAGTAACATAAGGTCCTTCCAGGAGTCTTCAAATACTTGGGTTAAATTCTGGAAAACCTCTCTATACCTGTCAGGGTTGTCTCAAAACTTAGCAAGATCCCCCTTAATTTTTCTTAAGTGCTGTAGAGTAAAGGGGACCTGGACCTTAACGGGGCCATATTCACAAGGCTCTTCACATCCCTTTTAGGGGCATGACTGAGGCTGGGGCTCACCTAAAACAAACAGGAGAAGCTTGAGAGAGAACCTGGATAGGGAGGAGAGGATGGACCAGGAAAAGCAGCACCAGAAGGGGCTGATTCCCGCTCTGGAGGCGCCTCTGGGGTTTGCTTCCCTAGTCTCTTGGGATTGTCCTTTGCAGCCTGTCCTGAGATGACCGCTAGGAGGGCTGGATCAATCCTACAATGTCAGCAAAGGTTCAGATTATCCTGCAAGGCAAAGAAAGCCTGCACATATGGGACCTCAGATTATTTGCCCTTGAGTACACAGAAAAGGTCCAGCTGCAGGATAGTATTAAAATTAATAGTTTCCTCTGGCAACTAAGTCTCTCCATCCTGTAACTTATAACTCGGCCATGCTGTTGTGCAAAGGAACATAAGGTATTTTTTGTTGTTGTTGTTGTTTGTTTGTTTTTTATTATACTTTAAGTTCTGGGATACATGTGCAGAACGTGCAGGTTTGTTACATATGTATACACGTGCCATAGTGGTTTGCTGCACCCATCAACCTGTGATCTACATTAGATATTTCTCCTAATGCTATCCCTCCCCTAGCTCCCCATCCCCCAACAGGCCCTGGTGTGTGATGTTCTCCTCCCTGTGTCCATGTGTTCTCATTGTTCAACTCCCTTCTGAGTGAGAACATGCGGTGTTTGGTTTTCTGTTCCTGTGTTAGTTTGCTGAGAATGACATTTTCCAGCTTCATCCATGTCCCTGAAAAGGACAATAACTCATCCTTTTTTATGGCTGCATAGTATTCCATGGTGTATATGTGCCACATTTTCTTTATCCAGTCTATCATTGATGGGCATTTGGCTTGGTTCCAAGTCTTTGCTATTGTGAATGGTGACATAGTAAACATACGTGTGCATGTGTCTTTATAGTAGAATGATTTATAATCCTTTGGGTATATACCCAGTAATGGGATTGCTGGATCAAATGGTATTTCTGGTTCTAGATCCATAAGGTGTTTTCTTTCCAGAATCTGAGGGTCGAAGGAGTCCCAGAGATTCAGGATGTACTCAAGAGGAGTGCAGGATGAAGATTGTTCATTACCCATCTGAAAAGGGGGAAAATGGCATCCCTTAGTTCCTTTCTTTCTTCCAGCTAAAACCTGGGGTATGTGAGGGAGAGAAAAACAGGTGTCCCTTTCTTTCTTTCCTCCTTTCCTTCCCCAAGTCCTGGCAGCCACTACAGGAGCCACCCATGGATGTAAGGGTGACCTCCAACCAAGGGGTGAGAGGGCCCACAGGTGGGGCTATTTGTACTTACCTACACTGCACCCTAACCCTCTGCTGTCAGTAACATTTGGGTACCCTAGGCCTCATCTATGCCATGGATGTGAGTGAGTCATCCACCCATGAAGCAGGAAGGCCCAGTTAGCTGGGATAGTCATGCCTATGTATGCTGTGCCCTAGCCTTCTGCTGTCAACTGCCTCTGGTTCCCTCAGATCTAGTTTTCTTCTCAGAGCTCCAAACCAAAGCTTGGAAAATACTTTGGAGTAATGTTAAGGTAAAGCTGTGGAATGAGATCCTTCTCAAACAAAGGTAAAAGTGGGAGTCCTGGGAATTGGGGACCTGGCCTAATAAGATCCCTCCCAAGAGGAAAAAAAATAGTCCCTTGCACATAAAAGCTCCTAGTATTCACAGGATTATGTTGACTACTAACATAGTGGAAAAAACAACTTAAAAGCAGAGAAGGAAAGGTGACTTGAGGAAATAGCCTCTTGCTCTGTACTAATGGGTTTCTTCAACAGGGGAAAGAAATCTCTCTTAATTGTTACATCCCGTGTTTCAAAGAATAGATAAAAACAACATCATTCTGGATTAAACTCCTGATGACTAAGCCAAATGCTCATTCTACCCAGTAATGTTATCTCTTTGGAAGTCTTGGTCAGACACCTGAATCTGCTGTCAGGGATTGGAGGCGGTTTAGGCATCTTCAGGTAACACTAAGGTGTGGCCTTGGCCAGATACCTTCAGTTGCCCCAGGACCTTATTCTGATCCCACATGATGGCTAGGCATCTGTGAAGGGAAACTGGATTTGAGCAAGGCCAACATTCTCTACACCCTAGGGTGAAGGGGAGTTGACAAAGTCCTCCCCAGCAAGCCTGTCCTCTGAGTCTTTTAGTTCAGCAGCTACACTATCTTCTCTTAACTGGCTGACAAAGGTCTGGTGTTTAATTTGTTTTCAGAAAAAATCTGAGGATGAGGAGCCTCAGAATGAAAGTAAAGAGTCACAGGTCTGCTCTTACTCACCCTTCCAAAGATTCTGGATGAGCCCCCAGAAATGTGTGGCGTTTTTGCTCCTGTAGTTCAGTGAGCTGGAGAGAGTGGCACCCAGGGATTCATTCCTCCCCTCCTGTAGTGGCTACTTCTTTCCTGTTGTTTGGGAGTGTTACTGCTGTTTTTACTCCTGCTGCCTGCAGCTCAGTGAGCAGGAGTGTTACAGCTTTTTCACTTCTGCAGTTTGGTGAGTTCTGGGTTCTGGTCTTGTGACCAAGAGGAATAAGGTACACAGACATCAGAGAGTAAGTAAGGAAGAGTAGAATTTTATTGAGCAGCAGAAAGAACGCTCTCAGCCATGAGATGGGACCTGAAAGCAAGTTGCCATCTGTGAGGCTAAGTCCAGGGGTTTTATGGGCTTAGAATGGGGAGATGCGTGCTGTTTGGTCCATGGGTAGTCTTGGAAAAAGCACCATTTGATTGCTTAAAAGGCATAATTCAGAATGAACCGAGAGAGTGGGTAAGATGGGGATAGGAGTTCTCACCCTGGGCATGGACTCTATCTGATACCAGGAGCTTGGTTTTCAGGCTTTAAACTGTCCTTGGCTTGAAGGTTGGGTTTCACCAGGGACTCATCCCTATCTGCCTAGAAATTTGTCTGTCTCCTGTTGCTATCAAAGGTAGCCAAATGTGACAATCATAGAAGTTCAAAGGAAAGTGTATGTCAACAATAGAGTTTCATTTTGAGCAGAGAAAAAGGCTCACTGGTTTCAGGGAACTGTAGACCATTTGTGGTCTTACCAAGAGGCTGAAAGGGTAGGGGAAGAGAGCCAGGGTTGAGTGCAATGAAAAATGCAAGTTAAGGAAACAAATATATTCAGAAAAGAGGTTTTCCAGAATTTAACTATTAATGGAAGGAAAGAGTAGGGAAAGTGAGAATAAAGAATGAGGAATATTTGATTAGTTTTAAAGCTAAAGAGAAATGTCCGTTTCAGAAAGAGGTGAGAGAAAAATATCCAATCACCCATCTATTAAAAAGGAGGATAGCTATGTGAGGGATGTACATCCCCTGTAATACAAAAGGAGGAAGAATGGAAGAATACATGGGGGCCCATAAACATGGGCTCAGAAGATACATCATGTGATTTGGAAGGGTTCCTGTCTGAGGGCTTCTATGTTGGTAAAGCAGAAGGTAAATCTATTTGCTGAGAAAATTGATGAGATATTTTTTAACTTACAGAACCCTTTCCAAGCACTCTAGAAATTACTAAAAAATAGAAGAGGCAAGAGATATTAAGAGATATGTAGAGTTATTAAGTCAATTAAAAGCAATAATATTGAAAAGCCAGATGGTTAATGTTTAACATATAATTTTAAATTTCCATATTTGCATAATTTTCATAGATTACAACCACTTCCCTCTCCATTTCATTCAAGCTTCACAACAACAATAAACTTCAAGAGCTCTATTATGTAACTACTTCATTTAAATATACTAAATGATATCAATTACAATTAAATTAACAATGATCTTCCCATTAAGAGACAATCATCATTAACGTTTTTCTGTATTTGTTCCTATATATGCTATCATAGATATGTCTTCCAAAGGACCCAAACTGGCCCAAACTGTACATTTAGTTTTGTAATGTAATTTTTAAAATTGAAATATTAATTTTGTACATTTTCTACACTAAGATTATAATCAGCATTGTATTATATCAGTGTACTAATTTGGGAGGAAATAATTTTTACGGTATTGATAATTCCTATATTTTTCTATTTTTTAGGATTCTCAGGGAAGTTTAATAGGTTTCTTAATACTGTCTTGTGCAGAAGTCTTCAAGATCTTCTTCATGGCCAGCCCTATGGTTTCATTCTGTACTGCACGCTTCATTTTCACAACCCCATCTGTTCTTTCCCTTCTCCAACTTTTGAAAGCCACATTTATTTGAACGATTTGGGGAGCAGGTAGAAATTGTTATTCTTCTGAGGAAATGTCTTGATTTTTTTGTTAGCCTGTTTACCTCAACTGGTGGAGTTTAGTTCTGAGGTTATTGAACATAGTTATGACTCTTCACTTGCTTTATTATAGAGGAGTTTTGTGATTAGCAACTTTCGCCTGCACAGTGCCTTCCTTACTGAGAATAAAGAATAATTCTCATTTGTAATCATCTAGCTGTTTATGCAGCCACTATAAGATGACAGTGTGGCGATGTTAATGAGGAATTACAATTCTATACGGCAGTGTTATGAAGAAAAGATACTTTTGGATCCTTAGATTTATGTTACAAATAATGCCCTCTTTCTTTGGCGACTCTTATTGTTAGATTAACTCATCACCAAAACCACATTTGAGTAGGACACTAAATGAATATTTTCTTTAAAAACTTCTAAGGACTTACACAAAATTGTAATCTTGTTATTTTTAAAATCAAGGAGTTGAAATAGGAAAAACAGGAGTGGGGAATAGGAGGAAAAATAAAAGAAATGAAAGTAGACATGACAAATTTTAACTTTCAGCAAATAAAATTGAAGCCAAGTTTTTGTGAGACTTAGCAAACAACCTTTACCCGATGCTGTGATCCAGATATAGAAAAGAACACAAATACTCTTCCCAGTGGGAGCTACTAGGATCCTAGGGCAAACCTTTCAGTTTGACTTTAAATTCTCAGATATTGGTGTATTTTCATTGTTTATTCTCCCTTTTTCTCTGTGATAAATAAGTCGTGATCACCATCTTTCCCCTAGTCTTCCCTTTATGTAACATCCATATTTTCTACATATTCCATTTCTTCATGCACATTTAAAAAAAATGAACTAACATATATTTCAAAAGTTACTGTAGTCTTTATGGGTTTTTTGTTGTTGTTGTTGTTCTTAGAAAGAATTACTATTCCTTAGTAAATTTCTGGAAAATCACTGATAAATAATTGTTTAAAACTACCTATGGTAAAATTTACTGATATTTCTTCTACTTTAAATTTTTAATGACTTCATAAATTATAACTTAATTGATACAGTAATAAATGAATTATGGAGGACAATAAATTAAGATAAAATCTCATCTGATATGAGAACAATCAACTGTGAACTAAAAACAAGTCAAAACCTGTGCGTAGAAACTTTACCTTCAGCTAAAAATCTCCTGAAATCACTGAGTTTTGAGTCAGTATACATTCTAGAATATAGTCACGTTGCAACGGCAAGTTAAGAATGTCTCCAGTTTTTGAATTGAGAACTCCCTCCTGTCTGTGCTTTCTGATAGGGAAAATGAGAAAAGCTTTTGGATTAGCCATTCTGAAACTTGACAATACGATATGTAGGATAGTTGCCCACAAGCAAATGCTTCAAGGGATATGAGAGAATACTAATGTACTTTTCCTTTATTATAGGAGTTCCTATGTGTTCCATGTGTATCTTTCTAAATATTTAAGTGTCAGGTTCACTTGTTTACTCTAAAATGTAGATATATTGATATTACTCCATCTACATTAACTTCCCAGTCTTTTCTGTCATCATTTAAAGACAGTGTAAAGATTAGTGCACAGTGTGTAGTCATAGCATATTCATTTAGTCAAATTCTCATTCACTGCAATAATTCAATGAAGATGTGTTGACAGCCCTTAGGTGTTAGATGCCCTAAGCAAGGTCCCACAGAGTGCAAAAGCTAATGAGTCTCTCAGTTAAGAAGGTTGCAATCTGTTATATAGTAGGAATGTACATTTATAAATTAATGCTTCAGTATATAGATGCAATAGTAGCTGTATAAACAATCTTAGAGGAAGGTAAAAATTAGTCCAGGATATCCAGGCCTCTTGAAAGGTAAAATTTGAACTCACTCTAAAAGTGAGTATAGACTTGCCATGGGAAAGAGAAATGAGAGGTATTTCAGCATGGTATGCCATGCTATTTCCTATCTCTAATTTACCCAATGACTCACAGAGTGAAGAATTATATTGGCAGAAGTTTAGTGTCTGTGTCAGGAAGGAAGGAAAGTAACTAAAATGGTAGCTTGGGAATGTTGTTTGTGAAGTTAAGAAATTTTGACTTTATTCTGTAGGTAGTAAGGAGTCAATAGGTTTGTGAGCAAAAAATAACATGATCAGATGCTGGTCTTAGGAAAATACTCAGGTAGCAGTGTTAGGGGTGGACTTGAGTAAAAAGCGACAAGAGTGCAATTTTGAAAGCAGTTGCAAAATCCCTTATGAGATATATTGAGGACTTCAATGAAGTCCTGGATGGAAAGGAAGTTACAGACGAGGGTACTGAAAAAAAACAACAACAACAACAAAAAAAAGAGTCACTCATTTAATAGCTAGGAAGGCCATTTCTAGTTCAATGGTGGAAAATAGAACATAGATATTGACTCTTTAGAATTAAAGTGATTTGAGATAATATACCAAATACAGATAAGTCTTTAAATAAAATTGATTATAAAAAGAAGAAGAAAAATGGGGAAGTAATTTAAGCGAAAGAGGAGGAAGACATTGGAAAATTTATGGGTTTGTTTGCTTGTTTAATAAAAATGCTGGCTTGTCCATGGAAAGGTTAAATCTCAGTTTGATCTGTGTTGTAACATGTGGCTGATGTGAAGTTTAGGCATGAAGTGAATTATGTCATTTTTTGGACTATCCTTTTGAGACTGTTTTAAGAAGCCACCAAATAAAATGAATGTTTATACTTTGTACGTTAGTGGTGAGAAATCTACAGCCAGCATAGAGGAACGTTTTCAGAAGTATACAATCTTATTTATGGTTTATTGCTGATTTTTTCTACAGGCAGAAAAATCTGTAGTGGCTAACTCCTACCTTCCTTGAATCTGAATGGTTGTTGAACAAGAGGGGTGCCTGAGTACAAAAATAAAGTGATGAGTTTACATAGCATCGAATTTGCTTACTAAGAGTGAGGTTTGCTAACATTTTCATTGCCATGCCTCTCCTTGAGTGAGTTGCAATTAGGCTGATCCAGGAGAAAAATACCAGTCAAATGAGCTTTACTGTTGAAATGCTGGTGGATAATGGTGAAACTAATGTGTTACAAGTCTGGCCATAACATAATAACATGTTATTAATTTTTTCATGTTCAAGATATTTGGGTATTATCAGCACAAGCATGCTTAGTTAAACCGTAATGGGAAATATACAAAGCTTTTCAACTCAAGTACTACTTAAATTCTCATACTATTTACCAGGGAAAGATATAAAAAATTGTTTTTAAATTCTTAGGGAAGTCTTTTAAACATGTGGATATCAAGCTACTATTTTTGTATGTAGTCTATTCCTATCATTTTGTTCCAGCTCTTCATTTGTGTTGTGAGATCTTGCTGGGCAAAATGCTATTCCTGTTACTGACTACAGATGCACTAAATGCCTATAACGACACATTTAACTCCCATGATCGTCTAATTTTACTTTCCCTACACTGGAAGCTCCTCCAGTTCCAGGCTTTCTTTATAGCTCTAGACAGATATAGCTAGAACTCAATATGTGTTTAAAGGCAGTGAGTTCTTTGGTATTGCTTTTTTGAGGCTACTTTATTTGAAAGTGAAACGTCAATTTTTATGTAATACATTTTCATTTTATTGTAGAAAGTGAGAAAATCCTTTTAGTTACTCAAATCTGTCTGAGTGTTTTGTGTTACATATCATTGAGGAATTGGACGTCAGTGTAGTATAGGACTTTTTCCCATATAGTAAAAATACTTGATAGCTGACGATTTTGCTTCATAAGATTCTACAGTCAAACTTTCTCTCAACCTACTATAATGGGACTTGGCACACAGAGTTCTAACTCTTAATGTTATTTCTTGCATCATTTTACACCTTTTAAAATGTCCTCAATGACTCAAATCCTTGGCCTTTGGAATGTGTTTTGTTAACTGGAAAGATGTAAACAGCTCATTTAACTTGACCTTCAAATGTTCCTTCCTTCCTCCTTTTGGTATGAGCACAGCACAGGCCGTTAATATCTGTGATAGCCGTGAAGTGGCATCCACCTCCCCCAGCTCTTCCCCTTCGTGATGCCAGTCATACTTCGTCAGTACTGACAAGCAATTATTAGTCTTTGTTTCCTTTACACTGTATATTGGCAAAACAATCATTGAAAGGAATTGTAGAGGGAGAAACCACTATCTTTGCACTATTGTGGTAACACAGCTTTTAGGCTTGCTGAGAATATCCATTAGTTTTGTCCTCTTATCTAAAAATGATTTCTTCTTTGCTTTGTATTGCTCTGGGAGTTGAATATTTCACCAACTTCTGCCACATTAGGGATGGATATCTTTATTTCTTCAATAACTGGGGTCTTTTCCCTATTGCCCTCTGTTCCATGCTTAAAGGCATTCTTAGTACATTTCAATTCCAGTTGTATTAGCTGTAATTTGGGTACTTTTAAAAAGCCTATTTGATTCTCAAGAGCTTTTTCCATCTTTTTTATTGGTCTGACCTCAGTCTACTAAGGCAAATTGGTCCCGAGGTATATTCTTATAGACTGAATGTGTAAAGATAGCACAGGGACACTTAGCTAGGTGCTTTACTCAAGTTACAGCAAAGAAACTTTATCTTTGAAGTTTTTTAATTATATCAAGCCTTGGAAGTAGGGCAAGTTTTGCTTAGTAAAGTTATTCTTTCAAATTTTATCATAAACTCTCAAGATCCATGATTTCTTAAAGATTTTACCTTTTGGAAATAAAGGTAGACCACCCAAATGACAACAAACAAAGGCAGTTATTCAGAGCTTGCTGTATCAAAGGAGTCAGCCACCATGAATTAAATTTGGCAGAGACTCAAAGACAGGCTGTGGATAGAAGCCATTTATAGTGATAAAAAATAAAAGGTGTATAGTGATAAAAAATAAAGGCTTTAGATATGCACTGTTGGAGTTTGTTGGCATGGGGAAGCTGCAGGTAGGCTACCTAGAAGCAGGACATCCTATGCAATTGTTTGAGGAACATTTTGGGCTTTGTCTAGTTCCTCCTGAATTGGGGGTGGGACAAAGCAGTAGGAAAGCTGGCAGCTATTGACAAAGGCCTGACCATTCTGGGCCAGTTACTACAGAGATTGTGGTGTGGCTTCTTGGGCTGGTTGTATCTTAGGTTGTAGGTCAGAGTTCTATGGCTAGGATTTTTTTTTTAATCTAAAAATCCAGCAATAACAATGCATTGTACTCTGCTAAAAAGTGTCTAGGTACTATTTATATCTATTGGATATAAATAGGGTTGGGTTGCAATCTATTTATTCTTTTTTTAACCTATTGCCATTATTACTCTGTGAAAAAATAAAAAAACACTTGATTGAGATAATGCATTTCATGGCTAGCTCTTGTGAAAGAGTTTCACTTATTATAATCATGGCTTTGTAGTCTACATAACCTTGAAAAAATCATTCAGCCTCTCCAAAATGTATTCTATTAGCTATATTGGGAAATATACAATCATATTATTCCTGTGCTCTCTGTCTTTAAAATTGTAAGATCATTATAGTTTTATAGAAATACGAGTGAGAAAAAATTTTTAAAAATACACCACTAAAAGTCATTAGGATTCTAAACACAGGATAGAATTTTCAGAGAAGTAATGAAGCTAAGTACTTTCCAGATGGGTAATTTTTATCATACATACAACAGGGACAGGATGTGGAAGAGGGTCTCTATGGACCATGACATGTTGGGTAGCAGGCAGGGACTAGGAAGGGTTTGCTTCTATCTATCAGTAACATATGCAGATAGCATACTATTCATTTTGAGAAGGAAGGGCAACCAAATTTTAGGGGTCATCTGTGGAGAAATGGAGACAATGATTATCAAGGTAAAAAGCTGCCTATGTTGGATTCCATATTTTTCCTGATCACGTTTCCTGACTTCAAGTTGATATAAAGGTAAACTCAAAATTATTGTATTAAACATTTCTTGGCTTCCTTAGTCATAGCTTAGATATGTCTTGATCAATGTATTTCTAAAGACTGACTGACTCTCATGGCTGTTCTGACTTCCTATCCTCATCCTACTCTATTAAATAAGCAATTACATTACACTATTACAAAACTACAGAGAGTATCAATAAAGTTTTTTAAAAAACTCAAAATGATAAATAAAATGGTTATCATTTTGAGTTATACCTTGTAGACTTATAGGTAAAGAAAATTGTTATAAGTAATCAGTCAATATTTCACTGTGTGAAAATTCTATTACATAAAAAGTATTTTTTCTACTGGAAAAAAATTATTCTCAGAAGAGAATAAAACTTGGCATAGATTTTTGTATGTTACATAAATTTCTAACTGAAGTTTTAGGATAGGCATAGGTTTATTCTGCAGTTTTAGACATTAGAATTATAATTATACATGTTTGCATTGTATATATTTTCTGTGGACGAATTTATATTGACTATTGACTGGACAGTGATAAGCATTAATGAAAGAATGGTTTAGGAAAAGTTTTGAATCTTTTATATAATGTTATAGAGATGAGCTTTCAGTCACTTATGCTATCCAAATCTCAAATAAAATATGAGCGAATCTTGGTCTTAGTGGCCTTTGTCATTCTTCCCATTGTGTATGATCACAATGCTAGGTAGAAATGAAAGACACACTTTTTTGTTGACTGAAATGCCCTGCAGATGTAAAATAAATGTTCCCAACTTAAGGCCTTTTAGTACAGAAAAAGTTCCAGAGTGAATACTCCAAAGATGGGTGCCCATTGTACTCAGTATAAGGACCTGACATTCATGGTATTTTTGCACTTGGATTGAATTATTGATTTTAAAAAAGGAGAAACTAAAGGAAGAAAAAAAGAAGGTAGAAGTAGGATGGGAAAGATGCCCAAAAAATGAACAAAATAACAGAAAGAGGCCTGATTCTGAAAAGACCATAGCCGCTGAATGAGTCAGATTCAAGCTGTGATGCTTAATCTGGGCCCTTACTCTTTGTTCTCAGCTCCTTTCTGGTTCTAGTCATTTTGATAAAATATTTTAAAGTTATTTTGCCTTTCATATATTGATAGCTCTAGTTGGCAGAACTAGGCATTAACAGGTGTAATCATTGTTGCTTTCTATTTAAGTGAGAGTAATTCTCTCCTTGAACCCACAATATTTTCTTTTTATCACAACCTTTAAACATACCCAGAGATTAATTGTGCATGCCAGGATTCTAAGAAATGAGAGATTTAGTCTCTATTTGTAGATTCAACCTCGCTTTTACATTATGTGAAGTTTGTTCACTGAGAACTTGAAACCAGACCAAATAAACTGGGCAGCTTGAAAAACAGACAAACAAACAAACAAAAGCTGAACATAGATGATCAAGGTAAAAACTTGAGTGTCAATATCTTTATCACTCACTGGTTAATGTTCTTGGCTAGATTACCTTCTTTTTCCACTCTTGTACAATTCCAATTAAAATTTTTATTTTGACATCAAAACCTGGCTTCCTGAGTGTCTTGAATAAATACAGATTGATAAGCACTTTGGCCAATTATATCTGAGAATTCTTCTCTACTCATTACTTGATTTTTGCATCAGTGATAAAATATCATATCTTTAAAGAGGAAGTTAGGTCACACTGTCTCCTAACTCCTTGCCTTCATTCATGCATTTATTCACTCGTTAAATCAGTCTGTTTCATTATTGAGGCCTTTCCTCTCCTGTATGGCTACATTTTATTCTCAGGAGAGCAGTGAGAGATGTCTTTTTAAAATATAGATTAGTAAAAATCTGCCTTGAATTCTGTTGACACTTGGAAAAAAATTATAATATCTTTATCATGGAGTTAAGGTGTGAAGAGCAAATATGATCTCTGTGCCTTGACCTTTTATCTAATCTCTCTCCTTTCTTGCTGTGCTTCAACCACCACTGCCTTTTTATAATTTCTAGAAGCTAAACTTGTATATTCCTTAGCATTAGTGCTAGTCCGTTTCATAGAAAGTTCTTCCCCCAATTTTCTATGGCTCACTCCTTCCTGTGATAATTATTTCCTTAAATGTCACTTCTTCTGAGATGCTCTCTATGTTTCTTCAATCACTGCATTCCTTCAATATTGTACTAGGGGTGGTAGCCAGCACAAAAAAAAAAAAAAAAAGGAAAGAAAGAAAAGTTCTAAGAATTGGAAAGGGAGATACGAAACAGTCATTTAATAGCAAGTTGTTTATGTGTGGTGAAAAATTTGAAAGAACCTATAAATACACTATTTGGATCAGTAAATGAATTAGCAGAGCTTCAGAATTTGAGGTAATTATACAAAAAAAAATTTGTATATTTTTATAAACCAGCAAAACACAATGAGAAAATGAAACAATGTGAACACCTTCATTAACATAAAAATAACCAATTATCTTGGGATAAATGTGAAAAAGAAAAATAAGACCTCTACATTAAAAACTATAAAACATTATTACAAAAAGTTTTTTTCTGAAGACCTGAGTAAATGGAAGGATATAGTATGTTCATTGGCTTGGGAGTATTCCAAAAATTTTTAAAGTATCAGTTTATTTCAGGTTGATCTACATATACAATGCCAACAGAAATTTCCATATGTATATGCATATTTTTGTGTGTGAATGGTTTGAAAGACAATGAGCTGTTTTCAAAATGTATATAGTAGTTATTCAAAGAACCAAGGAAAGCCAATATTCCTTTGAAGAAGAACGATGAAACTTTCAATATGTTGTCAGAAGACAGGACAGTAGTTATATTTAGGGAGGAAGGTGGGATATTGGTTAAGAGGGGACAGACAGGGATGCCACACTACTAAGGTGCTAGCCTATTTCTTGTTAAGAGTCACCATTAAAAAAATGAGTTCAATTAGTAGTAACTCATTGGCTCTATACTTACCTTTTGTGTGCAATTCAAAAATTTTTAAAAACTCTTTAAGAAACATTACATGTGGATATTACGTGTACTCTTTGATTTAGTTCTGGTTTGAAAAACAAGCTGCAGACACATTTTGATTACCAATAGAGGAATTTGAATAAAGATTTTTGCATTCTATAATGTTAAGAAATTACTATTAATTTTGTCATGCATAACAATAGTGTTGTGGTTGGGTGAAAATGTCCTTATTTTCTTGGCAATATATACTAAAATATTTAGAGTTAAAAATACATAGTTTGTAATTTTCTTTAGAATGTTTCTGCAAAAGAATTTTTAGTACACAAAATATGGCAAGACTTTAACTGCTGTTGAAATTTATTTATGGCTATTTGTTTTCTCATTACAATATTTGGTATACTTGAATGCACAAAAAATTGTATAATAATAATAATAATTAAATTAGAATGTGGACTAGATTAGTTCCCTGCAGAATTAGCAACCAAAAGGTAATTATTTCTGAAATTCAAGATGAAATCTTATCAGTCAACAAATGTAATAGAATTGAGTACAGCAAAACTTAAGCAATATGTTAGTGAAATAGACATAATCCATTCAACTGATTTCTACTTAACTATAGTGTTTATAGTAGCACTTTTTGGTCTTATACATTTTATTTTGATAGTTTTTTTTCCATGACTCAGATTGCTTTTCCTTGGAATGAGGGGAGATGTTCATCATTTAAACATTAGTTATCAGACTTCAACTGCAGAGTATTTCTGATTGAGTCTTACCTGAACTGCTCCTGGGTTAGAATTTTTAAAAAAATAAAACCTGACATTTGGTTACTTTAGTTTGATTTGTCCTTTTCTTTTAAAATGTAGTATAATAGATGCTGGGCATATGATGGGGCAAGGAAATACATCAGCTGATTATTGGTTTCTGGTTACTTGGAGTAATCATGTCTGTCGTAAAGGGGAGTGTTTAGGACATTAAAGGCATGTTGAATGTACCTCTTGGATGGAAACTTTCTTCTAATTCCTCCAGTTTTGGCTAACAAGGGGTCATCTTGTTGAACTAGCAATTCAATTTCAATGCTTTTGAAAATGTTCATTTTTGTTTGTTTTTAGAAACTGGAGAAGAAAATATTTTTGTGAGAAGGTCTTGCCTGAAGTCAAATTTGATGTAATTCTTATACAAGCTTAGTAAATACAGGCAAGACAGACAGAAACCTAGTTTTATTTGTTTGTTTAATAGCAATCTACCAAAGCTTGTAGATATTCCTGGAGCAGATGCCTCAAAATCTGTAATTATAATTCAGACTAGTGTTTAGGGATTTTTTTTTGAATTAACATTAACATCTTTCTCCGATAAGGATAAGTGTCCATTAGAATATGATGTTTTCTGCAGGCTGTTCTTACTTCCAGCCAAGAAGCTTTATACAATATTTACATTCACCCTTGTTCTTGTAATCACACCTTTCCTTGAAGCCATTAGCAGTATTAAGGAAATGATTCCTTCGTTCAGAATTTGTCTTCCAGCTAACTCCGAAATTGTTACCACAGAATAGACCACATTCTCTCCCCTCCATGATCAGTACATTTAGATCTAAGAATTTAAAGCCTGAGAAATGTTAAATGCTACACCAAATAAACAGAATCCTCAATTTAGAAACTCTTAATTGTCTGTACTAATGGAGGTTTGCATAACCTAGATAAATCGAAGCCAGGGGAAACTTGCAGCTTCTCTCAGCATCTGATTTTAACTCTCAATTTCTCATCTTTCTCTCTTCCCTTAAGCTAGATCTCAACAGTTGAAAATGAGCAGCAGAATTCAACTGTTTTGACCTTCTCTGTCTTCCTTTCTTTCATCATCTTTCTGAGTTGAGAGTGAAAACGAAGTAGTGTAGCTACTTTGGCAAAACAGGGTATAGTTGTTTCATACAATTCATATTTCAATACTGGATACTGGAGATTTCCTCATTTGCTTTATCTCAGCATAAAACAATTTTCTAGTTATATTATGGTATAGCCCATTGATCAATAACACTGATCTGCCTCTCTCTCTCTCTCTCTCTGTGTGTGTGTGTGTGTGTGTGTATGTGTGTGTTTGTGTGTGTGTGTGTGTGTGTGTGTGTGATTGCTTTCGATATTTTGTTTGGTCAGAGAAAGAGGGCAGTACACATAGTGGGCTAGTGAACATTCTGTACTTAGCTCCAAGTGCCTTATCCAAACAACACAATAACATTTCAGTTCCATAATAGTTAGCAGAAATCATTATCTGTTATTACTCAAGAAAATGATGAATTGTTTTGATGCCTCATTCATAGCCATCCAAACAAATATTTATATTGCACTATTTACATCATAAGGCAATAGGTGGTATATTGGATTGATTTTTCTGTCTTAATAGTGGAATATTCTTGCCAAGATGAACCAAGAAAATTATCCTGAAATAGCTGATCTATAGTGTGTTATTAAAGGCTACTGAGGTGGTTACTGTAAAGTCCCTATGAATAAATTTATGTTTTTCAGGACTCTTCAGATATTTTAAGTCATTCTCAAGTTTGTGGACAAAGATATTTATTCTTATAGTGATAAGTACGTGCATTCATTTTTGTCTCTGGGCCATTTTCTGGTGACGTATGCTAGGTCATTTACAAATAAATGGGAATATCTTAGCAAGCAATATGTTAATAAATACAATCCAAGCTCTAATGGAATCGGCTACATTTATAAAACACTGAAGGTGTACCTGTCATTGATCTATAAATAATTTAACTGTGTTAACTTATTTTGTCCTCAGAATAGCTCTATGAGGTAGGTATTAATATTAGACATATTTTACAGATGATAAAACTAAGGCAGCAGATAGTTTCATGTTGTCCTCCATGTCTGCAGAAGCTATGCAGCCCGGATACAAATCAGAGTGGATATAGAGTTTACTCCCTTTATTATGCTATGTTATCTCTCAGTGTGAGTACTATGGGGCTTACATTCTATTGTGGTAATAATAAAAGATAAGAAAACCAGTAAGAAGATAAATAGATGTTTAAAGGGAAAACAATTCTGATTATGATCCTTTTGAATGTTTCTAACTTTCAGATAATTAGAACTAGAAAAAACAATGACCATTTGAAGGGAAAAGATTTAAGTACTATATTGTACAGCATAGGAAGAAAAACCAAGTAATCTCAGGATGCTTGCTGTGATTTGATGAGATGTTTCTCTATTTCAGACCCTTGAAAGGGGGAGTTCTGTCTATCTGAGGATGGATGAGTGTATTTTATCCCTTCCTCTACTTTATATCATGTTACATTGGCTAGTTTCTCAGGATATGGAAACTTTGTGAATAAAGGTAATTTTCTTCTCCATCATTATGTAACTACACCACAGGAAACAGAGTTTTCTGGGTCATCTCAGCAAGGGAAAAGACATCAAGCTCTTCTATAGTGTAGCTTAGAAGCAACATATGTCACTCCCACCTACATGCCATTGGCCAACCCTACGTGTATGGTCCTGTCTCACTCCAAAAGGACTAAAGTAACTGGGACATCAGAGGGCATTTTTTGGTGAGGACCACTGTTTCTGTAAAAGTCCATTCTTCTTGTCATTAAATATCCCTTTGCTCCATTCTAAACTTATAACACACTCCGTCCTCTCCAAGGGATTCTCATCAACCCCAAGTCAACCCAGTTGGCATTCTGAGCTCAAAGTCAAGGACATCTGGGTGATGTGCGTTGTTTTCTGCAGCAAATTTGGAAGTGGCATCTCTAAGTCTAGAAACTAATAAACCCCAAAGAGTTGTCTGCCCATTGGGTAGTGAACACTGTAAAGTGACAGTACAAGGACTAGATCCACAGGAAACATTACAATGTGGGAAGAGGAAGAATGAGTGTCACAAAATAGTCATGGTACTTAATATTTTTCAGATCCCATTGAACTAGGTAATGTGAGGACTTGTTACTCTGGGAATAGGGATTGTTCCTTAAATGCAACCTAATTGTGCTCACTTGTCTATGTTCTTAATGGTTGCTGGTTCTACTGCAGGAATATTGTTTCTTTTCTGTTATCCTCCTTGACCGCATCTGAAATAAACATTGGGGGAAATGACCTAATTGGGAGCTGAGCAGCTTTCCCAATTCACTTTCTATTGCATGAAGGTTAAATCTGGAGCAGATATAGAACTTTCTAGTCCAGACTTGTGTTTTGTTTGGCAGGTCAGTTTTTTCAAAGTTATAATGTTTGTTTTATTTATGATTCCAGTCCATTCCATGTGCTAATAACAATCCTACAATACTTTCCTAACCATAATTCTCAGATCATTTCTAGTCTGCATTTCTGCCTCTGTATCTGTCTCTCTTGATATAAAGAGCATTACCTTGACAGTGTCAAGCTTTCTCTTAATCATGTTTTGCCCTGAGCTAAAAATTTCAAAAACAGGCAAAAATAATCTACGGTATTAAAAATCAAGACAGTGGTTACCTTGGTGGATGGAGACACAGGGAGCATGAGGGATATTTCTCAAGTGCAGGAAACATTATATTTTTTGATCTGGTTACACAAGAGCATTTACTTTGTGAAAATTAATCAGGCTATATATGATTGGTACACTTGTATATGTACATGTTATATGTCAATAAAAAAAATTTACTTTAAAAATACCAAATGGAGTTAATCTTTCTATACTGATAGGCTAGCTAATTCAGACCACTCTTAACTTAGAACAACTTCAGTAGTAGACAAAAACAAGTAAATACACATATGTCCTTTTGAAGAACATAGGTAACAAGAAAATGAAGAATTGCAGATCAATATCCGGGAGAAAAGCAAAAAAACCCAGAGAGTTGGGTGTAACATCTGGATAGATTTTCCAGTAAAGATATCTGTTTTTTCCTAAATAAACAACAGAAGATGAGAAGATCTCCCAGAGAGTTCTCTCCCTTCTGCTGCTGTATAAGAGCTCAATCAAGATGGCCAGGCTGTCTGTGAACCAGGAAACAGGCCCCCACCAGACACTGAATCTGCCAGCTCCTTGATTTTGGACTTTTCAGCCCCAAGAACTGTAAAAAATAAATTTATGTTGTTTGTAAGCCACCCATTCTTTGGTGTTCTGTTATGATAGCTCTAACCGAAAAGACACTCACACTGAACTAATTGTCTACAACAGGTAAAGTGAATCCTCTCTGAGGAAATTTAAGACTATGTGGAGCCTTAAGTTATCTACGATTTTTTTCATGTGCAATGTCTATCACTTTTAAATAAAAGCATAAAAGGAGACCAAATTTTATTCTTCAAAATGAAAAGAAACAACAGACTATATAAAAGAATCTATAGAAAATCCAAGTAATTATCAGAAACAGACTTTAAATTAACCCTGAAAACACCGAGTGCTGAAAAAGACCTGGAGCAGTGGGATCTCGGGTGCAATTTCATCTCACTGATAGGTGTTAAAATGGAAACAATCACCTTGGAAAACAACTTGGCACTATTTTATAGAATTGAGCATTAATACTCCCTTTAACTCAATGATTTAATTGCTTACTATAATACCCAAGAGAAATTCAGTCAGAAGACAATCTAGGATTTGTAGGGTATGAAACTTGTGTAATAATGAGAATACAAATGAATAAAATAAATATAAAATTATAAATTCAAATTAGGTGCAATTCTTTGTAAAGAATTTATTCAAGTGGGATATCTGAAACTTAATCTTCATGAACTTTACATGAACTTGACGTTAACATACTATAGCCTGTTAAAAGACATTAGCAGAGAAAGAATTGATAAAACAAAAGGAAATTAAACCAGTGCTATGTAACATGGGGTAACAAGGACAAAGCAGGAGGATCCAAAGAATCAGTAAATGATGGTTTTTAAATGAAAAAATGATCTGCGTAGGTATACATACAGTGCAATAAACTGCACATATCTTTTATATATACTATGGGTTCTGACGTATGTATACATGTGTGAAAGCATCACCCCAATCAAGATAGTGAATATATCCATTATCCCCCCATATTTCCCTCATACAGTTTTTAATCCTTCACTCTCACCATGCCCCCTCCCACATCCTCCTCCAGGAAACCACTGAGCAACATTATTTCACTATATATTGGATTGCATTTTCTAGAATTTTTAATAAATAGAATCTTAGAATGTGTACCGCATTTTTATCTGGCTTCTTTTTCTCAATGCTTTTGTTTTGAAATTTATGCATGTGATTGGGTATATCAGTAGTTTATTTCTTTCTATTGCCGAGTAATATTTTATTATATGTATAAACCACAGATGGTAGATTCACTTTCCTTTTGATGGGAATTTTGGTTGTTTCCAGTTTGTGATCATTACTGATAAAGCCCTTATAAACATCTGTGTAAAAGTTATAACCTTGACTGGGAAAAATTGGTCACAAAAGGGAGGTGAGGTGCAGATCCCAACTACACTGGAAGGGGAATGGTCCTTTTACCTGCTTCATTGGAGTTTTAGAAGGGACAGTTGAGATGCCAGGATTAGATATATGCCTTCATTTCTCTTGGGGAAATACCTAAGAATGGAACAACTATGACTGATTGTTGGTGTATGTTTAAGTTTTTAAGACACTTCCAAATTGTTTCCAAGGTGATTTTAACCTTTTGGAATTCCCAAAAATAATGCATGAGAGTTCTAAGTGGTTCAACTTTATCCCAACACTTTGAATTCTCAGTTTGTTTAATTTTAGCTATTTTAATAGGGCATAGTGATATCTCATTATAGTGGTTTTAATTTGCATTTCCCTAATGACTGATAATATTGAACACTTTTTCATGTGCTTATTTGACATCTATATATCTTTTTGGTGACATGTCTGTTCATATATTTTGCCTATTTTTAAATTTTATTTTTTAAATTTTCAGGTTTGTGAGTTATTTATATATATTCTGGATATAGGATTTTTATCTGATCTTATTTGCAAATATTTCTGCTCTCACAAAGTTTACAACCTGTGCAGCAAGAGTTGTAGTATCCTCAAGAAGAATGCTTGTAGCAAGATACTATAAAAAGAGTACAAAAAACACAGAAGCAATTTTTTTCTTTTTTTTGGGGGGAAGGATCTCTCTCTGTTACCCAGGCTGGAGTGCAGTGGCACTATCTTGGCTCACTGCAACCTCCACCTCCTGGGTTCGAGTGATTCCCCTGCCTCAGCCTCCCGAGTAGCTGGAACTACAGGTGCATTCCACCACACCCAGCTATTTTTTGTCTTTTAGTAGAGATGGGGTTTCACTGTGTTAGCCAGGCTTGTCTCAAACTCCTGACCTTATGTGATCCGTCCACCTCAGCCTCCCAAAGGGCTGGGATTACAGGCGTGAGCCACCTTGCTCTTCCCGTATCTCTGCTTTCTTAAGGTACAAGGATCTTCTCACGGAATGAGCAAGGCAGGATCCTGACCACTTATTCTTTGATGTTCAACACTATTACTGATGAACTAAGGCAACCCAGATTGAGGAGCTTCTGGAAAAGACAGTGGTGGTCTCCATGTGCATCCCATTGCTAAAAAAAGGGAAGGTGGAACTGGTGACTTTGGCAAGGAGCATAAGTTGAGTGAGCTTCACCCTGAAGAAATGAGTATCTTCTCTTACTTCCCAAGAAACTACATGGAGCTGCACAGGGAAGGTCTTGCACAGAACTGTCAGGTGGCTTGGGTTTCCTCAGGTTCTCCAGCAATTCCTTTAGCAATTGGTGTTATGGCTGATCTCAGAATTTTCAAGGGCAAAACCATGGGCCCACTTAAAGAGTAACCAAGGACATTGATGACAGAAACCAGGTGAAGTAGGGAGAGCTACCTAGCAGTCAACGGTGGCAAAGAAACAAACCTGAGTTCTTGCTCTCGTCCAGCAAATAGAAGCAGGGAACATCAAAAAGGTCTAATTTAATGGATCACTTTATGCAGACACAGGAGTCCTGGGAATACTTGGATAGAAGAAAGCTGGGGAATGTTATATTTCTGGCCGTGTTGGCCTTGGCATTGCTTGGAATATCCATTGCATATAGATGTGCGTTTGAATGAAAAAGTCTATAGCAACATATGCCTGTGGGATTTAAAATCCAGGTTCTGCCATGTAATAATCATACGTCCATGGGGAAATCACTAAGTTTGTCTGTGTCCTAGTTCACCCACATGGAAAGGTTGGATATTTCTGTGAGATGAAGAAACCCATCTAAGTATGTGTGTGAATACATATATATGTTCCTTAAGCAATCAGTGATATATATATCTTAAGCAATCGGTGATTCCTTAAGCAATCAGTGATATATATATATCTGATTTATATATATATATATCTGATTTATATATATATATGTGTATGTGTGTGTGTGTATATATATATGAGAGAGAGAGAGATTTTAACACTGAGTTTCTTTGATTGGTAGCTATTACAAATGCAATTCTTTTGAGACAGTGTCTGGCTCTGTCACTCAGGCTGGAGTGCAGGGGCACAATCTCAGTTCACTGCAACCTCTGCCTCCCAGGCTCCAGCAATCCCCCTACCTCAGCCTCCTGAGTAGCTGGGACTACAGGCATGTGCCACCACACCACTAGTTTTTTTGCATTTTTTGTAGCGACCGGATTTTGCCATGTTGCCCAGGCTGGTCTCAAACTCCTGAGCTCAAGCAATTTGCCTGCCTTGGCCTCCCATAGTGCTGAGATTATAGTAATGAGCCACCGCACTAGGCCAAAATACTTATTTTCATCTGTGATCTATTATATATTTTCCAAATCTCTAATAATGGGAGCATAAAATAAGTGAGTGAGAATATTAGTGAGGGGAATACATTATCATCATGATAGTCTGCTTACTTTAGTTACTATTTCTGAGGGTATATATTGTGTGGAGTGATCAAATGTAACCTCTCAAATACTGGGTTATGCCCTCAATTTTAAAGACAAACCTGCCAGAAAGTACTGATCTTAGCATATCATATTCAATCATGATAAAAGGAGGAAAGTCTTAAGAGCTCACACCTCCACAATCAAGGAAAATTTAGCTCCTGTTAGTGCAAATTAGGAAACACTCCTGGCAAGTAGCCCATACAGCCTGTCAATCAGTAAAGTGAGGTTGGGTGCTTACTTCTTAAACAATTCAAGTATCAGTTCCAAACTGTGGTTCTCTCAGTTTCAGTAATCCACACTTTCCCCATTACGTTTAATGTTTGGAGTTGGTGCTGTTGCTACTGCCACTGCTGCTCTGCACCACTCCAGTTGATTTGAAACAGAAGCAGAAGCCCTTTATGATGTAAGGCCACTTAATGATTAATTAGTACTTCTCTCATGCAGCACATTAGGAGGAGGCTGTTGCTAGAATCATGATTAACTTCAGAGCTGCAGATGTTGGAACAGTTACCTCGTGGTAATGCTATGTTGCCAATTGATATGTTTAGGTATCTTCGTGTTTGGTGGTTTAATTGCATTGCCAGAACATATTTGCTTCCTTTTATCCTTAAAACAACATCATCATGGAAATCTGATAGATGCCTATGAAAAAAATAGATGTAAACACATTCAACATAAATGTACCAGAGTGCCAGTGTTATTTATATTCATGTTTATTTATATATTCATGTATTTTTCAAACTTCTGCTAGAAATCCATTTGTGAAATCTATTTGAAAATGCAAGACATATGCAAATATATTTCTGATTTGTGTGTGTGTGTGTGTGTGTGTGTGTGTGTGTGTGTGTGTGTGTGTGTGAAAACCGTATTTCAAATGTATAGATAAAATAAGAAATCAAGGCAAGGTTAAAATCTTACAGCCAAAATAGCTCAGAATAGCTGAAAACAGGCTGGTTATAACCATAAAGACCTCTCTTCACTCTGTCCTTAAAATATTTCTTTCAGTATGGTCTCAAACATTGGGGTTGCTGTAGACACAAATTCTAATAACCCATGTGATATTGAAAATCTGACATAGTGAAGATATATTGCAATGCATATGGCTTGAGGGAATAGGTCAGTCAGAGGTTAGCTCATATGTATAGACTTTTAAAAAATATGGTTCTTTATTTTCCACCTAGCTTTAGTCACTGCATTATTTCCTAAGTTTGAATACTTGCTTAGGATAGTATTACTAAATTTAGTGCAGTGTGTATGTGACTTCTTGCATTTCAGTCAATGCAAAGATAAATTTTGTTCTTAATGCATAAGTATTTTCCCTTCATTGTTTTTGCAAACAGTGAGAGAATAAGATGCTTGATAATATCAATTAGCTTTATCTTTGTTGTTGATATTGCTATAAACCATTGTTGATGGTATGAGATTCTCTTAAATGATGGATTGCAGGGATATACCATGAAAATGAAGCTCTGGAGGCAACTTTGTTGAATTATAGCAGAATCCTGTTAAAGCACAATGATTCAGATATACCCAAATTCCCAGAGGTGTGAGGAATAAATAACTTTGAAAGCCATACAATATTACGTAAACCTAATGTGGTATTTTTCTTACCGTCGTTACTGTTATTTGTTTTTATTTTTATTACATTGATTTTCCCTTATAAAAGCATGTGTCTAGAACCATAGTTAATATGTCTAAATTTCTATTGGCCTTTTTTAGAATATCATCTTAAAATAATCATAGAGAATGTGTTTTTCAGAGACTGGCTTCTTTCACTTGGAATGATGCATTTGAGACTTATCCATGATGTTGCTGTGTGAATCACCTGTTCATTTCTGTTTCATTGTTGAGTAGTATTTATTCTTTGACTGTACCACACTTCATCCATTTGCCAGTTGAGGGATATTTGGGCTGTTTCCAGCTTTGACAATTACAATTAAAGCCACTGTAAACAACTGCATTCAGGTTTTTTAGTGCACTTGGGTAATACCTAGGGGTCAGATTGTTGAGTTGTAAGGTAAGCATATGCTTAATTTTATAAGAAGCTGCCAAAATATTTTCCAAAGTAACTATAATTTTTCATAGCCACCAGGAATGTGTTTCTTATCCTACTCAGTATTTATTACTGATGTTTCTTTGATTTTAGCCATTCTAACAGTTGGGTGGTATTATCTGGTTGTGGTTTTAATTTGTATTAGCCTAATGAAGTAAAATGTGGAGCACCTTTATGTGCATATTTGCCATTTTTATGTACTGTTCATTGGTGAAGTGTCTATAAATTTTTTACCCATTTTTAAATTGGATTTTTTAAACAATTGAGTTTTGAGAGGTGTATATATATATATATATATATATATATATATATATATATATATATACACACACATATATGTATATATCCTGGATATAGAACTTTTATCTGTCTCATTTGAAAATATGTTTTCCAGTGTGTGGATTGCCTGTTAATTCTCTTACTTACCAATGTCTTTCAAAGAACAGAGGTACTTAGTTTTTAACAAAGATCATTTATTCTGTTTGTTCTTGTATAAATCATGTTTTTGGGTTTGTATCTCAATCATTTTTGTCTAAATCATGGTTGATATAGTTTGGCTGTGTCCCCACCCAAATCTCATCTTAAATTCCCATATATTGTGGGAGGGACCTGGTGGGAGGTTACACCTGCTGGTTTTAAAAACAGGAGTTTCTCTACACAGGCTCTCTCTTTGCCTGCTGCCATCCACGTAAAACATGACTTGCTCCTCCTTGCCTTCTGCCATGACTGTGAGGCCTCCCCAGCCACATGGAACTGTAAGTCCATTAAATCTCTCTTTCTTTTGTAAATTGCCCAGTCTCAGGTATGTCTTTATCAGCGGCATGAAAACAGAGTAATACAGAAACTTGGTACCAGTAGAGTGGGGGGGGGGGGTGTTGTTGAAAAGATACCCCAAAATAAGGAAGTGACTTTGGAACTGGGTAACAGTTCCAAAGAGTTGGAACAGTTTGGAGGGCTCAGAAGAAGACAAGGAAATGTGGGAAAGTCTGGAACTCTCTAGAGACTTGTTGAATAGCTTTGACCAAAATGCTGATAATGATATGGACAATAAAATCCAGGCTGAGGTGGTCTCAGATGGATATGAGGAACTTGTTGGGAACTAAAGCAAAGGTGACTCTTGTTATGTTTTAGCAAAGGGACTGGTGGCATTTTACCCCTTCCCTAGAGATTTGTGGAAAACTTTGAACTTGAGAAAGATGATGTAGGGTATTTGATGGAAAAAATTTCTAAGCAGCAAAACATTCACTTCAAAAAATTTGAAGTGACTTGGGTGCTGTTAAAGGCATTCAGTTTCAAAACAAAACTAGTGCATAAAAGTTTGGAAAATTTGCAGCCTAACAATGCAATAGAAAAGAAAATCCCATTTTCTGAGGAGAAATTCAAGCCAGCTGCAGACATTTGCGTAAGTAACAAGGAGCTGAATGTTAATCACCGAAGACAATGGGGAAAATGTCTCCAGGGCATGTCAGAGACCTTTGTGGCAGTCCCTCCCATCATAGGCCTGGAGGCCTAGGAGGAAAACGTGATTTTGCGGGCCTGGCCTAAGGTCCTCGTGCTGTGTGCAGCCTAGAGACTTGGTGCACTGCATCCCTGCTGCTGCAGCCATGGCTGAAAGGGGCCAGTGTAGAGCTCAGGCCATGGCTTCAGATGGGGCAAGGCTCAAGCAGCTTTCGTGTGGTACTGAGGCTGCGAGTGCACAGATATCAAGAATTGAGGTTTGGGAACCTCTGCCTAGATTTCAGAAGATGTATGGAAATGCCTGGATGCCCAGGCAGAAGTTTACTGTAGGGGTGGGGCCCTCATGGAGAACCTTTGCTAAGGCAGTGCGAAAGGGAAGTGTGGGATGGGAGCCCCAACACAGAGTCCCTAATGGGGCACTGCCTAGTGGAGCTGTGAGAAAAGTGTCCTTGTCCTCCAGATCCCAGACTGGTAGATCCACCAACAGCTTGCACCATGTGCCTGGGAAAAGCCACAGACATTCAACATCAGCCCATGAAAGTAGCCAGGAGGGAGGCTGTACCCTGCAAAGTCACAGGGGTGGAGCTACCAAGACCATAGGAACTCACCTCTTGTATCAGCATGACCTAGATGTGAGACATGGAGTCAAAGGAGTTCATTTTGGAGCTTTAAGAGTTGACTGCCTGCTGGATTTCAGACTTGCATGGGGTCTGTAGCCCCTTTGTTTTAGCTAATTTCTTCCATTTTTAATGGCCGTATTTACCCAATGCCTGTACCCCCATTGTATCTAGGAATTAACCAACTTACTTTTAATTTTACATGCTCCTAGGCAGAAGGCACTTGCCTTGTCTCAGATGAGACTTGGGACTGTGGACTTTTCAGTTAATGCTGAAATGAATTAAGACTTTGGGGGACTGCTGGGAAGGCGTGATTGGCTTCAAAATGTAAGGATGTGAGATTTGGGAGGGCTGGGGGTGGAATGACATGGTTTGACTGTGTTGCCACCCAAATCTCATCTTGAATTCCTATGTGTTATTGGAGGGACCCAGTGGGAGGTAATTGAATCATGAGGGTGGGTCTTTCCTGTGCTGTTCTCATGATAGTAAATAAGTCTCACAAGATTTGCTGGTTTTAAAAATGTGAGTTTCCCTCTCCAATGTCTCTCTTTGCTTGCTGCCATCCATGTAAGATGTGACTTGCTCCTCCTTGCTTTCCACCATGCTTGTGAGACCTCCCCAGCCAGGTGGAACTGTAAGTCCATTAAATCTCTCTTTTGTAACTTGCCCAGTCATGGGCATGTCTTTATCAGTAGCATGAAAATGGACTAACACAAAGTTTATAAATATTTTCTTGTTTGTTTTTCTTATACATTTCATAGTTTTCAGTTTTTAATTTTATTGTTTTTAGGTTCAAGGTCAATTTTGAATTAATTTTTGTGTGTGGTATAAGGAATGTAGACAATTCATTTATTTGCATATGAATATTAAATTGTTCCATCATTTGATGAAAAGTCTGTTTTTGCCATTGAATTGTCTTAGCAATTGTGTCAAAAATGGTGACTATATATGTGTGCGTCTACCTCTAGAATCTGTGTTCTGTTTGATTGTCTATCTTTTTGCCATTACCACACAGTGTTGTTACTGTGGTTAATAGTAACTTTTGAAATCAGGTTTAAGTCGTCAAACTCTGTTATTCTTTTTCACAGCCATTTTAGCTATTCTACCTCCTTTGCCTTTCCATCTAATTTTAGAACTGTTTATTAATTTCAAAAAATCTAGCTGGTATATTTATTGGAATTGTATTGAATATGTAGATCAGTATTTTGGCTAAGTGACATCTTAGCAATATTGAGTCTTCTAGTTCATGATTGTATTGTGCCTTGCTCTGATTTTCTTTATATTTCTCATGCTTGGACTTTACTGAACTTTTTGCACCCATGGAATTATGTTTTAGATTTTTTAAGAATCAAATTTGGGCTTTTTACCATTATTTCTTCAGATATTTTTCTATTCCCCTACTCACTCTCTTCTTCATGTACACTAATTACACATACATTAGGCTGCTAAAAAAGTTCATTTAATTTATAAGTTTGTTTATTCCCATCTTTTTCTTTCTGTTTCCTTTTCAATAATTTCTGCTGCTATGTTTTCAAGTTTATTGATATTTTCTTCTGCACTATCTATTACACTATGAATCTTATGTAGAGGTTTTTGTTTATTTGTTTTTAACTTGAAACATTGTATTTTCACATCTAGGAGTCTTATTTGGGTATTTTAAAACATCTTCTATGTCTCTTCTTAATTCGGTCATTTTTTCTTTATCCTTCTTAAATATATGGAATACAGTCATAATCACTATTATTTTAATAGGTTCATATGACTTACTATTTGATGAAACTAGTTCCTTTTATTTCTTTTCTTTATTATAATTTCATTTGATATTATGTTTGATTTCTTAATATAAAATGCAATATCAGCTTGTCTTTTTCTTAAAAATTCTGCTGTTATTTTTTATTGAAATCATATAATAATTATACACAGTTATGTTCAACATTTCAAGTTGGTGAATTATCTTATCTAAAACCACTGGTATGTCTTTTCTTTTTTTCTACTTTCTTTTGTGTCCCAAAATACTTAAAGTTTACCTTCATATACATCTTTTAGATTTATTGATGTGCTTATTAATATATATTCATATATTGATGTATGCAATTCAGTTCTGACACTAACTACCTAGGGTTGGTGTGCATGGTTCCCAAGGAGACTGCTCTCACTTTAGATGCCAGCCAGAGGTGGGGTCCCCAACTCCACTTCTGATCATCAGAGTACAAATCCAGGGGTTCGTAGAACCACCCTCAGGTTTGGTTATTTGCTAAAATGGCTAAGAGAACTTTGCAAATTGCTTACAATGATTACATGATTATATTTTTCTTAAAACGTATAAAAATTAGGAACAGCCAAAAGAAAAGACACATAATGTAAGGTCTGGAGGGGTCCTGACATAGAGCTTCAGTACCTTCCCCTATAAATCAGGGCATGTCACCTTCCTGGAACATTAATATATTCAGCAACCCAGAATTTCCTCTGAGTTTTGGAGTGTTTAGACTTTTAATTGAGATTCCATTACACAGGCATAATTGATTAAATCACTGGCCTTGTGATTGAACTCTCTCTCTACCTCCCTATTCCCCCAGAGGTTGGGCTGGCTCAAAATTCCAGAGATCTAATCATGTGGTTTGTTTTTCTGGTGACCAACCACAGCCTGAAGCTATCTTAGAGGCCTACTATGAGTCACTTCATTAGTATAAACTCACCTGTGACCCAAGGGCTTAGTAATAACAAAGACAAAAAGCCCCTTCCAGGAACCAAAGTCAAAAACCAGTGAAATCCACTATTATAAAACAACATCCTACCATCAGCATTATAAATAATTTGTTCTGTTTAAATACAGCTGTGCACAACATAATGATGTTTCAGCCAATGATGAACCACACATAGAAGACAGTGGTCCAATAAAATTATAATACCTATTTTTACTGTACCTTTTCTACATTTATATATTTTTAGATCAATAAATTGTTTACCATTGTGTTTATAATTGCCTGTAGCATGCAGTACAGTAACATGCTGTACAGGTTTGTAGCATATGGACAATAGGCTATGATATATTGACTAAGTGTAGTAGGCTATACCATCTAGGTTTGTGTAAGTATACTCGATGATAGTACAATCACAAAATTGCCTAGTGATGCATATCTTAGAACATCCCCGTCGTTAAGTGGCATGTTACTGTATACAAATTATGACAGAGTTAAGAAGATCCATTTCTAAAAGTTTTTCAGTGAGATTTATTAGCACATTGAAGTATAAGGTAGTAAATCCTAAACTTTGAAACTATTGAAGGCCGGGCGCAGTGGCTACTGCCTATAATCCCAGCACTTTGGGAGGCCGAGGCGGGCGGATCACGAGGTGGGGAGATGGAGACCATCCTGGCTAACACCGTGAAACCCCATCTCTACTAAAAATACAAAAAAATTAGCCGGGCGTGGTGGCAGGCACCTGTAGTCCCAGCTACTCAGGAGGCTGAGGCAAGAGAATGGCGTGAACCCAGGAGGCGGAGCTTGCAGGCAGTGAGTCCAGATCGTGCCACTGCACTCCAGCCTGGGTGACAGAGCAAGACTCCGTCTCAATTAAAAAAAAAAGAAACTATTGGAAATGTCGAAGGAAGAACAAACAACTCCACAAAGAAGATTCTTCATTGTCTCATTTTATTAATTCCAGAAAAGTGTAATCCAAAATTACTTGGCAGAATTCTGCAAAGAGAAAGAAGATATGTAAAGGTATAGAAAGTGAGAGCATGCATAGCATAATATTGATCTCATAGAGGTAGCTTCATATTTAAAGGCTAACCTGAAAACTTTGAGTGCTGTAACTAGTATCTGATATATAAAAACAAATAAATTAATCCCCCCAAAATTCTTTGATTACTTTCCATATAAGTTGTCACCAAAATGTAATTAACTGTGTCGGAGGCATAAGATCAATGTGGCTCCAGCAGCCTGGGTCCCCACATGAGTAAATTGAAACTCAATTCAATGTAAATAACATCCTAGAAAAATGAAACTTAAGCTTTACCAATCAGAAACTGCCAACTAACCTCTACTGGAAACTTTGTCTTGCTTCCATAAACATTGTATGAAAGTTTTCCCCTGGCCGAGCGTGGTGGGTCACGCCTGTAATCCCAGCACTTCCGGAGGCTGAGGCAGGCAGATCACCTGAGGTCAGGAGTTGGAGACCAGCCTGGCCAACATGATGAAACCCCATCTCTACTAAAAATACAAAAATTAGCCAGGCATGGGGGTGGGTGCCTGTAATCCCAGCTACTTGGGAGGCTGAACAGGAGAATCGTTTGAACCCAGGAGGCTGAGGTTGCAGTGAGCTGAGATCGCGCCACTGCACTCCAGCCTGGGCAATAAAGAGTGAAACTGCGTCTCCCCTTGGTGAAGCCCCAACCACTTGCTTTCTGGTATTGCCCAATTCGTGAATCTATGTCTGCTCAAATGAACTCTAGAATTTTAATGTACCTATGTTTATCTTTTAGCAGTGTTAACTTTGGCATGTTTAAGCTATGTATGGTTATATGAAACTTCATAATATTTTCTAGAAAGACAGTTCTATACATGTCTTTTAAAAAAGTGATATATATTATAATAGGCATTACCATTCAGGACATAGGTATGGGCAAGGACTTCATGTCTAAAACACCAAAAGCAATGGCAACAAAAGCCAAAATTGACAAATGGGATCTAATTAAACTCAAGAGCTTCTGCACAGCAAAAGAAACTACCATCAGAGTGAACAGGCAACCTACAAAATGGGAGAAAATTTTCGCAACCTACTCATCTGACAAAGGGCTAATATCCAGAATCTACAATGAACTCAAACAAATTTACAAGAAAAAAACAAACAACCCCATCAAAAAGTGGGCAAAGATATGAACAGACACTTCTCAAAAGAAGACATTTGTGCAGCCAAAACACACATGAAAAAATGCTCATCATCACTGGCCATCAGAGAAATGCAAATCAAAACCACAATTAGATACCGTCTCACACCAGTTAGAATGGCAATCATTAAAAAGTCAGGAAACAACAGGTGCTGGAGAGGATGTGGAGAAATAGGAACACTTTTACACTGTTGGTGGGACTGTAAACTAGTTCAACCCTTGTGGAAATCAGTGTGGCGATTCCTCAGGGATCTAGAGCTAGAAATACCATTTGACCCAGCCATCCCATTACTGGGTATATACCCAAAGGACTAGAAATCATGCTGCTATAAAGACACATGCACACGTATGTTTATTGCGGCACTATTCACAATAGCAAAGACTTGGAACCAACCCAAATGTCCAACAATGATAGACTGGATTAAGAAAATGTGGCATATATACACCATGGAATACTATGCAGCCATAAAAAATGATGAGTTCATGTCCTTTGTAGGGACATGGATGAAATTGGAAATCATCATTCTCAGTAAACTGTCGCAAGGACAAAAAACCAAACACCGCATGTTCTCACTCATAGGTGGGAATTGAACAATGAGAACACATGGACACAGGAAGGGGAACATCACACTCTGGGGACTGTTGTGGGGTGGGGGGAGGGGGGGAGGGATAGCATTAGGAGATATACCTAATGCTAAATGATGAGTTAATGGGTGCAGCACACCAGCATGGCACATGTATACATATATAACTAACCTGCACATTGTGCACATGTACCCTAAAACTTAAAGTATAATAAAAAAAAAGTGATATATATTATAATCAAGAAAAGTGAGACATTTTCTAATAAAGTTAAATTGAAATCCAGTGTTTCACAGTTTTCATTCCTCCTTTAGAAATTTCTTATGTGCAAATTCTATTTTAGGGGTTTTATAAATAAATTATTGTATTGTAAGATGTCCCTTTGCTGATGAATGCCCATAGAATGTGTTGAAAACAAATGCTGCACTAATAGGATGAAATCTAAAGCTCATTTCAGAGACAATTTCCAAATGGTCCTCTATGATAACTGCCATGCAAATGTGCATATATTTTGTTTTCAAAAAGCTACATTAATGGTTTTGCTGTATCCCAGGAATATATTTTGATCTGTCTCTAAGTTCACAGGAAAAGTTGTAGTATTCTTGACATTCTATTCCTTCCAGAGAGCAAAATCATCCCAACATTCCTTCCTGAAGTGTTTGATATAGTTACAATGATGTGATTTCTTGAAATGTATACTGTGAGAAAAAAAAAATGTGTGGTTTTAATTCCAAAAAAGTCACACTGAATGTGCACTTGAATGAATCAAATTAATTATTAAAATAAGCATACATGCAAAACTGAACAGTGAAAACGGTTAAAATGGTTAACTGATTTTTTTAATTTAATGGATTTATCTATGAATTATGTAATATCTACTGCCATTATTCAGAAGAATCATCTTTCCTGTTTTTAATGGGCATATAATATCTAAGGATCCAAATTCTACCTGGATTATATTTCATTAATTTGAAAATGAATTAATCCCATTCTACTTTTACACATAAAAAGGATTCCATCCATATATCTGAAAATAAGACCATGCTAATTTGTCTAATAGTTAATGCACTGCAATCCTGTAAATGTTACAGTAAAATACCATGCCAAAAATAGGCACAGTTTCAGATGCTTCAGCATATGAGGCATGGATACTTCAATCATTTGCAAAGGGTTCTGCTCAGTAGACTGAATGGAAAAGATGGTCATTGCTCTTTAATGTAATTTTGCAGCTCTCATCAAAGAAAATATCTCCATGAAATTTATTGGTAACTGTTTATCTTTGATCAGTGCAAACTGAAGTCAAATATACAAGGTAAACACACATAAAGATAAGTTCACACATTTCTGTGAATTTTCTAAATGTACACACTTCTGCAAATTCTCTAAATTCACAAATAACAAATTTGCATGCATGCAAGCATATGTGCACATGTGCACACACATGACATAAAATATGAGAGGGTGGAGGTAATTTTTCCCCCTTAATACTATACTGATAAGTGAATGCTATGGGAACAGTTTGGCTCTCGTGAGCCAAATTTCTATTTTTAAAATCTTCCTTCACATAGATCATATGATGTGTGTGAACTCTAAGAATATTCTGACTTACTGCTTCTCTGATAATTTAATTGAAGCCACCACTTCTACTTTTAGGAAATAGCTTAGTCATGTATTTACGACTTTACTGTATTTCAGAAGAGTTTTTTTTTTTTTCACAGTGAAATGATCTGAGTTACATAAACCATTCTGATCTGATGGTGGTGGGTTTGTCTTTCACACAAGCAACACCTTTGTAAAATGATGGGGTTGTCTAAACTTTTTAAAATGTCATTTAAAAAGCAGCTCTGTATTATCATAACAATTTCCTGCTATTTAAAGTATATTACAATAAATATAAAAGTAGGTTAAGCATAAAGGTAGGAAAAGGCATTTTAGTAAATGAATCAGTTCAATTTTTTTTGTGGTTCCAAAAGTTGCAGTGACTATGATTCTTAAGATAGACTGAAATATATTACCTATGGCACACATTTACCCCTCAAAAGTTTACTCTTCCTGTGAAAGAAATTAAAGCTGTTTCTAAAAATGCATACATTTAGAGAATTTGTTTATCCATCCTGACGTGATTATTTAAACCTCTCAACATCAAGTGTTTTTGTTTGTTGTGGGAAAGAAACTGGTGACTTTCTTGGGGCTAATATCCGGCTAGAGAAGAAAGAAGAAGAAATCACACTGAGAAACAGGAAGACACCCTGCAGGAGCACCATATTCAATGCTGCCTTGTTTTCAGTCTGTGACATTGGCATACATACTTCCAACAGGAGTGATGATGCGACTCCAAACTTTGTGGTCAAACTTCATGTGGTAGAGGGAGGATCAGAGGTTCTGTTACCCACTCATCCCTATAATTGTGCAAAAGATGTGTTCAATTTTTACTTGATACCTACATCCGCTGGTCCAATCAGCACACCAGGAAGCAAGCAAATGGTAAAATTACCACACACCTCCCTCCTACATCTCTTCTATACATGCACACATTTGCAGAAACAATTATAGTAATGTTTTATAAAGAAACCATTCAGTAGGTAAGAAAACCATTTGTTTGCTGATCAGAAATTTTAAGATTAAAAAGTCATAAATGTCTACTAGACATCATCGTTGTAGAGGACTTAAGGTAAAGCTTTTTCTCTTCTGACTTGGTTTTCATAGATTCACACTATTCACAGCATAAAACAAGATGAAACATATATTTGCATATTTTGCACAGAGAATGAATAGAAATGAAAAGTAATTATTATGATATAGATTATTCTTCTTATTCTAAACATTAATTATTGACTCAAAAAATATAATGAACCTGCTGGTCACTTTCATTTTCCTATATAAGACCCATGCAAATGTTTTAGTGCAGTAAACAAATTAACTGAGTGTTATTCAATTTCACCATATATCTAGAGATTCAAAGTTCTTCAGCTTGGGGGCCTCTACTAATTCATTTTTTATGGCTGGAAGTTCTTCAATGTAATGACTTCATTTCCTTTAGTCAAAATAATCTTTTTCTTTTAATTTATGACTTCAATGTAATCAATTTATTTGAGATGTAGTAGGATACATTTCTTGATGTTTGAGAATCTCATAGAGAATCTTATTTTTATTACTAGAACATGTGGCTCTTTCAGATATACCCACGTTCTTCAAGAATTTTTTTCTTTTTTTTTTTTTTTTAGTATTTATTGATCATTCTTGGGTGTTTCTCGGAGAGGGGGATTTGGCAGGGTCATAGGACAATAGTGGAGGGAAGGTCAGCAGATAAACAAGTCAACAAGGGTCTCTGGTTTTCCTAGGCAGAGGACCCTGCAGCCTTCTGCAGTGTTTGTGTCCCTGGGTACTTGAGATTAGGGAGTGGTGATGACTCTTAAGGAGCAAGCTGCCTTCAAGCATCTGTTTAACAAAGCACATCTTGCACTGCCCTTAATCCATTTAACCCTGAGTGTACACAGCACATGTTTCAGAGAGCACGGGGTTGGGGGTAAGGTTATAGATCAACAGCATCCCAAGACAGAAGAATTCTTCTTAGCACAGAACAAAATGGAGTCTCCTACGTCTACTTCCCTCTAAACAGACACAGCAACCATCCGACTTCTCTATCTTTTCCCCACATTTCACCCTTTTCTACTCGACAAAACTGCCATCGTCATCATGGCCCGTTCTCAATGAGCTGTTGGGTACACCTCCCAGACAGGGTGGCTGCTGGGCAGAGGGGCTCCTCACTTCCCAGATGGGGCGGCCGGGCAGAGGCACCCCCCACCTCCCGGATGGGGCGGCTGGCCGGGCGGGGGCTGCCCCCCACCTCCCTCCCGGACGGGGCGGCTGCTGGGCGGAGATGCTCCTCACTTCCCAGATGGGGCGGCTGCCAGGTGGAGGGGCTCCTCACTTCACAGACGGGGCGGCTGCCGGGTGGAGGGGCTCTTCACTTCTCAGACTGGGTGGCGGGCAGAGACGCTCCTCACCTCCCAGATGGGGTCGCGGCCGGGCAGAGGCACTCCTCACATCCCAGATGGGGCGGTGGGGCAGAGGCGCTCCCCACATCTCAGACGATGGGCGGCTGGGCAGAGACGCTCCTCACTTCCTAGACGGGATGGCGGCCGGGAAGAGGTGCTCCTCTTCCCAGACTGGGCGGCTGGGCAGAGGGGCTCCTCACATCCCAGACGATGGGCAGCCAGGCAGAGACGCTCCTCAGTTCCCAGACGGGGTGGCGGCTGGGCAGAGGCTGCAATCTCGGCACTTTGGGAGTTCAAGGCAGGCGGCTAGGAGGTGGAGGTTGTAGCGAGCCATGATCACGCCACTGTACTCCAGCCTGGGCAACATTGAGCACTGAGTGAATGAGACTCCGTCTGCAATCCCGGCACCTCTGGAGGCCGAGGCTGGCAGATCACTCGCGGTTAGGAGCTGGAGACCAGCCCAGCCAACACAGCAAAACCCCGTCTCCACCAAAAAAATATGAAAACCAGTCAGGCGTGGCGGCGCGCGCCTGCAATCCCAGGCACTCGGCAGGCTGAGGCAGGAGAATCAGGCAGGGAGGTTGCAGTGAGCTGAGATGGTGGCAGTACAGTCCAGCTTCGGCTCGGCATCAGAGGGAGACCGTGGAGAGAGAGGGAGAGGGAGACCGTGGGGAGAGGGAGACCGTGGGGAGAGGGAGAGGGAGACCGTGGGGAGAGGGAGAGGGAGACCGTGGGGAGAGGGAGAGGGAGACCGTGGGGAGAGGGAGAGGGAGAGGGAGACCGTGGGGAGAGGGAGAGGGAGAAGGAGAGGGAGACCGTGGGGAGAGGGAGAGGGAGAGCAAGAATTTTTTTCTACCTGTAAAAATATAGCATTAAATTCTTCAATATACATTTCGGCTTCATTTGTGAAGGGCCTGATTTTGTGATTGAGTTGTGTAGAATAAGTACATAAATGTGCAGACAGGATAGTACAGAAAAGAAAACATGGCCTGATTCATCATAGAATTGCCTTTTAATTCCTGGAAGTCAGGGGGAGCTAGTATTGAAAATGTGGGGAAATGGTGTGTCTTTTCACATGAAAGTTCTCACACATGTGGAGATAGTATTTATCTATTCAACGCCCCTCTGAACGCAAAACTTAGAAAAAAAGTTACATAGTACAGCTAATAGCACAGCTCTGCCTCTTGCTCTCTCTAGATCTTTTTTATTTTTGGTAGGGAGCTAGCAGAGGTTGTGCGACAGTCAACAAAGTATTTCTTGACAGATGTGGTGGGGAGGGGATTTGGGAAAGGGGTGTGGGTTGGAAGGATACCTATCCAGGTACTGTGCTCACTACCTGGGTTGGAAGGATACCTGTCCAGGTACTTGCTCACTACCTGGGTTGGAAGTGTACCTATCCAGGTACTGTGCTCACTACCTTGGTAACAGGATCATTTGCAACCAAGCCCCAACAACACGCAATTTACCCACGCAAAAAACCTGTACACGTGTCCTTTGAACCTAAAATAAATGTAGAAAAACAAGAAACTGAAAAAAATAAAATTATTCTACACCATTATTGACCAAAGAAAATGAAATAGATATAGGTTATTTAATTTTTAAAATACTGACATTTATAAAAATTATTCTCAATTTTTTTCAACTTGAAATGCTGCAGGTAATATTCATAAGTCTGCCTTTTATATATTTCTATCTCAATGAAAGAGTAACTTTTATGTTACTGTTAAAACAACAATATTAGAATACACAAATTTAAATAATAATATGTATAGATTCATAGCAGATGTCCACTGCTCTATGACTTTGCCTTGAATGCATAATTCTAGCTTTTAAATCATTAAAGAAAACAATGAAATAGGCATCATTGTAGCTCTTGTGAAATGTAAATGTAGATCTACTCTTTATCTCTTCTTTGTCCATCATTTTCTTCTTTTTCATTTACATATCATCTATAATATCCATTCTATAAAAATGAAAATAAGAACAGGATGAAGACTCATAATATCTTAATAGCTGATAATCTGAGTTGCTAACATCATAGGCTATGGTATGATGAAATTTGTATAGGTCCTTGTAAATTCCATCTCCATGGTATTACACTGAAGTAAACATATAAAAAGCGAGTGAAAGTGGCATTATTTATTATTCTGGAGATAAACTCTAATCTCTTTTAATTTAGACATTTTAAAAGACATATATGTTTTTAGTCATATGTGCATTTCTTAGGACCCATTTCTTTAGTAAGAGCTTTTAAAATTTACTCTTTCAAAATTCTTATGGATTTTTTGTATTATTTTACCAAAGTTTAAAGGCATGAATGTATTACTATCAGACCTAGATGGCACAAACCCTAACAAACCTCCCTCCCAAACCAAACCAAACCAAACCAAACCATTTTCCTTTTCCTTCCTTCCTTCCTTCTTCTCTCCCTTGTTTCCTCCCTCCCTCCCTCCCTCTAGCCCTCTCTTCCTCCCTTCCTTTCTCTTTCTTTCTCCCCCCCCTTTCTCCTTCCCTCCCTTCCTTCCTTCCTTCTTTCCTTCTTCTCTCCCTTGTTTCCTCCCTCCCTCCCTCTAGCCCTCTCTTCCTCCCTTCCTTTCTCTTTCTCCCCCTCCCTCCCTCCCTCCCTCCCTTCCTCCCTTCCTTCCTTCCTTCTTTGGCTTATAAAGCCAAAGCAAAGATAGTAAAATTTCATAAAAATAAGATAAAAGAAACAATGACTTTGTACAACTTATATAGGGACCTGGAAAGGGGTATTAATTTTGGGATAGGTAAAATTATTCAATGTCATATTATTTGATCAAAGTAATTAACTGACAAAACTAGTGTCCAATGATATAAGTATCCTAAAATTTTTTGAACTATATTTTCACCGCTTTTTTATATATTTCTACAATTCCTATCAAGAAGTCCAGCAAAGCATTGACATTAAATCTTCATACTGAGCATAATCAAATTTGCTTTTTTTATTATACACGAAATATTAGATGATAAACTATTGTTAAAATAACAGTGACAGTAGCAATTATTATCGTATTACATATTTGTTAATTCTTAAAAATTTATATTTTTAAAAAGCAGATTGTTTTACATTTTCTTATGTTATCTGAACACGACCACTGTTTCTTTCAACCTAAATCACTCCCTTCCCTCTAATAATCCACATCATAATTCTCATTAATATGTGTTCTTATGATCCTCAATTTTCATATAGTCATATACAGATAGACATATGTATAATATACTTTTCACATACACGAATACATATTTTTCTTCTTTTAATGCTAAAAATAAGATATTATTTTAAGAAATATTATCCTACTTTTCTACATCTTGGCTTCCTTACTCAACAATATCATATTGAAATGCTGATATATTGAATCTAATATGTTCCAATTAATATATTTTCATGTCTGTATAATATTATGTTTAGATATGTTTCTAAACATATCTAGTGATCATATTAGTGATTCCTCAAAGTGAGTGAAAACATTTATTTGCCCCTTATTTATTATAAATTATATTGTGATACACATCTTTGGTATACACAATTTTACATACTTGGTTTTATTATTACGAGATGTACCCACAGTTGCACAATTGCTCTGTTGAAAGCATATGGAATAATTAATTTTAATGGATTCTGGTACAGTCTTAAACATATCACTTACCAATACATCTTCACATCCCAACCAACAATAAGTATGTTTGTACTTCTTTCTAAATTTTTGCTAGTTAAATGGATATAAATAAAGTAGGTATTAGATTTTTCATTGTTAGTTTATATTTGTCTTATAGATCTAAATTCACAGTCTATAAAATGTATCATAAATGTGTTTTTCAAATTCAGCTGTTGTCTGTTGACTTTATTTAATGTAACTTTTGGTGTAAAATTTTAAAAATCTGCTTCCCGGACATAATCTTCTGGATTTTCTTTATTAGTTGAAAATACATAACCTTTATCTAAGTTGTATGTACTTCCCATAAAATGTCTTACAATTTTTTTCTATATAAAAAAGCAGATGTTAAGACTGCTTCCCAAATTTGTATTTATTATGCTATGGTATAAATCTGAATAAATCCTTAACCTGTTTAGTCTTAGTTTCATTATTTGTAAAATAGAGATGATGATAAATATCTCAATGTTATTATAAAAATCAGTTTTATTTAAAGATCAAATGTTATAATATATGTAAATAAATCACATGGTAGACTGTAAACACTACTATATAAATGTCAATTATTTTAATAAAGTAACAGGAAAAATATAAAAAATCATAAATAATTTTAAAGTATGTTTTTCAACTTTTATGCAGAAACCATGAAATTATAGTATAATTTTAGAAGACATTTTAGTCCCTAATATATTTCCTGATAAACCTGGATTTTTCTGCATAAGGATTTATGTTTTGTTTGAGTTGTTACAAAGTTATAACTTTAAAATCTAGTTTACTTTGTATAAATTTATTATCTCATTTAAAAATATTCTAGGTCGCTTCAGTGTTCTCAGGCAGTGGTAAATGAGTTAATGATATATTTGCTTAAGAAGAATTTCCTGTTTTCTGTTTTGGATACTTTGCTTTTTTGCAGTTTGCCTCTAATTTTATGAGAAAGTTGCATGGGGAAAAATGTGACAGTATAAGGCTATGCACAAAAATACCTTTGGAATAAACTATCTATCTTTAAATAATTAAAATTTGTATTCAGGAAGCAAATATTTAAGAGGAGAGTCAAGCATAGTTTGTTTGAATTAATAAAAAGATCAATGCTTCTAGTCATAAAACCAGCAACACCCCCTCTGTTACTTCATTCATGTTTTCTTATTGACTGATCAAAATCAGCCAAGGAAATCTATTACAAATAATCTTGTGGTGAAGTTTTTGTCTTCTTAGGGTGGGAATTATAATTTGGCATTCATCTATTCGATTTTGGAATACCTCCCCTCCTGCCTGATATACCCAGAGATCAAATTCCTATATAAACTCTTAAAACCCCCTTATCCAGACACATGCTATTTCCTTGGCCTGGATTTTTCTTTCCTGCCCTGCTTTGCTTAAACATTCTTATTCTTTTTTTTTTCCTTCTGATCCCTACTGTAACATCAGCTTCTACATGACATCTTCAGAAGTTTTCTACCCTTAACCATGGCTCATTCCTCTCTGTTTCATGCTTCCTTGCCTTTCATATTTAGCTAAGTTATAGCCTTTAGGTATAACTAGTGAAAAATAATTTTTTGGTTTGAGAAGTAATACTTGTACAGGCTATTTTCTTCTCCATGAGTGAACTTTATATAGGAGCAGCCACACATATAGTATCAAATAAAGACAGATAAATCTGAATACTCCTTTTCTTCCTCTGCAAACCAATGGAATAGTAGAATAAAAATAGGAAGCTTTCAAGTCAAATAGGAGAGTTGAGATTTTCATTTTTGACCACCCTATGCACAATAGGGTAACGATGGCTGAGAAGGGGCAGGATGTGCTGTCCCTACAGCAATTGCTCTGAAGAAAGATGGAATCTGTTCATTAAGTGCATTAATAAGTAAGAGAACTTCCAACAACAGGGCTCAGAATGCAAAATAGCAGTAATGTGGCCAAAGATGAGACTTGTTGCTTTGACTTGCTTTGTTAAGAGGCCTTAATTAACTTTCCCTCTCCCCACAGAGTCTGACTCTCATTGGGAAAGTGATCAGGCAGGCAGAGCCCAGTCCATCTGCTTGTTTCAAGGGTGGCCAGAGGCGTACAGAAAAATTTGCATATTGAGGTTCTTTCTTCAAGTAACAATACCATTTTTTTAAAGTTACTCTTAAGGCCAAATATATTTACATTTTAAACCATCAGCAAAGAAATCTTCATACAAGCCATAATAAATTTTATGGCTTGTTCAAAGTTCTTCTACTTTAAAAGAAAGTCTAGTGATTAAAATAATAAAAAATATTTTATTTATTTTTTGGACTCAGGAGAATCTCAGAGGGAGAGGATACACCAAAAAACTTCATAGCAAAACACCTTCTTGTTCTTCATTTTAAAACTATTTACTTGGTCGTACATTTCCTTCTCTAACCCAGGAGCTCCTTGAGGTCAGTGGAATGGAATGAAAAACACATGGACTTTGCTACGACTTGACCATATGTTTAACTACTGGCTATGTGACCTTGGGCAAGTTATTTAACTTTTTGAGCTTTGTTTTTGTTTAATCTGTAAAACCTACTGGAAATTATTCTGCATGAGCTCCAACATATGAGACATATGGTACATATTTATGGAGTGAATTAATGTAATAATTAATTCATTAATGGTTCTCTGTATGAAAGGATTTACAATGCTATTTACTGGTATCTGTGTGATGGTGGTTATAAATAGACTATATTTAAATGTAAAATGTGCTTTATAGAATCATGAGATGATAAAGCTGAAGGTTTAAAGAAATAATTCCAGACCAATTAATCTCAATAGGGAAGGAAGGAAGGTATTTCAGAAACATCTGGTTCTATGCATGCTAGATTGTCTGAAGAGGGTTTTAGAATTTCATCACAAGTCATATTATATACTTATTTCTCTGCTAGTGTATTGCATTGCAATATTGTTAATCATTTCTCTCTAGTATCTATATCCAAGTTAAGAACCAATTTTCCAGCCAAATAACCCCATTTACAAAGCATGAGACTCAAGGTAGCATGGCGTTTTAGGGCCAGCATGGTCTAACACCAGGCCTTTGATACATAGTGCTTTCCAAACTTTATGGCTTAGGAAATGCCTGAGTTAGAAAGATGAGGCAAGATCACAGAAGGAGTTAAAATGGAATTGAGAAACAAAATGAAAAGAATGTATTACCTTTAGAAGTAAATTTTTTCTTATTTGAAATTAATGTCTGTGATTATTCAATGTTTAGTGAGCTAATGAGTCACAGGACAGAGGAATCATGATACACGGGGTAACTTTGAGTGTTTTGCAATTAGCTGGTGTCTGTAGGGTGATTAATTAAAAAAAAGTAGGACTAACTTTAAGCCAGGAAGATATGTTTGTAGACAGAGCATGTGGAAAGAGACTGACTTAAAAGGTGTACTGTTTGGAGCAAGGAAAGGTGGCTGTAAAGACAAATATTGTCAGAGTGCAAGACCTGTGGTTAAGTTCAGATGAGTGAACACATCGCTTTTGCAATCATAGGAAGGGAGAAGACTAAGCAGTTTTGTTTGAGAAAGAGAAAACAGAATTATTTGTGGAAAGTTTATGAAATAGAGTGAGAGCACTTTTAATGAAATTTTTACTACAGAGGTGGGTTTAACTTTTAAGTCTAAAATACAGAAAATGTGTCCTTTTACCAGTTCCATTCCTCATTGGTAGATGTGGTGAAGCATTTTAATAGTTAAGAACCCGGTGCTTCCCCCAAGTTCCATCAAGTGGGGTGGCTGAAGACAGTAATCATGATTTCATATGTATTGCATTATGTTCATGAACAGGATTGTATTTTGTTACTGGTTATGCTAAATTAATGGCATACATTTTCTTATCATTAATTTTGTGGTCTATACTCTCTCAGGCCAGGGAAAGGCGCGCACATGCGCACACACACACACACACACACACACACACACACACTAGAAATCTATCTGTATATTTTCTAAAATGCCTACTGTGAACTCTTTCTCCTATTTTAAATTTGCACCATGCTCATTTTGATGTATGCAAAGTTGCCAGGGCAATTACTGAAAGCAATTTGATTTTTAAATTTTCTTATCTGACATTACACAAGAAGAGCTGCCTTATTATTAAACATAAAACTTCACTATTTCTTTACATCTGATGATAAATGATATATCACTGAGAGAAAGTGTGATGATTTTTTGCATTACAAAATTAGATGGATTTTAAACTTTTATTCCTAAAAATAAAGTGATTAGATTATAATAATTGTCTCATAAATTTTAGATAACATCTTCAAATGGCAAATCTGTCATTGTCTGATACATAGCACCCAGATCCTTCTATGGAACAATTAGGAAGCAGGAACTCTTATTTTTTCCCCATTATGTCATCTTGCATGGTTTGAAAATTGGGTGCTGAATACAGTCCTGTATGTTGGAAACAGGATGAAATAGAAGTTAGAAGAGTCACATGCTATTCTTTTCAGGATTAGACAAACAGCTGTGAAACTTTGGGCAAATCACTTAAGATCTATGTACTTTAATTACTTATAAAATAAAGGAGTTGTACTAAATGACCCACTTTAGATCTAAACCAAGTTATCCTTTGTTACTTAGGCCAAATTCCCAGGCATCAAACTAAGTAACCTGGTAGTCATTCTAGATGCCAAATCATCACTATGATCTGCTGGTGTTAACTCCTTTTACTTATTCCCGAAGTACAATAATCTCTCAGTTTCCACAGTTCATTGGTTTAGACATTCATCTCTTGCCTGCAATGATTTCTGGTCTGTTTTTCTTCTGCTTCCTTAGTGTTGCCTTCTCCACCACATCTTTTGCAGTGGAACTTGGGTGATCTCTCTAAAACAGAAAGCTAATGATGTGTCGAAAACAATGTAACAGCCCCACCCACATCCTTAGCATGCTCTTCAAGACCTTTCATAATCAGTTTTCCTCTACTTCTCTTCCTAGTTTTAATTCTGACCACTCTCTTAGTCTATGACATGATCACTTTGACTCCTTTTCTCTGAATGCTCTGCCTTTCACTTTTCTGAAGCTACCAGGGAGGGTATATCTTGACATCTTTGTTGAAGTAGCTTTCACTCCCTGAGCTACCCTGCTTCATTTGGTGAATCTTAGTAAACAATTTTTCTTTAGGAATTTTCCTTTAACCATCTTAAACGTCAAGGTATTCTTGCCCCCTCCTCACTTCATATCACCTCTTCAAAGTAGAATTGCCTTCTCTGCTGTGCCCACTGCTTTGTACTTATGTCACAGCACTTATTTTATTTTATTCCCATATATGTTGTTATGTGTAACTATATATAAATTTATACCAGTTTTATATTTATTCTCAACTCCTTGAGAATGAAAGCTGAGTTGTTTGATATTTACATTAAAATTAATAAAAACTGCCTTTGTAAAAGGTAAATCACTCTTTAATTCATAGACAGACTTTGAAGGTGCCATGAACTTATTAATATTTTATTGACTGCATTTTTCATGTTTTTAGAGAAAATCATTTTGTGATTTTAATATCTGAGTCTGAGATATTAATATCTGTGTTTTAATATCTGAGTCTGAAAACACAGATAAAATGTACATGGAGGCATGTATCCAGTGATTTGAAGGAGTAATGTTTCTACTTTGTTTATCTCAATGATCAAGTCTTGTAAAACTTGAGGTAAATTTAGGTTGTTCTAGGGGCTGATATTCACTGTGAAACTTCAAAAAATTTTTATATTAGTTGTTAATATAAGAGATCTAATGTTTTCGTGGCTCCTACAATGTACTTGAAGTATATTGTATATGTGATAATTTTATGATAAATTTGATTTCTCATGTGTTTTTGCTTAGGAGCTTAGACTCAAACTATCTCCCTGCATTCTTTCTTTGCTTTCTATTTAACATTCATTTTTTAATCTGTTATAATATTTTTATTGTTTTGGTTGGACTATACATTACCATAACCATTAAAAATATGAAATTCAAATTGAGTGTGTTTATAATTGTACACACCAGAATTTGAAGACTAAACAAATTAATGTAAAATATCTCATTAGTACGTTTTAATTAGATTACATGTTAAAATAATATTTTGCATATATATTTTATGTAAACATTTATTAAGCCACAATGCTGCTACTCAGCATACCTGTAATTAAGCAAAAATATGCACACACACAAAACATACACACAAAGGGCCTGAATTTCCAGGAATTTATAGTCTAAGAAGAAAAAAAAATAAAATTTATTGCAATGTGGTAATTCTTAGAATACAAAAGAAGATGCAGAAATCTTTTTTACAGTAGTGTTTTTGTGGGATTTTGAAGGCCATTCTAATTCTCAAGGCAGAGAAAGGGAAGAAGAAAGAAGGCATTTCTAATATAGGAAAGACTTACATACATGGACTAAAATGTAAGAGAATACTACTGTTCAGTAGGCAGTGGTAGAACTTTGAAGCAGAATAGTTCACAGGTGAGTTTATGAAGACCCTTGCTGCTATGCTAAGCAGCATTAGAGCCTTATACAGTTTAGAGAAGAAGGGAGTCTTTGAAAATATATTGTATTAGTCCATTTTCACACTTCTCTAAAGATACTGCCTGAGGCTGAGCAATTTATAAAGAAAGGAAGTTTAATTGGCTCACAGTTCCATATGACTGGGGAGGTCTCAGGAAACTTAAAATTATGGCAGAAGGCAGAGGAAGCAGGCACCATTTTTCACAAAGCTGCAGGAGACAGAGAGAGAGAAAGTACAACACTTTAAAACCATCAGCTCACATGAGAACTCATTATCACGAGAATAGCATGAGAAAAACCATGTCCATGATGCCATCACCACCCACCAGGTTCCTCCTTTGAAACATGGGATTACAATTTGACATGGGATTACAATTTGACATGAGATTTGGGTGGGGACACAGAGCCAAACCATATCAATCCACTCCTGACCCTCTCAAATCTCATATCCTTTTCACATTTCAAAACCAATCATGCCTTTGCAACAGTCCCCTAAAGTCTTAACTCATTCTAGCATTAACCCAAAAGTCCAAGTCCAAAGTCTCATATGAGACAAGGCATGGGCCCTCCACCTATGAGCCTGTAAAATCAGAAACCCTATAGTTACTTCCAAGATAAAATGGGATAATACAGACATCGGGTAAATGCTCCCATTTCAAATGGGAGAAATTGGCCAAAACGAAGGCAGTACAGGTCTGATGCAAGTCTGAAATCCAATGGGGTAGTCATTACATCTTAAAGCTCCAGAATAATCTCCTTTGACTCCTTGTCTCACATCCAGGGCATGCTGATGCAAAGGGAAGGCTCCCAAGGCCTTGGAGAGCTCTATCCCTTTGGCTCTGCAGGGTAAAGCCCCTGTGTCTAATTTCATGGACTGGCATTAAGTGCCTGTGGCTTTTCCAGGTGCACAGTGCAAGCTGTCAGTGGATCTACTAGTCTGCAGTCTGGAGGACGGTGGTCCTCTTCTCACAGCTCCACTAGGGAGTGCCAAAGAGGGGACTTTGTATGGGGAATCCAACCCTTCCACAATGCCCTAGCAGAAGTTCTCCATGAGGGCTCCACCCTTTTATCACACTTCTGCCTGTACATTGAGGCATTTCCATACATCCTCTGAAATCTAGGCAGAGGCTCCCAAAGCTCAACTCTTCTCTTTTGCACACCAACAGGCCCAACACCACCTGGAAGTCACCAAGGCTTGGGGCTTGCACCCTCTGATGCCATGGCCCAAGCTGAACCTTAGCTCCTTTTAGCCATGGCTGGAGCTGAAGCAGCTGGGTCAAAAGGCACCAAGTCCCAAAGCTGTACAGAGCAGCTAGGCCTGAGCCTGGCCCACAAAACCATTTTTTCTCCTAGGCCTCTGGGCCTGTGATGGGAGGGGTTGCCACCAAGGTCTCTGACATGCCCTGAAGACAGTTTTTCCATTGTCTTGGCTAATAACATTCAGCTTCTTGTTACTGAAGCAAATTTCTGCAGCAGCCTTGAATTCTTTCCAAGGAAATGGGTATTTATTTTCTACCATATGGTCAGGCTGCAAATTTTCTAAACCTTTATGCTCTGCTTCCCTTTTAAACATAAGTTCCAACTTGAAACCATCTCCTCATGAATGCATATAACTGAATGCTTTCAGAATAAGTCAAGTCACTTCTTGAATGTTTTGCTGCTTAGGAATGTCTTCTACCAGATACCCTAAATAACCTTTCTCAAGTTCAAAATTCCACAGATCTCTAGGGCAGGGAAAAAATGCCGCCAGTCTCTTCACTAAAGCATAGCAAGAGTGACCTTTACTCCAGTTCCCAATAAGTTCCTCATCGGCCTCTGAAACCATCTCAGCCTGGACTTCATCGTCCATATCACTATGAGCATTTTGGTTAAAACTGTTCAACAAGTCTCTAGGAAGTTCCCAAATTTCCCATATCGTCCTATCTTCTTCTGAGTCCTCCAAACTGTTCCAACCTCTGCCCATTACCCAGTTGCAAAGATGCTTCCACATTTTTCTGGTTATCTTTATAACCAGTCAGAGCAGTACCCCACTCTGCCAGTACCAATTCTCTGTATTAATCAGATTTCATACTGCTATGAAGATACTACCTGAAACTGGGTAATTTATAAAGAAAGGAGGCTTAATTGACTCACAGTTCCACATGGCTGGGGAGGACTCAGGAAACTTAAAATCATGGGAAAAGGTGAAGGGAAGTAAGGCATGTCTTACCATGGCAAACCAGGAGAGAGAGAGAGAAAGGAAGCACCATACCTTAAAACCATCAGCTCTTGTGAGAACGCATTCACTCTCATGCGAACAAAAATGGGGGAAACTGCCCTCATGATCCAATCACCTAAAACCAGGTCCTTCCTGCAACATGTGGAGATTACAATTTGAGGTGAGATTTGGGTGGGGACACTGAGCCAAATCGTATTATATTTTAATAGAGAAAAGTTAAAAGTGCCTTTTAAATTATTACTTTTAAAAATAATTGCTGCTGAGCATGGTGGCTTATGCTTGTAATCTCAGCACATTGGGAGGCCAAGTCAGGCAGATCACCTGAGGTCAGGAGTTTGAGACCAGCCTGGCCAACATGGTGAAACCCCGTCTCTACTAAAAATACAAAAATTAGCCAGGCATGGTGGTGTGTGCCTGTAATCCCAGCCATTCAGGAGGTAGAGGCAGGAGAATTGCTTGAACCCAGGAGGCAGAGGTTGCAGGGAGCCGAGATCATTTCATTACACTCCAGCCTGGATGACAAGAGTAAAACTCAGACTCAAAAAAAAAAAATGATTACTGACAACTCAATGCATAGAAACTGAAGAAACAAAGAACAATTAAGATATTCTTGCAGTAATTCAAGTGATTTTCCTGAAGGCTTACATTATGACAGTGATGATAGAAAAGGAAACAAAAGGGACACCTAAGGCATTTTTAAGAAAAAAAAATAAAATTTAGTGGTCCATTAAATGGAGGAGATGGAAGAATATAAAATAATATGTTAGCTTTGGGCTCGGGAGATTCTCTGGATGTTTGTGCCAGTAAGAAAACAACAGTAAGAAGAAGAATTGGGATTGAAGGGAGAAGAATTTGGTTTGTTTTTGCTAAGTTTGGGATGGCTTCAAGGCATATGAGCTATGTGCAGACACAAATGGTAAATACGGGTATGTATCAGTTAATATTGTTCATCATGGTTTAATAGAAAATCCACAGTCTATGGCTTATGCACATGGTAGCTTATTTTTCTTACACAGCATTCATCTAGAGATGAGGAGCTGCTGTCATTGCTTCAACTGATCAATCATGTTAGGACCAACATCTCTTTTATTAAGTTAGTTTTATTCTCATTCTGTTTGCCCAGTGGTCACAAGACGACTGTTACATCTCTATTCTACACTCATATTTTAAGCAAGATTAAGAGGAAAATAACAAAATCAGAAACAACCCTCAGCACATTGTGATGGAAGCTCCAGGTGCATATGACAAAGAAGATGGGGCTCCCACTGTTCCAAGCTACAGTCAAGGACTACAGTACACCTTCAGGCAAAGTATTCCACCAGCATTTCTCATTCTCCCTAGTGCTATGTTGCAAAAACTAACTCCACACAAGTGCATAAATTCCACTTATTTCCTTAATCTCACTAGTGAGAAAAAAGCTCTACCTAAGGGACAGTAAACCAAGAATTGTTAGGACTCCAATCACTCTTGCCCCAGTTCATGTTTAGAGTTTAGGATCAATGCTGAGAAATGAAAACTCAGAATACTAGAGACTACTGCCCAATCCAGACCCCTTCTCTTGAAAGAGGACGGTTACCCCAACAGAATTAACTTCCAGTTCTGAAGTGATGCCTCAAAGATTTTGCTCAGGGAGAGAAGCAGACCACAAGAACAGAAAACTACCAAGCTCTTTCCAAAGTAACTACATTTATTTAGAACAGAGTGCGGGAAAGCTCAAGCCTAAGGTTACTTCTAAAAATAAAAGAGATTTTGGTGGTAAATAATTTGAAAAGGCCAGAAGCTCCATGAAAAACAAGATCAATTGTAAGCACACTAGTTTAACAGAGAGAACAGGAGGAAAGACAGGAAAAGTCATCCTGAAGTCATAACAAACCTCAAAGATCAAAATCATTGTCATCAAAGGCATCCATTGCTCAACAGTCTGATTCAATTAAATTGGGTCTCTTCTGTAAGGCATGAAAAATACCTTGCAAAAGAGCCCCAGTTTAATTGGATCTGTCTGTTGAGCAATGTATGCCTTAAGACATTGTAAAAGCAACAGGGCAAAGGCTGGCATTAGTAGAGGCTACCAACTAGGTATGATACCAAAAATAAATAAAAAAGGAGACATGTTGTCGTAGAAAAAGGGAACAAAACAATCAAAGAGAACCCTGTGTCATCCCAGGATGTCTGTGTGCATGCCCTGAGCAATGATATCAGAAGTTTCCCACTTTGGGAGAAATTGACTTCGTTGAAATACTGAGTCACTGAGTTAATTACTGAGTAAATACACACACAAACAATAACATTAAGCTCCATAGAAAATGTGAGCTGGGCATAGGGGGAAAATTAGGCATCAGAAACTACCTATAAGAAGGCCTAGATGACAGACTTATCAGATAAAGGCTTCAAAACAACCATCATAAATATATTGAAAGAGAAAAAGGAAAACATGTTTAAAGAAATAAAAAAAAAATGATGAAAATGTGTTATCAAACAGAATATGAATAAAATGATAGAAATTATTTTAAAAATTGAAAAGTAAATTTAGAAGTGGGCTTTTATGATAATATAAGTGGAAATTTACTAGAAGGGAATGAGTATATTTGAACAAGAAGAAAGAATCAACAAACTTGAAGGTAGATTATTAACAGGGATTATTCAATATGAAGAACAGAGAGAAAGTGAATGAAAAATATAAAAGAGCTTCAGAGGAATGTGGGACGCTATTAAAAGTACTGGAGATACAAGGAAAAAAACAGAGATAGGAAAGGAAGAGATTATAGATAACATTTTATTAATGTTTGATGAAAACATCAATCTATACATCCAAGTATCTCAACAAACTCCAAATAGAATACATGTAAAAAAAAAGATCCACACTGTATTAGTCTGTTTTCGTGCTGCTGATAAAGACATAACCGAGACTGGGAAATTTACAAAAGAAAGAGGTTTAATTGGACTCACACTTCCACATGGCTGGGGAGGCCTCACAATCATGGCAGAAGGCAAGGAGTATCAAGTCACATCTTAAGTGGATGGCAGCAGGCAAAAAGAGAGAACTTGTACAGGCAAACTCTCATTTCCATTTTTAAAGCCATCAGATGCCATGAAACTTTTTCGCTATCACGAGAAAATAGCACAGAAAAGACCCACTCCCATGATTCAATCATCTCCCACCGGGTCTCTCCCACAATACATGGGAATTATGGGAGCTACAAAATGAGATTTGGGTGGGGACACAGAGTCAAACCATATCACCACCATGCACATTATAGTAAAAAGTTTGAAAAATAAAGGCTAGGGAGATATCTTGAAAGCAGCAAGACACAAATAATTCAACATGTACAAGAAAATCTCAGTAAGGTTAACAACTAAAATCTGATCAGAACCAGTGGAGGCCAGAAGGTAGTGAGATGACATATTTAAGTGCTGATAGAAAAGGTCAACCAGCAATTATATGTCCAGGAAAACTACATTTCAAAAATGAAGCTGAAATATGCCATTCCCAGATAAATGAGAGAGAAAGAGAGAAATCTGCTAGATAGCAGATATGCCTTAAAAATATTAGATTAAGTTCTTCAGGCTGAAATTAAGTAATTATACAGTATATTTCAAAATCATGTAAAACTAAGAGTATTGGTAAAGTAATTACATTATGCAAGATATAAATGTATAGTTCTTTCTTCTTCTGGTCTAAATAGAATTATATAAAATGATATGCATCTAATTGTATTCTGGAGACTACAAGTGTTCCTTTAAAATTTATACATTGTATATTTCTATTACAATTAGACATTCTGTAATTATAGAAATATATTTGGCAATAAGATGATAAAGAGGGTACATGGAAACAAACTTGTATTAGCTTAAGGAAATGATATCATATGGTAATTCAAATAAATAGGAACAAATCAAGAGACTAAGATATGGTAAAGAAGAAGGTTAATATTACAAACTCTATAAATATATTCTTGTTCTTTTTTTCTCTCAACTTATTTAAGGATATCAAAAATATTAATAATTATAACAATAAATTGATTCATTGTTCATATTTACATGCAATATATACAACAATAATAACACAAAAAGGGGACATAATAGAGTTAAAGAAGAGCAAATTTTTCTATAACTTAATAGAATTAAGATAGTATATATCTGAAGTAGATTCTGAAAAGTTAGTATGTATATAGTAATTCTAGGAAAACCACTAAGAAAATAACTCAAAAATAGAAAAAAAACTATTAAACAAATAAAATATTTAAGTAGAAACATATATTTAATGCAAAAGAAAACAATAAAGAAGGAAAAGAGTCAAAACAAATGAGACAAAAAGTAAAGTGGCAGACCAAAATTTAGCTCTATCAATAATAGCATTAAATGAAAATAATCCAATTAAAAGACAAGGATTGGCAGAGTAAATAAAAAACAAAAAGAAAAACAACACATGATTTAATCATATGCTGTGTAGAGGGGACACTTTAGATTCAGAGATAGAAACAAGTTGAAAGTAAAAGAATGGGAAAAGATATTACGCAAACAGCACTCATAAGAGAGCTAGAGTGGCCATCCTAATAGGAAAAATAAACCTATATATATACACACATATATATATATAACTACAGATAATGAGAGATACTTTATTATAATGAAAGTGGTCAATTTTATGAGGAATGTATATGAGTTCAAAGCATAAATGCAGCCTACAAAAGAGCCATGACTTACATGAAGCAAAAATGGAAAAAAAAAAAGGAAGGAAAAAGACATAATTGGCAATGATAGCTGGATAATTTAATACTTCCCTTTCAATAATGAATAGAACAAGCAGGCAGAGGATGAACAGAATATAGAATATTTGAACAAAAGAATAAAACTATAAAATCCAAAAGACGTAACAGATAGCAATAGAACACACCACCAAAAATCAAGAGAATATCCATTCTTCTGAAGTAAACATGGAACATTTTTTCCAGATAGACAATATTCTAGGCCATAAAACAAGCCTCAATAAATATAATAGGACTGAAATAATCCAAATCATTTTCTTTGACCACAATACAATGACATTGGGAATCAATAACATAAAGAAATTTGGAAAATTCAGACATAATATAAAAAATTGAAAAACGTACCTTTAAATAACCAATGGGTCAAAGAAGCATTGAAAGGGAAATTGGAAAATACTTTGAAATGAATAAAAATGAAAAAACAACATAGCATATATTATGGAATGCAGCTAAACAAATTATTTAAGGGAAATGCATAACTGTAAATGCCTATATTAAAAAAGAGTAATTTCAAATCAACAATCTAATGTTCCATGTTAAGACACTAGTAAAAGAGAACACAAACTAAAGCAAGCAGAAGGAAGGAAATAATAAAGATTACAGTGAAAATAAACGGATTAGGGAATAGGAAAAAATAGAAAAATTTTTTAAAAAGTTGGTTTAATATGAAAATCAGGTAATGTGATACACATCATGAGAGTAAAAGACAAAAACACATAATAATCTCCATAGACTCAAGAAGAGCATTTGACAATATTTAACTTGATTTCATGAAAAAAATATTCTCAACAAGCTGGGAATTGAAGGGAACTTCGTAAACCTGATAAGGGGCATCTAATCTCTAGCAAATATTCTTTGCAATAGTGAAAGTCTGAGTGCTTTCATCTGATGGTCAGAAATAAGACATGTATTTATACTCTTTCCAGTTCTATTAACTTGTATTCATAGAAGTTAAGTCAGAGAAATTAGACAAAAAATAAAGACATCCAGATTTGAAAGGAAAAAGTAAAACTTTGTTGAGAGATGATAATATTTTGTGAATAGAGCATTCTAAGGAATTGGCTAGAAAACTATTAAAACTAATAAATGAGTTCAGTAAGGTTGCAGAGTAGAAGATAAATATAAACATCAATTGTATTTATATATTAGCAGAGAAGAATTCAAAATGAAATTAGAAAATAATTCCATTAACAAAGAACAAAATCACAATTAAAATATTCTATTTTTAAAAGAATTGCAATTTTATACTCGGAAAGCAACAAAACATTTTTGAAGAAATAAAATAAGGCTTAAATAAAAGTAAAGACTTCCTGGATCATGGATAGGAAGACTTTATAAGGATAAACTAATAAATTGATATACAGATTCAATGTAATCCCTCCCTGTCAAAACTCTAGCCTCTCCAAATTGATCTACAGATTCAATGTAATCTCTCCCTGTCAAAACACTAGCCTTCCCAAACTGATCTACAGATTCAACGTAATGCCTCACTGTCAAAACTCCTGGTGACTTTTTGCAGAAATCTACTCTATAATTCATATGAAAACTCAAGAGATTTAGTACAGTCTCTTTTTAACTGGTATTGCAAAGAACAACACAATTGGAGGACTTACTACAAAGCTGCAGCAGTCAAGACAGTGTGTTACTAACATAAGCATAGACATAGATTGATAGAATTGACAGTTCAGAAATAAATAATTATATTTACAGTCAATTGATTTACAACAAAAGGTTCCAAGATAATTCAGTGGAAGAAATTGCACTCAATTAGATATCAATATGCAAAAAATGAAGTTGGACCTTTCCACACATACCATACACTAAAATTAACTCAAATGAATCAAATGCCTAAATGTAAAAGCTAAAACTTTAAAAACACTTAGAAGAAAATATAGAAGTAAATCGCTGTGATCTAAGATTAGGAAAAACTTTTTAGATAAGACACCAAAAGCGTAAGTGATGAAAGGAAAAAATAATAAATTTAACTGCATCAAAACAAAAACTTTTTTGCTTAGGGCACCATGAAAAAAATGATAAGATAACCAACAGAATGGGAGAAAATGTTTGCAACTTAAATAGCTGCTAAGAGACTTGAATCTTTTCATATTTTATGTATCTAGAATACATAAAATAACTCATACAGCTCAACAGTACAAGGCAAATGACCCAATTTAAATAAAATAGGCAAAGAATATTGTTGTTGGAATTCTCAAGACCATCTTCACTTTCCTTGATTCACTAGAAAAACTCACAGAACTCAGAAAACCTGTTACACCTGCGGTTATGATTTACTATTAGAAAAAATACAGATTACATTTAGCAAAGAATAAAGGCACATAAAACAGAGTCCACAAGGTACCAGACAAAAGCTTCCAATTTTCCTCTCTTATTGTGGCCATATAGACAACACTTAATTCCCCCAGCAATGATGTGTGACAGCAGCACAAAATAGTGCTAACTAGGGAAGATTACCCGGTGAGCCTAGGTGTGGAGGGTTTTACTGGGAGTCAGTCAAGTAGGCATAAAATGCAAAAACAATTGACCTTATTTACTCAATGTTCAGACCCTGCCGAGGTAAAACCGACATGTGGTCTGATGCATACACCAAAAATCACATTGTTAGCATAAACACAGCATACACAAAAAGTTGGGCAAGAATCTTCCTAGCATTACTTATAATAGTTGGAAAGAGGAAATGACACAAAAATCACATTGTTAGCATAAACACGGCACACACAAAAAAGCTTGGCATGAATCTTTCTAGCATTACTTGTAATAGTTGGAAAGAGGAAATAACACACGTGTCTATTAGCTGATGAATGGGTAGATAAAATATGGGCAATTCCTACAATACAGTATTATCAGCAATAAAAAGGGATAATGGTACAACATGGATGCCTTGAAAACATGATGCTAAATGAAACACGCCTGTCACAAAAGACCACATATTACATGATTCCATTTATACAAAATGTCCAGATGGTCAATTCTATGAAGAAAGAGAGTAATGTTTATCTAGGGCATATAAGATTGAGGGGATAATGAGAACAGAGTTTTTTGGAGGGCTGATAAAAGTGATCTACAATTGACTGTGATGATGATTGCAAAACTTTGTAAATATACGAAAAGGAATTTAATCTGATGCTTTAACTATGTGAATTTTAGGGTATGTGAATTATATCACAATAAAGCTCATACAAAAAGTCTTTCTGGAAGACATCTGCTTATACCTCACTGATCAAAAATTCAGTCAGATGGTCATTCCTTGCTGCAAGAGATGGAGTGCCTAAAGAATAAAAGATGCTTTTAGCTTCTCTCTCTTTTTTAGTTAGACTAGTAAAAAGTTTGTTGATTTTGTTTATCTTTTTTAAAAAAAACCTCTCTTTTGTTTATCTTTTCTATCATTTTTCTAGGATTTATTTGATTTCTTTCTGCTCTGACGTTATTTCTTTCCTGCTATTAACTCTGGGCTAGTTATTCTTCTCTTTCTGTTTTTTGAGGTTTAATATTAGGTTGTTTAGTTGTGATCTTTCTGCTTTTCAGATGTGTTTATTGCTATAAACTTCTGTCTTAGAACTATTTTCACTGCATCCTATAAGCTTTGGTATGTTGTGTTTCCATTTTCATTTTTCTCAACATATGTTTTAATTTTGCTTTTAATTTCTTCCTTGATCGATTGGTTGTTTAGGATCATGTTGTTTAATTTCTACATATTTATAAATTTTCCAAATTTTATTCTGTTACTGACTTGTAGTTTCATGCCATTATGTTCAGAAAATATACTTGATATGATTTCAATTTTCTTAAATTTATTAAGATTTGTTTTGTGACCTAACATATAATCTATCCTGGAGAATGTTTTGTGCACTTGAGAAAAATGTGTAGTCTGTAGGGATTGAATGGAATGTTCTGTATACGTCTATTAGGTTCCTTTGGTCTGGTCTAGAGTGTAGTTCAAGTCCATTGTTTCCATATTGATTTCCTGCCTCCCTGAAACAATAGAATCCACTCCCTTCTCATTATAGGCATTAAGGAGTATTTTTTAAAATGACCACATCTACCATCACTTATGGTATTTTTAAATGGGGGTAATTTTCTCCTTATTTAAAGCAAACTGCTGTCTACACTCTGAGCAATCCATGTATATATATATCCATGTGCATGTATCCACGTATATGTATTAGGGATCAGTGTGCGTGTGTGTCACACAAAAATACAGTGGGGGAAGTATGCCTCTTGAAAATGCCTGGAAAGCTGTCAGTAAAAATTACTAGTTCTATGTAGTAAATAAATATTAACATGTTACTTGTTGAACACCACCGTGCAACTACTTAGTTGCACAGTCCAAGATTGGCAAATCTTTATCATCCTTTAGGTTAAGGTAGTTTATAGAACTTAGGGGAGAAAAAGAGAAGCTATGCATCCCGTATCACTTCTTGTTAATTTTTTTGTCAGATTATACTTCCCAAAGTGCATATGGAATCATATTGGGCCCCGCCTTATACATAATTATTTAAATTTCATTGGTTATCTGAATATTCTGAATAATAAATTCTCCAGCCAGGCATTTTCCAGTAGTAGTATTTTTCTAATATTCCTTCCTAATATGCCTCCCTCCTGCTGCTCACTGTTGTATCTCCATGTTTAAAGTTGTATTACTTTTACTGCTTCCAGTAGGACTCTGATAAACTCTTATGGGTTTTGTTAATGTTATTTCTACCTGAAATTCTCTCTGACTCCCAACTTTCTGTGTTAATATTAACTCATTCTTCCAGGTACACAATTGATTATGTATCTGCCATATTCTGTTTTCTTAACCCCTCAATATTCTCTTTTCTTTCAACCTTTGAATGTTGCTTGATTTGCATTTTAATATGGCATTTATGTTAATTCACCTTGGGTTATGAATATTTGAGTAACTTTCTTTATGTAGCTAAAGATTTCAAGCCCTTTGATGGAAGTTACTGCATCCTCGTTTATATTTCCAACACTGAAATTTGCATAAGGAAGGGGTTCAAGGTATAGAATTGAGAGAGTCTTAGTGACCCATAATGGAGAGATACTACATATATTTCTTGAATATAATTGTGCATTAACAACTGATGTTATACCAATACTCAGCAACAAAACATATTTCAATATAGCAGAAAACAGAGCATGTAGAAGGAGATGACTATGGGAAGACAAGAGTACCTCGGGGGCCAGATGGGCAGCAAGAAAATTACCATATATTATTTAGCAAACTGGTAAGCAATCTCCTGAGAACCAAATTCAAGGTCTTATTACCCTATTTGAACTCCTGAGGTTTTTTAGAGCCTCTGCTTATTTTCAAAATGAAAGACTTTCAAACACAGGCTGCTGTCACCTTTAGGGATTAAAATATTCACCAAGGTGAGAGGATAGAGCAGCTTTGAACAAAATCAACCACTTGTGGTTAGCAGAGAGGATGCTGAGGTCTTGATCTTGTTTGCTTCATGTACCATGTTCAGCTTTCCAAATATAAAAAAAAAAAAACAGGAAAATTGTCAATTATACGTATGTTTAAGAAATTAGTCGACATCTGCCACCTGGGACCGAATATTACCTCCAGTATTTTTCCAGTTATTTAATGTTTCTAAAAAATATCTACAATGCTCTAAAGTTCTGTTATATCCAGTAAATTTTCTTTTTCACAGCCTTAGAACTTATATCTGGAGAGCTATAGGATAACGATAATGGAGGTCTTTAAAATCTTTTTTTTTTTTTTAAGAAAGCATGCAGCTATGGTACTTACAGCACTACATTGCTTATCTAGAACATGGGAAATGGAGAAACTGTTTAAAGTCATATGATAGGTTATTATTTTGGTTAATGTGGAATGTTTATCTGACAGGCTTATTGAGTTTGATTTGTGTGCATAACTCCACAGCAAATCTACAGCTTATCTGATATCCCTTCCCCCCACAAACTGACGAATGCACCATCTGAAAAAACAGAAACAAACAAACAAATAAACAAAAAAGCCCACCTGGAGTATTAAAGTGATTTAACCAGTATGATTTATGCTAATGGTACAGAAGAGAATATTTTTTCATTCTCAGAAACATAACAGGCAATTGATGTGCCATATTGCAGTATGGTTTTAGCTATCAACATGTCAAGATTTAGTTTTGCTGTTAACATTTTACAATTTAGAAGGCTCTAAGAATATGTGCAGTGTAGCAACAACACAGGCTTAATTCCCTCAGCTATATTTATTGGGAGCTCATTTTTCCCTCTTTTATAGAAGAAAATTGAAAAAGAGAGAGAGTAGGAGAGACAGACAGGCATCCACTCGGTATTTCATTTTCTTTATTATGTCAAGTAATGAGAAATAAAGAGACAAAAAACAAAGTTCTTAATAGCTTATGCTGAGACCAAAGAGGATTTGAGGCAGAGGAATCCATCATACATTTTTATTGGTTTAATATCGCCCACAGATAACCATATGAAGGAATGTACCACTTGATTCTAGACCCTCATCAATTACAAAAGTCTCAAGGTTAAGGATGTATTGTACCTGCTACTGGAATGAGAGTTCCTGTTGATGTTGCCATACATAAGACTAACATAGTGAGTAAGAAGCAGGGGAAAATTACCAGAAAGTTCCATATTGTACTTCAAGTTTATTACTACCAGGCAGTGGCTTCCAGTGAAAGGGCAAGGCTGCAGGGCTGCAGCAAACATGGCTAAGTTACTGGATAAAAAGTAAATTAGTGTAAAATGTAAATTTATTACCTTATCAGGACTCAATCGGTAACATTAAGGACAAGAACTTCTTTGGCTGGTAATCTTTTTCTGGCTCTATATAGATAAAATATATTTAATATTGATGCTGTTGAGGCTATTATCAGTATTGATATTTATGTAACCATCAAGTCTCAAGCTCGATACCAGACACAAAAACTTAGATAAATGTGATATGTAGTATATTCACAGATATTTATTTCATGACCAAATAAAATAACTTTAAGGTCTGCATACATTTTTAAAATTGTATTTCACAATGAGCCAGATGGAGTTATTTTTAAAGTAATTCTATTTTAAAGAATTTTGAAAGAAAGGATTTTCCTTTTAAAACAAACTCAGCTATTCATCAAAAAGAGAGAACATTATGTTCTTGGCTATGGTTTTCTTTAAAGAACTCAACATAAACAAAAGAAAGAAATTATAGAATGTGTGTTTTATTTCCCCTGCATGCAAGATTGAAGTCATATTGACTTGAGAGAAAAAAATAATTTTTAAAAAATGTATGTGTGTATGTGTGTGTACAATGGTGCTATTTACTGCATTTTCACATATGAAATTAATACCTTTCTAATCAGCAAAATAACTGGCTCTTTTTGGTTGTTTACATCTTATTCTTTTTCAGCATATGACAGAATGTATTTTAGAGCACTTATATTAAGGCAAATGGTGGCTACTTCAGTTATCATTGTGTTAATCTTAAAAATAACCTAACAATAAGCAGGAAAATTGTATGTTTGTGTGCTTATTAGAAAAAAGCCTAGGGGATGAGAAAATGCAGGTAAGGCAGTGCTGGACTATTTTTTACAGTAGTTTTAGAGTCATAGTAAAATTGAGGGGATGGCACAGAGATTCCCCACATACTCACTACCCCCACACATGAATAGCCTCCTCCATTATCAATATCCCCCACCAGAGTGGGACATGTGTTACAACTGATGAACTTACATTAATACATCATTATCACCCAAGTTCATAGATTATATCAGGGTTCACTCTTGGTGTTGTACATTTTTGGGGTTCGGACAATTGTAAAATGACATTTACTCTCCATGTCTTTACTACCGTAGGGCTATCTAATTTTAAAGTATGATTGAAATATTTTCTACCACATAGGGGACAGAATAAAGAGGACAAAATGTCAGCCTTTATTTGGCAAGTCATTCAGCCAAGAATATTCTGGATTTTAGGTACAGATCGCTCCAAAATGTTTTAAGTTTTACATGGCAAATTTTTAATTTTTAAATTATGTAATTCTAAACATTGGTGAGTTGATAACATTAACTCAGTGACCGCCTCTATTGAGTGAATAATTCAAAATAATTTCTAAAATAGGTGCAGAGTATCACAACTGTGTTTATGTTTGTGAATCGTCAGGACCTAACAATGTGTATTACCCCAGAACCAGTTCAATCAAGGGCCCCATTATAACTTAAGGCAGAGATGTTTTATTTATTTATTTATTTATTTATTTATTTATTCATATTATACTTTTAGTTCTAGGGTACGTGTGCACAACTTGCAGGTTTGTTAACATATGTATACATGTGCCATGTTGGTGTGCTGCACCCATTAACTCGTCATTTACATTAGGTATATCTCCTAATGCTCTCTCTCCCCACTCCCCCCACCCCACAACAGGCCCTGGTGTGTGATGTTCCCTACCCTGTGTCCAAGTGTTCTCATTGTTCAATTCCCACCTATGAGTGAGAACATGTGGTGTTTGGTTTTCTGTCCTTGCGATAGTTTGCTCAGAATGATGGTTTCCAGCTTCATCCATGTCCCTACAAAGGACATGAACTCATCCTTTTTTATGGCTGCATAGTATTCCATGGTGTATATGTGCCACATTTTCTTAACCCTGTCTATCACTGATGGACTTTTGGGTTGGTTCCAAGTCTTTGCTATTGTGAATACTGCCATTGCTGCAATAAACATATGTGTGTATGTGTCTTTATAGCAGCATGATTTATAATCCTTTGGGTATATACCCAGTAATGGGATGGCTGAGTCAAATGGTATTTCTAGTTCTAGATCCTTGAGGAATTGCCACACTGCCTTCCACAATGGTTGAACTAGTTTACCGTCCCACCAACGTGTAAAAGGGTTCCTATTTTTCCACACCCTCTCCAGCACCGGTTGTTTCCAAGGCAGAGATGTTTTTTCAGCCTCTCAGGCAGTGTTGGTATTCTTCCCAAGATGTTTGCAGTGGATATTTCCTTTGTATTAAAACAGCAAAATTTACTTTCTTGTTTCCAATAGCATCATAATTTTGGCTGGTTTGTAGTTAGTTTATGAGCTTCTGAAGCTTTGGGACCATGTCTTTTTCATTTTTGTATAAATGAGATAATAAATGTGAAAGTGCCAGGTTTGTACCAAAAACAAAGCACATATGCTACTTCAAAATCTTACTGAGAACAAGTTGGGTATAAAAACAAAACACTGGTATATATTTTAGGCTCAACGGAAAATGATGCCAAATTATATAAAGTCCCAAGGTAGTGACTCCTGGGCTGAAGAATACAGACAGCTATAAGGCAAACTATCTTCAATTACAGAGATTAAATGCATACCTGGACAGATCTGATCTATTTTGTAGAGTGCCCCATACTACAGTACGTAAAACAGGCCATTGTTAAATTATTTTCAAAAGATAAGCCATTTAAAAACCAATGTGGTGTAAGAAAATATTATCCCAATGTAAAACAAAATTTTTCAAAGTGGCTATAATGAAAGGCCTTGCAATAGCCATTTCATAAAAAGAATTCTATCTAACAGCACAGCCCATAAAATGAAATTATGTTCTCTCTGTATATGTCAGCACTGATGATATCTAATCAATAACTGTGTTGTTGTCAAGCTCAGGTTGAATTTGTGGGAGGAAAGATATGACATAGTACACCTATACAATTGCATACAGGTGCATTCATTTATTTTAACCAAAATATCCCTTCAAAAAAGCTAAAGAGAAGCAGTTATACATTTAGGTTAGTGACAAAGTATTTCTAATATATCTTAAAATAGGCTGATTGGAGAATTAAAATATTTCCATTTTTGTCTCAATAACTGTTTAATAGACTTATGTTTACCTTGTTTGTTGTGTTTACATATTAAATAAAGAAAAAATGGGGTAGGGGAAATTTCTATTAAGTATATGGTCATTATAGTCAATTAGAACTAAATATTAATTCTGATATTTCTTGAAATTTGAAAGCAATAAGTTTTTAGAAATATATTTGTTATTAGAACCAACAATCTTTAATTTGTTAATAACAATAATACCATCTGTTACTTGTTTTACAGTTCATGATGCTTTTACGTAATTATAATTTTAGTACTTAGTGCTTCCTATTTGACATGTAGAAGATATACATTATTATCCCATGAGTGTATTAGAAAATCAAGATTTCACAACCTTAAGTCTCTTTCTCAAATTAAAAAAAAATAGGAAGTAAAATCATAATTTGTATGTAAGTGTATTTCACTCTATAGCACATGCCCTATAACCTAAATGATTTGTTCTATAAGAATTGTTTCATTAATTTTTATAAGAATGATTTACTGTCCTGCAAACACATGTCCTAGTTCTTGGTCACCATATAGATTTTGACTACATTCCATTTACCCTAACATCCTACTCATCCTTAAAGCCACTATTTTTGTTAAAAAAAAATGACATAGTATATCCCCAAGTAAATGGCATCTAACTCTTTTTTGTCATAATATTTAAATTTTTCTCAAGGAACACTCCTTCAGAAGTATGTTTTGTCCTGAATTTGAGTAATTTTTTAATATTCCCCAATAGGAAACATAATATATTTCAGATTCAAATGATGTGTTATTTGCTAATAATAATACCTTGCACCCTGCATATTTGAAGCCTTTCTTAGACACATGACACACATCCAAACAATTCAAGGTATGAAAATCCTACTATGGAATGTCTCTTGAATGTTCTCCCTAACCCTCCTCCCATTACTAGTTTAATTCTACCAAATTTGTCAACTGCTTTCTATTGCTGAAACATTGCAGGGAGACACTGTATCCAGTCTTATTTTACCCTCCAATATATTATCTAAATTGATGCCAGACTTACCATTGGAAATTATCACCATCTGGCTACAAATGTTCAATAGCTCTCTGGAAATTCCAAGATTTCTGATATGACATGTGAAGCCCTCATAATCTGGCTCGTGTGTTATCACCACCCTCTCATCTTCTCACTATTTCTTTCCCTCTCCAGTCTCCTTATTCGATATGTCAAATCTGTTTTTGGCTTTCAAATATAAATAGTCATTTTTCAAAAAGGCCAAGGGACTAGATTATTCCAAGCAGAAGAAACAACATGAGTAAAAGATCATGATTTGAAGTGGCACAGCGTGTACAGATAACTAATATAGTTGAGTACTGTAGTTTGGTAAAATGTGAGAGATGCTTTCATGTTGAGTCTTTCCTGATGCTGTTTTGATAAAAGTAATTATTCCTTTCTTGTTTCATAAATGTACCATATTTCGTTGTATTTATTTGTTTAGCTACTAAGAAAGTACCACCAGGGTTAGATTGGTTTTATATTTGTCTTTGCAGAACTAGAACCAAGCACAGTATTTGACTCATAGTAGGCACTTACATGTTTGTTAAACTATTGAATTTTAAGAAATAATTTTAAAATTTATGAACCAATTTCAGGATATCAGATCACAGAAGTTATTAGAAAATGCTTTGTAAAAATTAAAATACCACAAAATGGTATATCCTGATATTTCAGCAGTAGGGATATGTCTCTGAAATCTTTACTTTGGACTTTGTAATCCCATTGGCTACAGAAACAGGGATTTTAATAAATATTAAGTTTCAAAAAACAAAGCTAATCACCGACATCTATGGGCAAGTGACCATGAAAAGGAAATAGAGCAGGAACCAGACACCCTGGCAGTCAAAATGGAAGGTGTCCCATAACACTGGTACAAGGACACTGGTGGCAAGGGACTAGGTGTTTTCTTATTGGAATGGGGGAGAAGAACATATTTTATAATAATACTAAATGAGATTTTTCCCCTAGAATTCTTCTGCTTTTAGTCTTTCATATTTGCATGAAACTGGAACCTTGATTAGCAGTCAATTGAAAAATAGGACATTAAAACAAAACAATATTGTTTAAAAATAAATAAATAAATAAATAAGTTCTGGGCATAGGAGTGCCTCATGGAAAAGATCAGTTAGACAATGGTCAAGTATAATTAGGGGTCAAGCATATTTAAGCAGATAATCAATTCCAAGAAATGGATAGGAGCCTGAAGTATACAGGATACAAAGATCACATTGTGAAACAGTGGTTAATATTCAAATTCTGTGTTTACAATGGATAAGAAAAGCAGAAGTCACAGAATTAAAACAGAATGAAGTGGAAACATATGTACTTTTAGGACATATCTCCAAATTATAGGTGAAAATATTCATTTATGGAACAGTATCTAATTTTAATTTTGTAAAGTAATAACTTTGCTTTCTTGGATCCCATTAAATTATGCCAAATAACTGAAATTATTTACTCTATAGTATTATGTAGTTTTTTGTCCCCAAAAATATCAAAGTGTATTTAATTTCTGTAAGAATTATTATTGGATTAAAACTCATCTTTCTTGCCATACTGGACATTCAGTGTAGGTAGGGGAATTATCTATTTTTTTTTCTTATAACACAGTGCATGGAAAACAGACAAAAAAGTTCAATATTTGCTAAATAAATGAAATATATACATAAAAAACCTAAATGCATATATACAAATTGCCAAACTAAATGGTATTAATATGGTGATTTTACTAGAAACTCTTATTTTCTATATATTTCATTATGAAGAAATGTTAATATGCATGTCTATCTCTGTTATAGTAAACTAATTTATTAATCAAAAATAATTATTCTAACCTGTATATTGTTAACCTATAAGGGGAAAAAAAGCCTACCTGTGATGAAGATTACATGTTGTTTAAACACAGAAGTCTCATTAAAAAATATAACAGTTTGAAATAATAATGTCAGAGGGAAATTACGTTAGTTTGCTTTAGAGTTTTCATTTAAATTTCTAGGATGTTTACCATTAAATAGTGAAGTTACTTAAAGTAAAATTAAAAGATGAGCTGATGTTTGTTTATGTGTTTTATTTATGCAAATGAAGATTTAAAGCTGTAAGATCAAGAAGTAAACTCATCCATAATCAAGTGGGATTTATTCCTGAGATGCAAGGATGGTTCAAATATGCAAATCAATTAATGTGGTACACCACATTAATTGGATGAAGGACAAAATACATAATCATCTAAATAGATGAAGAATAAGCATTTGACACAATTCAACATCCTTTCATGATAAAAACTCAACAGATTAAGTATAAAAGGAATGTACCTCAACACAATAAAAGCTATATATAACAAGCCTATAGCTAATATCATACTCAACCACAATTCTAGTTTCCACTTCCATGAGCTTGACTTCTTTAGATTCCACATATGGGTAAGATCATATGGAGTTTATCTTTTTGTGCCTGGCTATTTCACTTAGCATAATGTTCTCCATATTCATCCATGTTTCTGCAAACAGGATTGCCCATTTACATTGGGTTGCTTGTTTTCTTGTTATTGAAATGTTTGAGTTCCTTATATACAGTCGTGTTGCTTAATGAGGGGTATATGTTCTGAGAAATGTGTGCTTAGGTGGTTTTTGCCATTGTACCAACATCATAGAGTGCTTATGCAAACCTAGATGGTATAGCCTACTACACACCTAGGCTATATGGTACAGCCTATTGTTCCTAGGCTACAAACCTGGCAAGCATTTTACTGCACTCTATGCTGTACGCAATTATAACACAATGGTAAGTATTTGTGTATCTAAATATATCTAAACATAGAAAAGGTAATGTGTTGCACTTTGATGTTAGGACAGCTATGATGTCAATAGGTGACAGGACTTTTTAAGCTTCACTATAATTTTATAGGATCACCATTGTATATGGAGTCTGTCATTGATGGACATGTCATTATGTGGCACATAACTACATATTGTATATTAACCCTTTATCAGACATATTGTTTGCAAATATTTTCTCCCATTCTGTGGGTTGTCTCTTCACTGTGCTAATTATTTCATTTACTGTGAAGAAGTTTTCCAGTCTGATGCAATCTCATTTGTTTATTTTTGTTTTTGTTGCCTGTGCTTTCGGGATCAGATTAAAAATATATATTGCCCAAGCCAGTGTCATGCAGCTTCTTCCCTGCGTTTTCTTATACTAGTTTTACAGTTGCAAGTCTTATATTTAAGGCATTAACCCATGTTGAGTTGATTTTTGTATATGGTATGAGATTAAAAATCCAATTTTATCCTTCTGCATGTAGATATTCCGTTTTCTAGAATCATTTATTGAAGAAACTGTCTTTCCTCTGTTGTGCGTTCTTGGCAACTTTATTGAAAATCTATTGTCTATAAGTGCATTAGTTTATTTCTGGACTCCATCCTGTTCCATTGGTAAATGTGTCTATTTTTATGCCAATATCATGTCGTTTTGATTACTATAGCTTTGTAGTATATTTTCATATGGTAGTTTATTTCATAGATAATATGATGCCACTAAGTTTGTTCCTTTTACCCAAGATTGCTTTGGCTATTAGGGATCTTTTATTGTTTCATATAACTCAAATAAAAATAGACAAAGGACTTATGTACACGCTTTCCCAAAGAAAATATACAAATGACCAATTAGCACAGGAAAAGATGCTCAATGTCACAAGTCAGGCAATGAAAATCAAAACTACAGTATCACCATATTCATTAGGATGGCTTCTATAAAAATAGAAAATAATGAGCATTGGTGAGAATGTAGAGGAATTGGAACATTTGTGCACAGGTGGTAGGAATGTAAATGGTGCAGTCACTGTGAAAAACAATATGGCAGTTCCTCAAAAAATTACAAATAGAATTAACTTGTGAACCAGCAATTCTGATTATTTATTCAAAAGAATTGAAATCAGGATCTGAAAGAGATAGCTGTACTCCCATGCTCATTTCAGCACTATTCACAATAGAAAGATACAGAAACAATTTAAATGTCCATTGACAGATCAATGGGAAAAGGACATGTGGTATACAATGGAATATTTGAGTTGTTATATTTTTCTTATCTTTGAGTTTTAGGAGATTACTATATATTCTGGATATTGACCCCTTATCAGAAATATGATTTGCAGATATGTTTTCCCAATCTGTGGGTTGCCTTTCTACTCTCTTAGGCTTTTTAATCTATTTTATTCTTAGAGTTTTGTTATTTTAGGTTTTGCATTTAGGCCTTTGATGTTACATTTAGCTCTTCGAGGTTTGTGTGTGTGTGTGTGTTTGTGTCTATTGTATTAGGTAGGAGTACATCTTCATTCTTTTGCATGTTAATATCCAGTTCCAAGCACCATTTGTTGAAAAGTCTTTTCTTTTCCAATTGAATGGTCTTGAAACCCTTGTCAGAAAACATTTGACCATGTGTGTGAGAATTTATTTTTAGGATCTCTATTTTATTCCAATGGCCTATATGTCTGTCTTTATGCCAGTGCCACATTGTTTTTGTTACTGTCACTTTGTAACAAAATTTGAAATCAGGAAGTATGAGTCCTCTAGCTTTATTCTTCCTTTTCTATTGACCATCTATTTTGACCATCCAGAGTCCCTTGACATATGAATTTTTGGATATGATTTTCTATTTATGAAAAGACATCATTGGGATTTTGATATGGATTGCAGTGAGTCCGTAGGTTGCTTTGAGTAATATTGACATCTTAACACTATTAATGCTTCTAGTCCAAGATCATGGGCTATGTTTCCATTTATTTATGTTGTAATTTTTTTTAACAGTGTTCCATAGTTGTCATTATGCAAGTTTTTTACCTCTTTGGTTAAATTGATTTCTAAACATCTTATTCATTTTCATGCTACTGTAAATTAAATTGCTTTTGTAATTTCCTTTACAGATGGTTCATTGTCAATGTATTAGAATGCAACTGATTTGGGTGTGCTATTTCTGTGTACTTTAAAATTTCTTGTGTGCCTAATTTCTTCCATTACCGTCTTCATTTGTGTTTTATTGGTTTTTTGCAGTGAAATGTTTTTAATTTTTTCTAATTTCCTTTTGTGTATATTCCACAAATATTTTCTTTGTGGTTATAATAGGGATTACATTTAATATCCTAAAGTTGTAACATTCTGAATTAACTTATACCAGCTGATATGGCTTGGCTCTGTATCCCAACCCAAATATGTCAAATTATAATCCCCACGTGTCAGGGGAGGGGCCTCCTGGGAAGTGATTGGATCATGGCGGTGGATTTCTCCCTTGCTGTTCTCATGACAGTGAGTGAATTCTCATGATATCTGATGGCTTAAAAGTGTGTGACACTTCTCCTTTTGCGCTCTCTTGCTCTCTCTCTCTCTTATGCTGCCATTAGAACTTGCTTGCTTCCCCTTTGCCTTTTGCCATAATTGCAAGTTTCCTGAGGCCTCCGGGTTATGCATCCTGTTAAGCCTGGAGAACTGTGAGTTAATTGAAACCTCTTTTCTTAATAAATTACCCAGTCTCAGGTAATTCTTTGTAGCAGTGTAAGAACAAACTAATATAGAAAATTGGTACCAGAGGTGTGTGGGGCATTGCCATAAAGATACCTGAAAATGTGGAAGCGATTTTGGAACTGGGTAATGAGCAAGGTTGGAAAAATTTGAAGGGATCAGAAGAAGACAGGAAGATGTGGGAAACTTTCAGACTTCCTAGAGACTTGCTGAATGGTGCTGACCAAAATGCTATGGTGATATAGACAATAAAGTCCAGGTTGTGGTGGTCTGAGATAGAGATGAATAACTTATTGGGAACTGGAGTAAAGGTCACTCTTGCAATTCTTTAGCAAAGAGACTGGAGGCATTTTGCCCCAACCTAGAGATCTGTGAAACTTTAAACTTGAGAGAGATGATTTAGGGTATCTAGCAGAAGAATCTCTAAGCAGCAAACCATTCAAGAGGTGACCTTACTGTTTCTAAATGTGTATGATCATATATGTGAACAAAGAGATTAGCTGAAGCTGGAACTTATATTTAAAAGGGGAAGCACAGCATAAAAGTTTAGAAAATTTGTAGCCTGGATATGTGGTAGAAAAGAAAAACCCATTTTCTGGGGAGAAATTCAAGCCTGCTACAGAAATTTGCATAAGTAGAGAAGCCGAATGTTAATAGCCAAGACAGTGGAAAAAATGTCTCCATGGCATTTCAGAGACCTTCACAGCAGTCCCTCCTATCATGGGCCTAGGAGGGAAAAAGGGTTTCATGGACCAGGCCCCAGGTCCTGCTGCTCTGTGTAGCCTTGGTATACTCTGTGTAGCCCTGTATCCCAGCCACCCAGCTCCAGCTGTGGCTAAAAGGGGCCAAGCTACAGCTCAGGCTGTTGCTTCAGGGGGTGCAAGCCCAAAATCTTGGAGGCTTCCACTTGGTGTTGGGCTTGTAGGTGCACAGAAGGCAAGAGTTGAGGTTTGGGAACCCCCACCTAGATTTCAGAAGATGTAGGAAAATGCCTGGATGTCCAGGAAGAAGGGTGATAAAGGGGAGGAGCACTCATGGAGATCCTCTACTAGGGCAATGCAGAGGGGAAATGTGGGGTTGGATCCCCCACACAGAGTCCCCACTGGGGCACTGCCTAGTGGAGCTGTGAGAAGATGGCCACTGTTCTCCAGACCCCAGAAAGGTAGATCCACCAATAGCTTGCACCATGTGCCCAGAAAAGCCACAGGCACTCAACGCCAGCCTGTGAAAGCAGCCACAGGGGTGTACCCTGCAGATCCACAGTAGCAGAGCTTCCCAAGGCCTTGGGAGCCCACTCTGCATCAGCAAGCCCTGGATGTGAGACATAGAATCAAAGCAGACTTGGAGCTTCAAGTTTTAATGAGGATCCTGCTGAGTTTTGGACTTGCATGGGGCCTGTAGTACTTTTGTTTTGTCTAATTTTTCTTCTTTGGAATGAGAGCATTTACCCAATTCGTGTACCCCCGTTGTATCCTTTGAAGTAACTAACTTGTTTTTTAATTATTTTTACAGGCTCATAGGCAGAAGGGACTTGCCTTGTCTCAAATGAGACTTTGGGCTTGGACTTTTGGGTTAATGCTGAATGAGTTAAGACTTTGGGGGACTATTCAGAAGGCATGATTGGTTTCAAAATGTGAGAAGGACAAGATTTGAGAGTGGCCAGTGGCAGAATAATATGGTTTGGCTTTGTTTCCCCAACCAAATCTCATGTTGAATTGTAATCCCCATGTGTCAAAGAAGCTGCCTGGTGGGAGGTAATTGGATAATGACAATGGACTTCCCCCTTGCTGTTCTCATGGTAGTGAGTGGGTTCTCATGCGATCTGGTTGCTTAAAAGTGTGTGGCACTTCCCACCTTCATAGTTCCTCTCTACTGCCACCATTAGAAGGTGCTTTCTTTACCTTTGCCTTCTGCCATGGTTGTATGTTTCCTGAGGCCTCTCAGTCATGCTTCCTTTTAAAATGTGAGTCAATTAAATCTCTTTTCTTCATAAATTACCCAGGCTCACTTAGTTCTTTATAGCTGGGTGAGAACACATGAATACAGCAACCTAACTTAAATAGTACACAAAAAGTCTGCTTCTTTCTAGATCTTTCCCCACCAGTTTGGGTTGTTGATTGTCACAAGATTAGATCTTCATACATTGCATGTCAAAACACATAAACTAATAATAATTTTAGATACACTATCTCTTAAATATTTAAAAAGAAAGTTAAAAACCAAAATAGTGATACTACTGGCTTTTAGACAAATAATTGCTTTTTAAAAAAATGCATTAGTCTCTGAAATCATGTAGAAAACAAGAAGTGTCATTATAAAATAGTGTTACAGTAATACTAGATTCTATAACTGCCCAAGTATATACCTTTTTTGAGACCTTTATTTCTTCATATGTCTTCAAGTTACTCTCTAGAGTTCTTTTGTTTCACCTTGCAAAACTCCCTTGAGTATTTTTTGCAGGGAAGTTGAAGTGGTAACAAATTTCCTCAGCTTTTGATTATCTGGGATTATCAATTTATCCCTCATTTTCAAAGGATCGTTTTGCTTTATATAAGATTCTCAGTTGTCAGTTTTTTCTTTCAGTACTTTGAAAAAGTTGTCCCACTGCCTTCTGGCTTCCAAAGTTTCTTATAAGAAATCTACTAATTATCGTATTAAATATCCCTTGTATGAGACAAGATGCTTCTCTCTTGCTGTTTTCAAAATTCCCTCTATGGCCTATGCTTTCAAAAGTTTGATTACAATGTATCTCAGTGTGAGTCTCTTACAGTTCATTCACCTGAAGTTTTTTGAGCTTCTTGGATGTTTAATCCAAGGTAAGAGTTTCGTGTCTTTCATCAAATTTGGAAAGTTTTTTCTATTACTTCAGATATTCTCTCTGCACCTTTTTCTCTCTTTTCCTTGTATTTCTTTTAGATGCTGTTCACTTTTCTTCAATCTTTTTTCTTTCTATTTCTCATACTTAATAATTTATATTATTCTATCTTCAAGTTCACTGATTCTTTCTTCTGCCTGCCCAAATCTGCCTTTAAATCTCTCTAGCAACTTTTTTGTTTCAGTTATTGTACTTTTTAGCTTTCTAGTTTTAATTTTTTATGTTTTTAATATTTTTGTTAATGTTTCCATTTTGTTTATATATCATTTCTTGTCTTTACATTTCTTTTATGTTATTTGAGCATCTTTAATATAGTTACCTTAAAGTCTTTGTCTAATATATCTACCAATAGAATTTTTTTGTAATTTTTTGTTGAAACCTGGATTTTTGTAATGTAGTAACTCTTGAGACTTTTCCCCTTACTCCAAATTTTCTGGGTTTGGTTACTTTTGTTATTGCTGTAGCCTGTCTCTATGATAAGGATTAGCCTGATGTGTAAACTTAAGCTCTTCTCTGGTCTTTTCTAAGTCTTTACTTAGGCCTGTGGCATAACTTTCTAATTTTTATCGTATATACAGTTGTTTTTCGAATGTCCTAGTCTTATTGTCTGACTTCCAAAGGGGAAAAAAGAAAAGGAAAGAAAAAAGAAGGATTCTGACTCTTTAAATCCCCTGGAAGCCACTTTAGCCAGAGCAGGAAGGATTTGCAACAGTGGGTGGAAATACAACGATGATCGCCTTCCTCTTTGTCTGCATCTCTGTCATTAGAATCAGAAATAAGTGATCAGAGCACAGACCAACGATATTTGGAGGATAGGCTCCTTTCTGCCCTCACTAGCTCCTGCAGTCTGTTTACAAACTAATCCAGGAACACATGTACAGCTGCCTGCTATGTGGCTGAAGAGTGAAGGAGGGTTAGCTACGACTGTGTTAAATGCTAAACTTGATAAAGTTAATCACAATTTATTGCCCAACTCTTCCCCTGGAAGTTGCAAAACTTCAATGAACTGTAAAGTTCCAAAACAGTTACATTAGACTAATTCTGTAGGTGGAATTTTTGTCTAGGTTGGGATGTTACAGTAGATAGCTAGTCAGTCATGAGCAAGGCAGGAGAGGGCTGCCCCCACCACAATATGGTTTGTCTGTGTCCCCACCCAGATCTCTTCTTGAATTGTAGCTCCCATAATCCCCATGTGTCATGAAAGAGACCCAGTGGAAGGTAATTGAATCATGGGGACAGGTTTTCTCTATGCTGGTCTTGTGATAGTGAATAAGTCTCATGAGATCTCATGGTTTTATAAGGGTAGTTCCCCAGCACACACTATCTTGCCTGCCACCATATAAGATGTGCCTTTTCTCCTCTTTCATGTTCCACCATGATTGTGAGGCCTCCCCAGCCATACAGAACTGTGATTCCATTAAATCTCTTTGTCTTTATAAATTACCCTATCTCAGGTATTTCTTCATAGCAGTATGAAAATAGACTAATACACCCCCACACCAGGAATGTCGGGTGACCATCAGGTGATGGTTTAGTGGTTGTTAACTGTCTCTCTAAAATAATATTGGTCACAGCCAGTGCCAGGGAAAGGCAGCCTCCCAACAGACAGAAAAAAACTGAAACTGGTGATCAGCAGTTTCCCAATAAGATCTCAGGAGTTGGATGAGTGGGTTTAAACATGCACATTAAGAGCCAAAATGGTGGAGTAGTTTAACTGGTATATGACCTTCTAGAGACATTTGACTGGTAATGGAAGAAGCCTCAAGTGAGCATGTATACAACTCCAGTAAACATACTAAGCATGCTCCCCTCCCAATTGCTAAAAGGCCACTGTGCATGTGGATAGCCCACCCCAAGGAAAAATTAGGGGAGAAAACATATAAAACCCTAAGTCAAAGGTTAAACAGGGCATTAACCTCTCCAGTCCCCCATTTGGCCTTCTTCCAAGTATACTTTACTTCCTCTAATTCCTGCTCTAAAACTTGCCTCAGTCTCTCCTTCTGCCTTATGCCCCTCAATCAAAGTCTTTCTTCTCAGAAGGCAAGAATCGAGGTTGCTGCAGACCTGTATGGATTTGCTGCCAGTAACAGGGAGACAAATTTTTGAAGCTTCCTATTTCTCCATCTTCCAGAACTTGAATTTTAAAATTAAAGCAATTACATACAAGTGCTGATATTACTATGAATATATATTATTATTTATTTTATAACCAGATGATATAGTTTAACAACATTTTCCATGGAAACCAAAGAATAAAATTGCACTTTATTTCTTCTTACTGTGTTTGTCTTTATTTGTTTACTCATTTTTTTTTCAATTCTCTGCGCAACTTTTTTTTCTGACTACCTCCCACTGCCCTCTGTCCCTTGGTCTTTTGTGGACTCACTGCTTTCTGGTCCCACTTTATCACTGATATCTTAGGACCTCTTTCTACTTTTGTTCTTAGGTTTGGATAAGCCATTTTTTCTACTCTGCTTTATTATGACTAATTTCCACATTTGCTGAAGCACCTTCCCAGAAGAGAGCAAGGAGTACATATTCTGAATTTTTCACTATAAAAGTGAACTACAGAAGTAAGGAAAAGTTTTATTGCCACTATGTAAGGAGGCAGATTAGTGCTTTATCAGAAAGCTACATGGCTTTCTGGGGAGTAGGAAGTATTTGTAAACTGGAAAGAAAACATCTAAGTGCGGGAGAAGAATCCAGTGGGAGAGAAAATGAACTTACTGAAGACCTTTTCATGTCAGAAGATTGCTTTTCTGGCTACAGTTACATAAATATTGCAATAAACTTACTCCACATGCCCCCCGACCCCCACACGACCACACTATGAATTTACTTACCATTACTCGTATTACTTCACCTTGGCCACTAATACCTCAAGTGGAGTGTTTGAATACAACATAGGACTATAGCTTAGGAATACCTAGGAATACAGTATATTCACACACTCCACTTGAGGTATTAGTGGGTAAAGTGAAGATACCACTTAGGTTTCTGATAAAGCAAAGATCTAATGTAAGTTAAGTAAAATGTTGGCCCTGTTTTCTGGTACTTTAAGCCAAGGCCTCCTATGACTTAATGAGGAACAAACGTTTATCTATATGCTATTACCACCTCCAGAGTTCATCTAGACATGCTCTCCCCAGCTTTACCAATGTCCTATCTCAATCTATTGTTCCTTCCTTCCGTCAACATTCTTGTCCTGTGTTTCAGTTTTCCATGGCTGGTGGTCAGCTTTTCAAAATAAAAACTGTTAATTTTTGTAATTAATTTCACTGAGGAAGTAGCCACTTAAAGTTCCACTTCTACCAGTATATTGACACTTTGTCAGGGGTTTTCAGAAATCACACATCCTACACAAAAGGGATACATTGCTAATGATAACAAAGAAGACATTGTTATACACTGGCAGTAAAAAATATTATAGCTGATCTGAAAATAATTTCCAAGCACCTAGGACTTGGGTTGGAAGAATTTCTCAGCTGTTACTTGAAAATTATATCATATATTAACTAATACTTACATATAAGCCTGGCCTTGACTCAAGTAGCTGCAAGTGAACATTGCTAATCCATGTCTTACTTTGTTATTACACTTGCTCTCCACCCACTATGTTTAAAACAACAACCACAACAATGACAATATAAATTAAAGGAGACAATAGAACTAAAGACCTTTAATAGAAGCACCATATGCCAATAAAGACAGTGAATACTAAGAGCCATACTTTGGATGACATTGTGAACCACTTGTGTGTACTTTGTGAAACATTATACTTGAGAAACAGTGAATTATAATTAATATGTTGACTTTGAATTTCAAATTGTAATTTAGACTACTGATAGTAGGAGCCTTAGGTGAAATTGAATTTGGATGTCAATTCAAAGTAGTTTTTAAAAAGCATATTTATTGGGACCTCAGAGCTACACACATTTCTGGCCTGGGAATTGAGGAAGGTGGAGGTGGAAACTGAGGTAGAGTTGGAGGAACTGTGGGCCCAACTGCTGCCCTGCACCTATAAAATGAGCCAGCATATCAGTAGTATTTTGTGTGAGCTGCAGCAGCCGAGGTACCTTGTAAAGACCCTCAAAGTATGATGACAGCTGGTTTATTTCTGTTTGTATGTTACATATCTTGCATTAATATTTCTTGTGGCCAACCCTAACTAGAAATTATAAAAGAAAGGGGAGTGTAGTTGCAGCTTAGCTAAGCTGAAACAGTACAAAAACCTCCATAATTGGTAATAATGAAAGTTTGCAAAATTGCACAAGATGTACATTGTCCCCTATTTATGCAGTTGCTATACTGAGCAGTAGCTGAGTAATTAAAATCTTACCATCACAGGTGTCATTATTAGAACCCTAGTGGTGCTCTCAGATGTGAAGTGAAGCATGGTACTTTACTGCACAGCATCCTGTGAATTCCTGTACCTTATCAGCAGCTAGCGATTCTTTTGATGGCACAGGAATAAAATTATACATTTTATAGCTATAAAATGAATAATACACCCATATCTATAAAAGCTAGTAAGTCCTCCCTCCTTCTCCCCAGTCCTTCTCTACTGCATTTGTGTGCTCATGTGTGTTCGTGCACACGCGCACGTGCGCGCGCGTGCGAGCACACACACACACACACACACACACACACAGAGCACATAGCCTGAGGTAACACTGTAAATTACCTCAATATTAAGGAGAAAAATTGTTCTGGTTGAGTGTATTTAAGAAAAGTACTGAGAATGTGCAGAGATGACACATGTGCAAATAAAATAAAAGGAACTTGGTTTTGATCTAATGGTTTCATTGATTTTTCCTAAGCAGGACTGTAATTACCTGCACAGGAGCTTAAAATAATATGGGCAGTAAGTTTCAGGAGTTATCTTCTTAGATGAATAAGTTATTTGTATTCTATATGGAAATTAGCTTGTGTTTTTTGACTTTATGCATGAGGCTTGGACCCCCTGGGGTACTGTGGGGACCAGGCACAGCTGATTTTTTTTCATCTGCAAAGCAGAATCCTGACAGCCACAGATGTGAGCTGCCCCAGCTTTAGGTGTGAAAGCTGCTTTGTGAAGCCAGAATTCAGGCAATTAAGCAAGTCCTCCTCCTGGTAAGCTGGTAGTTAGCCAGGGCACTGGCAATGCTACCCAGACTGCTCCAGGCAGAGGGCTTGGTGAGTGGAACACCTGAAGCTGCTTACTAGAAAAGAACAAAGATTCAAAAACTACAATGTTATGGACCTCTGTTTTAAAATTATTTTAGCCTTTAACTCTGCATTCTACAGACACATTCAAATAAAATATAAAGAACCCAACAGGATCATTAGTAATTATGCATGACTCCTTAGAGTTGCTAAGCATATTTATTATGCATTGCATATGATATGTTAGATATTAATAATGTATTCTATCAGATCTTGATTTTTACAAAAACAACCAAGTGAAATCTGTATCACTATTGTTTTGGAGACCAGAAAACTGTGGCTCAGAGTAAATAAGTGATTTACTGCAGGTCATACAGCCCATAAGTGGCCAAGCCAGAACTGAAACTCAAATTCCCCTAGTTCAATCCCAGGGTCTGCTTTAAATACTCTATAGGCAGACAGGACACACATGAGTTAGTAAAATAAATAGTCAATTTTCCCAGCCTCTCCAGCACAGGTCTCCTAGATTTTGCCATGGTTTTAGTGTGTTGCTTATAAAACTAGTTCTACCTTGTCTTTATCCATTAGTTTGAGTTCTTAATAATTGTGAATTTGCACCTAAGACTTTGCCAAATCTTTGAAGTAAAAATTAAAACTGTGATGGGTCATAATACAAATATTGGCTGGTGTTCTAGATGAGGAGGAAATAAAGGAAAAATAAATTTTGATCAACCACATTATCACAGATTTTGCTAGGTGCTTGTACATTTTATCACTAAATTATATTATTCTCTTTCAAATGAGAAGACCAAAGTCAGTTAAAGAATGTCCCTTGAGACAAGAATAAAGTGGTTTAGCTGAAATTTGAACAGTCTTATCTAATTCTCAAGATGAAGGTGTAACTGGCTCATTAATCCTATAGAATTGATGTTTATGGTGTCTTGAATAAACACAGAAATTGACCCTTACAGTCTTAAAACTTGAGAATCTTACATTTATCTTATCTGAGCTCCTTTCTTAGGAAACATACCATAAATCCTCCCAAATATTAGGTTGATGCAAAAGTAATTGCAGCTTTACCATTACTTTTAATGGCAAAACCACAATTACTCAGAATTAATCAGTTCCGTAATAGTATCAGGGAACTGAAACTTACTAGACCACCATATCTGGGCAATGAGATGCCAGACCCTTCACCCATCATCTATTTAGTCCATTGCCTAACTGACCACCTGCTGCCTATTAACAGCTCCTCTTCCTAATTCCTGTTTTCCCACACGTAGTTGCACTGCTTCCCTACTATGCAAACCCGAAATTTTAGTCATTCAAGGAGATGGATTTGAGACTTATTTCTCATCTCCTTGGCTGCAGTACCCAATTAAAGCCTTCTTCCCTGGCAATACTCATTGTCTTAGTGATTGGTTTTCCGTTCAGTGAGCAGCAGACCTAGGCCGAACCCCTGGTCTTTCCATAATAAAGGGAGAAGACCCAAAGAATATAGTGTCTATTCTTCATCATGCACTCCACTCAGTATTTTGCAAGCATCATTCTTTTTCTGTTTATAACAATTCTATAAAGTTAGTAACTATTCATCTATATTTTTAGATTCCACGTATAATGAGATTATGCAATATATTTTCTTTCTGTGCCTGGCTTATTTCTCTTAGTGTAATGTCCTCCAGGCTCATTCATGTTGTGGCAAATGGCAGGATCTCCTTTTTTAAGGCTGAGTAATAGTCCATTTTGTATACATACCGCAGCTTCTTTATGCATTGTACTCCTGACATACACTGAGATTGTTTTCAAATATTGGCTGTTGTGAATAATGCTACAATAAGCATGGGAGTGCAGACATCTGTATGAGGTGAGACATTCATTTCTTTTGTATACATACCCAGAAGAGGGATTGCTGGGTCATATGGTTCTATTTTTAATTTCTTGAGGAACCTCTGCACACTTTTTTTCATAATGGCTGCACCAATCTGCCTTCAACCAACTGTGCACAGGGCTTCTTTTCTCCATAATCTTGCCAACATCTGTTATCACTTGACTTTCCTATTCAATTCATTTTGCAAATGAGGAACAGGATACAAATTAACTTAAGTTTCCTAAAATCCCAAAGCTAGTAATTGGCAGAGAAGGAAATTGAATGTCTGACTTCAATGCTTGTGCTACTTCCATAAACAGATGCTCCTGATTTCTGAGTATATACATGAAAATTTAAGTAACACACAGGAAATAATCACCTTTTTAAAATAATCGAGTAAAGACAAGTCTTAAAGTAATAATAGACTACTGAACCTTCCTAGACATGCTACTAAAGTAATATAAAGTTTGGTGAGTTCCTTTTTTATTAAGCTTTAGATACTCCACTTTAAGATTTTTCATCTATTTTTTTGCCAATATTCTTGCAAACATAAACTTACATGAAATACTCATCAGAAGAAAATTATTTGTAGCAAGCAGGAAATGTAGTTAGGTATAGTGTATTGTGAATTGCATGCTGAGTTACTATAAATGAAAGAAATAAACCTCGAGGAGAATCAAATTAAATATACACATCACTAGGAACAAAAATAAATGGAACAATAACAGGTTTACTTAAGAATGTCATTCAAAAAAATCTCTACACTTATTGAAATCAGTTTTTCTTACCAAGTATTATGATAGTTAATGTTTTACAGTTTATCACTTCAATTGCTCCATAAGGATTACAAGTTGAATAAATATTAATTCAATATATTAATGCTACTGATAACAAAGTCTAATTAATATAAAGTATTCAACTTTACCATATAATAACTCCATTGTTTTCATTTTAAAAACCTCTAAGGAGGAATCATTTATATGGAGATACTCCCTGCTACAGGAAGTGGAGCTCAATTCCCTGCACAGATAACTCGAAAGAACAAAGTAGGGAAAGGCAAAAAGAGTAATTGTATAGTGGAGAAACCTATGAAAAAGTGCCTGAACCAAGAGATGAACAAACTAAATGAATCAGTGATGCTATATGACTATCATGTGATCCCTGATATGAGGTAAAGAGAAGAGCACTTCACCTCTACTGTATTATTTCCAAACTCCCAGAGCATGAGAAAACATCAGAAAAACCCAGATGAAGGGCATTATAAAGGATATCTGCTCAGTACTTCTCAAGGCTGTCAAGTTCATTAAAACTAAGGAAAGGCTGAGACACTGTCACTGGCCTGAGGAGACCAAGGAAAGATGACAAATAAATGGAAAGAAGCACCCCAAAATGGATCTCCAAATAGAAACAGGACATTATGGAAAAACTAGTAAAGTCAAAATAAAGTTGAGTTTGTGAATGGTAATGTACCAATTTCAGATTCTTAGTTTTGAGAAATGTAACATAGTGTTCATCATACATAATGAAAATAGCTAAAGCACCATGTTTGTTCCTCCCCAACTGCATCTTTCTTCATTTCATAATAGTATGTGATACAATTAAGTGTCTGTATTGTTTCCATCTTTATGCCTTCATTGAAAGTGTATTGTCTTGTCAGATAGTTTTGTATTACATTTTTAAACTTCATATAAATGGTAAAATATTTCTAAAATTTTATTTTGTACAGTGTACAATATTAAATGTGTCTATAATTATAGGCAAAGTTTTAGTCCATTTAATTCACTGCTTGTAGTATTCCAGTAAACTGTTTTATTTTTCCATATAAAATACAATGCTTGTTAATGGATATTTATGGGGTCTCTGATTTTCTAGTATTTATAAACAATAATCCTTATGTACACATTTCATTAACTATGAAAGTTTCTCTAGAACAAGGGTCAGCAATTTTTTTTTAATAAGCCAGATACTAAATGTTTCCGATTTTCCTGCCTAAGAGGCAACATCAAGGATATTATGTGGGTACTCAGATAATGCTTTAAAATGTAACCATTTAAAAATGGAAAAATCATTCTTGGCTCCCAGGTGACAAACAAACAGGCAACTGGTCAGATTTGTGCCAAATCTGTACAACTTTGTGCCAAAGGCTGTAGTTAATATTCTCTGACTCTAGAATATACAGTGAGTTTAGAACTATTCTACAGTTTCAATTATACAAGATATTGCTCCAAATCTCAAAACTGGTTGAACTAGTTTACCATCTGTATTAGTCCATTCTCACGCTGCTGTAAAGAATTGCCCGAGACTGGGTAATTTATAAATAAAAGAAGTTTGACTCACAGTTCCACATGGCTGGGGAGGTCTCAGGAAACTTATAATCATGGTGGAGGAGAAGCAATCACATCCCTCTTCACATGACAACAGGAGAGAGAAGTGAAGAGGAAAGTAAGGAAAAGCCATCACATCTCATGAGATCTCACTCATTATCACCAGAACAGCATGGGGGAATCATCTGCATGATCTAATCATCTCCCATGATGTCCCTCCCCCAACACATGGGGATTGTAATTCAGGTTATTCAAGATGAGATTTTTGGTGGGGACACAGTCAAGCCATATCATCATCCCAACAGCATTAGATATGATTTCAGGTTGTTCTACAGTCTTCTCAACAATTAGTAATAATATTTTATCAATCCAATGGGTATGGAAAGTCATCACTGTGGGTTTGTTTTAAAAGAAACTATCTCACTGTGCTGCCAGGACTGGATTTGAAATTCTGGACTCAAGTAAATCTCTCACCTTGGCCTCCTGAGTAGCTGAGACTATAGGTGCATGCCACTATGCCTGATTTATCATTGTGGTTTTAATTAATATTTTCTTCATTATAATTGATATAGACCATATTTTATATCTATTTCTTTATCATTAACATTTTGTCTCTATAAAATTGTCTGGTAATATCTTTTGTTCATTTTCAAAAAGGGATATTTCTCTTTTTCTTATTAATATTGAGTTCATCGTGTGTTCCATATACTAATCATTTTTTGTTTAAGATTGTGAGACTGGTACGTATCCTATCCTTATTTTTATCTTTCTTATATTTTATAGTAACCATCATGCATAGATGTTTTCATTTTTTATGTAATTTAATTTATCTTTCCTATGTCATTGTCATAAAATTATTTGTTATAATTTCTTCTAAGATTTGAAATATTTACTTTTCACATTTAGATAGTTCATGTATCCTAGGTTGCTTATATATGATATGAGTCAGAAATCCAATTTTTTTTACAAATACAACCATTTTCATAGCATCATTTATTGAATAACCCAATGTTTCCTAATTAAGCTACAATGCAATCTCTTTAATAAACAAAATTCTATAAATATACAGATGATTCATTCTGCTTATTCTGTTCTTAAATCTTTTGTTTATTCCTGATTCAGTTCCATAATATAATTATAATAACTTTATTGTAACACTTGATTTTAGGAAGGCAAATTTTTTACTGTGATTTTCTTCCTCAAAATTGCCTTTTCTATTCTTTTTCCACTTTCAATTTCATATACACTTATGAATCAGGCTGGTATGTCACCTGCTTTGAATGTATAGCTGACTTGGATAGAAATAACATGTTTATCATATTAATTTTTCCTGGATGGAAGTTACATTGGTCTTTTAAAAGTCATTCAAAAGTTTTCAAACTTTTTAAATAAAACTTTTAAATATCTTTCACTGTTTTTTTAAAACCCTGTTACAATTTCTGTTGCTGTCTTAAATGGTATTTTTAAAATAACACTATGACATTATGGCTAAGTGTTAAGGAATACAACTAATTTTAGTGTAATTATTTAGTGTAGTAAATGTTTTTTTTTTAATTTGTGGATACATAGTAGGTATATGTATTTATGGGGTACAAGAGATGTTTTGATACATGCATGCCATGTGAAATAAGCACATCATGAAGAATAGGGCATTTATCCCTTCAAACATTTATCCTTTGAGTTACAGACAATTCAATGACACACTTTAAGTTATTTAAAAATGTACAGTTAATGTTGACTATAGTAGCCCTGTTGTGCTATCAAATAGTAGATCTTATTCATTCTTTCTATTTTTTTGTACCCATTACTCATGCCCACCTCCTTACCCAACCCCCCACTGCTCTTTTTAGCTTCTGGTAATCATCCTTCTCTCTCTACATCCATGAATTCAATTGTTTTGATATTTAAATACCACAAATAAATGAGAACGTGCAATGTTTGTCTTTCTGTGCTTTATTTCACTCACCATAATGACCTCCAGTTTTATCCATGTTATTGCAAATTACTGGATCTCATTATTTTTTGTGGCTGAATAGTACTCCATTGTGTATATGTACCACATTTACCTTATCTATTAATTTGCTGATGGACACTTAGGCTGCTTCCTAATCTTAGTTATTATATCTTATAATCTTAGTTATTATAAACTTAGTTTATAATCTTAGTTTATAATCTTAGTTATTATAAACATTGCTGCAACAAAGCATAGAAGTGCAGATATCTCTTTGATATACTGATTTCCTTTCTTTTGGGTATATACCCAGCAGTGGGATTCCTGGATTATGTGATAGAGTCAGAAATCCAATTTTTTTTTAATTTTTAAAAATTTTAAAACTCAATTTTAGAGTTTTGAGGAACCTCCAAACTTTTCTCCATAGTGGCTGTACCAACTTACATTCCCACCAACAGGGTATAAGCATTCCCTTTTCTCACATCTTCAGCAGCATGTGTTATTACCTGTCTTTTGGATATAAGCCATTTTAACTGGGGTGAGATTATATCTCATTGTCGTTTTGATTTGCATTTCTCTGATGATCAACGATGTTAAGCATCTCTTCATGTGCCTGTTTGCCATTTGTATGTCTTCTTTTGAGAAATGTCTACTCAAATCTTTTGCCCATCTTTTCATCGGATTATAAGATGTCTTTATAGAGTTGTTTGATCTCCCTATAAATCCCTTGTCAGATAGGTAGTTTGCAAATATTTTCTTCCATTATGTGGGTTGTCTCTTTATTTTGTTGATTGTATACTTTGCTGAGGAAAAGCTTTTTAATTTGGTGTGATCCCATTTGTCTATGTCTGCTTTGATTGCCTGTGCTTGTGTGGTATTGCTCGATAAATTTTTGCCCAGACCAATGTCCTGGAGATGTTCCCCAATGTTTTCTCATACTAATTTCATGGTTTGAGGTTTTAGATTTAAGTCTTTAATTCATTTTGATTTGATTTTTTTATACGGCAAGAGATAGGGGTCTAGTTTTTTTCTTCTGCTTTTGGATATCCAGTTTTCCCAGCACCATCTATCGAAGAGACTGTCTTTTCCCCAGTATATATTCTCTTGGCACCTTTGTCAAAGATTAGTTCACTGTAGTTGTGGAGATTTGTTTCTGGGTTCTCTAATCTGTTCCATTGGTCTATGTGTCTTTTTATGCCAGTATCATGTTTTGCTTACTATATCTCTGTAGTATAATTTGAAGTCAGATAATATCATTCCTCCAGTTTTGTTCTTTTTGCTTAGAATAGCATTGGCTATTCTGGGTCTTTTGTGGTTCCATGTGAACTTTAGGATTGTTTTTTTCTATTTCTGTGGAGAATGTCATTGGTGTTTTGATAGAGATTTTATTGAATCTGTAGATTCTTTTGGTTAGTATGAACATGTTAACATTGTTTTGGGTAGTATGAACATGTTAACAATACTAATTCCTCCGATCCATAAACATATAATATTTTTTCCATTTTTTGGTGTCTTCTTCAATTTCTTTCATAAGTGTTTTATAGTTTTCATTATAGAGATCTTTCACTTCTTTGGTTAATTCCTAGGTATTTAATTTTATATATATATACATATATATATATAACTATTGTAAATGAAATTACTATTTAAGTTTCTTTTTCAGATTGTTCACTGTTGGCATATAGAAATGCTACTGATTTTTTAATGTTGATTTTGTATCCAGCAACTTTGCTGAATTTGTTTATCAGTTCTAATAGTTTTCTTGTGGAGGCTTTAGGTTTTTTTCATGTGTAATAACACATCATCTGCAAACAAGGATAATTTTACTTCTTCCTTTTCTATTTGGAGGCTTTTTATATCTTTCTCTTGTCTTATTGCTCTAGCTAGGACTTCCAGAACTATGTTGAATAACAGTGGTGACAGTGGGCATTCTTGTCATGTTCCAGATCTTAGAGGAAAGACTTTCAGTTTTTCCCCATTCAGTATGTTACTAGCTGTGTGTCTGTCATATATGGCTTTATTATGTTGAGGTATGTTCTTTCTAGCCTCAGTTTTTTGATTTTTTTTTAATCATGAAGGGACATAGAATTTTGTCAAACACTTTTCAGCATCAATTGAAATGCTCATATGGTTTTTGTCCTTTGTTCTGTTGATCTGATGTATCACACTGATTGATTTGCATATTGTATTAGTCTGCTCTCACACTGCTATAAAGAACTGCCTGAGACTGGGTAATTTATAAAAAGAAAAGGTTTTATTGACTCACAGTCCTGCATGGCTGGTGAGGCCTCAGGAAACTTACAATCATGGCAGAAGGCACCTCTTCACAGGGCAGCAGGAGAGAGTGAGTGCAAGCAGGGGGAGTACCAGATGCTTATAAAACCATCAGACCTCATAAGAACTCACTCACTATCATGAGAACAGCATGGGGGAACCTACCCCCATAATCCAATCACTTCCTACCAGGTCCCTCCCACCACATGTGAGGAATATGGAGATTACAATTCAAGATGAGATTTGGGTGGGGATACAGCCAAACCATATCACATATGTTGAACCATCCCTGCATCCCAGGGAAAAATCCCACTTGGTCATGATGAATGATCTTTCTAGTGTATTGTTGAATTCAGTTTGTGAGTATTTGTTGATGATTTTTATATCAATATTTATCAGAGATACTGGCCTGTAGTTTTCTTTTTTTGATGTGTCTTTGTCTTGTTTCATTATCAGGGTAATATTGACCTTATAGAATGAGTTTGGGAATATTCTCTTCTCCTCTGTTTGTAGGAATTAGTTTGAGAAGGATTAGTATTAGTTCTTCTTTAAATATTTGGTAGAATTCAGCAGTGAAACCCTCGTGTCCCAGGCTTTTCTTTACTGGAAGATTTTTGTTATGGCTTCAACCTTGCTACTTGTTATTGGTCTGTTCAGGTTTCGGATTTCTTCCTGGTCCAATCTTGGTAGGTTGTATAGGTTGTTATGTATCTAGGAATTTGTCCATTTTTTCTTGATTTTTCCAATTAATTAGCATAAATTTCCTCATAGTATTCAATAATGATCCTTTGAATTTCTGTAGTATCAATTATAATGTCCCTTTGTTCATTTCTGATTTTATTTATTTGGATCTTCCCTCTTTTTTGCTTAATCTGGCTAAAAGTTTTGTTGTACTTTGAAATTTTGTTTAACTTTGAAAAAACAATTTTTTGTTTTCTTGATCTTTTGTATTGTTTTATTTTTCATTTCAATTTTATTTATTTCTTCTCTGATCTTTATTATTCCTTTTCTTTTACTAATTTTGGGTTTGGTTTGCTCTTGCTTTTCTAGTTCTTTAAAAATAAATTGCTAGATTGTTTATTTGAAGCCTTCCCTCATTTTGATGTAGGCATTTATAACTATTAACTTCCCTCTGAGTACTGGTTTTGCTATATTCCATAGGTTTTGGTATGTTGTGTTTCCATTATCATTTATTTCAAGAAATTTTTCAAGGTTGTTCTTAATTTCTTCTTTAACCCACTGGTCGTTCAGGAGCATTTTGGTTAATTTCCAGGTATTCGTAGTTTCTCCAGTTCCTCTTGTTATTAATTTCTAGTTTCATTCCATTTTCGTCAGAGAGGATGCTTGATATTATTTCAAGTTTTGAATGTTTTAAGACTTTTTTGTGACCTAATATATGGTATATTCTTGAAAATGATCCATGTGCCAAGGAAAGGAATGTGTATTCTGCAGCTCTTTAATAAAATGTTCTGTAAATAGCTATTGGATCCACTTTGTCTATAGTGCAGATTCAGTTTGATGTTTCTTTGTTGGTTTACTGCATGGAAGATCTGTCCAATGCTGAAAGTGGGGATGTTGAAGTCTCCAGCTATTATTGTATTAGGGTCTATCTTTCTCTTTAGCTATAATATTTCCTTTATATATGTAGTTGCTCCCGTGTTGGAGCAACTACATATATAAATTGTTATATTATCTTACTGACTCAACCCCTTTATCATTAAATAGTGACCTTCTTTGTCTTTTCTTATAGTTTTTGTCTTAACATCTATTTTGTCTGATAAAAGTATAGTAACTTTTATGCTTTTTGGTTCCCATTGGCATGGAATATCGTTTTTCCATCCCATTAATTTCAGTCTACATGTGTCTTTATGGGTGAAGTGTATTTCTTCACTCATTCACAGATTAATGGGTCTTGCTTTTTTAATATACTCAGCCAGTCTATTTAAAAAACATTTTTTTAGAAAACATAGACTGGCTAAGTGGATTAAAAAAAAACAAGAGTTCAGTCCATTTACATTAAATGTTATTATTGATAAGTAAGTACTTACTCCTACCATTTGGTTATTAGTTTTCTGGTTGTTTTGTGGTCTTCTCTTCCTTCTTTCTTTTCTTCCTGTCTTCCTCTATTGAAGAAATTTTCTCTAGTGATATGATTTAGTTTCTTGCTTTTTATTTTTTATGTACCCATTGTATGGTTTTTTTTTGTTTGAGGTAACCATGAAGCTTGCAAATGCTGTCTTATAACCCATTATTTAACCTGATAACAACTTAACACTATTTCCTTAAACAAACAAGCAAAAAAGAAAACTAGTTACTATATCTTGAAAAGTTGTTGTAGTTATTATTTTGATTGGCTCATTATTTACTGTTTCTACTTAGGATAAGAATCATTTACACACCACAGTTACGATGTTATATTATTCTGTGTTTTTCTGTGTACTTACTATTACCACTAAAATTTATACCTTTAGGTGATTACTTATTGCTCATTAACGTCTTTTTCTTTCTGATTGCAGTACTCCTTTTAGCATTTCTTATAGGACATGTCTGGTATTGATGAAACCCCAGTGTTTCTTTTGTTGTTGTTGTGTTTTGTTTTGTTTTTGTCTGGGAAAGTATTTATTTCTTCTTCATGTTTTAAGGATATTTTGCCAGTATACTGTACTAGGGTAAAAGTTTTTTTTTTTCCTTCAGCACTTTAAATATATCATGCCACTGTCTTGTGGCCTGTAACGTTTCCACTGAAAAGTCTGCTGGAAGATGTATTCAAGCTTCACTGTATGTGATTTGTTTCTTTTTTCTTTCTGCTTTTAGAATCCTTTCTTTATACTTGACCTTTGGGAGTTGATTATTAAATACCTTGAGGTAGCCTTCCTTGCATTAAGTCTACTTGGTGTTCTATTACGTTTTTGTACTTGGATATTGATATTTTTCTCTAGGTTTAGGAAATTCTCTTTTATTATCCTTTTGAATAAATGTTCTACCCCTATGTCTTTCTCTATATCCTCTTTAAAGCCGACAATTTTTAGATTTGCCCTTCTGTGGCTATTTTCTATATCTTTTAGGTGTGCTTCATTCTTTTATATTTTTTTCTTTTGTCTCCTCTGTGTATTTTCAAATAGGCTGTCTTCAGGTTCACTAATTCTTTCTTCTGTTTGATCAATGCTGCTATTAAAGAACTCTGATGCATTTTCAGTATGCCAATTGCGTTTTTAAGCTCCATAATTTCTGTTTGATTATTTTTAATTACTTCAATCTGTCTGTTAAATTTATCTAATAGAATTCTGAATTCCTTCTTTGAGACATTTTGAATTTCTTTGAGTTTCTTCAACACAGCTCTTTTGAATTTTCTGTCTGAAAGGTCACATATCTCAGTTTCTCCAGGATTGGTCCCTGGTGCCTTATTTAGTTCATTTGGTGAGGTCATGTTTTCCTGGATGATGTTGGTGTTAGTAGATGTTCTTTGGTATCTGGGCATTAAGAGTTAGGTATTGTAGGCTTCACCACTGGGGCTTATTTGTAGCCATCCTTCTTGGGAAGGCTTTCCAGATATTTGAAAGGACTTGGGTGTTGTGACCTGAGCTGTGTTTGTTTTCTTCCCTTACTTTCTCCCAAACATGCAGAGCGTCTCTCTATATATATCTGTACTGAGACACCTAAAGTTGAGGGTAAAATGACACAAGCACCCTTGTGGCCACCACCACTGGGACTGTACTTGGTCAGACCTGAAGCTAGCACAGCACTGGGTCTTGCCTAAGGCCTGCTGTAACCACTCACTGACTACTTCCTATCCTATGTTCATTCAAGGCCATGGGACTCTACAGTCAGTGGGTTGCAAAGCCAGCCGGGCCTATGTCCTTCCTTTCAAAGCAGTGAGGTCCATCAGGCCCTGGGTGGGTCCAGAAGTACCATTCAGGAGTCAGGGACTGAAGTAAAAATCCTTAGACATCCACCTGGTATCCTGTTGTAGTGCAGCTGAGCTGGCACTCAAACCATAAAACATGGTTCTTCACTTTTCCTTTCTTCTTCCAACGGCAGAGGAGCCTCATCCTGAAGCTACTGCCACCTTAGGCCACAAGAAGTACTGCCAAACTACCACCAATGTTCCCACAAGGCCCAAGTTCCCTTAAGTCAGCTTGTGGTGAATACTGCCTGGCCTGATACTCACCCTTCAGGGCAGGGAGCTCCCCTCTGGCCCAAGGCAGGTCCAGAAACGCCATTCAGCCCAGGGCAGGTCCAGAAATGCCATTCAAGTGTCAAGTTGTGGAATTGATGATCCCAAGAGCCCACTTGTGCTCTATTACCCTGTAATTTTTGGTTCTTATGAAGGTGTTTTTTATGAGTAGATATTTGTTAACTTGGTGTCCTTGTGGGGAGGGATGCTTAGTGGAGCCTTCTATTCCACCATCCTGCTCTGCCTCTAGTGTAATAAATGTTGATATATTTTATAAAATTATGCACATAATTCTCATAATTAATGTGCCTTTTGGGAATCATTTATAAGCAGTTATATTGCTAATACCATTTTGTTCATTTTTTTCCAATGCTACTTTTCCATATATATTATTATTCAATATCATTTAAACCAGTAGTTCTAACTAGTGGTAGTTTTGCTCCCCAGGAAATATTTTGCAATGTTGGGAGATATTTTTGTTTGTCACATCTGGGATGGTGGTACTGGAATAGAGTGAGTGGAGGCAAGAGATGATGCTATAAATCCTTCAGTGCACATGATAGGCCCCCCAACAAAGAATCATGCAGTTCCAAATGTTATATAGTACTGCTGAGGTTAAAAAGCCCTGATCAAATTTTTTTGTAAGATCAATTTCAATAGCTTGCCTCTTTTTTCTCTTACCAATGTCTTCTGTAGGGCAGACATTTTAATTAAATTATCTTTTTACTTTTTCTTTCATGGATCATGCTTTTGGTTTTGTATTTAAAATTTAATCGCGAAACCCAAGGTAATACAGATTGTTTTCTCTGCTTCAAGAAATTGTATAGAATTACAGTTTACATTTAGGCCTATGTTCTACTTATAATTAACTGTTTGTGAAAGGTATATGGTCTGTGTGCATGTTCATTTTATTGTTCATATGGTTGTCAAGATTTCCAGCACCATTTATTGAAATGATCATTCTCTATACATTGAATTGCCTTTGCTTCTTTGTCAAAGATCAGTTGACTGTATTTGTGTGGGTCTACTTTTGGGTTCTCTATCCTTCTCCATTATCTACGTGTCTATTTATTTTTGCCAATATTACACTCTTTTTATTAATATCATCTTACATTAAGTCTTGAAATTAAGTTATGTGAATTCTTCAACTTTATTCTTCTTCAGTATACCGGGCTATCTGATTCTATAGACTTTCCATGTAAACTTTATGACAAGTATGTCCATATCTCCAAAATAAATTGAAATTTTGATTAATATTGAATTGAATACGTGTAGTTGGGAAGGTTTGCTATCTTCACAATACCTTGTGTCTGTTCACAATATCTTCACAATATTGAGTCTTTCAATTACTGAACAAATAATATCTCTTGATTTACATAGATTTTCTTTGATTATTTAAAAATAAGTGTTTGCACATTTGATTGAGATATATATATATATATATTTGTCCTATACATTTTTTGTTTGATATATACCTACTTATTTTATTTTGGAGGTACCTTAGTAAATTATATGGCTGTCATTTAAATTTCAAATCTCATGTGTTTAGTCCTGGAAGATATAACAACAATTGAATTTTGTATATTAGCCATTACAATCTGTGAACTTGCTCTACTCTGTTATTAGTTCTGGGAACTTTTTAGTGATTCTTTGGAATTTTCCAAGTAAACATTTATGTTATCTGCAACTAGGATGTTTTATTTCTTCCTTTCAAATTTAAATGGTTTCAATTCCTCCTGTTGTCTTATTGGACTAGTTAGGGCTAGGCCTTCCAGTATAATGTTAAATATAAGTGGGGAGGGAGGCAATTCTTTTCTTTTTGCCGATGTTATGGGAAATATGATCAGTTTCTCATCATTAAGCATGATGTTGATTGTATATTTTTTGCAGATTTTTTAAATTAAATTGTGGTAGTTTACCCCTATTACTAGTTTGCTGAGAGTCTTTTCATAAATAGCTGTTGGATCTTTGTCAAATGCGCTTTTACATTAATTAATATAATTATATGATTTTACTTTGTTAATCTATTGATGAGGTATTGATTGATTTTCAAATGTTGAACTAGACTTACATAGGTGGAGTAAATCTTTCTTGGTGGTGGCATATAACTCAGTTTATACTCAGTTGTTGACATTTTGTTGAATTTTTCTTGTAGAAAAAAAATGTTGCCCAGGCTGGTCTGAAATTCCTGCCCTCAAGTGATCCTCTAACCTCAGACTCCCAAAGCACTGGGATCACAGGCCTGAGCCACTGGGCCTGGCCAGAGTCTTTGTTAACAATTTTTGCTAATATTTTGTTGAGAAATTTGGTGTCTATGTTCATAAGAACAAAAAGCATTTCTGTACAGAAAAGCATTTCTTTTCTGTAATGCTTTTATCTGGTTTTGGTATTGGGATAAAGCTGGCCTCATTGAATCAGGTAGGAAGTATTCCTTTGGCTTCTATTTCCTGGAAGAAGTGGAGATTTGGTAATATTTTTAAACTGAATATTTAGTAGAATTCACTATGTAACCATGTGTTCTTGATTGTTTCTTTTTTAGAAGGTAATTCTTTACTAATTCAATTACTGTAATAAATATAAAGCTATTCAAATTATTTCTACTTGTGTGAGTTTTTATAATTCATCTTTCATGGAATGGTTTATTTCAACCAAATATATCAAATTTGTGGGCATATAGTTATACATCATACTTCTTGATTTTCCTTTTAATGTTCATGGGGTCAGTAGTGATGACCTTTTTTCATTTGTGGTATTAGCTATTTGTCTTCTCTATTTAATTTAATTTTTTTATTATTATTTTTTGGTTAGCCTGGCCAGAAGTTTATCAATTTTATTAATCTCTGCAAAAACTCATCTTTTGGTTTTGTTGATTTTATTGTTTTGCTCTTTTCAATTTCATTTATTTCTGCTCTGATTCTTGCTGTTTCTTTTTTTCTGCTTACTTTAGGTTTGAATTTCTTTTCTGTCTCTAGTTTCTTAAGTTGGAAGTTTAGGTCATTGATTTTTAGGTATTTTTAGCTTTCTAGTGTGTGCATTTAATAGTATAAATTTCCCTGTAAGTACTGCTTTGATACATTCTACAAATTTTGGTGTTTTATTTTCATTTTCATTTAGTTCAAAATATTTTTCAATTTTTTGGAGATTCTTTGACCCATGTGTTATTTAAAAATATGTTGTTTGTTCTCCAAATATTTGGAATTTTCTAACTATCTTTCTGTTATTGGTCTTTTCTTTAATTATGTTATGAGAACATACTTGGAGGATTTTTATACTTTTAAATTTGTTAAAGTGTGTTTTATGTTTACAATGTGGTCAATCGTAGTTTATGTTCCATGTAAGCTTGAGAGGAATGTGTTTTCTACCAGTTTTAGATAAAGTCTTCTATAAAAGTTAATTAGATAAAATTGACTGGCAATGTTATTCAGGTCAACTCTATTTTTAGTAATTTTGTGTCTATTGGATCTAATAATTACTGATAGTCAAGTGTTGAAGTTTTCAACTAGAACAGTAGATTTGCCTTTCTTTCTTTCTTTCTTTCTTTCTTTTTTTTTTTTTTTTGAGTGCAATGGTGTGATCTCAGCTCAGTGCATCCTCTGCCTCCCGGGTTCAAGCGATTTTCCTGCCTCAGCCTCCTGAGTAGCTGGGATTACAGGTGCCCACAACCATGCATGCCTAATTTTTGTATTTTAGTAGAGATGGGGTTTCTCCATGTCAGCCAGGCTGGTCTCGACCTTCTGACCTTGAGTGATCCGCCCACCTCGGCCTCCCAAAGTCCTGGGATTACAGGGTTGAGCCACTGCGCCTGGCCTATTTTTCTTTTAAATTTTATTTATTGTTGCTTCATGTGTTTAGATGGGTGGGTGAAAATCCATTTAGAATTTGTATGTGTTCTTGGAGAAGGAACTTCTTTATCATTATGTAGTTCTAATGTTTATACCTAAAATTTATTTGTGCTCTGAAGTCTGTTTTGTCTGAAATTAACACAGTTACTCAAAGTTACAGCTCTCTTTTGATTTGTTTAGCGTGCTTTATTTTTTTCCACCTTTCTACTCCTAACCTATTAGAGTCTTTATATTTAAACTGCAGATTTTATAAATAATATACAGTTTGAATTTGCTTTTACCCACTCTCAATATCTCTGCTTTTAAAAGTGGTGTATTTAAACCACTCATATTTAAAGTGATTATTTATATATTTGGATTAATAGCAACTGTATGTTAAAATATTGTCTACTTATTGACAAAGGTTATTTTCTTGCACGCTCTGGTTTTAATTGAGTCCTTTTGTGATTGATTTTTATCTTCTCTCTTAGCATAATTTTTTTACCTCTTCTTTGAACATTTTAGTACTTTGTGTACAGTTTACGTTATACATTCATTCACTAATAAACATTTTTTACCAGCCTAAGTCCACTTTCAAATAATCTTATTCTGCTCCATGTGTAGTGCAGGTGTCTTATATCAGAATATTCCCAATTTTTCTCTCCTATCCCTGTGAAATTTTTGTCATTTATTTCATATGTTCATACACTATAATTACCCAAAGCACTATCACAATTATTATTTGTATTCTAAATCACCTAAAGATAAGAAAAATAGTCTTTATTTTACTTTTATTTATTTCTTCTCTGAAGATCTTCTTTTTCTGTGTAGAGATGAGTTTCTGATTCATATCATCTTTCTTCTGCCTGAAGAATATTTTTTAATATTTCTTGCACCATGTGTGATATAGTTTGCTTCTGTGTCACCACCCAAATCTCATGTTGAGTTGTAAGTCCCAATTTTGGGGGAGAAACCTGGTAGGAGGTGATTGGATTATGGGGACATATTTCACCCATGCTGTTCTCATGATAGTGAGTGATTTCTCACAAGATCTGATGGTTTAAAAGTTTGTGGCATTTCTTCCCTCTCTCTCTCTCTCTCCTGTTCTGACATGTGAAGATGCGTTTGCTTCCCCTTTCACCATAATTGTGTTTCCTGACGCCTCCCAATCATGTTTCCTGCTAAGCCTGCAGAACTATGAGCCAATTAAACTTTTTTTCTTCATAAATTACCCAGTCTCAGGTAGTTTTTTATAGCAGTGAGAGATGGACTAATACAGAAAGTTGGTACCAGAAGTGGGGTACTGCTATAAAGATACCTGAAAATGTGAAAACAACTTTGGAACTGGGTAACAGACAGAGGTTGGAACATTTAGGAGGGCCCAGAAGAAGACGGGAAGATGAGGGAAAGTTTGGAACTTCCTAGAGATTTGTTGAATGATTGTGACCAAAATGATGATACTGACACGAACAATGAAGTGCAGGTTCAGGTGGTCTCAGATGAAGATGAAGAACTTAATGGAGACTGGAGTAAAGGTCACTCTTGCTATGCTTTAGCAAAAAGACTGGCAGCATTTTGCCCCTTCCCTAGAGATCTGTGAAACTTTGAACTTGAGAGAGATGATTTAGGCCATCTGGCATAAGAAATTTCTAGCAGCAAGGCATTCAAGAGCTAATCTGCCTTTTTCTAAAAGTGTACAGTCATATGCATTTACAAAGAGATGGTTTGAAATTGGAATTTATGTTTAAAAGGGAAGGAAAGCATAAAGGTGTGAAAAACATGTCACCTGACCATGTGGTAGAAAAGAAAAACCCATTTTGGGGAGAGGAATTCAAGCATGCTGCAGAAATTTGCATAAGTAACGAGGATCTGAATGCTAATCACTAAGACAATGGGGCAAATGTCTCCGGGGCATTTCAGAAACCTTCAGAGGAACCCCTCCCTTCACATGCCCAGAGGTCTAGGAGGGAAAAATGGTTTCATGGGCCAGGCTTAGGGCCCAGCTGCTCTGTGCACCCTCAATACATGGCATGGCATCCTGCATCCCAGCCATTCCAGCTCCAGCTGTGGTTCAAAGAAACCAAGGTACAGCTTGGGTTGTTGCTTCAGAAAGTGCAAGGCCCAAGCCTTGGTGACTGGGAGTGTGGGCGTGCAGAAGGCAAGAGTTGAGGTTTGGGAAAATCTGCCTAGATTTCAGAGGATCTATGGAAATGCTTGGATGTCCAGGCAGAAGTCTGCGGCAGGGGAGGAACACTCAGGGAGAACCTCTATTAGGGAAGTGCAGAGGGAAAATGTGGGGTTGGAGCCCCCATACAGAGTCCCCACTGGGGCACTGCCTGGTGGATCTGTGAGAAGAGGGCCACTGTCCTCCAGACCCCAGAATGGTAGATCCACCAACAGCTTGCACTGTGTGTCTGGAAAAGCCACAGACACTCAATGCCAGCCAATGAAAGCAGCCGCAGGGGCTGTACTCTGCAAAGCCACATGGATGGAGCTGCCCAAGGCTATAGGTGCTCACCCCTTGCATCAGTATGTCCTGGATCTGAGACGTGGAGTCAAAGAAGATTATTTTGGAGCTTTAGGATTTAATGACTGTCCTGCTGGGTTTGGGGCTTGCATGGGGCCTGTAGCCCCCTTGTACTGGCCATTTTTTTCCCTTTTCATATGGAGAATTTAGCAAATGCCATATATTGGAAGTAATAGAGGTGGTTTTGAGTTTACAGGATCATAGGTGGAAGTTACTTGCCTTGTCTCAGATGAGACTTTGGAGTTGGACTTTTGGATTAATGCTAGAATGAATTAAGACTTTGGGGGATTGATGAGAAAGCATGATCTGTTTTGAAATGTGAGAACAGCATGAGATTTGGGAGGGGCCAGGGTCAGAATGATATGGTTTGGCCCTGTTTCCTCATCCAAATCTCATGTTGAATTTTAATCCCCAGATGTCAGTGGAGGAATTTGGTGAGAGGTGATTGAATCATGGGGGCAGATTTCCCACATGCTGTTCTTAATGAGATCTGATGATTCAATAGTGTGTGGCACTTCCTCCCTCTCTGTCTTTCTTTTTTTCTCTCCTGCTTTGACATGTGAAGATGTGCTTGCCTTCCAACATGATTGTAAGTGTCTTGAGGCCTTCCAGTCATGCTTCCTGTTAAGCCTGCAGAACTGTGAGTCAATTAAAGCTCCTTTCTTCATAAATTGCCCAGTCTCAGGTAGTTCCTTATAGCAGTGTAAAAACAGACTAATGCAACCAGTCTGCTGGTGATCGATCGTCCTAGATTTTTTGAGAAAGTCTTTATTTTTCCTTTAATTTTTGAGGATAATTTTGTTGGAGATAGAGTAGTAGGTTGGTGATTTGTTTTTTTCAACAGTTAAACTTTAAACAGATACTTTTTTACTCCATTCTTCTGCTTGCATAGTTTCTTACCTGAATTCCAATGTAATTTCTATGTTTGTGCCTTTATAGGTAGTATGTTTTTTTATCTGAAGTATTTCAAGATCTTTTCTTTGTCATTGGTTTACTAAAATTTGAATGTCCTATACCTCGATATAGTTTTGTTTATTTGTTTGTATTTATTTGGTTAGACATTCTCTGAAATTACTGAATCCATGGTTTGGTGTTTTTCACTAATTTTGGAAAGTTTGAAATTATTATTTCAAACATTTATTTTGCTCTCTTTTGTCTTTATTTTTCCTTCTTTTACTCTAGTTACATCTTATGTTATATCCCTAAATTTGTCTCACAGTTCTTGGATGTTCTGGTCTTTTGTTTTTATTCTTTTTTTTTTTTTTTTTTAATTTCAATTTGGGAAGTTTCTATAGATTTATATTCAAGCTCACTAGTTCTTACCTTGGCTGTGTCGATTCTACTGATGAGCACATCAAAGGCTTTTTCTACTTGTGTAAAAATGCTTCTAACATTTCCACCATTTTATTTTGATTCTTTCTTAGAGTTCTGTCTCTCTGGTTACTGTACCATCTGTTCTTGCATGTTGTCTACTTTTTGTGTTAGATCTCCTAACATATTAATCATAGACATTTACAATTACCGGCTTGATAATTACAATATTTGTAACATGCCTGAATCTGGGTCTGATCTTTGCTTTGACTCTTCAGACTTTGTTATTATTTTGTTGTTTACTTTCTTGTTTCTTTTTCTTCCTTTTTGCTGTTGACATGCCATCCATTCATTTACTTGTGAAACTGGACTTGTTGTATTGCATAATAGGAAGCCAAGTAAATAGACCTGTAATGTGAGGATTTATGTTAATCTGGCTAGTGTTTGGGCTTTGTTCAATGTTTGTTGTAGCTCTATGTGCCAGAGGCTTCAAACTCCTCTACGGTCCTTGTTTTTGTCTCCCCTCTTGACTTTGAACTTCTGTAAGTGCTCCTCCTTGCAGAAAGTCTATGTCTTACAGCTCTGTAATCCACCATTATTAAACAAAAGTTTTGTTGTAATTGCAGTAAGGTAGAGAAGAAGATTGTATAATTTTTCAATTAACTTCAGTCTTTTAATGCTCCTGTGTCCCTGGCCCATGACCTTCACAAGTGTTTCTTTTTATATATGTGGTTTTTTTTTCTTCGTCTTAGTTGAGACAGGAATGCTAGTGGAGTGAGAGGAATGCACCTCTTCATAGCTCCAGGACAAGGCTCTGGTAAGGTTTTGTTTCCCCAGAGAGTGTAGGCCTTTGTTATGCAGAAGGCTCTCAGCACATTTCACAAGGATTACTCTTCTCCTCAGGCTAGAACCAGGAGTCAATTTTTCTGGTTTTTGTTTGTTTGTTTTGTTTTTTTACCACAAGAACTGGGTGGAGATTCCAGAGGTAAAGCCCACAAAAGTGTGAGGCTCCCCTAGGACTATGGGCACCGAGAGAATCTTACTCTGAAATGAGCCCACACTAAGCTACCCTTTACACTTCAGTATGTGCTTCCTAAAAACAAGAACATCATTGTGTATCTTCACAACACAATTACCACTAGATACAATATTATTACCGAATCTGTAGACTAGTTAAATGTCGTCACCCGGAGTCCAGCACATGGTTGTGTTATGTTTTCTTTTCTGCTCTTTGGCTATCAATCTGGAATAGGTCCTCAGTCTTTCTATGTCTTTTTAAAAATTATTATTATTATTATTTTATATACAGGGTCTCATTCTGTTGCCCAGGCTGGAGTGCAGTGGTGTGATCATAGCTATTGTAACCTCAAACTTCTGGACTCAAGCAATCCTCCTGCCTCAGCCTCCCCAGTAGCTAGGACTACAGGCACATGCCACCTAGTGAATTTTTTATTCTCTTTTGTAGCAACGGTGTTTCACTATTTCCCAGGGTGGTCTTCAACTCCTGACCTCAAGTGAGCCTCCCACCTCAGCCTCCAAAAGTGCTGGGATTACAAGTGTGAACTACTGCACCCAGCCTTTCTTTGTCTTATGTTATTTTGATACTTTAAAGAGTAAAGCCTACTTATTTAGTGGAATACCTCTTAATTTGCATTGGTCTGTTACTGTATCATTTCCAGTTCATTCTATCAGTAGGCACATGACACTATTTTGTTCTATTTTTGGTGATGTTAACATTGGTCTCTTGGTTAAAATAGTGTCTGCAAAGTTTCTCCAGTGTAAATTTTCTCTGTAAAAATAGTAAGCACACTTTGGGGAAAATACTCTGAAATACTTGTTAATTCTTCAGTCCTCCTCTCACTTCTATCATCCCACCAATTTCCACCTTCATCCCCTCAAAGTTTCAACATTTTTGCCTGGCTATAGCTTAATCGTTCTTTAGGGCACAAAAATGACTTCATTGACTCTTAGACTAAATTGTACTCTCTGTTTAATAATAATAGCTTACAGCATCATCTCAGACCCTAGCTCCAGCCTTGCTGATGTTCAGGCGGTAGAGAGGTAGATCCCCAAATTAACAGGGTGTGGATGGGGAAATCCTGAGAGCATCGTGGCTTTCTGTAATTTGTGTTCTTCATATCTATTCTCTTCATAGAAATCATGCTTTAATGTTGTTTGTAAAAAAATATGCAAAAGTACCAGGGATATTTAAGTTAAAAAAAAAAAAGCCCTCAAAAAAAATCAAAGCCTGCAAGTGAGGTTGTGGACTTAGAGGGAGAAACATACTACGTGATATGAGACTCAGGTCACTATCATGTTTCAGTCATTTGCTGAGCAGCATCTGGTATGTGACCTCTAACAAGTCCTGACAGATCAGGTCTCGGAGGTTGAGTGCAGACACCTCTATCCCTACAAGGCATACTTTGTGGAGAGCCTGGGATTTCTGGAGGAGCTTGGAGACTGAGAAAGTTAGTAAACATTGCTGTAGTATTTGTGCTTAGCCTCTCTGAGTTCAAACAAAATTAGACAGAATCAGAACCAAATTCAAGCTCTTCACAGTGTCAGCTGGGGCAAGGCATAGTGTTTAGACATTGTCCTTATAGCACAGTTGTGCTAGTAGACATCAGAGAGAAGCTTCCAAGAAAAGGAAAGAAATTTTCTGGGAACATCTTACCTTCATCCCTGCCAGGCACAGAACTTCTCAATTAGGGAGAGAGGAGATACAGAATGAAACTATTCTACCCACTTGAAGTAAAGTGATTCGCCCCTATAACATGCACCTTTACTAGAGTTCAGAGCTTGTAGAACAGTGCTGAGGATGTGGCAGGAGCCCAATTATATTCATACAATTAAATTGAATAATATAATACAATGGAAATTACAACCACACTGTCGTGTTGTAAGATATGTACATCATATAGCAGAAAATCATCAAAAAATGTGTGTACTCTGTATGAAAATTCAAAAGTATTTGTTTTGTTTGTATATTTCAGGAATTATAAATTTACGATTGTGTCTCTTTTTGCTTTTTCTGATTCAAAATTTAGAGCTGAAACCAAGGCTTTTGTGACATACTAGTCCATAAGGCAGTGATTGTGTGTGCAAAGTGTGTCTCTGGTTTTATTATTCTGTTCACATATTTTTCCATTTGTATGTCTCTCAAATTTTCTAACCATATAAACCAGAAATTTTCTTTTGCAAAGACAAGTTTCAGAAAAGAAAACATTGTCCTTAATTTAAGTCCCTAAAAACAAAATCTCACATCACTCTACTTATTTTAATATTTAGAATAATTTGATGTTTGTGTAAGGTATATTAGTCATAAGTTAATTCAATTGAAAGTAGTTGTATATGATTTCAAGATAATATGAAAGTATCCATTTTTTTTAAGTAGAGGAGTTTAGACCTTTAATAAAAATATCCAACCTAGAGGATGTTTTTAAAGCTGTTGTAATGTTCATAGTAACATCTTTGTGGCGAGATTAAAATTTCTATGAGAACATTACACTTGAATTCAACAAGTGCTGCCTGTTAGCATGAATAGCAAATGCACATCCATGCTTCTCTTAGATAACAGATGTTGTCTAGGAGGATGGTGATTGCACACACGACAATTTAAAGATATAATTTTTGACATGTGAAGAGTGGAAAAGATAACGCTTGAATCACTAGAATATTTCTCAGTCCATTATTATAAATAGGTGCATGTACCTAAATTAATAATCTTAATTACATATAAAATTTTTGAAATTGGCTCAAAATGTTTATTAACTATTGACTATCCCATTGGGAAGTCAGTGAAAACTTTATATCCATGTATTTGGCAACATATTTTTAATTCTATGTGTTACATATGTTTTTATGTCTTACTTTAAGTTTATTGTGAAATACAATAAAGATATATCAAAATGAATATTCAAATTTAACTATTAACAGATATTACTACTATTCATATTCATAATGCTTATTACCATTCATTATAACATTACAAGTTACTGAAATATTTAATGTTCAAATACGTTGTTCTTGAACAGGCATTTATGTTAAGTTTGTGTAAGTGATGCCATGTTCCACTAAGACAAGACCGAGATATTTAGTTCAAAGGTGACATGTCCTCTTCAATAAGTAGATTGTTATTTTGGTTCACGGTGGTGAGGTGGAGATGGGGCCAACATTAAAGAATCAACATCAGTTTCCTACATATTTTTAGGCAGGTTTTATTTTTCAATAATATGACACACTTCCATTTTTATTTATTACATATTTGTTTCTATGTATCCTGTAAAAATATAAACAAAAAGAAACCCAAAACTTGCACTCACTATTAAAGACAGGAGTCAGGCTTGAGTTCCTTTTTTTCTCCCTCCCTCTCTCCTTCTTTCTCCTCCCCCGCTCTTGCTCTCTCCTTTCTCTTTTTCTTTCATTTTTTTCTTGCTTTCTTTCATTTTAATACCCTTGTTCCCATTGCTAGTATTGTTAATAGAGTCTTATTTGCAATGACTCAACAGTTAAGTCTCTTTCTCCTCATTTCATTTTTTGCAGCAGTGGTTGTCAGGCCAGTGAAAATGAAATGCTGCAGTTGACAGTGTTTAATATTATTTGTTCCTATCACTGTTAACACTTCTATTATTATTGAAATGTTTAGATCAGCACTGTCAGTTCCAAAGGACCTGCTGACATACCAAGGAAAACTTTGATAAACAGCTCTGCTGTATTTCTCTATATTCTTCATAGTCCTCGTTTGAAAATCCTTTCTTGTTCCTTGGAGTAATTTATTTTGAAGAAAAAAAAAATCTTGGTTTGTTAAGAACTCATCAATTCCTGCTTCTTATTTTCCACTTGAAGTTTTAATCCTCTGTTTCTAACCTCACAATCGGTTGCTGTGGAGGTGATTAAGATGTCACAAATATAGGATTATTGTAATTCTGGGTAGAGAATAAGCCTGAGATGATTTTCTAAAGAACAAAGAGGTCATTTTCATGTAAATATATCAACTGCTTCAAAGTGAGGAAAGGGAATGAAACAGAAATATGAGATCTAATACTACCGGTTATAAAAGAAATGGATTAAAATTTCATATGAAAAATTAATAGCTCTGAAAAATTTATACATTATGATTTTTATGATTTTTTGAGTTCTGTGTTTCTTTGCACATGTGTGGGTCTGTAAGCTGAAAGCATGTGTGGGTCGGGATAGCCTCCTAAATACAAACATCTAATTGAATGTAATGTGTGACCTTGAACAAAGACCAATTTTTCCTTTGATTTGTAGAAACCAGTGTCATTTTATAATTATACTTCGTGCCTTCTGTTGCATTTGAAAGAATATTTCAGGACATCACAATTCCCCTGAAGTTGTGTATCCTGTATCAATTACATATTAGATTACAGACTTGATATTGCTTTTTCTAAGTAATTTAAATCTGGGAAGTTACTGAGTAAGTTGTAAATACCTTCTGAGAATCTTCCTCTTCTTCTTACTCTAAGTATAGTAGGAAGGTATTTCCCAGCCTAAGGCACAGAGTAGGCTTTTAGTTAATACTTGTCAAGTAACAACAGGGGACAGACTTCTCTGCTTCTGAAGAAAAATGATGCCTTGACAAACTTTTGAATGGTAAGAGTTACAGAGAACTTTTCCTCCCCCGCCTCCCAGGCCATGGCATTTTATCGCTCCACTGATGAGCATACAGCTCCATCTGGGGGCAGGGCCAGAATGGAACATTTTCTCATAGTCTTGGTCTCTTGGCCACATAGCTGTCATCTTTGTGCATCAGTCAGGCGCTCCCTTCGTCACTAGCACTGAACTGCTCATGGAAGAAAATTTAGTGCCTTGCGATTGGGACTAGCTCCAGCTACCGCATTTCAGGGCATTCCTTAGGATCACTGGGGGCATCATTATGATCAATTCCAAAGGATACTCTTGAGGAGCCCTAAAACCTTAGACTTAGTGATAATGTAATATTTTCCTGCTTCTCTCTTGTTTCTGGGGCATCTCTTTCCTCTGGTTTTCTTTCTAACTCTTGTCTTTCCTTGCCAGTCTAATTTGCACATCACTTAGTCAGCTGCTCCACAGATCGTCTGTATGTAACCCTTTTCTCTTGTCATTCTTCACCCTTCTTTATAAAACGATATCCACACTCATATCTTAAAATAACTTCTTTCCTCTGATGGCTACCACATCTGCACTTAAATCCTTTTCCTCTTGAGATTCACCCTGCAAGTATAATTGTGTCCTACTGAGTTTTGTTTGAGTATCTTGCAGGTAATATGCTCAAAGTTCTTCATCTTCCCAACTAAATCATATCTATCTTTTTCTAGTTTGGAGATGAAATGTTACCTTCCTTTTTTTGTGTGTGCCCTAATGTTAATTACCCCAATCCATCAACAGGTTCTGCCAATTCTGGTTGCTCAAGAAGTCTCCAATCTGTCCTTTATTTATGTATCCTCACTACAATAACCATAGTGATGTTCTTATATTTGGCTACCTGGACCACTGCAACAGCATTTTAATAACCACTTCCCAACATTTAATTCATCCTTTCAACTGCAGAGTTACTGTTCTAAATAAGCAAGTCATTTATGTCATCATTCTGCATTAAACACTTAAAATCTTCCCCATATCCATCAGGGTCAGTCTGATTGAGTGTTTAATGTTACAGAGGCAGACAGTCTGGCTTCAAGTGCTGGCTCTTCCACTTAGCAGTTGATGAATTTGGCCCATTTATTCAACCTCTCTGTGCCTCATCTTCCTTACCTGTAAAATGGTGTTAATATTGAACTTACAGGCTGCCCAAGGGAAAGACATGAATGACTTTCTATAAATGTGTAGTGCAATAACTGTTGGCCATAGTAAGTACTTAATAAATATTCATTATAGTCATCTCAATCATGATCCCCATCATTAGTATCGTCATCATAATCCTCATAGGTGCTATGGTCTAAATGCATTCCCAGCATTTATACATAGAAACTTAATTGCCACTCTGATCATATGTAAAGACGTGGGACATTTAGGAGGTAGTTGTCATGAGTGTGGATCCCTCATGAATGGGATTAGAAACCTTGTGATGCCTTATAAAAGAAGTTGAAGGGGCCGGGCTCAGTAGCACACCTGTAATCCTAGCACTTTGGGAGTCCGAGGCGGGTGGATCACCTGAGGTGAGGAGTTCGAGACCAGCCTGACCAACATGGAGAAACCCTGTCTCTACTAAAAATACAGAAGTAGGTCAGGCGCGGTGGCTCATGCCTGTAATCCCAGCACTTTGGGAGGCCAAGGCGGGTGGATCACCTGAGGTCAGGAGTTCAAGACCAGCCTGGCCAACATGGGGAAACCCCATCTCTACTAAAAATACAAAAATTAGCTAGGCGTGATGGTGGGCGCCTGTAATCCCAGCTACTCAGAAGGCTGAGGCAGGAGAATCGCTTGAAGCCAGGAAACAGAGGTTGCAGAGAGCCAAGATCGCGCCATTGCGCTCCAGCCTGGGTGACAGAGTGAGGCTCTGTCTCAAATAAATAAATAAATAAATAAATAAATAAATAAATAAATAAATAAAAATACAGAAGTAGCCAGGCATGGCAGTGCATGCCTGTAATCTCAGCTACTCTGGAGGTTGAGGCAGGAGAATCGCTTGAACCTGGGAGGCAGAGGTTGTGGTGAGCCAACATGGTGCCATTGCACTCCAGCCTGGGAAACAAGAGCAAAACTCCATCTCAAAAAAAAAAAAAAAAGAAGAAAAAAAGTTGAAGGAGGTGTTCTTTTGTGCTTTTCTTTTCCTTCTTGTGAGGACTCACCAAGAGATGCCATCTTGGCAGCAGAGAGCAGCTCTCACCAGACACAAAATCTGCTAGCACCTTGACCTTGGACTTCCCCTCTTCCAGAACTGTGAGAAAAGAAATTTCTGTGATTTATCAGTTTCCCAGTTTCAGGTATTTTGTTTTAGCAGTACAGACTGAAACAACAGAAAAAAAAGACAGTGACATTGCATTCAAGACTGTCCACATCTACTAGCTTTACAGTCTCCTCCATAAATAAACACTCCTAAAGCTTGCTTCTCCCTCTGGTCTAAGAAGGCATTTTGTTGTTCAAATGGGATGCATACTCTCCCTGCTATTCCCCTTATCATTCCCTTTATCTTCCTATGAAAACTATAGCTTATCCTCTGAGCTATTATTCAAATTCAGCTCTGTGCAACTTTTCTTTATGCACATAAGAAAAGTTGGGTGTTCATTTTTGTGTTTTCATACTACCATATGAATATTTCTAATATTGCCTTTCACACATCAGTTTGTCTTTATTGACTACGTTATTTATTATTAGAGGGCTATGAAGATGTCGTAGAGCAAACATTGAGCTTTATTCATATCTCTAGTGTTTTGTACAATGTCTGGAATATCGTAGATCTTCAAAATCATTTTAAGTGCATGGTATACACTCACTGGTTTTACCTTTAAAATTGACTGTTTGAAATAAGCATATTTTTACTTAAGCAGAGGATCCAAGTGGGCTTTAGAGGAAGTCTTGATTCAACATATACCTTCTAAAACTCCCTCTTGTGTTATAGTCATACTCTACTGATCTCTGTCTTTATGACACACATTTCTTTAGGTATCAAATGTAGAATTTATCTCAGAAATGCTTAGGAATCTAGACTTTTTCTCCGTCTAAACTCACCAGTTCTTGCAGAGCTGTTGGTATTATGTTCTTAAAAAAGAAATTTGACAAAGTCCTTCCCCTGCTTAAAGATTCTTTCATGAAAGTAAAAATATGTACACCCCACTTCTAAATGCAAATCTTTTTACAATCTATCTCTAGAGATCTTCGTCAGTCTTAATTTCAATCATCACCCTAAACTACACTCAACTTTGCACCTTGCACTCCTGGAGAGAAACAAGGAAGATCTTTCACTCTTCTACATCTTTGCATTCATTCATTCTTACATTTGACTAAAATGTCCTTCATTCATTCACCTGGAACATTAGTTGTGTCCAAATCTCTGGTTCAAATTCATTGCATTTCATTCCTTCATTCATTCATTCACTCATTAAATCTATTAATTGAACAAGTATTATCTTCAATTCCCTGTGTTGCTATGCCTTTCCATTTCTCCACATCTTTACCAGGTGCATTTAATCACAGCACCATCTCCCCCTCCATACTCAGGCCCAGACCACCCAGAAAACTCTAGTCCCATTCCTATTTCTTATGCTTAATTCCTTTTCTTCATGTGTTATTTCAGAGTGATTCTTTCCTGTTTCATCATGGGCCTCCCTTTATTAGCTTTTTCCTTCCCATATTTTCATGCATTTTTTTTCCAATTGCATCTTTCCGGGCAGCATAAAAATATACCTACTCCCACATTAATAAGCAAACAATAAAAACTCAACACCAAAATCTTTCCTATGCTACACTCAAGCCACTACCGTCTATGGATTTTTTTTTTTTTACCATTTCTTAAACTAGTCATCTACTGTCAATATCTTTATTTCTCTCCTCATTCCTCTATTTTTGAATCTAGTGAAAAAAATATTTTCACTAAAACAACTTTAATTAATACTGCCAATGATATCTTTATTGCAAATACCATGGTTATTTATTTTAAAAAAACATTTCTGCTGAGTGTACTAGTATTGATTATTTCCTACTTGAACCATTCTCTCTTCCCCTTGACTTGCAGGACTCAAGTTTCCTCTGTTGGCAGTCTCTGACTGTATGTTCTTATCTCTTTCCTGGAGTCACAATCTTAACTTCTCTCATTTTATCTTACATATATATTCCATTTTAATTCATCTACCTACGTAACTCTTTATAGATGATTTGGAAAAAAATTTCAAAACCTAATTTTCTGCCACAAACTTTTAAATTACCTATTAAGTCTCTATTTGCAAAAATCTAAGTACTCAAAGTTTAACATGATTAAAGGAGAACTCTATCTTTTTCACTCACGGTTGCTCCATTCCTTGTATTTCCTATTTTGGAGATTGATCTCATTATTCATTCTTCCTCTCAAGAGACAACTTGGAATCCAGCCTGCATTCCTATCATTCTCAATCTCTATATCCTGCTAATTGTACTTTATGATACTGGCCCTTTCTTCCTTTCTCTTCTCTGTCTTTCCGCCTAACTTTTGGCTGTCATCTTTCTTTCCTGGATGACATCCACAGCACCTTCACTCATTTACCTGCCTCCAGTCTTCCTTTGCTTAATTTATTCCACAGTCAAAAAGACAATTCTCTTTCAAAAAATCACTTTATCACTCCCCTGCAAAAATTTTTCTGCACTATAATCTTTTGCTTTTGTCCTCCAAATTTATTTTTTCTAACATTCATGGGGGAAAATGTTTGTCTCAAACACTCTCTTGTGTTGTTCATCTTTCTATAACTTCTTTATATCAATTGCTTTTTTTGTGTTGCTCTCACCTATTTCCTGGCCCACTCCATTCCTTGTTCTGCTTTCTTTCATTTTACATTTAGTCACAAGTGACAGTAGGATGGCTTCTAGCAGCTCACAGTCTGTGAGATAATAGATTCAAGCCCAGTTTCTTCTTGGTATCACCTGTAAACATTTTGAGAGTCACTATATGTCAACTAATCTGGTTCCCATATCTATCCCTGAATCAATTAGTGTTCTGGGCTGCTGGAATTGTAGGCCTGGATAATATGCTTACTGCTGAAGTGTCACTTTAGCCAGGAGGATTCAGGCTGTGTGTGATTGTCCTGGCCTAAGGCATTATGTCAACCTGTGGAATTTAGAGTGGAGCACTACTTGGACAGTGGATTGATGGGGCAGAAGTGGTGGTCTCCAAGGGAACTTTGGGGTGTTGATATGAGAAGAAGTACAAATTCTTAAACATCATCCTACCCTTGACTGGCCAGACACAAATATCATAGGTTTGTTACATCTTCCCTGACTTCTGACTCCCAATTTTGGTTAGGTGATCCAAATCTGTGTCTCTACAGAAACCTGTGCTCAAATATATAACCTGTTGTTATTAGTTATAGGCCATAAACTCCTAATGGTAAAGTCTGTTGGAAGTTAGTTTTGAATCCTCAGCACATGTCCTAATTCCTGTCATAAATTTGGCACAGAATAAATGCTTTCTTTACTTATGGGATTAAATAATAAATGAACACCGTATTCTACATCCTGAGTTAAAAAACTTCAAAGTAGAAGCCTTCTCTCACTGCTTCAGACTTAGTTTTTCCATCCTTTATACAGCTTTTAAATGGGACTTATCCATTTCCATATGTGTCACTGGATGGTGTCTTATTAATCTTATTAATCTTTGAGCAAATATACATTGCTTAATAATGTTTGGTGAACAAATGAATGAAAGTGTGAATGAGAGAATAAGTAAATGATGAATGAAGAGTAATTTACTTCCCAAGCTCTCCTGTGCCTCATTAAACCCTATGGAGTCAGCCAGGAAAGATTAAGCAAAAATTCGATCATTGTACAATTGGGAAGCTAGAAGTCTGGAGAAGCCAAATTACATTTGCCATGAAACTTACTTTGTGACCTTGAGGATGGCAGAATAGAATTTAGGTCTCTTCACTCTCACATGCAGAGTTCTTTTTGCTGAGTTGCATTGTCTGAGTTCATATTCAATCATCTCAATTTTCACTCATAGATACTAGAAAATTTTGACTGTCTTAAATGTGAGAGAATCAGGATGCATAGTTGATTTCTTCAAAGGACATAACACTTAATGCCTAGTAAAATTCACTTTAACTTCATATTCTGTACCTTTACTTTAAAAATAATTTTATTTGCTAGATGCTAGTTGGGGCACACCTTATTTTTAATTATTAAGTTATATAATAACTACTTTCTATAAGTTGTACTCTATTATAGAGAGACCAAGCCACATGCAGAATTTATCTTTTTCTTTACAGAAATAGAAAACATATAGAGAAATATATAAACATTTGTTTTAGTAGAATGTCAACACTAAAGCCATCAATTTTTCCAAAGTTTGCAAGTGGTGAAAATTACGACTGTTTCTAGCAGTTCACTAGTGTGATTTCTGCCAGTTAACATTTCTGATATTCCCAAATTCAAAAGTCCGCACTGTAGACACATTGCCTTGCATATAATAAATAACAACCACCCTTGCTTTTGTTTTGTTTTGTTTTCTTTTTAGCCTCTTTTTTTTTTTTTTTTTTTTGAGACAGTCTTGCTTTGTTGCCCAGGCTGGAGTGCAATGGCACAATCTGGGCTCACTGCAACCTCCCCCTCCCAGGTTCAAGCGATTCTCCTTCCTCAGCCTCCTGAGTGGCTGGGATTACAGGCACCTGCCACCACGCTCGGCTAATTTTTTTTGTATTTTTAGTAGAGACGGGGTTTTACCATGTTGGCCAGGCTGGTCTTGAACTCCTGACCTTAGGTGATCCACCTGCCTCGGCCTCCCAAAATGCTGGGATTACAGGCATGAACCACCATGCCCAGCCTAACATCATTTTTAACATCTTCTTTTTAACTTCTACTATTCACTAGTTTGTGACCTTGGGCAAGACCTTCCTTAACTAATGAGTTTCAGATTTTTACCTGTTAAGGAAGTAGTTTATTTCACACATATTGAGTATATACTCTGTACAGTTAAGGGTATTATAAATCAGTAGTTAGTAATTAATAAGACTATAGTATATTGATTAATAGATAAATAGAGATATATTTATTTGTCTATTCCCAAGGAACTTGCAGCCCATTAAGAAAGATAGCCATTAATTACATTATTTTAAAGGTTGAATAAAGTTTATACAAAAGCATGAAGTTTTATGAGAATATTTCATAGGAATCTAGCCTGATGATCAGGTTTCTGCAAGATGTTGGTTAAGTTTGGCTACCTGTGCATGTCTTCATGACAAGATCCCCAAGCATAACATTATGTAACATTATCTATTAAGACTGCACATTTGCAGACTCTAGTTCTCTAAATGTGTCTAGATTTGACCACAAAGAACCATTTTTGTTTTGTTTTTAATTTGAACTTCAGAGGTTTTTTTTGTGTGTGTGTTTCTTCAATGTCCATCTTGCTACAACAATGTATATTTAGACTTTAAGTACTTATATTGCTTATCTAAGGCTGATAGTTAAATACTTCACAATCAGTAGTGCACACTGTCTGATATCTGCTAATTTACAATTCAAGTCCCAGGAAAGAATATAATTTCACTGCTGTTGAGCATAGAAAGAAACATCTGTTGCCTCCCACCTTACATTTTAAATCTACATATTTTACATATCTACAATCCTAGAGGCTTTTGAGATAATCTACCTTCATCACATTGTTGGTGTTTTAAAAAAATATTTCTCTGGAATACTATCGATGTCAATTTTTATGCTCTTTTCAGGCTCTAAAATTAACTTTTTCTGAGTTTATGATTTTTGGTCTTTTAAAAAAGCTTTTTATTTTAAAATAATTATAGATTCACAAGAAGTTCTAAAAAAATAGTTGAAGAGGGGTGTTTTGTGTACCCTTCATCTGGTTTCCTACAATGGTTACATCTCACATAACTATAGTAAAATGTCAACACCAGGAAATTGGTATTGGCATATTAGATGTATATATAGTCATGTATCACTTAATGATGGGTATGCTTTCTGAGAAATGCATCACTAGGCAATTTCATCAATATGCCAACATCATAGAGTATCCTTATATAAATCTAGATGGTATAGCCTTCCTACACATCTAGGCTAGATGGTACAGCTTATTACTCCTAAGTACAATCCTGTGTAGCATGTTATTCTACTGTATACTGTAGACAATTGTAATACAATTTGTGTAACCACACTCCAGTCAAAATACAGAACTATTTTACCATCACAAAGATCGCTGACACATTACCCTTTTATATTCATAGTTTCCACCCTTCCCTCTCTGGTATCTGAACCCCGGCAATGACTGATTTGTTTTTATCACTATAATTTTGTCATTTAAAGAATGTTACATGAATGGGATCAGAAATTAACTGACCTTTTGAGATTGCCTTTTCCACTCAGCATCATGCTGACTTTGAGATCTGCTACAGTCTAAATACTGTGTCCTCTCAAAATTCATATGTTGAAATCCTAACCACCAAGGTTAGGATGGAAGTATTAAGAGGCAGGCTTTTGGAGAGTGATTAGATCACAAGGTTGGATCCCTCATGATTGAAGTTAGTGCCCTTATAAAAGAGGCTGCAGAGAACTAGCTAGCCCTTTCCACCATGTGAGAACACAGTGAAAAGATGCCACCTGTTAACCAGGAAATAGGGCCTCACCAGATGCCAAAGCTGCTGCCGCCTTAATCTTGCACTTCTCAGCCTCCAGAACTGTGAGAAATAAATGTTTGTTGTTTATCAGCTACCCAATTTATGATATTTTGTTATTCCTGTATGAAAGGTATAAGAAAAGATGGATACATGCAAAGCTTTGTATCTATCAATAATGTGTTCATTTTTATTGCTAATTAGTATTCCATGATATGTATTTACCATAGTTTGTTTAGCCATTTGCCTATTGGGGGACATTTGGGTTGCTTTAGTTTTGGAGTACTAAAAATAGAGCTCCTATGAACAATTATGCACAGGTGTTTTTGTGAATATAAATTTTTATTTTATTGGGATAAATTCAAAGGAAAGCAATTGCTGGAGGAAAGCAATTTGCTAAAAAGCAAAGTTTACTTTTTAAAAAACTGCCAAATTATTTTCAAGATTGACTATATGATTTTATATTTCATCCATCAATGTATGAGATTTTCTTTGCATCCTTATCTGCATTTGTTATTTTCAGCATTTTTTATTTCAGCTGTTTAATTAGGTGTGCAGTGTTATATTTTTGTGATCTTAATTTGCATTTTTCTATTAGCTAGTGATTTGCACATCTGTTTATGCATTCATTTGCTAGCTATATATCCTCTTCAGTGAAATGTCCCTTCATATCTTTTGCCCATTTCATATTTTCATTGACTTTTTACTGTTGAGGTGTTTATTTTTACTGTTGAGGTATTTAAATTATTTACATATTCTAGATACTGTTCCTTTATTGGATATGTGTTTGTGAATATTTTGTTCCAGTCTGTAGATTTTTTTTTCATAATCTAAACAGGGTCTTTAATAGAAAAATGTTTTAAATTTTGATAAAGTCTAATATTTTTATTTCTATTACAGATTATACATTTGGTTTCATGTCTAAGAACTCTTTACAAAGCCTTAGTCTGAAAGATTTTTTATGAAGTTTTTTCTAAAAGTTCCATAGTTTCATGTTCACATTTACATCTATGATTCATGTTGAATTAAATTTTGTAAAAGATATGAGGTTTATGTTGAAATTTGTTATTTTGCCTGTGAATATCCAATTGTTCCAGAAACATTTATTAAAATCATGATTCTTCCTCCATTGAGTTGCTTTTGCATTTTGGTCAAAAATGAGTTGGCTGTGCTTTTGGAACCATTTTTGAATCCTCTGCCTTTTTCCATTCCACTTTGTGTTTATCCTTTTGTTAATACCATGAATATTGGTAGTCATATAGTAAGTCTTGAATTTTGTTAGAAAGATTCCTCCTGCTTTATTCTTTTTCAAAATTGTTTCAGCTATTCTTATTTCTGTACCTTTCTGTATATTTTAGAAAAACCTTGTCTATCTGCATCAAAATAAAAACTTGCTTAGATTTTTTGAGGAATTTCCTTAAACCAATGAATCAATATAAAAAAATTACAGCTTGCTATGTTGAGTCTTCTAATCCATAGACTCAGTATATCTCTCCATTTATTTAGATCTTATTTCATCAATGTTTTCCAACTTTTAACATTAAAGTCTATACATATTTTGTTATATTTACATGTAAGTATTTCATTTACTAAGTGATTGTAAAATGTATTGCATTTTTAAATTTTGGTTTCCACATCCGCATTGCTAGTATATAAAAATAGAATTAATTTTTGGATACTGCTGTTGTACACCTGCAGCATGCTAAACTCAATTCTAGGAGTTTCTTTGTAGATTTCTTAGGACGTGTTATATAGATAATAATGTCTCCTGTGAATAGGGACAGTTTCTTCCTTTCCAATCTGTATGGTTTTATTTTCTTATCTTGTTTTATTGTAGTGTCTAGAACTTCCATTATTGTATTAAATGGCATCTTTGTCTTGTTTGCAATCTTAGAGGAAATATATTCAGTTTTAAATCATTAAGTATGATACTGCTTGAAGGTTATCTGTAGAAGTTCTTTATCAAATTGTGGAAGTTACCCCTATTTTCCTGGTTTTTATCATGATTGGGTGTTGAATTTCTTTAAATGCTTTTTCTGTGACACTTGATATGATCATTTGATTTCTGTTGCTGAGCCTGTCAATATGATGAATTAAACTGATTGAATGTTTAATATTAAACCAACTTTGTTCTTCTGAAATGAATCCCATTTTGTCACACTGTATAGTTTTTTTACAAATTGTTGAATTTTATTGGCTAATATTTTGTTAAGGTTATTCGGATCTACATTCATGTGGGATATTGGTCTATAATTTTCCCTTTTTTTGTATTGTCTCTTTCTGGTTTTGGTATCAGAATAATAATTTATAAAATAAATTCAAAACTGTTCCCTCTTTCATTTTCTGTAAGAGATTAAGTAAAATTTGTGTGAATTATTATTTAAATACTTGATAGAATTATGTAGCAAAAATACTTGGTCCTGGAGACTTCTTTTTAGGGAAGTTTTCAAATTAATATTCAATTTCTTTAATTTTTACAGGGCTACTTAAATGACCTAAATATTAATTAGGTATTACTAATTAAATATTAGGTTAGTTGTGACAGACTGTCCCTTTTGGGGCACTAGTCCATTTCATCAAAGTTGTCAAATCTGTGGGTTCTGCTTTGATTGTTTGTCTCCTCCAAATCTCATGTTGAAATATAATTGTTGGTCAGGTGTGGTGGCTCACGTCTATAATCCCAGCACTTTGGGAGACCAGAGTGGGAGAATTGCTTAAGCCTGGGAATTCAAGACTAGCCTGGGCAACATAGTGAGATGCTATTTCTACAAATAATCAAAAAATTAGGGCAGGCACGATGGCTCACATCTGTAATCCCAGAATTTTGGGAGGCCAAGGCAGGCCAATTGCTTGAGCTCAGAAGTTCGAGACCAGCCTGGGCAAACATGGCTCAATCCCATCTCTACAAAATATATATACATATAAAAAGAAAGCCGAGCATAGTAGCAGGTGTCTGTAGTCTGAGCAACTTGGGAGGCTGAAGTGAGAGGATGGCTTGAGCCCAGGAAGTGGAGGTTGCAGTGAGCCGAGAACATGCCACTGCACTCCAGTTTGGGTGACAGAGTGGGACCCTGCCTCAAAAAAAAAAAAAAAAAAAAAAAAAGAAAAGAAAAAGAAAAGAAAAGGAAAGAAAACAATCAAATTAGCCAGATGTTATAACACATGCCTGTAGATACTTAGGAGGCTGATGCAGGAGAATTGCTTGAGCCTGGGCAGTCAGGGTTGAAGTGAGCTGAGATTGTGCCACTGTATTCCAGCTTGGGTGACAGAGTGAGAACCTGTCTAAAAAAAATAAATAAAATAAAAAAGAAAGAAATATAATTGTTATTGAAACAGTATTAAGAGGTGAGACCTCTAAGAGGTGATTAAGCTATGAGTGTTTCATCTTCCAGGTTTGGATTGGTGCCATTATAAAAGGGTAACTTTAGCCCCTTCTTGCTCTCTCTTGTCCTCTCGCCTCCTGCCATATAAAGAAAACACAGCAAGAAGGTCCAATACATTTATGTTCATTATAAATTTCCCAGGCTGCGGTATTCTGTTATTGCAACACAAAGAGAGGACTAAGACACTGCGCATTGTTAGTAGTAGTAGTTTTTTTTTTTTTTTACTTTACTTTTGATGTCTGCCCAGTCTATAGATATATCCTGTTTGTTTGCTGATGTTAATTTGTGTCTTCTTTCTTTGTCAGTCTTGCTAGAGGTTGATCAATTGTATTGACATTTTCAAAGAGACAACTTTTTGTTTTATTGATTTTCTGTATTGTTTTCCTCTTTTCAATTCAGTTATTTCTGCTTTTATCTTTCTCATTTCCTTCCTTCTGCTTGCTTTGGGTTTATATTACTCCTCATTAACTAGGTTCTGAGATTGGATCCTATCTTATTGATTTGAGACATTTCATCTTTGCTAGTATGAACATTTAGTACTATAAATTATTCTTTTTGCCTGCTTTAGCTGCATCCAACACATTATCATATATGGTGTTTTCATTTTCATTTGGTTCAATGTATTTTCCTATTTCACTTGAGACCTTCCTTTTTGACTCCTGGCTTATTTAAAGGTGCATTATTTAGTTACTAATGTTTAGAGATTTTCCTGTTGTCTTATTGTTATTGATTTCTAGTTTGGTTACATTGTGGTCACAGAATATATGCTAAATGATTCATTTTAAAAAATGTGTTGAAGTTTTTCTTTTGGCCCAGCATATGGTTTATCGTGGTATCTATTTCATAGGCACTCAAAAAAAATTTTGTTTTCTGCTACGGTGGATAGAGTGTTCTATGAATGTCTATTAGATTGCATTTATTCATGGTATTTTATTGTACTTCTATGTTAGTTGATTTTCTGTTTAATTGTTTTATTGACTGTTGAGAGAGAGGTGTTAAGTTTACAATTATACATATGCATTTATTTCTCCTTTAAGTTCTATCAGTTTTTGCTTCATATATGTCTTGTTTCTGTTTTGGTGCTTAGACCTGTAAGATTTTGGTGGTTTGTTTGTTTGTTTGTTTTAGATACAGGGTCTCACTCTGTCACCCAGGCTGAAGTGTAGTGGCACAAAAATAGATCATTCTAACCTCAAATTCCTGGACTGAAGCTATTCTCCCACCTCAAGACTTCAGCATCCCAAATAGTTAAGAATTCAGGTATGTGCTGCTACACCCTGCTACTTTTTAAAACTTTTTTATTTTTTTTTAGAAGAGATGGAGTCTCACTATAGTGCATTGGCTAGTCTTGAACTATAGCACTCAAGTGATCCTCCCACCTCAGCCTACCCATACCACTGTGGTGTGAGCAGTCACAACCAGCCTATCGCTGGTAATTTTTTACTCTAATGTTAATTTTATCTGTTATTGATATAGCCACTCTTGCTTTCTTTTGATTAATGTTGGCATGACCTATCTTTTTCCATCCTTTTACCTTCAACTTAGCTGTTATAAATTGTTATATCTGAAGTAAGTTCCTCTTTGACAGCATATGTTTGGGTTACTTTTTTCCCACTCTGCCAATAACTGTCTTAATGGTTTATTTAGGCCATTTATAATTAATATAATTATTGATATGTTAGGGTATAAGACTGCCATTTTATTAATTTTAATTTTCTGTTTATTCTTTGTTTTTCATTTTTCTGTGTTTTTTTCTGCCTTTCTTTGGGTTATTTTATTATTCTTTAGAGTCCCATTTTAATTTACCTGTAGGGTATTTTTTCTTCTGTCTTTTTATGTATTTTTTAATGGGTTCCTCTCAGTGTTATATTAATATACAAAATTTATCACAGTGTTGACATTTAATCAGTTCAAGTGAAGTATAGAAAATTTAATTTAGTATATTCCATTTGCCCTTCTCTAATATAACTGTCTTACATATTTTCTCGCACATGATGTAGTGTTATAATTATTATCTTACATGACATTTATCTCACATGAGATAGTGTTATAATTTTTGTTTTAATCACTGCACATAAACTGAAAACTTAAAAGGAGAATTGAAATGTATTATATTTTCCCATCTTTATACTCAGTTGATTGTTCTTTCTTCCTGATGTTTCCAGATTACTTATTTGATCATTTATTCCTGTTTTGAAAACTTCCTCTAGCCATTTGTATAGGATGAATCTACTGGTATTAAATTCCCTTAGTTTTCTTACATTTGAGAATTTTTGTATCTTCCCTTTATTTTTGAAGGATATGTTAGGTGGATATAGAATTTGGAGTCAACATTCCTTTTCGTCCAGCACGTGAAACATGCTGTGTTACTCTTCCTAATCTCTGTTATTCCTGTTGTGAAATTTTCTGTGTCTTTCTCACTACTTCCACAATTTTTATTCTCTTTTATTTTTGCACATTTGATTATGCTGAGCTTTAGCATGCATTTTTGGATGTATCTTGTTTGGGGTTCTCAGTTTTAAAAATAGATATCTGTATGTTCTTTGGCAAAGTTGGGAGCAATTTAGCTCTTATTTCTTCAAATGCTTTTTTATCCCTACCCATTTTCTCCTTTCTTTCTGGTACTCCAATGGTAAAAATTTTAGATATTTTGTGATAATCCCACTAATCCTTAAGGACCTTTTTAAAGCCCATTTTCTCTCTTTTGTTCAGATTGGGTGTTCCTCTATGTCTTTCAGTTTATTTTTAGTTCTTTCCCCTCCATTCTGCTATTGAACTCATCCACTTAGCTTTTCATTTCAGTTGCTGTATTTTTCAGTTATTTTCCATTTGGTTATTCTTTGTATCTTCTATTTCTTTGCTGACATCTTCTCTTTCTTTGTTGATTTTTTTTTTTTTGCCAAGTGTGTTTAAGATTGATTAATTACTTGCTGCTTGTTGAATGATTTATGTGATGGCTGCTTTAAAATCCTTGTCAGATAATATTAAAATCTTTATAATCTTGGTGTTGACAATTATTGATTGCATTTTAACATTCCAGTGGAGATTTTTCTGTTTCTTGATACAATGAGTGATTTTTTAATATAAGCCTAGCCATTTGGGGGTATTTTATTATAAGAATCTAGGTCATATTTAAATTTTCTGTTTTCACTGTTCACATCAAACTCTGCTCCAGGTAGAGAAGAGGCATGTTTCTACTATGTTATTGCCAGGTTGGTGTGGAAGCCTAAATTCTCCATTTAGCTTCCATTGACACTTGTAAGTGGAGGACTTCTAGTTATTGCTGGATGGGGGAGGATAGAGTTTCACCTTCTAGTATGCTCAATCGATACCATCCTGACTGATAGAGAGAAGTGTAGAGAAAGAAGTACCTCATTACTGCTCCCTCTGTGGCCTCTATGTTTTGGAGGGACACTTATTGCTGGTTAGTAGTAAAATTCCTGACTCTCCACTAGGCCACCTTGACATCACCCCAGTGGGGAAAGAGAAGATGCCCAATTACCTTCCAATGGGAACTTCTTACATGCTTTCCACTGTCACCATGGGAAAGAGGGTAACTTATTACTGCTTAGCAAGGAATAAGTCTTTGTATTAATTTTCTAGCACTGTGATAAGAAAGTACTACAGATCAGGTGGATTAATTTTCTCATGGTTCTGGAGGCCAGAAGTCCATGATCAAGTCTGCAGAAGTGTTTCTTCTGAGGCTCCTCTCCTTGACTTGTGGATGGCTGTCTTTTTGCCTTTTCCTTCTATGTGTTCACATGGTTTTCATTCTGTACACCCCCATGTCTGGTACCTCTTTGTGTGTCTCATTCTTCTCTTCTAGTAAGGAGACCAGTCATATTGTGTTAGGGACCATCCTATTGGCCCCATTTTAGCTTAATTACCTCTTTAAAGACCCTGTTTCCAAATGTAATCATATTTTGAGGTATTTAGTATTGAAGCTTCAACATATAAATATTAGGGGGCACAATTTAGCCTTGAACCATGCCGTTGTCTCTTTTGGCCTTCTCTGATAATACCCCAACATGAGCATTAAGATGCCTTGTTACAATATGTCTAGGGTTAGAGTCTAGGCTCTCCATTTAGCCTTGCTGGTAGCATTGGCATTGGAACCAGAGCTTTTTCCTGTGGTATTTGACTAGAGAATAATTATTATCTAACAATTTGCTGTCTTGCAAGGCTGACTCTTTCCTGGTCCCTTTACTTGGGATATGTTGAGAAAAAGTTTGCATGAGGAATATTTTGCTAAAGTCTCCTACCACAACTGGTTCTAAGCTACACTTAACAATGTTTGGCTCTAATCAGCATTTTTCATATCTTATGTTTAAATACTTTGAGTGCCTTTCTTAAGTCATTATTCCATAATTATTTCCTCTGTTTCTTCCTGGTGCACATAGTACAACAAATACACGTAGCTTTATATTCCTCCACCAGTGAAGCTGATAAAATATCAAACACTCCATATAGGACAAATCAAGATGACATTGACAATTGCAGTGACACCAATAATTTACTAAAGAAGAAGAAGGAAGCAGTCTTCCCTGGACTGAGCATTTTACATGTATTATTTTATTAAATACTCATGCAACTCTAAAAGTAGTTAAGATTACATTAAAAACTTAGAATGTTTTGGTGTGAATTATTTCTGTATTTTTAGTAGCTAATGGTCCTAACCTGGAATCAACTGTTTGCTATATGCCTTCTGTTGGTGCTTACAAATTCCTTCTTTGTTCTTTTCCATTCATCTCTCTGCCCTGGGAAAGGGAGGTGATCCTGTGAGTCTGGCATCAAGGTACTCTCTTGCCAATGAATGAGAAATACTGGCAGGATATTAGAGGATGGGAAGAGAATGATGTTCATGTATTTATTCCCATGGTCTGCTCTCTGTCAGTTGCTGCATAGTGTTTGTATCTCTGTACCTAATGTCACAGCTCTGGTTGGTTGGGTTTTGGGAGCTCTCTTCAAACAGATGCTTTTGCTGGATTCCAGTAATTGTTCTTTACCTTTTCCTTTCAAGCCAAGTATGCTAAGTGCTTCTATTGTTGTAAACCCCATTTCTTACTGGTTTCCCTTCTTATAGGTTTCCCTTAAGCCTATCTACAATGTTCTATATAGCCTCATTCATCAAAATTTCTCAATTACCTCATTTGAGTGTGCCATCTATTTCTAGTTTTGTTCAGTGCAGACCGATTTATACATGTTTAAATTGTTAGTTTTGATCCCTTATATCTACAGTTTCCAAAGTGACTTTCAGTGGCTTCCATATAGTTTATTATTTTACAACACCGTATGTAAATACACAAACTACTTATGTATTTCTCTCAAAATGTTCTAGAAAAGATTTCACTTTTAAAATATTGTTATTAAGAATATAACTTCCAAACATGATTCTTACCTTCAGCAGCTGTTTGCCTTAGTTCAGAGAACAGCAGTTACATTAGAAATACGGAATTCAACATTTTCATGATAAGTTTAGCCTGTTGAGGCCAATCTTGCATGTTGAACATATAAAAGACTGATATTTAAAAAAACACAAACAAAACAAATAATTTTTGCCATTATAATATATTTTCTCCCAGTCCTACTGTTAACTTTACTGTTCCATTTCTAATAATCAGCCTTGGCTGCACCGGGGTACAACTGGAAGGTTTTGATTAATTTACCAACCTACGTGAGGAGGCTTCAGTGACTTATTGTGAGGTTGCTTCGGTTAGGCATGGATGGTACATTACTGTTCTTTTCTAAGTTGATAATGTTCTGTGTTTGATACTCAGTTGTGTGTAACTTGGCTCACCCAGACTTCTTTGTGATTATTCTTTCATATATTAATTTGTTTTGCTCTTTATGTTTTCCAGAAATTCAGAGTTTGATTGCAAGTTGTACTTCTGGGTATTCTTAAGGCAGATCTTCTGTTCTTTGATCAGCCTTGTTTTAGCTTCCTGTATGCCCAGCTGTGCAAGTGTACTGCCATCATCCATCAATTCCACATGTCTAGACTCACAAAAGCGAATGGCTGTCGGCATTGCTTCCAAACTGGTAGCTGGCTGACATCCAGCTGCTCTTTACTGGTGATTTTGTATGCTAATATCCCATAGGTAAATGTTATTGAAACTGGTTAAGCCACATCTTTGTAGTTTTTTCCCCCCATGTGTTATGGCTTAAAGGAAGGATGGAAAATTTAGACTTCCAATATGATCAGTGTAAAGATCAATTCAAACACTCTTGTTGCTACTGAGGAGTTAGGTCTTGTAAAGAGTGTGGCCTTACAACTTTTGAATGTGGATGGATAATGAACTGATTACTATTGAATTCCCCTTTTCTCTATCGTGTATGTTTACATGGTATGGGTATCACCTACAGTCTTTTCCAACCCCACAAATAACCATTCTGATGCTAGAGACAACTTAGAATTAGATTCTTCCTACTTTAGTAGTTGTCTTTTCTATCATCATTTTTGAACTAAACAGTAAAGATGACTGATACATAAGTGACGAAGAATGATGGGGACTGTAAAAATCTTAAGACAATGCAATGGCAATGGCAAGTATCTTTTGTGGATGTGTATTTCTGCTAAGCATTTGAAGTATATCCCATGATTTTCTATTTCTTATTAATAAAGTTATTGGATTTTAATAGCCTATGTATATCTTTTTCAAGCATAATTATTTTTATGTCACTAACATTTCAACAAAACCAGCAACTATTCTTATTCATCTTTGAATGTACCCTGCCATTTTGCCTTAATAGGAGTAGATTTATAACCAGATTAAGCCCTGGTTTTCAATCCAATATGTTATTAGACAGTTAACTGAAGAAAAATATATAATAGAAATGAATTATTGCATGAGAGTCTTCTTTTGATAGCATGACATCTCCATCATTACTCCCATTTTTCTCTCTTAACCTTTTGTGATACCTGTGAAATGTGATATACCAAATGACATCACTCTGGTTCAGAGCTCTAAAAGGCTTTCAGATAACCATTCTGAGAAGGACTTCCTGCTTGACCTATGGACTTGCAAATGAAGGACTTGACTTGAACCTCTGAACTGGGCCAAATGGCCATGATCACAACATTCTGGAACAGCTAAATTTTACCAGCAGTGCAACTCCTGAAAAGTGACAACCAATGAACTATGGACTTATATACTAAGCCAGCCACCTCCACCAACGACATTTCTTTCAAAACAACTTGTGTAATTATTATTGGCATCCTTTTAAAAAATCCCTATTCCCCTTTCTCTCTTCAAAACTTGATTTGGCATCTAGCTGAACTGCGTCTCTCAAATTGCAGTTCCTAAGACCCCAATAAACACCTTGTCTTACTGTTTTGCAGTTTGATCGTTTGTGTCTTCTGGGTTAACTAACCAAAAATCATTACAATTATGCACTCAGAGCCTAGAAATCCTCTGCTTTTCAAGGTTAACGGCACTGCCCCCAATTGCTAGAGATCTGAGGAGCAACTGTAGCTCTTTTTGATAATGACTAATACATACATTGCCACAAGATATTTTGTGTAACAGAATTTGAAAGTTAATAAACTTACAAAGCTAACTAAAGAAACATGATAATGGAGTTGTTGAGATTGGAACCATATACCATCAGAGCATCAGTCTCTCCCAGAAATCTGTTCAATGTGCTAGGGGAAAATGTCTCTTTCTTCATATATTCATATTTTAGTAACTAAGATAGATAATACACCAATAGTAAAAAAGATGTAGATATGCTATCAGACAGTGTTGAGTTCCAGAAAGAAAAAATAGACAAAACAACGGCAGAGAGAGTAAGGAAATGTTTTTTAGGTAGGAAAAAGAGGAAACATCTCTCCGGGGAGGTGACATTGAGCAGAGATGTGAATGAAAGTGGGTCATGTGGATATCTGAGGGAATATTATTTCATGCAAAAGGAGCACAAGTTCAAATGTGATTGGTTACTCTGGGAACGTGAAGAGGAGCAGTATGATGAGAGCACTGTCAGCAAGTGATAAAGTGATAGGGTATCAGTTAATGTACCAAGATCTAGATCATTACAAGATATTGCAGGTCAGAATGACGACTTTAGTCAAAATGTGTTGGAAAACCAGTTAATGGTTGATGAGTGGTTTTAAACAGGGGAATAAAAAGATCTATAGGGTCACTCTTACTGCTGAGTGGACAACAGACTGCAGAGAAGCAGGAGTGAGGCAAAGAAGCTGTTGTAAGAAAATTATAGTAGTCTAAGCAAGACATAGTCATGTTGTGGGCTAGACAGTCACCCTAGATTATTGGCCATGCTGTCAGCAGATTTTTACAATCCTCAAAAAGAGAAATGAGGCCAGGCATGGTGGCTCACACCTGTAATCCCAGCACTTTGGGAGGCCGAGGCGGGTGGATCATCTGAGGTCAGGAGTTTGAGACCAGCCTGACCAACATGGTGAAACCCCATCTCCATTAAAAATGCAAAAATAAGCCGGGCATGGTGGCAGGCACCTGTAATCCCAGCTACTCAGGAGGCTGAGGTAAGAGAATCATTTGAACCTGGAAGGCAGAGGTTTCAGTGTCACAATTGTCACTGCACCCACTGCACTCCAGCCTAGGCGACAGAGCAAGACTCCATCTCACCAAAAAAAAAAAAAAAAAAAAAAGAACATGTTACAGAAAGTTATGCGTTCAGTAGTTTAGGAAGTATTTGGGAAATCTTTTAGTCAGTACAGACTAGTTCTGCCACCAAATATTAATGTCCCCTTGGGCAGAAAATTGCAATTTCCCATTTCAGTGCTCAGGGTTTGGACTAAATTATCACAATAACCTCCATCTCTGACCTTCTGTGTTTCTCAGCAGACTAATATAAATGATCTAGAACATGAAAATGTGTGAACTTTAGGACTTCAGTACAACATTAGAGTATCTTATGCCAAACTCCTTCTAATTCCCAGGGAAACATTAGGAAACTACTATTATGTTGTAGAGAAAGAAAGTTAGAAGACTTTTTGGTAAGCTTTTTACAATGAATAATAAATGTGCAAAATCACTTAAAAAAGTCTATTCCTAGGAGCTTTTTCTTGATTTTCGTTTGATTGTCTATAATTATGCAATCCAAAGTCTCCAACTGAATTAAACATCCCATAACCATTTTAATGACTCAGGATAGAAAGAAAAAATTGCAGCATTTAAATTCTGTTTCAATATGATGACTCTTGAGAATTTTACTGACCTTGATGGAATTTTTGGAATTTGAGTTCATTTGTAATCAAACTAGAAAAAAATGTTTTGAAATGCTATTTAGATGCTCAAAAGGATTATTGGACCCTAAATAACTTTCATTACATGACATTTTGATAAGGTCATTGTAAGTGAGTCAGAAACATGGACTACATTTCCTTTAAAAATACACATCCCTTCACAACAGATTTGGTCCTAACTCATTTTGGCTTTTGCTGAATCCCAAGTGTTTTTCCTTCTACTTTTTTTTCCCTTTAAATTCTCCAGTAAACTTGCTAAACCGGTAATCTAGGTGAGCTCACCTGCTCCTTCCACTCACTTCCCTGTTGAATTTAGCCTCGGGCTTTGCTTTAATAGCATAGATCCTTAGAGCAGAGAGTTTTATACACAGGAACAGGGGAAGCACAGAGTCTAATAAAGGCCTGGGAATTTTTGTTGTTGTTGTTTCTTTTGAAAAAGGAGAGCTCTAAGGGAATGATATTGTTCCAGAGAACTGACTCAAATGTGTTCTGTATTTGAACTCTGTGATTATGAAATTTCAACTAAAGCTATAAAAAGCAAAACTAACAGACACCAGAGCATGCCAAAGAAAAACAGGATGTTCTTTTTTGATTGGGAAATAATTATCTAAGTTCAATGGCTGGGTCCAGGTAGTTGAGTTTACATTTGCTTCTCCCTCATTATAGAATCAGTTGAATTATGGTAAATTTTCCCTAAGCAGCCAAGCTGTCATTCAAAGGGGTGATTTTATTGGGGTGCAAATCCCTTTTGTTATTGCTTCAGTCCATTTTTTAAATGGATTTGAAGCCTGAGGGGAAAGTACAAATTAAGACAGACTTTTCTCTTTATGCGGTGAACCCAGCCTGTCCTGCCTGCTGCATCCCACTCTAGTACCTCCAGGGTGTTCATCTACCCGGAAAGTCCTCTGCTATTTTATGCTCTATGGAAGTGAGATGTAAACAAAACTAGCTTACTTCTTTCTCAAAAATCATTACACTGATTGGATTATGTCCTTAGCAACAGAATGAATCTCTCTACATATGTATTACTCAGTGATTGAAAACTGAGGTTCAGTTTTGAGGTAAAGTAGAATGCACTAAAAAATTGTAGGATTGCAAATAAACAGTAACATTGCTAATGATTTTCCATGTCTTCCATGTGGGGGAAAGCAGGACAGAGAGTATGGCTTTTTAAAATAGTGAAATTGACTCTTTAAAATTTTTAGAATTGGAGTTCTTCAGTTTATTGGAAATGACACTGCTGAAGACAATTTAAACATTCTGTTTAAAGTAAATGAAAGAATTATACCGTAATAAAGATCTAAAATGATTCACAAGGATTATAACAGAAACAAATTTATATATTACTTGCACCATTTTAACTAGATACTATAATGGAAAGGAAAAACAAAATCAGAAATGGTTACTCTCTTCTGGGAAGTCACTGGTAATGAACATACTTTCCTTAACAGCAATGAGGGCATATTTTCTTTCTTTTTTGCCATAAGGGCAATAATGTCATAAGATATATTTTAGAGCTTAATACCCTGTCATCAGAAATTCAGTTTAATTTTTAAATATAACATCCTTACATTAAAATTTAGAAGAATAATTTTTATGTTAAATAAGGTTTTCAGTAAGTATACTATATATTTACATATATATGGAATATGAATATTTATGAAGACACACGTGAACACTCATATATTTTCTTCAGAACTTGAAATGACCTCAGAAAATTGTTAATTTTCTTCCTTTGTTTCATGGCAGCATTACCATAATCAGTTTTAGATATCATAATATGCATTATCTTGATATCCCAGAAAATGGCATTTCATGAGTAATCTTCATTCTGCATCATCTAATCTAAGTTCTTCCTGCCATACCCTTAGACTTTTTTCCCTTGCTCTTTTATCAACAGAAATGGTCATCAGCATATGAACAATAATATTCCTGCATTTCCTTGAAGCCTGTTATCACCGTCCTTCAAAATCTCACTCAAAGTCTGCTACCACCATCCTTGGAAATGTCACTGGGGACCAAATAATTACTATAAACTTCCTTAGCTAAACCTTTCAATCTAGACTTTGTATCAATTTGACTGCTCTCCTGGATACCCTATTCATGTTGTACCCAACTATGTTAAGTCACAGAGAAGAAGACTGTTAGGTGATGGTCTAAATAGGTTTGTGTATAATGGGAAAATTACATTGGTTTTCTTCAGTGTACACTTTATTCATTCCTGAATTCTGCTTGGCTGTTACGAAATATTGCTGACAACCTTCAAATCACATACTATTCTGAACTCAGGGACTGTCTTCTATTAAATTTCACATAGTCCGGTTACTGATTATCTAGTGTGTGTACAGCTATATTTCCTCTAAATGTTTACTATATTTTATCTTTTCCTTCGATATCAATCAATTCCCTTATTTGAATAAGAAAAAGTTTTTGAATAATCATAACAGTTACTGATTACTAAACACTAACCCTGAAATATGCTGTTAAAATGGGTGTTATAATTATAATATTTGGGAGGATAGTTGCATATTATGTTTTATTCCTGTAGATTTAGAATGTATAAAGAAGCTCTATAGTAATCTATTTAATTTTGATGGAGAAGTTTTTTTTTAATTCACAAACATTTTATTAAAAATATGAGCTTGTTGAATCAAATTCTTATAGGAATTTAAACTCAGAGTATGGCAATTAGAAAAGTGGATGTCTTAGTCTATTTACTGTTGTTATAATAGAATAACTGAGACTGAGTCATTTATAAAGAAAAAGTTCTTATAGTTCTGGAGTTCTGGTGGTTTTTCTTAAATGAGATAACCTTATTCTTTTTCTCTTTTCTTCTGATAAATGTGATAGTTTACATTGCTGAATTTTTTAAATGTTGAACTATGTTTGTATTCCTGGTATAAAAAACTCAATCATGATGATTTTTTTTTTCTTTTTTATGTACATCTAGGTTGTATTTGATAATTTTAAAACTTTTTTTTTAACTTATTTTCCTTTGTATCTTTCAAAATATGATTAGGTTTTAATAGCAAGTTTCTGTTGAAAAAATCCAGTCTTATATTACATGTATATTGGTTTAACGATTACATTTTAACTCATGGACTCTGATAAGCCACTTGTTAATCTTACTGGTTTTCCTTGTACATAGTGAATTGTCTCTTACTGCTTTCAAGGTCTTTGTTTTTGACTTTAAACATTTGAATATAAAATGTTGGGTATGGACCTCCTTTTGTTTATCCTAATTGGAGTTTACTGAACTTGTTGGGTTTATGGATTAATGTTGTCAACAAATCTGGGACATTTCTCACTGTAATTTCTTTGATTTTTTTTTCTACTTCTTTCTATCTTATTCTTTTGGTACTCTCATTATTTACATGTTTGTGCCTTTACTGTTGTCCCACATATTTCTCTGAGTCTCAGTTCATTTTTCTTTCTTTTTTTCACTCTGTTCTTCAGATTACATAATTTTTATGTATGTATCTAGTTTGGAGTTTCATATTTCTTTTATCTGCAAGTTCTAATATACTGCTGAGCCACTCTAATGCATTTCTTATTTTGGTTATTGCACTTTTCAACTCCAGAAATTCCATTTCATTATTTTTGAAAGTTTCAATTTTTATCAGTGTCTCTATTTGATAAGATACTGTCATCAGTCCTTCTTTTGATTCTTTAAATGTGGTTTCTTTCAGTCTTTCAAATGTTTGTAATAGCTGCTTTGATTTATTTACCTGTTAAGTCCAAAATCTGGACCTTAATACAGGCAATTTCTGATGCTTGCTTTTAGTCCTATGTGTACGAGTCAATTTTTTTTTCTTTAGATATCTTGTAATTTGTCGAAAGTTGGACATTCTAGATAGTATATTGCAGCAGCTCTATATTGATTCCTGTGGGGCTTGTTGTTATTATTGTTTGCCTGTTTATTTGTTTAGTGAGTTTTCTGGATTAGCTCAGTTATGTCTATTTCCTCTGAAGTTTTTAGCTTCTAGTATCACCTTTCAGAGGGTACAACTTTGGGCATGCACTCAGTAACCCTGGCCCTAATGCCTTATAAATGACAGGCTTTTTTTGACAGTGTCTTACCTGGTATCCCTGTTAAACTACTCGGTGGTATGCCTCTATTAGTATTACATATAGCTGTGAGCCTCCACTACTTGCTAACTAATTACTCAATTGTTTTGTCAAGTCTTTGTGCATAAGTTGTCTCACTGTATAATCCAATTAAACTACTGCCCCTCTGCTGAGATAGTCTTAGAGGCCCATCTCTGAAACTTGCTCTAATCCCAGGAGAACTCTTTTAACAGCTACATTTTTTGGTTCTCTGAAACTTCTAGTTGGTCTATCCAATTTGCTTGCTTCTATCATGGTGCTTCCTACGTGCTGTTGCATGTTCGTTTGTTGCATCCTCTTAATTGCTCACCACCAAAGTCTCCATTTTATTTTGACAATACTGATAGGCTTAAACTAGCCCACTTTAATTACCAAATAAAGTCAGTCCCCTTAGGGAAAATTATGGATCTCTCTGTTCTTATAGCTAGCTTCTCCCATTGCAAAAAGAAAAACAAGTATCTCTGCAACACTCCACCACTGCTTGGGGCAGGGACAGAGGCCTGTTTTTTTCAGAATGATGTTTCTGTTCTATGAGGGTAGTGCTGGAGTTGGGCTGGGGCAGTAACCACAGGTCTTCTCCACTTGCCAATTTTGGGGAAAGTAAAATTTTGAGGCCAATAAAATGTCTATTTTTACTAATACTTTCTAATTTACTTTTGTTGCAACCAAAAACATACTTTCTATTATTCAAATTATTTAAATTTATTGGAATTTGATTTATGACCAGAAAATGACTGGTTTGGGTAAATATTACATTCACAAGGAAAAGGATGTGTATTTTGCTATTTGAGGGTGGATGCCATATAAATGTCAATTAAGTCTGCCCTTTGATAGTGCTTTCTAGGTGTTTCTTTTCTACATTAATTTTATTCTGTGTGCTTTATTAGTTCCTGAGAGAGGTATATTAAAATCTTAACTATAATTATGTATTTGTCTACTTATCCTTTGATTTCTATCAGTTTTCTTTGCATGTATTTTTAAATACATGTGTTTAAAAAAGCATGCTGATTTGGTTTAAGTTTTCTTGATTAAAAAAAATCAAGAAAACATTATTATGAAATTTCCCTTTTTCTCCTCCCTGAAAATATTACAGTTTCCAAAATACTGTTTGTCTGACATTAGTATAGCCACTCTAGTTTTATTTTTTTATTATATCTTTTAAATTATTTTCACTTTAATACCTTATATCATGATATTTAAATTATGATTGTTTCAGGCAGTTTAGAGTTGGGTCATGCATTTTTATGTCTGCCTTAAACATTTTTATGTTTATGACAATGTCTGCCTATCATTTGCGGTATTTAGACCGTTTATATTTAATATAATTGTAAGGTTGACATTTTCAGAATTAAATCTAATATCTTTATGTCTGCTTATTTAGTTATATTTTCTTCTTTCTTTGCTTTTTTTGGATTTACTGAATGTTTTAAATTTTCAGTTTCTTGTTTGTATTGCATTATTAATTATGCCTATCTTAGTTTGTAATGATTATTCTACGGTTTACAAAGAGCATTTTAAAATTATCACTATCTTCAAATATTACATATATTTACTTATAGTATAAGATACATAATAGTATAGTATCATTTTCTCCTCATATTATGTTTTATTGTTTCTATATATGTAAATTGCTGTTTCTATAAATTTAAATTCTATATACGAAAATAGAGTACTGGAATCAATTATATGTTACTTCACAACTTGTTATTATAGTTTGCATTAAATAATTAATTCTAATTTAATTTTAAAAGGCTGAAAAATATCTTTTATATACATCCCAATATTTACCTTTTTAACTCACTTAATTTTGTATGTGGATTGAAATTTTCTTCTGGGATTTTCTTTTGCCTGAATAATTTGTATAAATATTTCTTGCAATGCAGGTATAGTTTTAATGGGTAACATATATTGCTATTTTCCAGGGAAAAAAATGTTCTTATTTTAAAAATATAGTTTCATTGAGTACATTATCCTAAGGTGAAAGTGCTCATTCCCCTGTTTCACCTAATAAGGAGATCATATGGTTTAGATAGTACAAGTGTAAAATGTTGGAGATTTCTTAGCATAAGTTGACTCCATCACTGGTTTCCTGAGGATATAGAGGACAACAGTCCTATAGAGCAGACCAGACCCACAGTAAACTTTCTGTAAACAAGAAATTAGCTTCTCTTGTATTGAGTTCCTGAGATTTGGTGATGACTATTAACCATGGTATAATCTAACTGCATACTGACTGTTACCAAAAGTGTTACTATTAAAAGGAAACCTTTAGTACTTTGTGATTATTCAAGATAAATCATATTACATCTAGAATCTAGATTAAAGTCATAAAAAAGTAAATTACTATAAACTTATTTCACGCTTTGATAACACTTTAAATTTAGGGTTTTTTTTTGCCATTTTTCAATGTTTATATGTTTTCATGAGGATTCAAGAAAAAAAAGAATGACTATATGTATTTAAGTTCTTTTCATGTCATTATCTTAGCAGCATCCAAAATGTTAAATTGAATTTGTGAATTATATTGTCATAAATTTATTATAAGAGAGACAACTTCTGACCTTTTTCCAGTGGTTTAGTTATATAATATGCCAGATACTTGGAAGAAGGCAACTGGTTGCCTAAGTAAAATATCTTGATGGGTTGGAAATCAGGGGCTTCAACATGGGAGGAAGAGTTATTGCTATTTTTTTTTAAGAGATGTTCCTTTCTGCAGTTTCATCCAAAATGGAGAAATTTGTCTTTAGGATAAAGAAATAATCTGAATGTATCTAACTCTCCCAAAAAGGAATACATTCAGTATCAAAATGCAAAGTAACTATCTTAATGAGTGACAGGTTAGCAGAAAACAGAGCACTTGAATCAATTATATGTGACTGGAGGTGAGAGTGCTAATGGCAGGACTGAACCATTGTGGAGCCATTTAAATAAAACTCTTCATAGTTGCCCTATAGTTTCATTTGTAATAAGTTCACACATGTAGCAACATTGGCTTAGTTAGTTAGGGTAGGTCTTCTCAAATCTGTCTGTACATTACTGTCTTCTCCAGAGAGTTAGTTATGCTGTTTTTTGTTTTTGTTTTTGTTTTTTGTTTTTTTGTTTTTGTTTTTTTTTGAGATGAAGTTTCACTCTTGTTGCCCAGGGTGGAGTGCGATGGCACAATCTCAGTTGACTGCTACCTCTACCTCCCAGGTTCAAGCAATTCTCCCACCTCAGCCTCCTGAGTAGCTGGGGTTACAGGCGTGTGCCACCACGCCTGGCTAATTTTGTATTTTTAGTAGAGACAGGGTTTCTCCATGTTGGTCAGGCTGGTCTCCAACTCCCGAACTCAGGTGATCCGCCTGCCTTGGCCTCCCAAAGTGCTGGGATTACAGGCATGAGCCACTGTGCCTGGCCTATTCTTTTAAATAAATGGAAATGTTCAAACCACTCACAGAAATTCTAATTCCGCAAACTTACTGAGCATTTGACTTTTTAAAGTTTTCACTGCTGATTTTCATAAACATATAAGTCCTGCTGGAAATTGTTTTTGGTGTTCTTCATGTGTTATAAGGCATATTCTTGGTTTTTTAGAACTGGAATAAGCCAAGCACATGATTTGCTAAAAGAAACTTAAGAGATGAGTTTACTCTTATCTTTCCCTGGACATATTTCTAAAACATACTCAGAAAGAGAAAAATAAAAAAGATGAAATACAAAGAGATATAAGAAAATATTTTAAAAGACTATATATATAGTCTATCTATCTATCATCTATCTATCTATCTATAATCTATCTATAATCTATCTGTCTGTCTATTTATCTATCTATCTATCTATCTATCTATCTATCTATCTATCTATCTACCCATCTGTCTATCTGAAGTCAAATCAGAGTTTAATTTTTGGGGGAACATCTTCTGGAAAATGGCAGAAGTGGTAAATAGTTCAGTTAGAAAGGCATCCTTGCATCTCTCCAGCCACAAAACTTGATCCACAAAGAATGATGATCATTGCATTATATTTTCCATCTATCATACTTTAAAATTAACTTTTATTCTTTAGTTTTGTCTATTATTTCTCATATATCCAAGCTAATTTCTCTGTTGCTCTGCAATAATTTTGTATACTTACAGAACAACTTTATATTTAACACCTCCAAAAAAATGACTTAAATAATGTAATTTTTAAATGGTATATTTTATTTGGCTCCATAAAAACTTTATAAAATAAGTAAAATTTATGAAATAAAAGAAAAAACTAAATTTTAAAATCTCTTTCACAATAGGCAATTAGGATAGCACTTGTTATCAATTGGTTAATGATTTGATCAATATATTTTAATTACCCAGTATTGTCACTGTAAGAAGATAGAAACTCCATTTGATAAAACGTGGGTGTCAAGAATAATTTGGGTTACTTGAATTCTGAAAATAATTCTTCCTGTATATGAACAATGCACTTGTTTAAACATTGAAGTTCCTTGGAGTCACTGAAAATCACTAATACAATGGAAATTAATTCTGTGGAATATTTTAAATTGGCCATGAGGGACATTGTATTGAAGAGCATACACCCTTTAAACAATAATTCTGGCTAAGGGAAATAAGCTATTCATTGTAATTTTTAAAATGTATTCATTTAGTATAACATTTTTCACCTTAATAAGTACTGAAAATCATATATTAATTATGTAGGTGTTTACAGTTCTTACTTTAAAGACATATTTAATTTCCTTATACAACCTTTATGATTAAACTACTTAGATTCAATTGAAAAGACATTCATACAACCATTAAAAGGCATACAAATATTAAATACTGTCTTAACCCCTTCTACCCTACTTTCCAAGATTTATGAGCAGGGCTTATTTTCTACCAGCGACAATCTACATAAATCAAAATCTACCCATGCTATTTAACCAGAGGGTCACCTTCATTTCTAACTGTGGACCCTCCTAAGTACTAGTGTACCCACTCATACACAATAACAACGTATTTATTATTTTCCTCAAATAAATTCAACGATATTGCTTGGCACTTTCAGAAGTCTTTTTAAAAAAAAAACACCAAACAAACAAACAAAAAAAAAATAAAAGCAGCTTCTAGATTTCCCTCTTGTAATTATTCTAATTTCAAGGCCATATATATACACAAAGATTTTGTATTTCATAGTGTGAACCCCATAAATATTTCAACAAAATTTGTGCCTGAGAAGTCAGCATAGAATCTGTAATAGTTATGTTAAATTTTATGGAAAGCAAATCAGTAATTTCATAAATAACTATTTTATGACTTATGATGTGCTTTCATCATAAGAGTATTTTTCTATAGGTATCAATAATATAACCATAGAATAATCTAAATTAATTAGACTCATTTATAATAAACCATTTTAATTTTCGGATGTTGGAGGGAAGAAGTAATTGCAGATTCTGTTTTTAAACCACATGATTTTATACTAACACTATCTTTGTCAAATGGAGTAGTCTATCCTTTCAGCCCAAAATATAAGCTTATACTAATTTTTCTTTGTGTATTCACTTCTATGTTTCACCTTAAGTAAGCTTGACTACAGGTGGATAAAAGTGAGCAGGAAGTTTTTACTTGTGATTCTCAAATTTTATTTCAAATCTCTGAATTTATTAGTAAGAATTTTTTAGATATGTGTAATGTTCAAGATTGTTTTTATTTTAAAACTGTCTCAGTCATTATTTAAAATGTTGATTCATGTTATTCAAATGCTAAATATAATATTCCAGCCTTTTTATGAGCTATTCAAAAGATATACTTCTGCTAGGAATGGAAACCATTCACAGCTTAGTTTTACTCCCCTATCTTCTTGGTTACCATACTTAAACTCCTCAGAAGTAAGTATCATCACTTAAAGGTAATACAAATGTATGGTAACCCTTTAAGCCACACTTAGCTAATAGATTGTATTTTTTTACAAGCCAATTTGTGTTTATCCTAAGATAATGTACTTACTTGAAAACATAATTGTTCACTGGTAGATTTGCTAACTATAAAATGTGTGTGTACATTTTTAAGCTAAATATAATAAATGGATTTGATAGGTATATGAAAATACAATAAAATAAATTAGGATCAACAGAGAGCTTTTAACTAGTATATATTTCAACCATTCAAGTTTCAATTTGTTAAATTTTTATAGGCACATTCCAATATTACATATAATATTAGAAGCTATGATTAGAAACAAGACTGGGGGACTAGATGAATCATAGGGTTGCTAATAGGATATTAAGTCTTTTACATCTACATAGTCATTTGGTTGAAATCTAGCCAGCATTAATAGAAAAGCATATTATAATCTGCCAAATTAAATGAGTATGTTATGAGGCCCCGTTCTGTTGAATAAAGGGCTACAGTTCTTTATGCTGACCAATGCAATCATCATAACATCAAAGATAGTTCATTTTATACTCACTCATGACTATCAATAATTGCTCTCTGAAAAATCAATAACGGTCCTTAATTAGTATCTAGTGTGAGGACGTTTTATGTGATGTAAATATCAGGGTAGAAGGAGTTAGACATTTAAATATCCTGTATCATAAGAATATTTTCAGAGACACATATTTTCTTTAAATGTCCTAACTACAATATGATAACAGAGCTAAAGCTCAAAATATAGTAAATAAAAAAGCATCAAAGAGAGAAGTGAAGTTATTAATCAAGTTAGATGTCTCTTTAACATATTTCATGGTCTTAAATATAAAAAGTGACAACTTAATAGTCACTAGATCTGAAGCTAGTTCTGTGAGATAAAGGAAGTAACCTATACTAGAGTAACAATTGTACATGTTCATAAAAATTTATGGTTACAATTTAGAGATTTGCTGTAATTTTTTAATATAAAGCATGATTATAAAATTATTTTGATTTTATTTCAGATTGCTAAATTTGTTTACCCATCCAGTCTTATGTCTGTGAGAGAGTTGTTTTAACATGCTCTTGGCATAAAGTATAAAATATGTTGAAAGATAAGCACTTTTTAATGTACTTCTAGGCATTAAGAACATGAACATTTCTCTAATTCATTAATTTGCTAGCAATTCTCTTCTGATGAAGAAATTTGCCAGTGGCTGTGACCTTAGCTCATAACCGAAGTAATGTGATGGATTTCCATGAGCCATACACGGAAATTAGCTCCATTAATTCATAGTGGTTGTTTTCCAATTTGTTTTATACCCCAAAATACCTGGAAAATTTAAAATCATTCATTGACAATAGTTGTTCAATAGGCAATAATTCTCAGATGGAGGTGGGGTTGTGGCACATATCAAAATTTATTGAAAATGGGCATGTGATTATCTCACACATCACTTCACCTTAAGGTATCACTATTTCTAGAACACGTCTTACATGGCTGGAACAGGAGCAAGAAAGAGAGATGGGGGAGGTGCTACACACTTTTAAACAACCAGATCTCATGAGAACTCACACTCACTGTCATGATAACAGCACCAAGGTGATGGTGCTACACCATTCATGAAGAATCCACCCCCACGACCCAATCACCTCCCACTAGGCCCCATCTCCAACACTGGGGATTACAATTCCATGTGGGGTGGGTGAGGACAAAGATCCAAACCCTGTCACCTATTCATCCAAATCTGAAAACAGTAGATCTAGAATATGTTCAGAATTGGCATTACTCTGATGCAGGTGGGAGTTTAAGGACCACATGGCACTTGGAATTTAGGGACCATTCCAATAAATTATGAAAACACAATGTATTTTATTTACTTAGAGATGTGAGGAGGTAAGAGTAAGACACAATTCTTGCTCTTAAGAGTCATATATGGAAACTCATTAAAATAAAATGTAAGAAGGTATATACAATTGCTATACAAAAGGGGAGGAATGAAACTTCATTTATTTTGTTGTAGAGGTGTCAGAAGTCTCCTAAATAAGTGTCACATGATGTGAATCCAGTTGATAAACAGGAGTCAGCGAAACAGAGTGAAGGGTAGGATATGGAGTCATTGCAATTAAGGAAGCGACGTGAGAAAAAGTACAGAGACTTTTGTAAAATAGGTAACACGTATTAGTTTTCTATTTCCTGTAACAAATTAGCAAAAATAAGTGACTTATAACAACATAAATCTATTATCTCATGGTTTCCATGGGTTAGGAGGTTGGCATAGTACAGCTGAGAACTCTGCTTTTGGGCACTGCAAGGATTCAATATAAGTGTTGACTGACATGCATTCCTTTCTGAAGCTGGGAGTCCTTTTCCAAGCTCACACGGTTGTTGGCAGAATTCATTTCCTTGCAGTTGTAAGATTAAGGTCGCTGTTTTCTTACTGAAGATCTCCATTCCTTGTCATTTGAACCTTTCACAAGCCCTCTCTTAACAAGATGGCAGCTTACTCCTTCAAAGCCCATAGGAGAATCTCTTACTTGAGATAGATAATCTTGAGAATAACTGTGTCATCATATTCACAATAGAACGTAACCTAATTAGGAGAATGGTATCCCAACACCTCTGGCATATTTTCTTGGCTCTGCCCACACTCCGGGGGAGGGAATTGTACAAAGGCATGACTCATTAGGGTTCATCTTAGAATGCTGCCTACCACAGAGCATCCAGGCATAGTAAGAAAAATAGCCATAGGTTTCATACCACAGGCTTCTGTTTGAAGGATGAATCCTTTATATAGAGGCAAATGTAAAGCAAAATAGAGCAGGAAATATTCTAGGACATTTTGATGCATAAAGGAAGAAGTTTATCTATATTATCGTAATATTTAGGCATGAAATATTGCTTACAGTACTTACTGGCATTCTGAATAAGAAACTAAGTTAATTGTATTCCTCTACCCCAAGGAAGCACAGTGACTGGTTATTTGAATGTTTTTTGTAACATGTATTGTAAATGTTTCATTTCTTTTGAATACTCAAATCACTAAAAATAAATAATATCACTCATCAATTAAATATGATTGTTCCATACCATGCTTGGCACTGTACTTAATCTAAGCTTATTATATTGACATTTTTCACATAGATGTACTATTAGCATTTACATTTGCTGAGAGAATATGGAAAACATTTATGTTGTTTGCTGCAAAATCATTAGTGCAATGCAGTGTAGATCGAAGGGGAGTGTTCAACAAAATGGATGTAAATAATTCAAAATGAACTTAATCAGAAAGAATGTCATTTTTTAAACAATAGTTTTTCATCGATGTTCTAATAAGCTATTAATAGCAAAACCTTTAAGCAACAGAATAGAATTTTACTAAAGAAGAACTATCACTTGGACAGTAGCCAGACTTAGAGAAAAAAAACCCCTAGTATTTACTAGGTAAAAATGGGGAGAAGGTTTACCATCAATAACTCTAATGTCCAGCCTGTTCCAGAGTTGCTCTACTGAATTATATATGTATATTATAAAATAAAACTCTGAACTTTGATTTCTAGTTTCTAGGCTATTTCTTTTTCTCAACTATAACAGATAATTACTCATCTTTTCACTAGGGTTGATTTTGAAGAAACTTCCAGGAATCATTTAAAAATAGAAGAATCTAGATTCTGTAGACTTTTATATGTGTATATTGAAAATGTTTAAAGGCTGTATATACTGTGCTGTGAATATGTTATATTTTCCTGTAGAAATAATACTCATTGATGGCTCTTTTAGGCCCTACTAGTTGGAACATTGGCTACTGAGGTTAAGTTCAACACTCTGCTTCTTTTAAAAAATATATTTGGAAATGGATATAAGGAATAAATCACTTTACAAAAAAACACTCCTAACCTGCAATGTGAAGCACGGGTTTTACTTAATTGAAACCTTACAATCCCCCTATGCTATGAGACTTTTATCACTCTTCTGCACTGATGAAGAGCCTGAAGCGCAGATCTGCCATTTTGTCTATTGCAAAATAAGAACTTCAATCTAGGTCCATTTGACTTGAGAGCCTATGCCAAGTGCTTCCAAAACCCCTTTCATTGGCTGAATAATTGCTCGGAATGAATTTTCAGAGTACCAAGATATTGACACTTCAGCCCTAGAGCTGCCAGAAAGGGTTTGTGGTCTCTGAAGCCCTTGAGCTTGTTGCTTCTGGGCCAATGCAAATGGTGTGGAGAAATCTTGTCATTTTATAACACATTAAAATTTAGTTAAGGACAGTGCCAAGCTCAGAGAACACTATTGTGAGTTGCACAGATCTGACATTGGACATTTGGAATTTAGATTCTAGTAGGAAAAGACATCACCTTCAAAAAGTAAACAAAAAATTCATCAGAAATGTACCAAAAATAGGTTGAACATGCAAGCTCAAATAAGAAGAAAGTACAATAAATTACATGATACATGAATGGTGTGAATAACATCATGAATGGTGTGAAATTACATGAATGATGTATGTCTTCATCTGCTTTACAGAGACTAGTCAGTGAAGGCTTTTTTTGAGAAGGTGCTGTTTGAACTGATAGGAGAAAAGCATGAAGGATCTAGTTATTTGAAAAATCTGAGGGAAGAGTGTGCTAATCCAATCGAATTATCAAGGGCAAAAACAAGCAGCGCACCATGTTGTTTGAAATTCGAGTATCCTGTTTTATAAATTGCATTAAGCTAATATATCCTAAAAATGCCTTTAAAATCAAAACTAGGTGCTTAACCCAGGAAAACCAAATGCCCCTTTTTATTATTTATAAAGTAATGAATAATTTTGATGATTATTCCTGGTTACTGTGAGGTATTAGAGTATTCCATTCTGCAGGGTAGATTTGAACACATTGCTCTAAATTTGTCTCTGTTGGTATATCTTGTAACGGCTGAAGGTATTCAGTAGCCCCTGGATAGATATGCTTTATTGAAATTGGTTGATTAATAAAAATAGACAAACTTAATATCACTGTAACTTTTGAGGAATGAAAATTTATTGTTTTGGCCAATTATATTATTTAGTAAGTTCTCTCTACCATCTGGTACTAACATAGTGGCATTTCTGGAGGATTCATTACGGCTTTGTTAGTTTTTCTGGTTCTATGCACTTGAACTCTTGTAGCCAGAGATTATTTAACTGAGATTGTCAAGGCATGTCAGAAAAAATATTATACTTCAGGTTAAATTGGAATTTCAGATAAACAAATAATTATTGTCTAATATAAGCATGTCCCAAATTGCATATGACATACTTATGCTGCAGAATATTAATTGTTCTTGTATAACAAAAGAAAATTATTAGTACATTTTAATTTTAAGACATGCATAGTAAAAGGACGCTTTGGGGATTTGTGATACATAATAATTACATTTGAAAAAGATGTCATGGAGAAAGTATAAATGTTATAGAAGACAACGTCAATTAAGGCTTTTCTCTCAGAAAACTTAATTTTTTTCTATTTATCTAAGAGTTAAAATTTTAATTAAATTGCTTTTCTATGATGTTTAAATCATTCTTATGTGTGTCTGTGTGTGGTAGCTCACACCTGTAATCCCAGAACTTTGGGAGGCTGAGGTGGGAGGATCACTTGAGGTCAGGAGTTTGAGACCAGCCTGGCCAACATAGCAAAAACCTGTCTCTAGTAAAAATACAAAAATTAGCTGAGCATGGTGATGCACACCTGTAATCCCAGCTACTCAGAAGGCTGAGACAGAAGAATCACTTGAACCTGGGAGGCAGAGGTTGCAGTGAGCCGAGATCGCACCACTGCACTCCACCCTGGGTGACAGATCGAGACTCTGTCTCAAAACAAACAAACAAACAAACAATCATTCCCATGTGTGATTAGGTTAAAATGACCACGACATATAGGAATGTTTAGCAACGTGAAAGGAAGATATATACAATGCGTTACTTATTCAATTTTGGTTATTATCATTTTCTACATCAAAGTGTAGCAACACATATTTACCAATTTGCTAAGGCTGCCATAATGCAGTACTGCAAATGCAAACTGAGTGGCATAAACAATAAAAATGTATTGTCTCATATTTCTGGAGCCTAGAAGTCCAAGCATAAGGTGACGGCAGGGCTGGTTCCTTTTGATGGCTGTGAGGGAGAATCTGTTCTTTGCCTCTCCCCTGGCTTCTGGTGGTTTGCTGGTAATCTCTGGCATTCCTTGGCTTGCAGGAACATCACCATGATCTCTGCATTCATCTTCACATGATATTTTCTTAGTGGGTGTGTCTGTGTTACAAATTTCCCTTCTGTAAGGACACTAGTCATATAAGCTGCTCACCCTGCTCCAGTATGACCTCAGCTTAACTAATCGTATCTGCAATGACCCTATGTCCAAATAAGGTAACATTCCGAGGTACTGTGGTTAGAACTTCAAAATATTTATTTGGGATTGGGATAAGGCATTCATGGGTGTTCAACCCATAACAACATGGCAGAAAAAAATGGACATGAAATTTCAAAATACCTAAGACCCTATCTTTAAATTTGGTTCTTTACTACCTGCACTCCGTTTGGAAAATCTCTTAATTTCTTTTTCTCAGCTACATGATCTGTAAAATGGAGCTAATAATTTTAGCTTTGTTTACTTTGCAGGGATTTTGTGTTAACTCAAAAGAAATTGTGATTTTTTTTTACATGTACTACCAAGTAAAATATAAATCAGCCATTTAGGATAAATTTGGAGCTAAATAAACTATTAGTCAAAAGATAACTGGTGAAAGCACACCATTAATTTTTAGTGTTTGAAATAAAACGTAGAAAATAACTTTGGAGCCACTCTCAACTACTTCTCTGCATTTTATCAATCCAGTCAACAGAGAGACCTAATAGTGTCAGTTCAGCCCCTTTTCTCTGCCAGTATAACCACTCGCTTGTTCTATCAAATTTATCTCTTAATAGGTTTTTAAATCTGCATTATTAATCCTTTGTACCTGTCCTCATTCTTTTTTCAGTATAATATTCTTAAGAACAATATGTGAACTTGGCCTTAGTTGTGCAAAGAAGAAAGTCCAGGAGGACCTCACCTTAACTAATTGTATCTACCATGACCCTATTTCCCACTTTCAAGAATTCTCCTTGATGTGCTTACAATCTATTGGTGAACACAGCAGACAAAACAGAAAAGAAATAGAAACCTTATTAATAATGTCTATTAGTTTTCATATTCTGATTTTAAATAATGAAGAATAATATCAGGAGAAAAAAACAAAATTAGGAGCCAATATTATTTGTGAATGAGATGCAGCAGAAAAAACGACAGCAAATTAATCCACCAGATTAATCTCTTATGGCCATAATAATTTATTCCAATAATTCAACGATGGTTCATAATAAACATATTTATATATTTCATTACTTTAACTTTTTAAATGAAAATTACTTAAATGATTATATTGAAGATACCAAAATACTAAATTCAGCACTATTTCTTATTGAAAAACAACCTTCTGTGAGCTAGATATATGATGAAAATATTTTTATATAAAATGCAGGTACCTGACACTATCAGCAACATCATTTCTTATTCAGCAATTTTGAAATTCAAAGGCACAGAAAAGAGTATTATAAATTGCAAGAGTATGGCAAGCTACATTTGTATATACTTTTAGATTCACTATCTTTGAATATTTTACTACTTTTGTTTCATCTTTCTTTTTTCCTTTCAACTATTTGAGAGATATTTGACAGACGGGATACTAACTTATTCCTAAACACTTTATTACATGTTGCTTAAGTGATAGCATTCTCCTGCATAGCCTTAATACAATGGTTATGCTCAGAAAATTTAGCAGTAAAAACACTATCTACAATAGACCCCATATTTAAATATTCTCATTTATCTCAATGGACTTTTTCCCAGTCTTTGATTGTATGTTGTATTTAACTGATGTGCTGCGCTAGTGTCCATCATAATAGAGCATTTTCCCCGTTGATGTTGTTGTCAATGACATTGAGTTTTTAGCAAAAATCAGATAAGTTCTAGGACTTATCTCTTAATCTGAATTTGTCTGGCTAGTTTCAGGTTAAAATTTTTGGCAGGAATTCTACTTAGATTATGTCTGTTGCATTGTCATGTTCAGGGTTTCACACTTGGAGACTTCAGAATATCACTGTGTTTCATTTTGTTAATATGTTTGGTCATTGTATTAGTTTTCTATTGCTGTGCAACAAATTATCAAAATATTAGTACCTTAAAACAATACAAATTTGTCTCACAATTTCTGAGAATCTGAAGTCTGACACATTTTAACTGGGCTCTCTGCTCAGGATCTCACATGGCTGAAATCAAAGCATCTGTCTGATGCATCTGGAGGCTTGGACTAGGGAAAAGTCAGCTTCCTCTTTCAACTTGGCAGAATCATCTTCTTGCAGCTGTATTACCACAGTCCCCATTTGCTTGCTAACTCTTGGCCAGATCACCGTCAGCTTCTAGATACTGCCCATAATTCCTTGCCACGTGGCTTCCATGGGCAATGCAGATGGATAGCTGCTGCTTCTCTCTCAGGCAAGCAGGAGCAAGTTTCTCTGTTTCCTCCCTCACCAAAAAGCCAGAGAAAACACTGTACTTTGAAAATCCTCACTTGATTAAGACAGGACAAATCAGGATAATTTCCTTTTTGCTATATAACATAACATAGTCATGGGAGTGATGTTTCATTATATTCACAGGTACTACTCACATGCAATGGGATGTTACTTTACAAGTGGGAAGTTACTTTACAGACCTTTTATGCCAGAAAGTGACAACAATCAGATTTTACATTGTTTAAAAAAAGTGTGAGGGCAGGGGTGGGGGGCAGGTAGGGGTTGGGGGTTGGGGATGACTTAGAATTACTTGGTCTTTGAAGGTCTTAAGGATTTACATAAAGCATTATTTCACCTTTGTCTTTTGTATGGGTAGTTATTTGATACATTCTGTTTCTTCCAAGGAAATTGATTCCTTTAAGTGCTCAATCAGTTCTCCTGGGGTCAAGTATAATTGAAAAATATTTTAATTAAATATTTTCATTAAAAACATTTTATAAAATAAAATGTTATTAAAATGTTTATATAAAATATTTTGTATAAGCCTTAAAATGTGTCTGGGCCGGGTGCAGTGGCTCATGCCTGTAATCCCAGCACTTTGGGAGGCCATGGCGGGCAGATCACCTGAGGTCCCCTGACCAGGTTCGAGACCAGCCTGGCCAACATGGTGAAACCCCATCTCTACTAAAAATGAAAAAATTAGCTGGGCATGGTGGCACATGCCTGTAATCCCAGCTACTTGGGAGGCAGAGGCAGGAGAATCACTTGAACCCAAGAGGTGGAGGCTGCAGTGAGCACAGATGGCGCCACTACACTTCAGCCTGGGTGACAGAGCGAGACTCTGTCTCAAAAAAAAAAAAAAAAGTGTCTAAAATTTTGCAAAATATCCTTTATAATTCTATTGTTGCTTTGTTTTAATAACCTCCCTTTGTCATTTCTGATTTTGTATATGTATGTTCTGTATTTTTTAAATTATGTTATCTAGTTACTTTGTTAAAAGTACAGCACGTTTATTCACTAATTACTCTTATATTTCTGTTTGCCTTTAACCTCTTAAATTGCTAATTTTGTCATTATAGTGTCCTTCCTGGAGTGTTAGATGACCTCTTTAGATTTTATACTGGTTTTAAGAAAAAGAATAGCAGTAATATTTTCCTGTGTGTTCTTTAAACAAAAAGTTCTCCTTGATCATATCAATTAAGTGCTGATCTGCTTTGTGTCACCTCTGTCTTTGAAACTAATACTTCACTTTTAAAATCTGCTTTTAAAAATTATATTTTATTCTTATAATTGTATAATCTTATATTTTTATATATTGCCTTGGTGAGCATATTTGAATTGCTTGTTTCTTACTTTTTATTCTTTGAATGAACCTCAGTATTCAAAAATGATCTTTTAATATAATAGTTTTACAAATACTTTGTCTTTATTTTCATAGACAAGTGAGAATGACTTATATTTTTCTTATTATCTTTGTCTTATTTTAAACTAAAGAACATATTTACCTTAAGAAATTAGTTGAAGATGATGACATTTTTCTTCTTTGTTTAAAGGTATTTTCTACAACCTGATGATTTTGTTTTCTTTTTTTACAAGTTAGAAAGAAATGACCTATAAGCCAATCCTTGGATGTTCTTTAGTTTCTTGTTGCTGTTAGCACTTTTACCTATTTTGTTCACAATTTTTACTGTCCTATTTAAGTTGTCTCATTGATATGTCAATTTTTGTCATTGTCTTTTTTTTTTTTTTTTTTGAGACTGTCTTGTTCTATTGCTCAAGCTAGAGTGTAGTGACGTGAACATAGTTCACTGCATCCTTGACCTCCCGGGCTCAAAGGACCCTCTCACCTCAGCCTCCTGAGTAGCTGGAACTATAGGCCCATGCCACCACACTTGGCTAATATTTTTTAGAAATGATGTCTCGCTATGTTGCCTAAGCTGGTCTCCAACTCCTGGGCTCAAGCAACTCTCCCTCCTCGGCTTCCCAAACTGGTGGGATTACAGGTGTCAGCCACCTCGCCCAGCCAGTAATTGTCATTTTAAAATAAAATTACCTATTTAAACATGATTTCAGAAGTCTTCACATATATACACATATTGTATTTATATAAATTATCTTTTTAAAAATTTCTACTAATATTATTGAAATTTGCTGATTGTTCAATTAGTACTGAAAGTAGAAAAACTAACATTATTTCTTTTAACAATTAAATTTTGTATTGATCTAGTAATTATGCTTTAACTTTTCATTATTTTCTACTTTATTCATTGGTTAACTTGTTCTTATGCTGAAAACAAAATGCAAATCTTCAATTTGTTAATTTTTTCTTATCATTTTTGATTCATAAAAAAATTTAAAGGAATAAAATACTTTACCCACACTCAAAGTTTTTCTGTAGAGTATATGTTGGGCATTTAAAAATGTGTTTGTAATATCTGCATTTTTTTTCCTGAGCTCATTTGTGTGTGTGTGTGCACTTCCAATGCTTCTGTTTGGTTACTTAAAATTATTACTCTCTTTGCTATAATGTGACTTGAAATGTGTATCTATTATTTACATTTAAATATTAATGATTCATTTTTCCCATACCCTTTGAAACATGCATATTTTTCTTAATCTATAAATTTGATAATGTAATTTTTAATATTTATGTTATTAATTTATTAAATATTTGCTTCCTTTACTCATAAAATATGAAAGTGATGTACTCAAGTTTTCTTCTAAAACTATTTTTCCCCTTTTCCTTGAATTCTTATGTTTTCCTTAATGAATTGTATTGCTCTCTTTCTACAGATAATCTAAAATGGGCCAACTCCTGATACACAGTAAAAAGATGTATAATACTAACAACAACAGTAACAATAGTAATTTTCTTATGAGATAATAATGATAGTCATGAGAGTTTCACCACTGACTATGTCTGTGGTGTGGTATGATATGCGAAATAAGAAAAAAAGCATGAAGCAGGAAAGGTGGCCAGAGTAGTATGATATTACTTCTGACACTAAGAGCAAGTAATAGTCTTGACATGAGTGGATTGCTTAATAATATTTTTTTTTATGGGAGTCCAACATATGGCTAAAAAGCTAAACATGTCTGCTGTTCAATTTCTATGTCAGTATCTTTTCTATCTTGCAAATTCCATCCAGGTTGAGTACAGAAAATAACAAATAAAAGAATATAAACCACTATTAATAATATCCAGAAAATAAAATACTAAATACACATATATATTTAGAAAATAAATATACTGGGGGAGTATTTTAGTTATTTCTTTTCTATGCATGTTCACATTCATGCTGATTTGTTGAGAACATATGATTAAACTGATTCCTTATTTTAGCATCCTTCTTTCCCCCAACCAATAATATATTTTAAAATGTTTCCCATGTCATTAAATGGTCTTACATTACATTATATAAATGGCTCTATAATGACCCTATAGGGCAAAGGCTGACTAGGTGAATAATCCTAATTCCTCTTCCTGGCACAGAGAAAATTTCTTAGCCTAAAATATATGCCTGTCTGATTTAAAAATCCTACACATACCATTAGGATCATTTTGAGTAGTCAGAATAGCAATGATGAATCAGTAAATGCCAAGGTCAACAATATAAACACATTGAATAAAACCCCCTCTCTGTATCATGTTGATAATTGAAGTATTCTGATTTACTGCTATTACTTAAACAAAGAAACAGATAATATGACCTGCAAACAAGCACTTCTTTGAATGCAGGCATTTCTGGGAGGCAGGAGATTTAGAAGGGTTTAATTTGTGTTGTCACCATTGTCCTGCATCAGGAGAGTATTTGTGTTCTTTTGTTCAATTCAGAACCTCCCTACCAAGGCCTCACTGTTTTAACAATAGATAGGTACAGAAATATCAATGTGAAAAATCTCCGTATGGAATTATTGGGGTGAAAACTATTTTGCAGAAAATGAGCCAGTCAGTATACAGCTACAGTCCAGTGGATGGAATAAAAAACAAACAAAACATCTTAAATACCCACTTTATTTTCATGAAAAACGTGAATCCTTGTGTGCAATACATTTTTTTCCTAAATATCCTTCAACTAAAAGTCAAGGAACTGGCAAGTTAGCACTTCTGCGTGCTCTAGAGAAATGACCTTTGCAACCCCTTCATTTTCTTTCCTCCTGTTTCACTCTTATTCTGTTTTCCAACTATAATTTTTTTCTTTTAGTTGGCATTCCATGCAAACCAATGTTGTTACCTTTGGTTATGATTTTATATTTTAACCTAATTTCCTCCTTGACATTTACCTTTCCATCCATGATCTGTTTTTCCCTAGCAGTGGGACCTTCTTCTCCTTCTGTGCCACATAATAATAAGATCAAAAGGGTAGATGTGGGGTGCTCACAGCCTGATCTCTACTGCGGTTAAGTCTGCAAGGTTAGAACTATTATTATTTTACGTTTAGCTTCTTTTGAGTTGTGCCTGTGGAACGAGTAATGAATGTTTTCTGAACTCTCATATTTTCCTTCCACCTTCCCTCTCCACTTTTCTGCAGCATTAATGGCCAGAAAAACAAATATTGTTTTGACAGCAGATTCCAAATAATACATACCGACCAGGTTTTGTATATAACAATCATTCTTGAGTTAGCCAGTTTTAAAGAACAGTTAATAGAGAAAATCACATCGATGTGAAAAATGATGTCATTAAATCTTTTGTTTTTCTGCTCTCTCCTCTTGCTGTAAGCAAACACTTATTATAAATGTCACAGAAGGAAAATGTCCTGAGAGATTCTTGTCCTTTCAGCTTGAATGTTATGGCTGTACTTCTGAGGAAGACTGTTGCAATATTTTATATTAAGATAAAAATACGAGTTTTGTTTCACCTGAAATTCTCCTGAAACCTCACGTGTTTCACCCCAAAGAAATAATTATATGCAGATAAGACAGCTATTGTTAACTCAGTTTAACAAATGTAACTTGCTCCCTTCAAAATTACCTGTTTATACTTTAGAGTGTATATCTAGCCAAGAGATATTAAAAGTTCCAACTTCCTCTTATACTAAGTAGGCCACTGCGTGGGCAGTGATGTTAGTCAGCAGAATCACCAATCCGTGGTGATGAGTAATACCTCTTAACATTTTCCAAACCTATGTACACACAAATTGCCTTAATATTCCCCTACACACTTTTTAGAGAAATGGGGAAAATGTGAAGTATGAAGGATATTTAGAATATGTGTTAATTCCAAACAGTTTTAAAATAATACAATGATCTACATGGAGATTTCAATCCGAACAAGTTGTAGTAGTTGAGAATTTACTTATCTCAGTGTCTGAGCAGTTTTGCATTTCAACAATAATAGCTGAGGGCTAATTTGAGATGATTGTATTGTTAATTGAGGTGGTTAGGAGGGTGTGTTTTTAATTTTTTTGTTTTTCATAGAAGCATGGACTCTTATTTTGAAATAATATGCTCAAGCATTACTTTGTTATCATTTATTTGACAAAGTCAAGCTTGAGGTACATTTAACTATCAACTTAGCATTGAAGCCTCATGATGAGTGTTGAGACACTGTTTTAGAAGATGAGAGCTCACAATATAGTGGAAAGTGATTAAGGTAAAAGAATAAAGTGATTTCCTGTTTCTCTGAAGTACTGAAGTACTTTTCAAAATTTATTGGTTCTTTTGGACAAAATCCTATTTCTTGTGTGTGTGAGATGGCATTACTGGCCCAATTCTTCAACCATCCCTGTAGCCATTCCCCTGCTATGACATCATTATGGTTGGAGCATATTTCCTCCCCTTGACTTTGGAATTGATTGTGTGATTTGCTTTCATGAACAGAAAGAGTCAAAAGTGACTGCTATTTTCAAGTCAAGGATTTAAGAGGCCTTGCATGTTTCTGTTTGCCCTTTTTCACTTCTGCCATTATCATGAGAAGAATCTGTGCTAGTCAACCTGCCAGTCAAAAATAGATGACAAACATATCAGGCAGAGCCACCCAGTGTTATCTAGAGGCTTTCAGAAAGATGCATGTTAGTGCAAGCCTCTGCACGTGATCCTGGTTTAAATCAGCCGAGCTTCACAACATTGTGTATCTGTGAGGATAAATGAATATTGTATTAAACCACTAGGGTTTGAATAATAGCTTTAGTGAGATTTAACTGAGTTATAATGAATAGCACATATTTAAGTTATACAATTTGGTGAGTTTTGACATATATTTCTACTCCTAAAATCATCATCACAAAATTACCACCACAAGATAATGAACATAATTATTCCCCAAATTCCAAAGTTTTCCCACACTATTTTGTTGTCCCTGATTTCTTCAATTCATTCCTTACCCCATTCACAGAAACCACAGATCTGCTTTATGGTCACTATAGATTTGTTTGTATTTTCTGAAGTTTTATCTGAATGAAATAATATAGTAGATATTTTTTGTCTAATTTCTGTCAGTAAAATTATTTTCAAGATCATCCATGTAGGAGTATGTATCAGTAGTTTCATCGTTTTTTGTTTCTGAATAGTATTCTATTGCATGGTTGCACCACAATTGTGTTACTCATTAATCTGTTGAAAGCTCTTTGAGTTTTTTCAATTTGACATTTTTAAAAACAAAGTTCTATGAGCATCGAAGTACAACATTTTATATAAACAAATACTTTTCCTTCTCTTAAGTACATAACTGAGACATATGGTAGATTACATTTGACTTCTTAAAAACTGCCAGACTGTTTTCCAAAGTGATCATGCAAATTTTGTTGCAGGAATTTTCTCTTGTCCCTCTGCCAGTGGGGGACCTCTGGCCAGTGATGCCAGAGGCCTCACTCGGGACATGCTACCTGCTGCAAGAGGCGCCTTGTCCAGTCGGCCCACTGGGCAGAGTCTGGCTTGTGCACTGGTTCCTGAGTTCTTGTACCATGCCCAAGAAGAATGAGGATGCACTGACAATGGAAGAGTGAGCAAGGCAGGGAATTTTATTGAGTGACGAAACAGCTTTCAGCAGAGAGGGGACATGTGGTGGTCCCCCAACCCAAAGGCAAGAAAGTTCCCTCAGTGTGGCTGAGTCCTGGGACTTTATATGGGCTCAGAATAGGGGAGGGGCAGCCAAACAGAAACAGAAGTTCTCACTCTGGGTTGTGGGTTTCATCTGGGACCAGCAGTCCAGTCTTTCAGCCTGCGTGTGATTTTTGGCTTGAAGGTGGGGTTTCTCTGGGGAACCTCCTTTATCTGCCTAGGCATATGGCTTTCTTCTGTTGCTGTCAATTTAACGTTCCTCAAAAATAGTTTATGAGGTTTCCAGTTTACCGATATCCTAACCAACACTTGATATTGCCAGTCTTTTTAATTTTAGACACCCTGGTATAATAGAGTGGTATATCCTTGTGATTTTCATTTGTATTTCCCTAAAAAACTTTGATGTGGAGTATCTTTTTATTTTCTTATTTGTCAACCACGTATCTTCTGTGGTAAAGTGCCCAAATTTTTGCCCATTTTTAATTAGGTTATTTTTTCTTATTAGTGAGTTTTGTGAGTTCTGTATATATTTTAGATAGTCTTTTATCAGGTATGAGAATTTCAAATATTTTCTTCTAGTCTGTGAGTTATTTTTTATTCCCTTAGTGGTTGGTGTTTGTGAAAGATTAGACACCTTTAATTTTGTTGAAATCCCATTTATCAATTTTTCTTCCATGAATTGTGCTTATTTGTTCTTAATACAAGAAATTATTGCAAAACCCAGGATTACACAAATTTCCTTCTCTGTTTTCTCCTGGAAATTTTGTAGTTTTGGATTTTAAATTTTGGGCTATGATCTATTTCGAGATAAGTATTTTATATATATGTAAGTTGAAGGTCAAAGGTCTTTTGGATTCTTGTTTGTTTTGCATATTGTTAACCAATAATTCTGACACTGTTATCTTTTCTCCTGTTGAATTACCATAGCATTTAGTAAATAATAAAATTAGGCATTACTTAGTTTCATTGTTCTGTTTGTGTATCCTAACTCTAAAATCACAGTTTTATTTACTGTTGCATTATAATCAAACTTGAAATCTGGTAATGTAGTACTGTCATTTTGTTCTTGTTCTTTAAGTTTTTTCTTTTTAACATATTCTATTTTCTTGCATATTTTTATATATTTTTAAATCAGCCTGTCAATTACTATAAAAAATATCTACTGAAATTTTGATTTGTATTGCATTGATTCTGTAGATTAATTTGCAGAGAATGGACCACTTATAAAAATATTGATTTTTCTGCTCCATGATAATGGTATATGTATCCATTTATTTAGTTCTCCTTTAATCATTTCTATTTCTCTTAGCCACATTTGCAGTTTTTAGTATACAGTTACTACACACCTCTTGTCAAATTTATTCCTTACTAAATCATATTCTTGATGCTTATATAAATGACATTGCCTTTCAATTTAATTTCTTATTTTTGGCCCTTATTATATAGAAATAAAATGTATTAGTATATCAATCTTGTATTATATAAACTTACAAGGCCCAGTTATTAGTTCTAGTCGTTTTGTGTAAATTTAATAGGATTTTCTACATTGCCAGTTTGTCATGAGCTAAAACACACAATATTTATTTTTTCCTTTATTAACTATATGTCTATAACCTCTTTTCTTCTTAACCTTTTCTAGTTGTTGAACTGCTTATGTCATGTGAAATAGAGGTGATGACAGCAAATGTCTTTGCCTTGCTCCTGATCCTCAATTACAGTATTCTCTTTTTCAGCATTGAATATATTATTAGCTGTATTTTCTGGATTCCCTTGATCATGTTTACAAACTTTACTTGTGTTTCTAGTTTGCTGAGAAATTGCAACAGAAATATATGCATGCTAAATTTCCTAAACTGATTTTTCTGATGTCTCTTGAGATAATTATTATTTGTCTCTTAACTGGTGTATTGCATTAATTTGATTTAAAAATATTAAATTAACTGGGAGACAAATACTGTACGTCACAATATATTATCTTTTTTATATATTGAGTTTGATTTGCTAACAGTCTTTTAGAGTTTTTTCATTTATGCTCATGAAAGACATTGGTCCATATTTCTCTTTTAGTTTCTTGTTATGAGTAATGTTGACTCATAGAAGTTACAGGGAAGTATTCTATCCTCTTCTATTTTTCTAAATAGTTTATGTAAAATTGGTATTGTTTCTTCCTTAGATGTTTGTTGACTTCGACAGTTAAATATATGGGACTGGTATCTTTTTTTTTCTTTTGATAAGGTTTCTGTTATACATTCAATTTCTTTTATAGATATATATGTCAATTCAGATTACCTATTTCTTCTTTAATGAACTTTGACAAATTATCTCTTTCAAGAAATTTTCCCTTTTCATCCAAATTGTCAAATTTATTGATATTAGGTAATTAATATTTCCTTAATAACTTGTTAATATCTGTAGTGATATAACTATTCCATTTACAGTTATGGGTTATTTGCATTTCCTGTCTCTTTCCTTGTCAGTCTGATTAAATGTTAATCACTTTTTATTTATTTATTTATTGACTTTTAGTGAAAGGGAATCTTGTCAAAAGTCAGAATTTAGTTTCATTGGCTACCACTACTGTTATTGTTTTCTATGTCATTTAATCCTGCTCCTATCTTATTTCCTTTCTTCTGCTGACTTTTGTTTTCTTTTATTTTTTCTTTCTTTAAAGGTAGAGGCTAAGGTAATAGACTTGAGACCTTTCTACATTTCTAATGTATGCTGTTAGTGATACAAATTACTCTTTCAATATTTCTTTGGTAGCATTTCACTAACTTTGATATATTTGGTTTTTAATTTCTTTTCCTGCATATTATTTTTAATTTCTCTTTCAATTTCATGTTTTATTGACTGCTTATTAGAATTAGATTATCTGGCTTTCAAATATTTCGTGATTGTCTTGATATGGTTGATAAAAGAAAAATTCTTTTACCAAATTAAATTCAGAGGAGTTTTACTGAGCAATGAATGCTTCATGAATCAGGCAGCCTTCTGAGCCAGGGTAGGCTCAGAGACTCCAGCACAGCCACATGGTGAAAGAACATTTATGGACAGAAAAAGGAAAGTGACGAACAGAAAATGGAAGTGAGGTACAGGAACAGTTGGATTGGTTAAGGCTTATCGTTTGCCTTATTTGAACACAATTCAAACAGTTGGCTGTATATGATTGGCCAAGACTTAGTGGTTGGCACAAGTGTAGGCTACAGTCTGTTTATACCTCCACTTTTTATAGTTCATAATGTGCAGAAAAACCTTCAGACCAAACTTAAAATATTTAAGGAGGCAGCTTTAGGCTAAACTTGATTTAACATGGTTCAATTAGTTGTTATTAATTCAATTACACTGGTCACAGAATATATGGTGTATCACTGAACTACTTTAAAATATAATGAGACTTATTTTAAATAAAACACTTAGTATATCAACCTTCTTAAGTGTTTCTTGTGCACTTGTAAAGAATGTGTATTCTGCCCTTGTTGGGTGATATGACCTACACAAACAATTTAGGTTTATTTGTTTAATAGTGCTATTTAAATGTTTTGTATCCTTACTGAGTTTCTACCTGTCTTTCCAACCCATTATTGAGACAAGGTCATTGAAAATTTTGATTAGAATTGTTTATTTGTATATTTCTTCTTAAAGTTATGCAAATATTTTGATTTATGTATTTTGAAGTCCTTTTATTAGGTGAAAAAAATATAGAATTATTTTGTCCTCTTAATGAATTGATTCCTTTAGTATTATGAAATAGCCCTCTTTACCCCATCCAATATTCTTTGTTCTGAAATCAACTATCTGATTTTAACACAGCCACTTCAGGTTTTTTTTTTATTATTTGCATGGTAAATATTTTTCTCTTCTGTTACTTTTGCTTTATTTACATTGACATTAGTTATGTGTAGGCAGCACACATTTGGATCAATTTTTTCACATTTTCTAGTCTGAGTTACTTTTTTGGGGAGTATTTAAACACTTCATATTTAATGTGGTTATTAACAAGATTGGGTTATATCAATGATCTTGCTATTTAATTTATATTTTTCCCATATCATCGTTTCACTGTTCCTCTTTTTCTGTTTCTTTTTAGATTGAATACTATTTTTTAAAATTATCTTTTTTATTGGCTTATTATCTATACCTTTTTTGGGTTATTTTAGTGATTGTTCTAGATTTTTTTGGTATACATGTTTCACTTTCATAGTCTTTCTGCAAGTAATATTATATCACTTCACATTTAGTATAAAGATGTTATAATAGTATACTTTCATTTCTCCCCTCCTAGCCTTTATGCTGTTATTGTCATACATACACTATGTAAATCCTATAGTGTATTGCCATTTTTTGCTTTAAACAACTCTCATGATTTAATATATAAGAAAGTGTGTTATATTTAATCACATGTTTACATTTTTGCTGCTTTTCTCTGTAGATATAGGCTCCCATCTGAAATCACTATCTTCCTGTAGAATTTTAAAAAATATTTATTGTAGTGAAGGTCTGCTAGTGATGAATTCTTTCAACTTTTGTATATGTGAAGGTGTCTTTATATTGTCTTTATTTTTGACAATAGAAAGGTTTTGAAAACCTTTTGGCTGGATATAGAATTTTGGGTTGTCAGTTTTTTTCTTTTAGTACTTTAAAAATGTTGCTTCATTGCCTTCTATCTTGTATTGCTTTGGATGAGCAATCTGCAGTTATATTTGCTTCCCTGCCTGTATATGACATTTCCCCCCTCTGGATGCTTTTAAGATGTTCTCCTTATCTTTGATTTTAAACAATAAACTTATATGCGCTTTTTGCACTTAGAGTTCACAGAACATGTTGGATAGACGAGTTTATTGTTTTTATGAAATGTGGAAAATATACCCAATATTCCTTTATATATATTTTATAATGCTCCCTGTCCCTCAGAGACTCTAAGTATACATGTAGTGAGTCCCTTGAAGTTGTTTTGCCACTCACAGTGCTCTTTTCAATTTTAAAATTCTTTTTTACTGTTTGTATTTTATTTTAGACAGTTTACATTGCTAGCTTTCTAGTTCACTGATTTTTTCCTTCAACATTTAATCTACTGTTAATCTTAAGTAATATATTTTTTAACTCCAAATTGTATTGTTTAGCTCTAGAAATTGTATTTAAATGTTCAACTTTAATATTGCAACTCTTTACTTTAAATACTCAATTTTGTCTTCTATCTTTTTGAATGCAATATAGTTAACATTACTATTTTATTAACAGTTTGCTTGAGTAATAGAATTAGCTACTATTAGCTAACACTTGAAAGATAGAATTAGCTACTATTTTATAACAGTCTGCCTTCTAATTCTATTACTTGAGTCATTTCTGATTGTGTTTCTATTGACTGAAATTTCTTCTCATTATGTGTCATATTTTTCTGCTACTTTGTATACTTAGTAATCATAATAGGATGTCAGACATTTAAATTTTGTATTTTTGGCTGCCGATTTATTTATTTATTTATTTATTTATTTATTTATTTATTTATTTATTTTGAGACGGAGTTTTGCTCTTGTCTCCCAGGCTGGAGTGCAGTGGCGTGATCTTGGCTCAAGGCAACCTCCGCCTCCCAGGTTCAAGCAATTCTCCTGCCTCAGCCTCTTGAGTAGCTGGGATTACAGACACCTGTCACCATCCCTGGCTAATTTTTTTGTATTTTTAGTAGAGATGGGTTTTCGCCATGTTGGGTAGGCTGGTCTCGAACTCCTGACCTCAGGTGATCCACCTCGGCCTCCCAAAGTGCTGGGATTACAGGTGTGAGCCACCACACCCAGCCGGGTGCTGAATATTTTTGTATTTCTATAAATATACTTGAATTATATTCTGAAGCACTATTTTTCACCTGAGTATAATTTTTTTCTCTCTAATCTTGCTTTCAAATTTGTTATAAGTGGGCTGGGCACGGTGGCTCACGCCTGTAATCCCAGCACTTTGGGAGGCCGAGGCAGTTGGATCGTGAGGTCAGGAGATCGAGACCATCCTGGCTAACATGGTAAAACCCCATGTCTACTAAAAATAAAAGAAAAAAAAATTAGCCAGGCGTGGTGGCAGGGACCTGCAGTCTCAGCTACCTGGGAGGCTGAGGCAGGAGAATTCTTGAACTCAGGAGGCAGAAGTTGCTGTGAGCCTAGATCGTGCCACTGCACTCTAGCCTGGGCAACAGAATAAGACTCCGTCTCAAAAAAGAAAAAAAGAAAAAAAATTGTTATAAGTGATCACAACTGCCTTTATTTTACTTCTCAACTGAGGCAACACTCGTTAAGTACTTTTTCCAATGCCCTATGACTCACCAGATTTTCTACTTTGGTTTGTTGGAGCACAAACAATTCCTGACTTCGTATAATCTTTGAGGATTTTTCTCTCCATTTTATTTGAGCGCTTTTTCTCTGGCCTCTGCTATTTTTCTTATATGCGTTTACTGATTAGAATCTATCTGCTGACTTGGGATACCATTTATTGGTTTTCAGAACTCTTTTTCCCTAGTTAACTCTCTCTTTCCTAGTGCTGTTCCCCGCAAATTCTACCTGTGTCAGCTTCACTACTCTCATTTTCTCAACTCAAGTCCTGTGCACTGCATCTCAGCTCCACTGCCCTAGGCAGTGTTCTGGAAACTTTATGCAGATACTAAGCTGGAGCACTTCTAGGACTTACCTCACTTTCCTCTTCTCTCAGAGATCACGTTGCTACCTAGTGTCAAATATCAGTAAGCCATGATTTCATATATTTTGTCTATTTTATTTCAGTTATTTTGAGTATGAGCATTATGACAGCCCTGTTACTCAATCTTTGCTAGAAGCAAAATTCCAGTCTGTGAATTCTTAACATAGGCATAAAAGCAATTCAATGATCAACCATGAGTCTTTTTCATAAATGACACTGGAACAACTTTGTAAATGTATGGGAAAAATTAACTTTAGTCCGTACCTCAGGCTATGCCCAGATTTAACCTGAGATGTATCACAGACTTAAGGTGAAAGCCAAAAGTTTAAACTAGAAGAAAACTTTATATAAGCTATTTTCCTTAGAGATGGTATAAAATAAACACATATTAAGATATAATCAAAATTAATTACTTCTCAACATTCTCAACACAAAACATCATTAAGAATATGAAAATGCAACCCATAGTCTGGAGGACTATTTAACAAGTCACTTACTTCCAGAATATTAAAAATTATGCATAGAATTCAATACTAAAAAAGATAAACAATTTTAAAATTTAAAACAAAAAGTTAAATAGACCCTTCTCAAAAGAAAAAAATTCATGAGTGAACAAAAAGCTCATAAAATATTGCTCATCATCATTAGTCATGAAGGGAATGAAAATTATAATGAGATGAAATAAATTTTTGCAGCCACTATGATGCTCAGAATTAGAAACTATGACAATAATAAATGTTGTTGAGAATGCAAAGCAACTGGAATATAGTAGAATCATTTTGAAAAACGTATTGTCAGATAGATAGAGGGCTAGATATGTGTGTGTGTGTGTGTGTGTGTGTGTGTATGTATGTATATCTGATCAAGGGATTTAATTTCTATGTTTTTATCCAAGATAAATAAAACAAAAGATTTGTGCAAGAATGTGTATAGTGGCTTTCTTCATATTAACTAAAGACTGGAAACAAAGCAAATGTCCATCAATAGGAGAATAAATAAACACACATGATATATTCTAACTATAGACTAATATTTATCAAGAAAAATCAAATAAATAATAAATTACAGATGCACAAAAGAATAGAACAAAATTTAAAACATGCTAATTTTTAAACAATTTGGAATAATGAAATATGTTAAACATTATGAAAATTGTATATATGAATAATTTAACTACTGTAATGTTTAAAAATAGGCAAAACCAGTCTTTAGTGGTGGAAATAAGAATTGTCTGCAGTGGGTGCAACTAGAAAAAGAACGAGATCATTTTCTGTTGTAGTGAAGTGTACTATACCCTGATTTAGGCATTGGTTGCATAGATTACACATTTATTAAAATTCATTGATGTGTACCCTGAAAATACGTTCATTGCAAACTATACAAACTGTTCTTCAATATAAATAAAATAGAATCAATGCAGATAAAAGAATAGAGCTTCTAACACTATGACAATTAAACTCTGGGCATTTTTGAGAGGTCATATATATTTTAAAATATATTGCATGATAATTGTATATTCTAAATACAGACACCTGAAATTGAGTATCCTTATCCATGATGGGCATTTTGGTCAAAATATTGCACAGAAAATCACATAAGAAGATATTCAGTGCACTTTTCAGTCTTTACAGGAAAGGCAATTGGTTGATACAATAAACATATCATGGGTATAACGTAAGCAATTCGGGCAAATCTTTTTTTTTTTTTTTTCGTTGGTTGGTTGGTTGGTTTGTTTGAGATGGGATCCGGCTCTGTCATCCAGGCTGGAATGCAGTGGTGTGATTACGGCTCACTGCAACCTCTGCCTCCTGGGCTCAAGCGATCCTTCCACCTAAGCCTCCTGAGTAGCTGGGACTACAGGTGTGAGCCTCCACACTCAACTATTTTTTTTTTTTTTTTTGTATTTTTTGTAGAGATGGGATTTCACTATGTTGGCCATGCTGGTCTGGAACTCCTGGGCTCAAGCAAATGGCTCTCCTCAGCCTCCCAAGGTGCTAGGATTATAGGCATGAGCCACCATGCCTAGCAAGTCAGGAAAACCTTTGCTCAAGATTTCAGAAATAATGAGTGCCTCTACATCTGTGATCTCCTTGAATTAGAAATAATAGATTAGAAGATGAAAGAAAGGAAGTATAAATTTTCAGATTCAATTACCTAAATATAACCCTGAGCTTTGTTTTTGTGAAAGTAAAATGTATCATTCAGTGTTCTTCAGAGAAACAGAATCAATAGGAGATATATATGTATATGTGTGTGTTTGTGCACGTGTGTGTGTATTATAAGGAATTTGCTTACACTATTATAGAAGCTGAGAAGTCTCGGCTGAGAAGTCTCACAATCTGTAGTCAGCAAGCTGGAGACCCAAGATAGCAGTGATGTAATTGCAGTCCAGATCTGTCATCCAAAGGCAGAAGACCAGAATCCCAGTTAGAAGACGGTCAGATAAAGAAAGTGAATTCTCCCTTACTCACCCTTTTTGTTCAATTCAGGTTTTCCATGGACTGGATGAGGCTCACCCATATTGGGGAGGGCAATTTAGTTTACTGAGTCTATCCATTCAAATGTTAATATCACCCAGAAACACCCTCATAGACATGTCCAGAATAATGTTTAACCAAATATCTGGGCACCCTGTGGCAAGGTCAACTTGACACACAAGATTAATCAACATAAGCAAAGTGAACAATCAGATGCCCCATACAAAGTTCTGCCCACTGGAAAGATCTCCCTTCATCACTGTCATTCGGGGATGTCCCAGAAAGGAGCTGTAATGTTGTAGCTGCCCACTTTGGGGTGATGCCTGCATATCATGTAATGTAGGCGTGAGTCTTCTCTTCCTCTGTTGATCACAGGAAATCTCCATAAGCCAATATGTGAAGGATAGAAGAGAGAAGACAGTGTGGCAGCAATGGGTGTCATGGACATTTGGTCCACTTCTTCATGTAACTTACTTGGGTATTCAGGGCCTGCTTGGGCTTCATCATGCATGTTCCATTTCCATTTGATGTGCTGTGCACTCCTAACTTCACGGCTTGGGGGTTAGATAAAACCCAGTTCATGATAGGGGTTCAGGTCACATGTTAATTTGGTGGCCCACAGTTAATTGTTCAGTTTCTAAGGCCCAATTACAGGCCAAGAGCTGTTTTCTCAAAAGGAGAATAGTTATCTGCAGAGGATGGCAGAACGTTGCTCCCAAAACCCAAGGGAGGAAACAGCATCCTTTTCTAACACTTCAAACACTATTGGATCAGCTGGATCATGTGTCCAAGTGCAGAACAGCTTGCCCTGCAGCCTGGACCTGCTGCAGAGTCTTCTATTGTGCTGGGCACCACTCAACTTCAACTGCTTTTCAGGTCACTTGGTGTATGTGCTGCAGTAACATATCCAAATGAGGAATATGGCCTCCGAAATCTGAAGAGGTCCATTAGGCATTCTGGTTCTGTTTTCGTTATAGGATTTGGATATGTAACAACTTATCCTGTTTCTTGAATAACTCAACATGCTCCACACCACTAGACCCCTAGAAATTTCACTGAGGTGAAATTGCTTTCATTATATTCCGTGTGTTTTTCATATTTTCTTCTTTTCTGTCCTATGCTATTTTCAAGTAATATTGTACAAAATGTTTCCATCTTGACACATATATAAAAGTGAAGAGTTAAGAAAATTATAGAAAACTTGTTGGTAAAAAAATTTATAAATTAGTTTCTGACTTTTTTTTCTAAAAAGGAAAAACACTGTACCATGGAATAGAAATAAAATTATCATTGTAATGAATCACTCTTTTAATAAGCTGTCTTAATTCCTAACATTTTGTTTTGGTTAGCAGGATATTACATTCATATATCCAGTATGAATATAAGTAGAATATATGTTTTACTAACATTTAGAAATAATTTACTAATGATCACCTAATGTGCTTATTTTTTTCTTACAAATTCATCTAGTAAATGACCGTGACTAACATATCTTTTGAGCCTTATTGCAATAAGGAATGTGTTAGGCACATGAAAGAAATTCAGCAATGTATACTTAATAAATTGCATATTCCACACGTCTGGTTAATTTATATTATTTCTCCAAGGCATTTATTCACATAGATACAAGTTGAAATTTTTTATTGTTTATTTCATTGAGATTTTTATTATTTCTTTTCATATTACTGAGATTAGTAATTATTACAGTGAATACATTCTATGGTAACTTACGGTTTATGTTAAGTGTAAGGTTATTTGCACTATTATGAACATCAGATTCCTTTTCTATTCAATATTATTCTGAATAATATTATTTACTGGTAGGCCGTTCACATTCATTAATATACTGAAGTATGTGGATAAACATATTTCCTATTACATGACTCATAATGTAACAGGCTTAGAAATCTACTGTCATAATAGAACACTCACACCATTAAGCCATATTGGCAATATTTTCATATTAGCATACAGTCAAGAAAACATATTATATGGAGTGCATTGAAATAAACATATATATGTTGGTGAAGCCAAGGATTTCAACATTTTGCTATTTAATTAGGCTAGAATATGAGAGGCTGATATTGTGGTAATTAATTGCTACACTCTTACTGTTAGTTATTTGAGTCATGCTTGCATTGTAAATCTATATGGTCCTCATTTTGTCACTCACTATGATCTTTAGATAGTTTCTGTGTTAGGGCCAGAAACAAAGTCAGTGAAGTCGGTTTTATCTGTAAAGTGAAGAGAACTAAGAGAATTACAGTATACAAACTTTAAGTAAAACAGATTTGGGAAGGTTGATTTATTTTATCAGATATGTGTCATTATTCCTCTGGAAAAATGATTTCCATCTTTCTGAACATTAAGTATGTTTCAACACAAAATACTGACAAGGTATTCAAATTCTAAATGTAGCCTTCAGAATTTTCTGGGCTAGGAAATATTTGCTGATATGGAATAAATTTTACTTATGGAAACAAATAGGATTCTTTTAGCTAGCTCTCTTGGTCATAGCTTTATTCCGTATTCTTCCACAATGTAACAAGTATGCTGTAAGACAAGAAAGTATATCTCTGTGTTTGATCTTTTGACTCCACCTGAAATGAAGTTGCTGTGCCCCTAAATCAATATCTCAGTGTTGAGTTGATTACATGTTTGATGTTTGTAAAGGAATGAAAGAAATCTGAGGTATTGCTCTTTTGAGAAGTGGGAATGTGCAAGAACAACCCAAGTTATAACTACACAGAGTTATTATTTTCTCTTTTCTTGTCAGACTACGTTGCACAGAACTGGTTTGGGAATCTGACTCCTGTTGTAAACTGTAGTTAGTGCAAATTACCACTGAATTGAGAGGGGCTGGCTAGGACAGAAAGATGTAACAGTCAAGGCTGTCTTTTCAAGAAGAATACTAATCAATGCACCAAAATTATTACTAACTTAATTCACTTATAATTCTGGGTTAACTATCCAGACATTGTCTACTGTTTCATCCAGAAAGAAGTTATTCTTATATTAATTGTGTGTATGTCTAGGATGGAAGGCACTGCTATTAAGGGAAGGGCACCGATGTGCTGACATTTACTGGTTAATACCCATTGGGTATGGAGTTCTAGAAAAGGCTATGACCTTCTTGAGGTTGGGAGGAACGAAAATAACAGATAGCTGGATGACTTTAATAAGAGGAAACCTGTGCTTTCTTATTCTGGTGCAGTAGGACGTGATACTTCATCGTCTAGGGAACATCTAACTAGTTAGGAGAATTGAAACTGTCATCCAAGACATCTCATTTTATTTTCCTCATGCAGTAAGAAAACAGCCATATATAAAAGGAGGTTGAAGAGGCACTTCTCAGAAGGAATTTAGAAGAATGTTCTCAAAGTATCTTCCACTGGCCTGCCCTTTCTAGCTTTTAGTGTATAGCTGTCAACAAATATGAGACTGATTTTTCTAGAAGGATACTACTAATTGGCCTTTTGTAGCTTGAGAGCAGGGCATTTAAAAATTACTCGTAATTGTACGTTATTTTTGAGATTTTATAGCAGAGTGATTTTTTTGGGGGAAAGACTACTTTTATTTTTAGAGAGTTTTAGGTTAAGAGCAAAATTGAAAGTAGAGTGATATCCCATATACTCCCTGTCCCCATGGCAGCATAGCCTTCCCTATTAACAACATCCTTTACCAGATTGGTACATTTGTTACAACTGATGACACTATAATGACACATCATTTTTATCCGAAGCCCATAGTTTACATTAAGGTTCACTGTTGGTGCTGTACATTCTATGGATTTGAACAAATGTATAATGACACATATCCACAATTAACAGTATCATACAGAATAGTTTCACTGTCCTGAAAATAATCTGTGCTTTGCCTATTCATCCCTCCTTCTCCCCTAATCCCTGGCAAACATTGATCTCTTTACTGTCTCCACAGTTTTTTTTTTTTTTTCTAGAATAGCATATAGTGGGAATCTTATAGCATGAGGCCATTTCAGACTGGGTTCTTTCACTTACGAAAATACATTTAAGTGGCTGGGCGCGGTGGCTCACATCTGTAATCCCAGCACTTTGGGAGGCCAAGGCAGGTGGATCGCCTGAGCTCAGGAGTTTGAGACCACCCAGGGCAATGTGAAACCCTGTCTCTACTACAAATACAAAAAAATTAACCAGTGTGGTGTAACACGCCTCCAGTCCCAGCTACGTGGGAGGCTGAGGCAGGAGAATCGCTTGAGCCCCAGAGGTGAAGGTTGCAGTGAGCCAAGACTGTGCCACTGCACTCCAGCTTGGGCTACAGAGTGACACTCTGTCTCAAAAAAAAAAAATACATTTAAGTTTCTTACACATCTTTTTATGGTGTGATAACTCCCTTCTTTTAGGACTAAATAATATTCCATTGTCTGGGTATACCACACTTTCTTTGTTTACTCACCTAGAGAAGGACATCTTGGTTGCTTCCAACTTTTGGTAATTAAGAATTGCTAAAGCTGCTATAAACATCCATGTGCAGGTTTTGGTGTGGAGATAAATTTGTAACTCCTTTGCTTAAATACTAAAGAGCGCAGTCACTGCATCATATAGTAAAAGTATGTTTAATTTTTTGAGAAACTGCCAAATTATCTTACAAAGTAGCTGTAACATATTGTATTCCCACCAGGAATCAATGAGAGTTCTTGTTGTTCCACATCCTCATCAGCATTTGATGTTGCTGGGATTCTGGATTTTGACCATTCTAATAGGTGTATAGTGATATCTCATTGTAGTCGTAATTTGCATTTCTCATATGATATATGATATGGTGCATCTTTTCATATGTTTATTTGCAGTCTTTATATTCTTATTAGTGAGGTGTCTATTAAGGTCTTTAGTTCATTTTTTACTCCAGTTATTTGTTTTCTTATTATTGAGTTTTAACCCTTTTCCTATTTGCTCCAAGAATACTTGCCGGGGGCGCTTGTGGCTGCAGCATTTACCCTGAGATAACTTTGTCACAAACTATCTCACTTTTATTATTATTTTTGCATTGTTCTAGTATATTGAATCGACTTTGGAAAGAAAAGACACTATTCTATTTATAGCATTCTGTTTTAGTAGTGGTATTTCCATTTACAAAATATAGGAATTCTTGATTGCTGAAAATGGCAAATCCTAGAAAACGTAGCATTCCTATGCATGATGTTAACATCTTTCTTGAACAGTTGTTGGCCAAAGAATCATATGATGAATCTGATTTTTCCAAAATAGGTGATTCTGGTGATTCAGATGATTCTGATGTTAGTTCTGTTTAGAAATAACTCCAAAAACAGTTTTTATATTTTATTTTCTCATCGAAAATCAGTCAGATTTGCTTCAGCCTCAAAGAGCATCTTTTATGTAAAATTAAATGAGCGCTGGCAGTGAGCTGCACTTTTTTTTTTCAAAATGGGAAAAGAGTTAAGAGTTATTTGCATATTTTGGATAACATTATTTTATCAAATATGTCTTTTGCAAATAATTGTCTCCCAGTCTATGGTTTCTGTTTTCATTATCTTGATTGATTTTTAAACCATGTTCTATAGAGTTCTAGAAGCAGCACAAAGACTGCCATTGAGGATGAGAGGGATACCAATTGCTGGCCTTGCGTGTCTTATCTATATCAACAACAGCTGTTTCATCCTCATCGATTTTCTGTTTCCCCATAACATTTTGTTTGAATATTATTTACTGCTAAAAATGTGATAAGATGTAGGTCAGGTGTGGGGGAAGTGTTGGGAATTAGAAGTAATTTCTCCCCCACTCCTTTTTGTATGCCACAAATCCTTGTTGAGCACGTTTGTAGCTTAAGACAGCTAAAAGCCACAGAGGAGGGAATGGGGTTTTCCAATATTTAGTGGAAACAGAGTAAATAGAAAGAGGTGGGGTAGCTGTTCTGATTATCTTAGCAAGGCAGTAAGGGATACAAAAGGAAAAGTGGAGCCATATATGCAGAGGTAACACAAAGTTAACTTGGCATCTGCCCTGACTAGAAACAAGTTAATGATTTCCAGTCTATGAAATCAAGTCATAGATCAGTTTGTTTGAGTTTTAAGCTCTTTATTGGTAGTTTATACTTTTCCTTTAATATACTTAAGTAAAACATTTTTGTGAGACCTCAATAGCCTCTGTCATTTAATATTGAATCATATATAATAGATAATAGAAATATATATAATTAATTGAAAAAAGTCAAATATGAACTATTTTGTTACATAAAAGCTTTGATGTCCTGTGAATTGTGACAAAAGAAAGTCTGGAAAAATGTTTATAATTAACAGTCTGCACTACTAATTCATTTGCATAAATCCCAAATCATGGGTTTCAGTCTTTCTGTAAGACATATTAATGGCTCACAAATATAAATGCTTTATTTTTGGTATAGATGCTTATTATGACAACTTAAAAAGTCACATTTCATATTATGCAGTAATTTTCTGTTAGAGATTACTTACAATTTCAAAGGACTTCATATTTTTGGGAAAAAACCAAGTTTGTAAAAAATTCCAATTTTGCTGTTTTAGATTTAAGGTATAATTAATATGCTTTCAGTTTATCTTTGAAGGTTCTTTTTGATTAAGCATTCAAAGTCATGAAGAAATTTAATTAAATTAAGCATGTTCTTACAATACTGATGAAATTAATCATTCTGATCGCTGTTTAAGTAACCCTTTTCCAAAGACTATCAAATTAAACATAAGTCTACACTTGAAAAAGAAAATCTAGATATTAAACCATATAATTAATTCCAGAAAATATTAATAGTTTTAATATGTTAATATTTTTGACTGTATACCTACCATTAATTTAGACAAAATATTGTGTAGTGAAAGGTCACTGAATCAAGGTCCGCAAGTCCTGGTATCTAGCCCCCAAATTGAATTCATGACCTTGAGAAGATGATTTGACTTTTCTAAGCCTGTGATTCTGCAAATTTATAATGGGAGGGTTATTTTGATCCTTTTCAATTCTGCGAATGTAAATGTATTTTTGTTTGGATAGCTACCAAAGTTTTCACTTTGTTTTCATGAAACAAACTTTAATAGTTATAAAAAATATGCTCAACTAAAGTTATTTTTCTTGTATATATGTCTGAAATATATATCCTGCTAAGAATTACTTCAAAAATATGCTTTGCTTACTGTATACAGCCAATATGAGAAGCTCTATCCTACCTCATGAAGGAGCACAGTATTGTAGAAAGCATTTCTTTACTTTACTTTTTTTTTTTAAAGACTCACATGTTCTGTAGCTCTCCTTTTCTAGTGGGACTAAACACCACCACTTGTATTGATAGATGGATAGATAAATAGATAGATAGATAGATAGATAGATAGATAAAAATATACAGAGTTAGATGAGTGGATGATTGTTGTGCATAATACATATACATAGAAATGCTTGCTTGTAGTTGAGAAGATGCTCAAAATGCCTATTGATCAACATACTATATAATATGTTTGTTGAAAAGGACCACTTTATAATTGCAATATGAATAGACAAACATTGATATTAAAAGTAGGTATCTCTGGCCACATAGACTCCAGGGAAGTCTTGGACAATGTTAAAAATAGCATATCTCTGGTCATATCAGGACAAAAATAGCATATCAAGACTTCCAGGGAAGTCTTGAGCAATGGCAGGCAGCAAACTGTTCCCAGAGCAATGAGAAACCATGAAAATTAAGAGTCAGATCTACTGGCCAGTTCTGATAATGTTGAAAGGTACGTCAGCTAAAAATCTAATGTAAACTCTATAAAGCTGAGCTCATTTCTACTATCTCAGCAGTATTTCCCATTCAAATGAAGTATGACATGGAAAAAAACTTCAAAATCAATCAAACTATTTATTGAAATATCTGAATCAGTGGATTGGAATTACATGCCATGATACATATAACCTCTAAGTTAAATCTCATGTAAATCTGTTAAATCTCAGTCTCATATTGTATGCCATAGCTTCTGTCCTTGACATTCAGTCTTTTATTTCTCCTTCTCTATTCTTAAACTAATCCACCCGATGAGTCTTTCCCTTCTACTGTGTATTTTTATAGCTCTTACTGTGCCCTTTAATGTCAAGTAGTCTAGACTTTCTAATATGCTTCTAATTCTCTTCACTCACAACTAGAATTGCCATAACAAAGTGGGGCAAAAATTCTCAAATACTAATAGATTTTGTCTTTATTACATGAAACAGTACAAAACTATGAGATAAAAATAAGAAACCCAACATAAGCATGTTTCAATATCCTTGAGGTCCACTGGGAAGGGAAGTTGAAAACTAAACTTCCAGCCAAAAGAATCCTGGTTGGCTTCAGACTTTATAGTAGGCGAACTAACTGTAATCAGTAGATTTAAAGCAGATAGATGGAATTATCTGAAGTAAGATCCAATCTCAGGCAAAGTAGAATCCTGAAAATTATCTAAAGGTAGAACTTTGGGCTGTTAGCTCTAGTGATCCTATGGGGAACAAAGAATCAGGGGAGAGCAAACAGACAGTAAATTCTTGTATCAAGAATCTAAAATGAAGAGAACACTAAGCAAATTAAGACCACAACAAGGAGGATGTGAAAACAAAGTAGCTTCAGGGTGCTCTCATGTGTACATATAATTGTGATTTCCTTTTAGACACAGCCATCAACTTTAAAAAAGTTGGATTCCAGTGGATTCTCACAGAATTTAGAAATGCTCATGGGCTGGTTTGAATTTGACTAATCATAATTGTAAACATTGTGGTGGCAACAGAAGAGTAAGGGCCTAGCGGTTATTATCCTACTCAATAATTATAAAATATTAAACTGTGTCTATTTATCTAGTCAAATTATATGAGATTATTGAAATTCAACCATTTCTGAGGCACTGAACAGGCAAACTCTTATAATTCATACTAACAGATACACACACACACACACGTCATTGATTGAATGTTTGTGCCCCCTCAGAATTCATATACAGATGTTCCTTTGACTTATGATGGAGTTGTGTCTTGATAAACCCATCATAAGTTGAAAATATGGTAAGTCAAAACGCATTTACTATGCCTAACCTATTGAACATCATAGCTTAGGCTGGCTTAGCTTAAATATGCTCAGGACACTTACATTAGCCTACAGTTGGGAAAAATCATCTAATGCAAAATTTATTTTATAATAAAGTATTGAGTATCTCATGTAATTTATTGCATATTGTACTGAAAGTGAAAAACAGAATATGTTTCACTTTCATGCCATTATAAAGTTGAAAAATTATAAGTCTAACCATTTTAAGTCGAGGACCACCTGTACTGAAATACTAACCCCCAATAAGATGCTATTAGGAGTTGAGGATTTGGGGAGGTGATTAGGTCATGAAAGTGGAGCCCTCATGAATGGGATTAGTGCCCTTGTGAAAGAGACTTCAGAGCTCCCTCACCACTTCTGCCTTGTAAGAATACAGCAAAAAACAAAACAAAACAAAAAAACAAAACCCAAAAAACAAAAAAACAAAAAACAAACAAAACAACAACAGCAACAACAACAACAAAAATGATCCCATCTATGAACAAGAAAGCAGGCCCTCAACCAGGCGCTGAGTTTCCTGGTGCCTTGATCTTGAACTTTCCAGTCTCCAGAACTGTGAGAAATAAATGTCTGTCGTTTTAATTACCCATTCTCTAGCAGTTTAAATTGACTAAACCAACAGGCAATCAGAATTCACCAAAATCCTTCCATGGTTTCCCCAGCCTTGTACTCAAATATGTTTTGGAACATAGAACAGAGACAGGTAGACATGCATGCTTCCATAGGCATTCATACCCCTAAGAGCCTCCCACCTTGATCCTGTAAGGCAACCATCACCATTAGGGATGTATTCCTAAAAGGGTTTATTCTCGGCAGAATGAAGTTCCGAACCATATGCGTCAGATCTGTAATTGTGGATCTGAAAATTGAGATGTCTTCCCCAACTTCAGCTTCCTTTGGCTGTTCCACTGAATTTATGAAGATCCTGTTCACTATAATTAATTGACCTATACTTAAAATATCAAGAGGAGCTTCTGCTTTTCTTATACATAGAGCAATTGAGCAATTAAAATCACCCTTTGTTGAGGTTTTACTGTTGTTATCTAGGCAATAATCATTGATGACAGAAAGATGATTTTAAAAATCCCTTCTTTCTAGAAGTTATTAGAAAATAATATTTTATTCTTAGTTATTAGTCAAGTATATTTTCTTTTCTTTTCTTTTTTCTTTTTCTGAGACAGAGTTTCTCTCTTGTTGCCCAGACTGGAGTGCAGTGGCGTGATCTTGGCTCATGGCAACCTCCACATCCTGGGTTCAAGCGATGATTCTCCTGCCTCAGCCTCCTGAGTAGCTGGGATTACAGGCATGTGCCACCATGCCCAGCTAATTTTTGAATTTTTAGTAGATACTGGGTTTCTCCATGTTGCTCAGGCTGGTCTTGAACACCCGACCTCAGGTGATCCGCCCACCTCGGCCTCCCTAAGTGCTGGGATTACAGGCGTGAGCCACGGCGCCTGGGCAGGCCAAGTATATTTTCAAATAACTTGGTAAATAATAGGTAAAATGATTGAGCATGTGCTAAGCACACTTCTAAGTTTTCCACATGCATTATCTTATTTAATGCTTACAACAATCATAATTACTCTTATGCCCATTTCAACAAGGAGGAAACTGAAACCTGTAAAGATTGAGGAATATGCGCAAGGTTGCACAGCTCATCAATGAGAGTCATGACTCAAACTCAGGGCGTCTGACTCTGGATCCAGGGTTCTCAGTGTGCTAGCATCACCTCAACAACAAGAGAATATAAAGTGCCATGGAATAAAATATAAATGTGATACATTTGGTTGGGTCAGTGGAAGGAAATGAGGTCAGAGATGGAAGCGGTGGAATGGAAATAATATTGGTATTGACTTTGTTTAAAGAGACATTTGCCTGACAGAAAATTGAGACTGAAGAACGGCATTTTAGAAAACAAGATATGTACATTTAAAGATGTAGAACCATAAAAATATACAGAATATTTAGCAAATGTTGAGAAGCCAAATGTGCCTAGAATTCTGGCTCCATGGGATGAGAGAATGACACAGGAGTCTACAATGGTAGAATGGAGCCCTGGATGTCTCTTGCAAAATAAATAAATTATATATTTTTTAATTCTGGCATGTCTTTAAATCTAATCACTAAAAATAACTAAATTATTTTTGTGTGCTTGGTCGTGAATAAGGAAAAATGAGATCAGCACATTATGGGCAAGACACATAGTGAGGTTATCCCAGGTTCAGAGAATGAATGCCATAAAAACTACTTTAAAGTTTATGAACTAAGGCTCATGACAATTTCTCTTCTGAGTTTATAGGTATTTTTTGAACCATCAGTGGTTTTGTGTAGAACAGGATGAGAAGATGTCAGTAATAAATTGTAAGAGGGGAGAGCTGTCAGATTATAAATTTTGCGCATGGTGTCTTGTTAAGGATGAAGATTTCCAGGACAGGCTCTTGGCATTAAAGGAAAGTCACCAAGAGCATTTGTGTGAGGTCCTCACACTCAGAATGTGCCTTTGATAATCTATTTTAGTGGATTCAAGAATAATAGAACTTGTATTTGTACATTTAATCAAAAGCACTAACGTACTTTTTATGGGTTTTTTATGCATAGTGAGTACTACTCAATTTGGTATTTTAGCTGTTACCTTTTACTTTTTAAATTTAAATGTTCCTTAAATGTATTTTAATCTACAAGATCTGCCACTATCTAGTTCATTTCCATTCAATTTATATGATACTTATTACCATAGTTCGTTTGAGTACTTGATATTTTTCTTAAATGTCTTCAGGCCCACATCACCAAGTATACTTATGTGCAAATAAGGGGCAACATGTATATTTTGCTAATAAAGATGTTAGATTTGGTAAGTGGAATTTGTTATTTGTAGATAAGAATAGAGTTTTAGTATAAATTACTTAGAAGCATTTGTCACACAAATTGAACTATTATTAGAGTAAATTCATAGGACTCAAATTAATTTTATGCACTTTCAGCCATGAGGAAAAGGCTTCTTTAATTTCTGTTCTATTTTTAAGCTTTAAAATTAGCATATATCTTTCATGTATTTTAGTATAAATAAAGATTATCTAAATTGTTACAATTACACTGAGGTCATAGCAGAGGTAATGATCCCAAAGGTATTAAAAAGAAGTAGATGTTTCTGTTAAACATTTTTTTCTATCTTCTGATGTGACCTGCTAATTACTTAGCACACACAAAAAAATGATACACTAACTGAATAAATTAGCGGCTAAGTAAAAAAAAAAAAAAAACCCAATTTCTAAAAAGGTTAGTTATATTTTCTCAGTTATGTTTCTGCCCTTTTTAATTTTAACTAATTACAATCTAATTTCTGGTATTTATTATTTTAGTGAAGTAGAATATTTAGGATATCAGAATTTCAATTGTTGAGTGGTGAGAATTTAAGGTTAAATATACATTATGCTGTTGGAACTTATTTTCATTTAAAATTAAAATAATTCTTTAATTTATTTCATTTATTTAAAATAAATTATTATTATTTGTTATTGTAGGCTATACTAGGCATAAAATGTTACTTCAAAAGTATTTATCAATTAAAATGTTGAACAATTAACCAAAATACGTTGTTACAAATTTTAAAAATTGTTAATGTCTAAAATATTGGGAGTACCTACTAAGGTATCAGAAGTATGTTACTTTTAACTAGTAACTCTGAATTTTACAGTAAAACATTTTAGGTGTTATTATACATTTAACTTAAATATGAAAAGTGAACTTCAGCATAGTTTAAAGAACATGTTCAAGGATGCATATCAAATAAATAGGAGTGCAAAGATTCAAAACCATGTCTGTCAGCATGAAAACCATTCTTTTTTTTACTGTGCTGACTGTAGATACTTTAATTGATATATACCGTATTTATACTTATTTTAAGGGCATGTGTACTATTTTTAATATTAAAATGTTTATTGAAATTATTGTAGATACACATGCAGATGTAAGAAATAATAGAGATCCTGAGTACCTTTTACCTAGTTTCTTTCAAAGGTAATGTTTTACAATATCACAATTATTATATGTAATAGTACATGCATATCCACAGATCGTGTTCAGATTTTCCAGTTTTCCTTATACTTGTGTATGTATATATAAATGTATTAGTTCCACACAGTTTTATCACATGTATAGACTCATGTATTCACCACCACAGTGAAGATACCAAACAATTCCATTACCACAAAGTGACCTTCTGCTGTTTTTTTACAACCACACTGAGCCCTCTCTTGCCACCCCCACCTCCCAGTCACTAACCTCTGACAGTCACTAAAATATGCATTCCCTATCTATATGCGTTTGTAATTTCAAGAATGTTATATACATGAAATCATAAATGTTACCTTTGATATAGGCTTTTTTTTCCACTCAGCATAAGACCTGTGAGATCCATCCAAATTGTTGTGTATATAAACAGCTTATTGCTTTTTATTGCTGACTAATATTCCATCTATGGTATATTACATGTTGGTGTAACCATTTATCTGAACTTGTTTCAGTAGTTTTTAGCTATTACAAATAAAGCAGCAATGAATATTCATGCATAGGTTTTTGTGTGAACTACATTTTTATTTCTCTGGGATAAATATCCAAGAGTGCAATTGCTTGGACATATGGTAATTGCATGTTTAGTTTTATACCAAACTGCTGAACTATTTTTAGAGTGGCTGTACCATTTTTTTTTTATTTTAACATTTCCACCGGCAGTGCTTTGGCAATCCAGTTTCTTCACATTGTCACCAGTAGCATCTGATGTCATCACTATTCTTAATTTCAACCATTCTGATAAATGTGTGTGAGATTTCATTGTGATTTTAATTTTGTTTCTCTTTTGGCTGAAGATATTGAACGCCTTTTCATGAGATTATTTGCCATTTATATATCATCTTCAGCGATATACCCCTTTATTCATTTTTTCCTTTTCTAATTGTATTATTTATATTTTTACTGTTAAGTTTTGGGAGTTCTTTATAAGTTCTAGATACAGGTTCTTTGCTATATATGTGGTTTAACAAACATGATCTTCCACTCTGTAGCTTTCTATTTATCCTATTCAGATGGTGTTTCACAGAATAAAAGTTTTTATTTTGATGAGGTCTAACTTATCATTTTTCCTTTTATAGATTATGCTTGTAATGTTATGTCTAAGAACTCTTTCCAGGCATGGAAGTTTTAACACGATTGTTTATTCAAAAAAAGATCATACTTTTAGGTTTTATATTTGAATATATTTTCTATGTTGAATCAATTTTTGTGAAAAGTGTGAAGTTTGCTATGACTTGGATGTAGTTTGTTTGTCCCCACTAAAATTCATGCTGAAATTTGATGGCCAATGTGTTGGGGTTGAGATTAGGACCTAGTGGGAGGTATTTTGGTTATAAGGTTAGAAGATCTCTCATGACTGGCTTGGTGGTGTTCTTGGGGAATTGCGTTCTTGCTCTTGCAAGACTAGACTGATTCTTGCTAGAATGGATTAGTTTCTGTGAGAGCGAGTTGTTACAAAACCAGGACACCCCACGAGTTTTCCCCTTATTGCATGTGTCTGGTTTCCCCTTGATCTTCTCCACCATGTTTGTGACACTGCATGGAAAGCCCTGGTCAGAAACCAGGGCCATGCCCTCATATTTCTCAGCCTGCAGAACCCTGAGTGAATTAATCCTCTTTTATTGATAAATTACCCTGTTTCAGTTATTCTTTTAGAGCAATACAAAATGGACTAAGAATGGATTAAGACAAAGTTTAACTGAGAATCTTGTGTGTTTTTTTGTTTTGGTTTTGGTCTGTGGTTATCCAAATTTCTCTAGCACCATTTGTTAAAAGGGTACATTTCTTCCATTGAATTGTATTTCATCTTTATTAGAATTTAGTTGGATTTATTTGTGTACTGCATAGTCTTGATTACTGTAGTTACAGAATAAATATAGAATTTAGAAAACTGATTTCTCTCAATATATTCATATTTTTCAAAATGTTTTTGCTATTTGAGTTCCTTTTTTCTTTATATAAACTTTAGAATAATCTTGTCTATATCTATAAAGAAAAAACTGGCTGGGCATGGTGGCTCATGCCTGTAATCCCAGCATTTTGGGAGGCCAAGGCAGGCAGATCACAAGGTCAGGAGATCAAGATCATCCTGGCTAACATAGTGAAACCCCGTCTCTACTAAAAATACAAAAAAAAAAAAAAAATTAGCCAGGCGTGGTGGTGGGCGCCTGTAGTCCCAGCTACTCGGGAGGCTGAGGCAAGAGAATGGTGTGAACCCAGGAGATGAAGCTTGCAGTGAGCTGAGATGGCACCACTGCACTCCAGCCTGGGTGACAGAGCGAGACTCCATCTTAAAAAAAAAAAAAACAAAACTTATGAATGTGTTAAGAATTAGGTTAAATCTATATATTAATTTGGGAAATATTGACATATTTACTACATCAGCTTTTCCAATTTATGAATATTTTATGTCTCTCCATTTATTTACATCTTTTTGGATTTATTCCATCAATATTCTGTGGCTTTCAGCATACAAGTCTTACATATGTTTTGTTACATTTTGGACAATTGTAAATGGTATTATATATTTAATTTCCACATGGTATGTTCATGGATAGTATATAGAAATATAATTGATTTTTATATGTTGATCTTATATTACCTTGTTAAACTCACAAACTTTTGTTTTTGTAAATTCTTTAGTTTTTTTCTACATGGCCTATCATGTCATTGCAAATAGAAAGAGTTTTATTTCTTCCTTTCTATTTGTCTGTATGCTTCTATTTGCTTTTTTTGCCTTTCCGAACTCACTAGACTCCTGGTACTATAAAAAGCAAACTTGTCCAACCCTTGGTCTGCGGGACACATGAGGTCCAGGACAGCTTTGAATGTGGCCCAACACAAATTAGTAAACTTTCTTAAAACATTATAAGATATTGTGTGTGATTTTTTTTTTTTAGCTCATCTGCTATTGTTAGTGTTAGTGTATTTTATGTGTGGCCCAAGACAATTCTTCATCCAATATGGCCCAAGGAAGCCAAAAGATTGGACAGCCCTGAAAGTATATTAAATAAGATGAATGAAAGCAGAAATTCTGTCTTTCACTATTAAGTGTGATGTTAGCTACAGAATTTTGGTAGGTTATCTTTACTAAGTTAAAGTAATTCCCGTGTATTTTGAACTTGCTGAGAGTTTTAATAAAAAAACAGTGTTGGATTTTGTCAAACTCTTAATCTGCATCAACTTATACGGTCACATTTTGTTTTTCTTTTTAGCTTCTTGATGTGGTGGATTACATTTATTGATTTTCAAGTATTAAACAACCCTTTGCTATGGTCAGAATATTTGTGTCATCCTGAAATTTACACATTGAAATCCTAACTCCCAAGACGATGATTGGGAGGTGGAGACATTTGGGTTATGAGGGTGGAGTTCTTATGCATGGTATTAGTGTCTTTATAAAAGAGGCCACAGAGAGATGCCTTGCTTTTTCCACTATCTGAGAACACGGTGAGAGGCACCATCTATGAACCAGGAAACAAGCCCCAACAGAACAACGATTCTATCATGATCTTGACTTCCCAGTCCCTAGAACTATAAGATATAAGTTTCTGTTGTTGACAAGCTAGCCAATCAATGGTATTTTGTCATAGCAGTCTGAACAGACTAAGACAGCCTAGTATCTATGTAATAACTCTACATAGATGTGATGTATAATTATTTTTATATATTGCTGGATTAGCTTGTATTTTATGAAATATTTTTGTCTATATTTATGAAGGCTATTTGTAATTTAAAAAAATACATTCATCTCGTTTTGATATTACGATAATATTGCCTTTATAAAATGAATTGAGAAGTGTGTCTCCTATTTTCTGGAAGAGTTTGATTTGCATTGGTGTTAATTATATACATTTTTAGTAGAATTATCTACTAAAATCATCTGGACCCAGAGATTCATTTTTGGCAGCATTTAATTATGATTTTAATTTTCTTGATTATTATAAAGCTATTCAAATCATCTGTTTTATATTTGGTTAGTTATGGTAGTTGTGTTTTGGAGGAAGTAATCAATTTAAGCTAATTTGTTAAATTTATGTGTGTAGAGTTGTTTTTTATAGTTCCTTATTATCCTTTTGATATCTAAAGGGTATATAGCAATATCTTCTGATTTCTAATATTTGTAATTTGTATCTTCTCTCTTTTTTCAGTTGTTAGTTTTTAATTTTTATTTAGTTAGATTTTGCACATGAACTGCCAATATTTCTGGAATATTTGTTGAAACATACTATTATTTTCCCAGTGAATTGCTCTTATACGTTTGTTGAAACTCAATTGACCATATACATGTGGGTCTATTTCTGCACTCCTTACTGTTCCATTGATTTATTTGTCTAGTCCTATGTCAATAGACCACTGTCTTGATGACCCCAACTCTGTAACTCTAAGTACTGTAACCATGACATTAAATGTAAGATGTGAAACTATAAAAGTTTTAGAAGAAAACATGGACAAAAACATTTTTATAGCTATTAAAAATTGACAAGAGGAGAAAAATGCCCCCTATATATAAACCAAAAAAACTGGTAATATTAAATATATATACAACAACCAAGTTTAATTTACTTTTGTAACTGGAGGCTGTTTTAATCAATGCATATAACCCACAACACTAACAAAAATAATGTGATTCTCACAATAAAATTCAGTATAAACATTTAATAAATTTCAATATCCAGTCGTGATAATAACTCTTAGCCAACTAGGTATAGGAAGGAAATTTCTTAATTTGATAAAAATATCTAAAATAGTTCTATTGCAAACATTGAATTGTGATATTTTGAAAATTTGCTTTGAGAATAAAAATTACAATAATACCTATCATCACTTCTATTAGACATCTTATTAAAGACTTATATAGTGATATAAGGCAATAGAAAAGTGTATGAAGATTAAAACATCTTCTCATTCACAGATTATATGATTCTGATATATAACCTCCAAAAAAACCAGCACATGCATTATGAGAATTAGTTAATTCATTTTGCAAAATCACTGGCTAAAAGATCAATATACAAAAGCAATTAGGTCTCCATATACCAAAAACAAAAGGCAGAAAAAATATATTTGAATTATGTAACTTATTTCCATATAAACAAATGCCACCTGTTTCCTAAAAACTTACTGAAATAAAAATAATAAAAACAAAATAGTAAATAAATACAGTTTTGTAACAAAATGATATTGAATACATCAAATAAATATTATAAATCTGAAAAAAGATGCACAAGACTTCAACAAAAAAATTCACAAAATGTTAGCAGAATAAAAAGAAGAGAGATGCTTTCATGAATTTGACTATGTGATGTTGTAAATATGTCAACATTTATCAAAATGTTCTCTATATTAAATGTCATCTTAATCAGATGCCAGCAAAACTTTGTGTAGGCAGTATGTGTAATACAGGGGACCACACATAGCTAAGCTGATCTTGAAAAAGTAGTGGAAAGACTTATTTTTATGGATATCAAAAATTATTTTAGAGAACTTGTGCCCAAGATCTTATCTCAAAATGGCACCTCACTGAGGCATTCACATAGAAAACGCATTGTTTTGTGTAACTTAGATTTACATTAGAGACAAAACTTTGATGCTCTGGTATATTAGAAGATGAAATAATTTTTTGTTTTTTTGACCTAGTTATTTATATTCAAATAATTCTCTAAAATGTAATTTTGCATTTTCTTTCAGGAAATCAAATAAATTTGTCCCTAATTTTTTTACTAATTTTGAAATCATTTACTCTAAGTTTTATTAAATTTTTACATAAATGCAAATTTAATATACTTGGTGTTTAGTTATTAAAACAGTATGGTGGTGTTGGCACAGAGACAAAGATAATAATAGAGGAGAAGGGGTCATCTAGAAACAAAGTCCACATACATGTACAGTTGTTTTACAGAAAAATTGTACTGCACAGAAGAAAGGAAATAATCGTTTTATTCAAATGATGCTAAATTAATTGGATATATGTATTAAAGACATATCCTTTAGCTGGGCATGGTGGTGTGTGCCTTTAATCCCAGCTACTCAGGAGACTGAGGCAGGAGAATTGTTTGATCCCAGGTAGAATCTGGAATGAGCTAGGATGGTACCATGGCACTCTAGCCTGGGTGACAGAGCGAGATCCTGTTTCAAAAAAAGAAAATTAAAAATAAAAACTAAAACCCACACATCTTGACACCTACCTCACCTTCTAGTAACACAGAGATTTCTAGTTATGAAATGACAAAATTAAGAGAATGTAATGCTAAGCAACATATATGACAATAATACTTATAATTCATGTAACTGACATAGTGCTAGTCTTCATAATACTTAAACAACACCTACAAATCAATAACAAGGGAGGAAAAAGAAACAGTCAACCAACCAACCAAAAATCATCAACTCAATAATAACATGGATAAAAAATATGAAAATGCATTTTCCAAAAGAAAATAGCCAAATAGCCAAATTATATGACATGATGCTCAACCTCATTATTAGTTAGGAAAAATACAAATTAAACACTTTGAGATACCATCAACAAGACACATGAATGGTTTTAATAAAAAACACAAGGCCAGGTGCAGTGGCTCACGACTGTAATCCAAGCAGTTTGGGAAGCCAAGGCGGCAGATCATCTGAGGTCAGGAGTTCGAGACCAGCCTGGGCGACATGGTGAAATCCCCGTCTCCACTTAAAAAACAAAAATGAAAACAAAAATCAGCTGGACATGGTGGTAGGCTGCTGTAATCCCAGCTACTTAGGAGGCTGAGGCAGGAGAATTGTTTGAATCTGGGAGATGGAGGTTGTAGTGAGCCCAGATCACACCACTGCACTCCAGCCTGGGCAACAGAGCGAGACTCTGTCTCAAAACAAAACAAAACAAAAACAAACACAAACAATATCATTTGTTGGCAGATATGTGCAGCAATATCAACTCTAACATGTTCCTGGTGGGAGTACAAATTGGAAAACTACTTGAGAAAAAATAATTGGTAGTATTTACTAATGCTGGGTATTTTATGTTACTTAATGCAGAACTTTGACTCCAATGTTTATACCCAACAGAACTGAGTACATACAAGCAACAGAACACCTTTGCAAAAATAGTAACTGTAGAATTATTTATAATATCTCCAAACTAGCAGCCAGACTGGAATGTCTCAATTGTAATAGATTCATACAATGAATACTCTCCAGTAATGAAAATGAATTAACTATCTCTACCCACAGCAGCATGAATGAAATATATTTTGAGTAAAAGGAAACAAGCCACAAATAAGTTGATTGTAAAATTATATTTACATACATTTTCTAAAAAGAAAAAAGTTATATGGCAATTGAAATAGAATAGGAGTAATCTTTTTGGAGTAAGGCTTGATAATAATTATGAAGAAACAAAAAGGGAGCTTCTAGGGTGGTGTTCGTTCTCTCTCTCTCTCTCTCTGTCTCTCTCTCACACACACTTTTTTGGCCTACACAATTCATCAAAGTATACATTTTTAATCTGTAAATTTTTTTGTCTGCATAGTAATTTGCAATAAAAATTGATGAAAAAATTTCAGGATCAAATAAGTTTGGAAACAAATTTGGGAAATATGTTAACATTTAATAAGTTCAATTACTTCATAATGTTTAAGCCATTAAAATACTAATTTGTATTTTCCCTGTAAAAATGTAATATATTGTATATATGCTCCAGTTTACTTCTAGAGAATACATGTTGGGAAATACTAATCTATGTGCAAAATTATTTGGCACAACATATGCTGTTTATTACCTCTCTCCTGCTAGCTTTCTCAGCTTCTGTTTTCTTTATTTCCAGGTTATTTCCTATATGTCAACTATGCTAGATTATATGGGCTCTTCAACACATAAGTCCACCTCTTTCATTTCTCTCTACCTTATAATGTAATGATTTTCTTCCTGAAATATTTTTCTTTGTATAACATACTTAAGCCCTAAGTAATTTCAAGACTCAAATTATTGTCATCCCCTTCAGAAAGACTGTTATAATTACCTAGTCTGCATTAAATGTTCCCCTTTTGCTTCTCATAGTAACCTGGCCTCACTCTATCATAGCACTTACAATACTGAGTTGAAAAGTAGAATATGAATACCATGTGTGACTGGCTTATTTTGCTTAGTATAATGTCCTCAGGGTTCATCCATGATTTTGTATGTGGTAGGATTTCCTTTTTTAAAGTAAAGAATAGTGCTTCATTAATGTGTCTATTACATTTTCTTTATTCATTCATCTACCAATAAACATTTAGGTTGCTTTCATATATTGGCTATTGGGAATAATGCTGCAATGAACATGGATGTGCTGGTATCTCTTTGAGATCCTGATTTTAATTATTTTGCATATATACTCAAAGGTGGAATAGCTGAATCAAATGGTAGATCTATTTTTAATTTGGGGGGATCCTCCATACTGTTTTCTATAATAGTTGCACCATTTTACATTCATATCAACAGTTTACAAAGATTTCAATTTCTCCACATTCTTGCCAACACATCTTTTCTTTTAAAAAAATACAAAATTTTACAGGTGTGAAATGACCTCTCATTGTGATTTTGATTTGTATTTCCCTGATGATTAGTGATGTTGAAGATCTTTTCATTATCTATCAGACTTTTGTGTGTCTTCTTTGGAGAAATGTGTCTTCAAGTTCTTTGCCTTTTAAAAATCAGGTTTTTTGTGTTTTTGCTGTTAAGTCATAGGATTTTCCTGCATAGTTTAGGTACTAACCTTTTATCAGACATATGGTTTTCAAATATTTTTCCCATTACAAAGGTTGCCTTTTTATTCTCTTGATTGGGCTGGTTACAGAATGACAAATACTACATGATTTCATTTATATAAAGTATTTAAAACAATCAAACTCATAGAAGCAGAAAGTAGTATGGTGGTTGACAGGGTCTGAGAAGAGGGGAAATGGGGAGCTGTAGCTCAACAGGTCTAAACTTTCAGTTATGAATGATAAGTAAATTTTAAAGATCTGCTGTACAATGTATTGCCTATAGTAAACAATATTGAATAATCCACTTAAAATTTGGTTAAGACAGTAGATTTCATGTTAAGTATTCTTACCATAAATAAATAAACAAACAAACAAAAACCAAGGGACACAAGGAAACATGGAGGTGATGGATGTGTCTAATAGCTTGACCATGGTGATGGTTTCATGGGTGTACCCTATGAGAAAAGCAAAACTTTGCTTCTACCCATTTAGGGTCTCTGAATGGGCCTACAGATTAATTTGCCTTATGGCAGATTAACAGGAGAAAAAAATACATATTTGTTTAATAAAAGTTTTATGTGACACAGGAGCCCTCATAAGGAAATGAAGAACAAAAGAACTGGCAAACCCTACATTCTTTTATATTGAATTGTGATATGCTTTGGCTGTATCCCCACACAAATCTCATCTTGAGTTCCCGTGTGTTGTGGGAGGGACTCCATGGGAGATGATTGAATTTTGGGGGTGGGTCTTTCCTGTGCTGTTCTCATGGTGGTAGATTAGTCTCAAGAGATCTGATGGTTTTAAAAAGAGGAGTTCCCCTGCACAAGCTCTCTTTTCTTGTCTGCTGGCATGTGAGATGTGCCTCTCACCTTCCGCCATGATTGTGAGGCCTCCCCAGCCACGTGGAGCTGTAAGTCCATTGAACCTCTTTCTTTTGTAAGTTGCCTAATCCTGGCTATGTCTTTCTGAGCAGTGTGGAAACGGACTAATACAGATTGAAAAAATAGACAACAGTTGAAAAGCAGCTAAAATATATGAGAAGGCTAGAGGAAGATAAAAATTATTTTAACAAAGTCTATTTGTACAGAATTCTCTGTCTCATTTTCCTGTCCTTGACGATGTTTCCCTTTTTTTTTTTTTTTTCCTCTTGGTCGCATAGGGAGGGCAGCTCTTACATGGGAATGTCTTCTCTTTTTTTTCTTTTTTCTTTTTTTGAGATGGAGTCTAGCTGTGTCGCCCAGGCTGGAGCGCAGTGGCGCGATCTCAGCTCACTGCAAGCTCCACCTCCCGGGTTCATGCCGTTCTCCTGCCTCAGCCTCCCAAGTAGCTGGGACTACAGGCACCCGCCACCACACCCGGCTAAATTTTTTTTGTGTGTATTTTTAGTAGAGACTGGGTTTCACCATGTTAGCCAGGATGGTCTCAATCTCTTGACCTCGTGATCTGCACGCCTCGGCCTCCCAAAGTGCTGGGATTACAGGCCTGAGCCACTGCGCCCTGCCTCATCTCTTGTTTTTAAGAAAAAAAAAAAAAGGGGAGATGACAGTGTCCTCCTTACATCTGCTGTTTTTTAAGTGCCTTTAACTCAAAAGAATCAATATACGAGAGTGACATTTTTTAGGGTGGTGTTTTCTAAACTCTTTCAATGCATTTGCTCAAACTTATCAAATTTTTGTATATATTAAATATGTGCCATTAGGGGTGTATCAATTATACTTAATAAAATTGTTTAAAATAAGAATATGATCACCATGAAAATATTTCATTCATCTATGTACCCCAAGCATCTATCACAGTTTGTACACATTAAGTATCAAATGGGTAAATTTATTGCATTTAGAAATCAAATAAATTTCAGCCTTCATCCTTATTTATAAAGTAGGGAAATCAAGGTCTAGCCAAAGTGTTGTGATGTTTCCTTTATGCTTATACATAGCTAGAGAGATGTAGCATCAAGGTCGAAATTCAGGTATCCAGACTTCCAACACATCGCTCTTTCATCATCAGTGTCTACGTAGAAAGCAACACAGTGCATCTCAGTATATTGGGATATTTCTACAATCTTCATTTCTACACTGATGCAGTGTTTCTTTGGCAATGGTAGACAATATCTCCAGCTGCAGATTTCCTTACCGATAAAGGAATTATATATTTTCTGTGTGTCTGTGCTTTTCTCTGAATTGCTCTGTCAGCACATGAATGAATATGAAATATGCTTAGATAAGGAAGCACACCAATGTTAGATCGTATGGCTGGTTCTCAGCTTTGTATTTTATATGCTCTCAGGGTTATTATGAGGATTAATTGATTTAATACATGTAAGGAGCTTAGAATAGTGCCTGGCACATAATAAAGCCTAGGTGACTGCTAATTATTGTCACTATTTTTCTTTATTATGTAAAGATTTGTCTTTTTGCTACTATGGAAACATGTGAAAAAGCATAAAAACACATAGTATATCTTTGTGTTAATGCAAGTGGATGTTATGTTGAAATAAAGAACAGTTAGGTACAAAATTGAACTTCAGTACTAAAATGATTTCAGTGAAAAATGAACAAGGAAACTTAATACCATTCTTCTCTTCTTGTCATAGTGCTCATGTTTACAGGAGTTTATTTATACCTGACAAGCTGGAGTGGATAAGACATAGTCTATAACGTCTCTCCCACTTTCTTCTGTAGTTCTTGCTATGGTTGAAATGAAACTTTGTTATAATGCTCAGGTACCATTGATTGCTCATAAATATAAGTGAGAATGACAATTTCTAAGGTTGAAATGGTTCAATTTTAAAATGAAAGATTAAGAAGTGCCAATATCTCTAAAAACTTGAGCTATGTAGCTTTCATCATAGCCTTGGGGTTATTTTGAAGAGTTTACATTAGTAGGGAAGTATTATATGCATACAAACAATTTTCTACATAAAACATGGGAATCTGATATTATCTAGATCAAAGAACTCTCGGAAAGGAGACTTTCTATTCTTTTGTAAATGATCCGTAGACCCTTTTAACATAGCACACATTAAGAATGTTTAGTTCAAAAAATTTTGTTATGAATTGTACACACCGTAGCAACACAAATCCTGTTTAAGCGTGTTACTGTGGCTTATCTTAAAAAGAGAACTGTTTAATTTTCAGTCAGCTTCTAATTTGATATCAAATGATATTTACCTTCCAAAATAAAGTGGATGGGTTCAACATAATACGTGTTATTAAACATAACATAACATAAATACGTGTTATTAAAGTATGAAATGTTTTTATTAAAAATGCTTTCAGATGAGCTGTATTTATTAATACTCTCTTAATACAAAAAATAATTTTAGGTAATCTATTTACTTTATGCCACACATTTCTATTAATTATCGATGCATTTTTCCATTGATTAATTTATGTTCTTGATAGAATTTGATTTAATTTGAGAGCTGGAAGGTATGCTATAAATTTATACACTGGCAAATGTTATTTTATAATATAAGTTTATTAGTTCCCTGGGGCTGAAGTAACAAAGTACACACACTAAGTGTCTGAAGATAATGGATATGAATTATCTCCCAGATCTGGAAAATACAAGTTTGAAATCTGTAGGGTAGAGCCATATACCCTCTGAGACTCTAAGTAGACTCCTTCTTGCCTTTTCCTTGCTTCTGGTGGTTGCAGGCAACCCTTAGCATTCCTTGGCTTACAGCTGCATTAGCATGTTCCTCTGTTTTCAAATGGCATCTTCCTGTGTGTCTTCTCATTGTCTTTCCTCTGTGTATGTCTGTCTCTGTCTAAACTTATCTTTCTTACAAGTACAGCAGTTACATTGGACTAGGGCCTACCTAACGTTATTTTAACTTCATTGGCTCCATAAAGACCTTATTTCCAAGAACCACATTTTGAGGTACTAAAGTTTAGGACTTCAACATATCTTTTTTGGGGTTGGGGAGGGGGTGATACAATTCAATCAATAGCAGCAACTGTTAATGCAATTTGAAAATGTGGACATTGATCCACTTGATTTCATTTAAAAGAAATTGGGGTAAGAAACATATAGCATGTCAAATATGTACAATTTCTTTTTGATTCAAATAGAACAGTAGCAAATTCAAAAATTTAAGAAATTGGCTGGGCATGGTGGCTCACTCCTGTAATCCCAGCACTTTTGGAGGCTGAGGCTGGCGGATCACATGAGGCCAGGAGTTCTAGACCAGCCTGGCCAACATGGCAAAACTCCCTCTCTACTAAAAATACAAAAATTAGCTGGGCGTGGTGGCACACGCCTGTGATCCCAGCTACTTAGGAGACTGAAGCAGAAGAATCACTTGAACCTGGGAGGTGAAGGTTGCTGTGAGCTGAGGTTGTGCCACTGCACTCCAGCCTGGGCAACAGAGCGGGGATCTGTCTCAAAAAAATAAATAAATAAATTTTTTATGTTCTTATGAATTTTCTTTTCGTTGTTAAAAAGAAAATCAAAACCTCCAGTAACTCATTCATCTCATTCTTACATTATTTCTATTAAGACATAAGGGTCTGAATTTGCTTGTTGGGTTCCCTTTTGAATAGGTACATTTAATGGAATTTAAAAATCCATATATCTTGAAAAGGTTCTATCTCAGTTTCCAAAAGATTGCTCAAATTTTGGTTACACTTTAATTTTTTGATATAACACAGTAATGTGTTTTATTCCTTGGACATTTATATTTTTATCCAGTTATTTTTATTGTAACAGATATCAATCGATTTGTAATATAAATCGGAATCTGTTGACTCAAAATTTATATGTGTTTTTCTCAAAAGTTATTTGGTACACAGGCATATATTCTCAAGCTCTGGCATAAAAAATAAATTAGTATTGAAGGCGCATTAGTTTGCTTGGGCTGCCGTAATAAAATATCACAGGCTGAATAGCTTCAATGACAAATTTATTTTCTCACAGTTAGGGAGGCTAGAAGTCTGTGATCACGGTGAAAATGTATTTAGCTTCTTGTGAGGGCTCTCTTCCTAGCTTGCAGATAGCCGTCTTCTCACGGTGTGCTCACGTGCTTTTCCTTGGTATGTGTGTGGGCATACATAGAGAAAGACAAAAAGAGAGAGAGAAGGAGAGAGCAGGGGATCTCTGGTGCTCTGGTGTCTCTTCTTATAAGAACATTAACGCTTTCAGATCAGGGCCTGCCCCATAAGGTAATGGGACCCTATTTAACCTTAATTATTTAGAGGCTTTGTCTCCAAATACAGACATACTGAGGCTTTGGGCTCAACATATGAATTTTGGGGGTTCACAAAAATTCAGTTCACAACAGAAGGCGTTGAACAAGTTCTTTCAGGACGACAGCTGTGTTGAAGCTTTTTGATAGCCTTTTAATGTAAAGCATTTTGCGCTTGCTTGTTGATATTGCCTACAAAATTAAGTTAGCTCCATTCTACTATATGGATACAGAATGATTACCGTTATTTGCTATCTTAGGAAAACATGTTGCTATTGAAGAAAGACTGAATTAGAGAGGATCAAATAAGTGCAAATATATTATTCCTAAAAGAAAACCTCTATTACACAGTTCCCTAAATGTTTCTGAAAAGTTATATTTATGTGAGTTATGTAGTTTTTCTGCATATGATTGATCAGTTGTCAGTGAGGTTCAAAGAAGGCCTGTTTTTAAGTAACAGTAAACTCAATGGAAATCAAAAGTATGATTTTGCTGCCAAAATTTTTCCAAATAAGGTTGATATGGTTTAGCTGTGTCTCCACCAAAATCTCATCTTGAACTGTAGCTCCCATAATTCCCATGTGTTGTGGAAGGGACCTGGTGGGAGATAATTGAACCATGGGGGCGGTTTCCTCCATACTGTTCTCATCATAGTGAATAAATCTCATGATATCTGATGGTTTTATAAGGGAAAACCCTTTTGCTTGGTTCTCAGTTTTTTCTTTTTTGCTGCTGCCATGTAAGATGTGCCCGTTGCCTCCTGCCATGACTGTGAGGCCTCCCCACCCACGTGGAACTGTGAGTCCATTAAACCTCTTTTTCTTTATAAATTACCCATTCTCAGGTATGTCTTTGTCAGCAGTGTGAAAATAGACTAATACAAAGGTGTACCAATAGTAATTTAGTCTCTAGAATTTGTATTGGTTGGTAATTATCTAAATTTTTTTTAGTTAATTAAAACATTAGGGTAAGAAATACATTGATGAAAAAATATATTTAGGAGAAGTAATTTATGTTATAAGAGATGAGGTGACCTATGATATGAAGAATGTTGAAGAAATAATTGAGTATGAGATGCCCAATATGTACTTGAGATCTCTAATATGAAATATTGAGGGAAAGATTAAATATATTTCTAATAGAATTTCCTGTTGACATGAAAACTGCCTTTGCTTTGAATAGAGATTTGGATTTAATAAAAGGCAACTTTATTTGAAAACCATATATGTGAAGGCATTGTCTTTGGTAGTTGCTTTATCTACACAATCTCATTTAATTTTCATAAATAACTGTTGGGATAGTTATTAATGCTTTAATCTTAATTGCTAACATCCAGGCTTCTCAATATGACACACTGCTTAACCCCCCAAATCTCTCAGTCTCTCTGAATTTGCTTAGATTTGTATTTATGTGAATGGTCTACTTCTGGAGATGAGAAGTTTCTATCTTAAAGAATAGAGAAGTTGGATGAATTCCTGGTAGGATACAGTAGAAGTGATTCAAACATAAAGTAAAGATAGGGAAACAATGTTTCTAAAGGGAAGAATACCAATTCCCACACACGATATACATTCTTATTCGAGATCTTTGGGACTAAAATAATTTTCTGATATTTTCCAGAAAATCTCCATTTACACAATAATTCTAGGTGCAAAGCTTCATTACCTCATACGTGAAGGGATAGGAACATATTATTTTAATCATTTTGATATTTAGACCTACTATCAGGTTTAGGATGAGGCATCAACAAAAATACAGAATGTCTCAAGCTGAAGGTGACAAAAAAAAGTCATGAATGAATTATAAATATAGAACCTAAGAAAAATAGTGAGTTAATCGCAGTGTTAAGGTTAAAAGAACACCCTCCCCTAAATATATAGAGACAGCAACTATATGTTGCCAACATTTTACATAAATTTCATCATTGCAAAAACTTATAGGCATAATTTTCCAATTTTATACATATGCAAAACTGAAACCTAGAGATTAAGCCATCATACTGCTTTTAAATGGCAGACTGTAGATTCCAATTCAGCTCTATTTTTATTCAAAAACTTCAAACTTCAGGAAATTCAATTATTTCTATACCTCAATTTCGTGAAGGCTGTTTGTGAAAATTTGAATAGTTATGGATAAAAGGTATACTTGCATTTTCCTGGAGAGAGGGACCATAGCTTTTATAAGATTCTCAAATAGGTCTGTGAAACAAACAAACAAACAAACAAACAAAAAAGGTATTGGGGAATAAAATTTCTTAGGTATTAATGAAGAATATTAATTGAAATAAAAGATGGCTCTAAGTTTTTATAGATTTGGGGTTTTTAAATCTTTTCCTGTGGATTCCTTTGTTTTTACTGATATGGTATTTTAGTGTTACCTTTGAATTTTACTTTGGATATTTATTTGTAACTATCTTAAAAGCTGAAATTACACATAATTGACACACAGATATGTTCCATGCCAAATTTTAATAATTTACATCAATCAAAATATTAACTTTTGGTGCTAATAGTAAAAATTCTTGTGATCTCCCATTGAAAATTATTCAAAAGTTGCAACACAAGTCACCATCGCAACTTACTTGTCTTACTCAGATTTTTCAGTTATTGTACACTCATCTCCCATCCAAAAAATGAAAATCTTTTTATATAAGTTTTTATTTCTATAAGTCTGAGGCAAAAGTTTAGCTAATCAGAACTGTTTATTAGGTTCATTCATAATTATTTTATCCAAAGTATAAACCTTCTTTTTGATGCTGAAGTGAGAAGAGATAGTTTGTAATCTGTATGAAGATGAGGAGGGAACATAGACTTCATGATGCTATAGGTTTAATTGTGTCCCCACCAAATTTGTATGTTGAAGTTATAACCCCCGGTATCTCAAAATGTGATCCTGTTTGGAGGATCTTTACAAAGATAGTCAGGTTAAAATGAGGTCATTGGAGTAGCACCTAATTCAATATTATTGGTGTCTTTACAAAAAGAAGAAATTTAAAAACAGAAGACACACAGGGAGAACACTGCGGGACGGTGAAGGCAGAGATCAGGGTGATATGTCTGCAAGCCAAGGAGTGCCTAAGATTGCCAGCAAACCTCTGAAGCTGGAAGAGAGGCATGAGAAAGATTCTTCCTCACAACCTGCAGAGAAACCAACCATGTCTGCACCTCGATTTCAGGATTCTAGCCCTTAGAACTGGGAGACAATCAATTTTTGTTGTCTAAATCACCCAGTTGTTATATTGTTGTGGCAGGCATGTCATAGAAAACCAGTACATGTAAGTTCTTACACAGCTGTAATCAGACCACTTTTGATCCTCAACCGAATTCTTATATACATAGGTAACTGGGATTGCCAATTTCTTAGCATTTTTGGAGGGGTTTTATGATTGAAACTTTCATCTTGATTTCTCCAGTTTTGATGGTGCTTTCACAGGTCTGATAATATCAGCTATCATTACTTTTTTTTTTTTACAAAAAAAAAATTTACATCAGCCTTTTTACTTAACTCTAACTGCAAAATTTGTTCTTATCTTCTCTTCCCCTACATTTTTAGGTTTACAGGTTGAAGCCTTTAAAAAATTTACTTTCTGATCATTGAAGTTAGTACTGTGGAAGGGAAGGACATGAATTCATATATTCTATATGATATCTTTAACTGAAATTTCCATGAATTTAGAAAATAAAAACATTATAACTTGATCATGTAACATAAGCATATTCACTATACTATCAATTTTTATTTACACTGTATTTTATTGAAAGGAGAACTGCTTTGCTCAAAATGTTTGAAAACTACTGAGCTGCGAATTCTGTGCAAAAACTTCTTTGAACCTAATAATGTAGAAAATTACCCTGGTGCTCAGTTTTACTCTCTATTATAACACACATTTATTTTTCTTTTATAAAATTTTTATACACATTCATGAGCCAAGGAAGTCAAATGTGTTGATTTCACAAACATTATGGTGTCTTCAGTCTTAGCTCATCATCTTTAGCTGTTAACATTAAGCTCTACCATTCATCACAACAACTACAAAATTAAATCAGAAATGGAAATGAAGTGAATCTGAAAATGATAAGTACTATACAGATAAAACCTGAATCTTTTTACCTTTTACAAGTGCCGATGGTTTTGCATTGATAGAACTTAACATTGCTGAGAGATAAGTTAGACACTTGGTTTTGTATGAGGATCCTGTCTCTAAAATAAAATAAATGATAAAAGCATCATTCATTCCTTCATCATTCACTAATCTTTAGTGGTCAACAGAATCACTTATCCTGTGATTTTCATGGGATGCCCTCTAATATCCAATTGGATACATTTGTGAAATGGTTAACTCTACTTGAAGTTCTATGTGCTATAGTTGTTGAATAGTTTTCTTTATCATTCAGCTTATTTCCTTAACATATTGACCTAGTAATACTATCATATAATTAGCCTAGGTGCTGAAATGGACAATCCTTAAGTTATCAAATCAACAAGTGCTTATTTTTCAAACTCTCAAAATGATTCTTTCATTGCTGAGGTAATGGAGAGTCTCCAAAACCCATGTGGGGGAGGCTATTTGTTCACTGTAGACCTTTCCATCTCCTGAGGTACATTTGATGAGGCTAAAAACCTGATGAAATTATTGTTCTCTCTTGAATGATTCCCTGTATTGTATTAGATCATACAATTTCTGAGCATAATGTCTTAAAAATCAACTAATTGTTTTTCTCGAAATATCTGAAAAAATGCATTGTTTGTGTCAATCTTGGTTCAGGCTAGGGTAAACCAAAATACGTTTTCAAAAAATATTTTTATTCTAACATTTCTTCTGTGGTTATCAAAATTGGATGCAGACTCTATGTTCCTGCTTAGCCACATGAACATCTTTGGTGAATATTTTTAAATGGTTGTTGAGCTTGTCATAAGCACAGTTGTAATGATCCTATTTTAAAAGAATTATATATAATTGGGTCATAGCAAGAGCTAAGTATATGGCATAAGAAACTTACTCAATGGCAGAAGGACTTTCAAGCTAAAGCCAAACCTTTTATTAGGTCTCTTTGTTAATAAAATATGGTCATTGTGAATTTTGTTGAGGCAGCTTAAAACTTTTGAACGGATAGCTTGAATGTAAGTTATCTATCCATTTTCCTATGTATGTATGTATCTATCAATCAATGTAACATCTTTCTAGTTAGATTTTCTTATCATCTATTCCAGAAGTGAAGTATAGTTATTAACAATGGATCATATTTAACACGTCTTATGAAGATACCTACCATCTGTGATTTATTTTAAGTTTTCCAGTTTATCGAGGTTGTTTGACAAATCAAAATTGTCTATACTGAAGTTGTACAATGTGTTTTGATGTTGAAGGTGTTTTGAGATATGCATATGTTGTGAAATGATCACAATCAAGCTAATTAACATATCAATCACCTCACTACATAGTTACCATTTTTTTCCTGTGGTGATAATACTTGAGATCTACTCTCTTAGCAAATTTCAAGTATACAATACATTATTATTAACTCTAGTCACCATGCCCTACATGCTGTCTCCAGAATTTTTCATCTTATAAGTGAAAGTTTGCACCCTTTTACCAATATGTCGCCATTCCCCACTCCCTCACTCAGCCCCTGGTAAGCAGCAGTATACTGTCTTTCTATCGGTTTGATTTTTTTAGGTTCCACATATAAATGAGATCATTTACTATTTGTCTTTCTGAATATAAAGATACTTTCTGTTTTTTCTAGAAGTTAGGATTGAATTTTTGTGTCTCGTCACCTTAGGCATTCTGAAGTTGATAGTTGGTATTTATGGGATTGACACTGGAAGAAAATAGAATATAATAACTACCTGCCTTTCATCCTTCCCTGAGTTACCAGTCTTGACATTTCCATACGACCTTTTAAGTGTTTCTAATTTCATTTTCTCAGGAACCTCCTTTATATGTTACTTTCTGTTTCTCCTGTGTAAACTTGGTCCCTTTATCTTCTTTACAACCATTGTATCAAGTGCAACTGTGTTGCTGCACTCACTTACTTACTTTTGTGATGATTACTTATTTTCTTTTAAGAATCCTAAACTAGATTATGAGCCACTGGCAGACAATGACAGAGTTTTAATGGCCTACTATTGCTAGTACTGGGGATAGGTGCTAGCTAGATACTGGCTAGTACCTAGATAGAATAGACATTAAATTAATGTTTGTTGAATATATTTTCTGTGTGTATGATTAGTCTATCTGATTTTAATTGTAAGAGAAAGGTAGTGAAAACCAACCACATTTTTTAAAATAAAATAATGGCTGACTAGTCTTCAGATTTTCCTGAAATGACAAAAAAGAAAGATAAGGCAATTCCTTAAAACTTCTTAATTCCTACATATGTTTTGAAGGTAGAAAAAAAAATCATATAGTTAAAACAATGCCATTCAAATCTCATTCAGTAGTTTCCAGAAATGACATTTGCAGAATGTTTTCTTAATAATGTATATCTATTCATAAAGGTATTGATATTGTATCTTTTCCTTTTTCTATGGTTACTTCAAGTTCCTTAACACCTTTACCAACTCATGGATTCTAAGTTGCACGGATTTATCTTCATCACTCAGAAAACCTAATTCAAGTTGACTATATTTTAAACTTTTCTTTATGTAACATCTATTTCGTTTCCTATTTACTATGATTTCAAGCTTGTATAATGTTCTAAAATTTAGATTTTACCAATAGAAAAATAAAGAATACAAATAAACTAAGAACTTATTAAAAATAAAAATGTGAGGAAATATTTCCTCATTCTAAATTGGCATAAAATTAAATATCTTTTAAGTTTTGTTAATTTTCCTAATCATCTGTTTCCCATTTTACATATTAAAACATCTTGTATATTTTATAATTTCTTGTGAAATGACATATTTTATGACTTTTTAATGACACATGTTATAATGTATTAAGATTGGTGTATGTGGACATATTGAATTTATTCACTCTTTTTTTTTCATTTGACACATTCTAATTTGCAATGGCTTTTATGTGATAATATAAATAAGCAAAAATGCACACATCTGTTATTCCAGTTATACTATTAAACCTTCCAAAATATTGGGACATTCAGCTTTTTTAAAAACCCCCATATGGAAGGCAGAGCAAGATGGCAGAATAGAAAGCTCCACCAATTGTCCCCACTGCAAGGACACCAAATTAAGAAAAAACATCTTCATAAGAACCAAAAATCAGGTGGGCACACATAGTACCTGGTTTTAATTTTATATGACTGAAACAGACACTGAAGGGAGCCTCTTCAGCTATGTAGAGAGCATCTCTGGGAATTGGGAAAGGGAGAACATAGCAAGTATGAGGCATTGAACTCAGTGTTATCCTGTTAGAGAAGAAAGGAAAACCGGACCAGACTCAGCTGATGCCTACCATGGAGAGAACATTTAACAAGTCATAGCCAGAGGGGAATCGCCAATTCCAGAGGTCCAAACTTGAGTTTCCACAAACCTTACCAGTGCGGGGTACTAAACTCTATGTCTCCAAGTAAACTTGAAAAGCAGTCTGGGCCATAAGGACTGCAGCTCTTAGGCAAGTCCTGGTGCTAAATAAGGCCTACAGACAGTGGACTTGGGGGACATGTGACATACTGAGACACCAACTGGGGCAGCCAGGGGAGTGCAGGATCACCTCTCCCCTAACCCCAGGCTGCACAGCTCTTGGCTCCAAAAGAGATCCCTTCCTTCTGCTTGAGGAGAAGAGAGGGAAGAGTGGAAATGACTTTTTCTTTCATCTGGCATACCACCCCAGCCACAGCAGGATAGGGCACTGGTCAGAGTCGTGAGGCCCCTATCCCAGGCCCTAGCTCCCAAAAGAAAGTTACAGACACACCCTGGGCCACAAGAGAACCAACTTCCTTAAAGGAGAGAACTCAGTTCTGACAACATTCATCACCTGCTAACTGAAGAGCCTTTGGTCCCTGAATAACCAACAGTGATACCCAGGTACTACACTGAAGGCCTTAGGTGAACCTCTGAGACTTACTGGCTTCAGGTGAGACTCAGCACATAACCAGCTAGTGTGGACAGAGGGCAATTTTTTTCTGCTTGAGAAAAGCAGAGGAAAAAGTAAAAGGGACTTTGTCTTGCACCTTAGTTACCAGCATGATCAAAGTGGGGTAGAGCACCAAGCTGGCTGTTGGGGGGTCTCTGATTTCAGGACATGACTTTTGGATGACATTTCTGGACCTGCCTGGGGCCAGAGAGGAGCCCACTGCCCTAAAGGCTGAGTCCCAGACCAGGCAGAATTAATGACAAGCTAACTTAAGAGTCCCTGGGCCTTAAGGGAACACCAGTTGTAGTCTGGCAGTACTGTTTGTGGCCTAGGATGGCAATGGCTACAAGGTGAGGCTCCTCTGCCTTTGGAAAGGGGAGGGAAGAGTGGGAAGGATGGCATCATGTGGTTTGAGTTCCAGCTCAGTAACAATACAATAGAACACCAGGTAGGCTACTCAGGTATTTGACTCTAGCCCCTGAATCCTGGACAGCACTTCTGGACCCATTCTGGGTTTGGAGGTTAAAATAATGGTTTATAAGATAGTATCTGTAAGCCTAATGGTAACCTCAAACCATAAAACATACAATAGATACAAAAAATAAACAGCAAAAAACTAAATTGTATCACCAGAGAAAACCACCTTCACTAGAGGAAGAACGGAAGGAAAGAAAGAAGAGAGGACCACAAAACAACCAGAAAACATATAACAAAATGGTAGGAGTAAGTATTTGTTTATCAATAATAACACTGAATATAAATCAACTAAATTATCCAATCAAAAGACATAGATGGGCTGAAAGGATGAAAAGAAACCAAGATCCAATAATCTGTTACCTACAAGAAACACACTTTACCTGTAAAGACACATATAGACAAAAAAACTAAAGGGATGGAAAAAGATATTCCATGCCACTGGAAACCAAAAAAGAGCAGGAGTCATATATTTATATCAGAAACAATGGATTTCAAGACAAAAACTATAAAAAAAGACAAAGGTCACTATATAATGATATTCAGCAAGAGGATATAATAATTGTAAATATATATGCACCCAACACTGGTGCACCCAGATATGTAAAGGAAATATTATTAGAGCTAAATATAGAGATAGGCCCCAATACAATAATAGTTGGAGACTTCAGCATCCCACTTTCAACATTAGACAGATCTTCCAGACAGAAAATCAACAAAGAAACATTAGACTTAATCCATACTACAGACCAAATGGATCTAAAAGATATTTACAGAACATTTCATCCAGCAGCCACAAAATACACATTATTTTTCTTGGCACATGGATTATTCTCAAAGATAGACCACAAATCACCACACAAGTTTTAAACATTCAAAATCCAAAATAATATCAAGCATCTTCTCTGACCACAATGGAATAACACTAGAAAATAATAACAAGAGAAATTTTGGAAACTTTAAAAATACATGGACATTAAACAATATGCTTCTGAATGACAAGGAATGAGTAGATCAATGAAGAAATTAAGAATAAAATTGAGCAATTTCTTAAATGATAATAGAAACACAACATAAACAGAACCTATTGGATATAGCAAAGGCAGTACTCAGAAGGATGTATATACTTAAAACTGTGGTCATCAAAAAACGAAAAACTTCAAATATGCAATCTAATGATTCATTTTAAAGAACTAGTAAAGCAAAAGCAAAGCAAACACAAAATTAGTAGGAAAAGAGAAATAATAAAGATCAGAGCAGAAAGAGATGCAATTAAAATGGAAAAAATACAAAATATCAATGAAACCAAAAGTTATTTTTTGAAAAGATGAACAGAATTGACAAACCTTTATCCAGACTAAGAAAATGAAGTGAAAAGATTCAAATAAATAAAATCAAAACTGAAAAAGGAGATATTACAACAGATGCTACAGAAATTCAAAGGATCCTTAGTGGCTACTCCGAGCAACTGTGTGTCAATAAATTGGAAAATCAAGAAAAAAAAGGATGAATTCCTAGGTACATACAACCTACCAAGATAGAACCAGGGAGAAATTCACAACCTGAATATACCAATAAGTAATGTGATCAAAGTCATAATAAAAAGTCTTCCAGTAAAGAAAAACCCAGAACACAATGGCTTCACTGCTGAATTCTGCTGAACATTTAAAGAAATAATACTAATTCTACTCTACATATCACAAATCCACAGCTAGTATCACATTGAATGGAAAAAACTGAAAGCATTTTCTCTAAGATCTGGAACATGACAGAAATGCTAACTGTCACCATTGTTATTCAGCATAATACTAGAAGTCCTAGCTAGAACAATTAGACAAGAGAAAGCTAAAAAGGACATCCAAATTGTAAAAGAAGCAGTCAAATTATCCTCATTTGCTAATGATATGATCTTGTATGTGTAAAAACCTATGGACTACACACACACACACACACCTGTTAGAACTGATAAACAAATTCAGCAAAGTTGCAGGATGCAAAATCAACATAGAAAAATCAGTAGCATTGCTATGCCATAGTTAAGAATCTGAAAAACACATTTAAAAAGTAATCACATTTACAATAGCTATACATAAAATTAAATACCTAAGAATTAACCAGAGAAATGAAAGATCTCTATAATGAAAACCATAAAACACTGATGAAGGAAACTGAAGAGGACACCAAAAAATGGAAAAAATATTCCTTGTTCATGGATTGGAAGAATCAATATTGTTAAAATGACCATACTCTCTAAAGCAATCCACAGATTTAGTGCAATCCCTGTCAAAATAACAATGGCATTCTTCCCAGAAGTAGAAAAAACAATTCTAAAATTTATATGGAACCACAAAAGACCAAGAGTAGTCAAATCTATCCTAAGCAAAAAGAACAAAACTGGAGGAATCATATTACTTGACTTTAAATTATACTACTGAGCTGTACTGACCAAAACAGCATGGTATGGGCATAAAAACAGACACATAGACCAATGAAACAGAATAGAGGACCCAGAAACAACCTATAGTGAACTCATTTTTGACAAAGTTGTCAAGAACATACACTGGGGAATAGACAGTCTCTTCAAGAAATGGTGCTGGGAAACTGGATATTCATATGCAGAATTAAATTAGACTCCTATGTCTCACCATCTACAAGAATCAAATTAAAATGGACTTAGGACTTAACTCTAAGACTTCAAACTATGAAACTACTGCAAACACTGGGGAAAATCTGCAGGACACTGGTGTGGGCAAAGACTTCTTGAGCAATACTACACAAGCACAGGCAAGCAAAGCAAACATGGACAAACAGGATCACATAAAGTGTAAAAGCTTCTGCACAGCAAAGGATACAATCAACCAAGTGAAGAGACAACCCACAGAATGCGAGAAAATATTTGCTATCTACCCTCTGACAAAGGATTAATAGCCAGTATATATAAAGAGCTCATACAACTCTATAGGAAGAAAGTAATAAGCCTATTTAAAAATGGGCAAAAGATTTGAACAGGTATTTCTCAAAAGAAGACATACAAAAGGCCAACAGATACATATAAAGGTGTTCAACCTCAGCGATCATCTCAGAAATGTAAATCAAAATTACAATGAGATATTATCTCATCTCCATTAAAATGGCTTATACACAAAGACAGACAATAACAAATGCTGACAAGGATGTAGAGAAAAGGGAACCCTTGTATACTCTTGGTGGGAATGTAAATTATACAACTACTATGGAGAACAGTTTGGTGTTTCCTCAAAAAAACTGAAAATTGAGCTACCATATAATCCAGCAATCCATGTTAAGTGTACACTGAAAAGAAAATAAATCAGTATATCAGAGAAATGTTTGCGCTCCTATGTTTGTTGCAGCGCTGTTTACAATAGCTGAGCTTTGGAAGCTACCTAAGTGTCTGTCAACAGATGAATGGATAAAGAAAATGTTGTACATATACTCAATGAAGTACTAATCAGCCATAAAGAGAATGAGATCCAGTCATGTGCAACAACATGGAGGGAAGTGGAGATTTTTCTGTTAAGTGAAATAAGCCAGGCACAGAAAGACAGACATCATATTCTTACTTAATTGTGTGATCTAAAAATCAAATCAATTGAATTCATGGAAATAGAGAGTAGAACCATGGTTACCAGAGTCTGGGAAGGGTAATGAGGGGTTGGTGGGGAAGATATAAACAGTGAATGGGTACAAAAAAAATAGAAAGAATGAATGAGACCTACTATTTGATAGCACAATAGGGTGACCATAATAATAACTTAACTATATACTTTCAAATAAAGAAGGTAATTGGATTGTTTGTTACTCGAAGGATAAATTCATGAAGGGATGGATACTCCATTCTCCATGATGTGCTTATTTCACATTGCATTCCTCTATCAACACATCTCATGTACCCCATAAATATATACCTACTATGTACCCATAAATGTTTTTAAAAAGTATAAAAAGCAATATTCTAAAAAAATTAAATTATGAATATCTACAAATGTTCTTTCTAGCAAGGTTAAAACAACTATTAAAGATTGTTGCTATTTAAATATATCATAGGAAAAATCAAATTAAAATTAAAAAATAATAAAAACTCACATACTTCAAAGAGCTTAAAAAAGTCTTTTTAATGAATTTGTTATGTGTTTCCACATTAAGTATTAATATGTCATGCTAATATATCACATATATAACTTTTCAAACTTAACAATGGTGCTTATTTGAGGCATTGTGAATAATTGAAGTTATAAAAATATATCACAAATACTTTTGAAGAAATCTGTAGGTCTACTCCAAGCCGATCACATTGTTGTCTCTGTCTGGAAAATCTCATAACTTCAGTAGCAGAGTCTATTTTTGGAGTTGAAAATCAGTTCGGTCACAATACCAGTGGGATGACTGAAGGCTTGGGTAATGGGCTATAAAATCTTTTCCATCTAGGTCACTGATTGATTTGAGACTGTCACCAAGGTAGGTAGAAAAACAGTCACTGCTGCCTCATAAGAACTGTCAAATCATGTGAAATGAGAATATGGTCTCAATTCTGGCAGACATTTTTCCCATCTACCTAACACATGCATGCACGTGAGCACACACACACTTAATGACTTCTTGGGTTGCTTTAGAGCAGAGTAAAATTATTCTGGAATGAATCTTCTGTTCTGTGCAGAATAGAAAATATTTTGCTTAATTTGTCCAAGTGGTGTCATCAGGCAATTTCTATTTCAGAATTAAAGTGATCCACTTTACCAGGGGGACTCTTTCCACTTGAATTTTTATGCCTTTGTAGACTATGGTTAAGTGAAATGAGCTTCTCGGCTCTTTAACTATGTGATCCTCCAGTGCAGTTTATTATTTGGAGGAAGCAACATTTTGTCTGAATGATTCTACCAAATAAAAACGAAAAAGAGTTTAGTTTGATCAGCAAAGAATGTAGAAATTTACTTAAGCAGTAAAGAATGTGGCTGTCTGACTTTGGTATTATGTTACACCTCATGGTTCAGGCATCTTGTTTGCCTTAAATGGTTTCACAAGCAGGAGGGTTGACCCAGAGCAGATTCGCAGTGGCTGCACAGAGCACAGCTAAACAGCAGATTTAATGAGGTCGGAATTTCACACAATGCCTTATTCAAAGAATTCAGGCAGCAGGAGAGAAGTTGTGGTGAATTGCAGTTGCCCATGGCTTTGCATCAAGAAGCAAAACGTTTCTCCACAAATAGTTCATAAAAGTTCAAAAATAGATGCCAATTACATTCAGCTTTAAGATTCAGACATTTGTCAGGGAGGGGGACTTGTGTATTCACATTGTTAGAATTAAGGAAGTACGTTCATGAACCAAAAATACAGAGCTCTATTTACTCGTCTAAAGTCAGGAAGGATCAAAAGGGTTTCCTAATACATTTTGACATGCTGGAAGTTTTTCCTTTGTTTTCCCACTTTATGTTTTTGCAGTACCTACCACCTTATATTGCATTCTTTGCTTGTCTGTCTCCCCTACTTAACTTTAAAGTCCTTGAAGACAGGCATTTGGGGTGCCTTAAATACTTAATGAATAATTGCAGAGTGAATGTTGAACGAAAATGAATGTAACTCATTCACATACTCTATGCTAAATTGAGAAATAAAAAGCTCAGACATTTTCACTCCATCTTATTCCCTTAAGAAACATCAATGTAAGAATTCGACAGACTGCTAATCTCTTTGTGAAGCTAATGACCAGCTTTAATTTTGCAAATTAAATATCCAGTTTCCCTGCCTTTTTCCCCATTGAAAAATAGTCCTATGTTGGTCATTTATATAGCTCATTATTTTGGACCTGGGGATAAAGCTACAGTCAGAAAGCACACAGCCTCAGGTTCTATAATATTGGAATTAGGGGTGAGAACATTTTCCCTTTATGTAAGAACTCTGTGGCTCTGGGCATTTCTACATAATTATTGATCAACCTTGAACCATAGTTTCTCAAAAAGTCATATAAATGGGAGAGGATTGAGGTAGAAGTATGTGATATATAATTTATTATCTAAATTTGGACACTTTTGTCTGGAAAGAAAAAGAAGAAAAGTAAAGAAAAACTGCCAGGATGCTGGGACAAGAGGTGCACCACATCCTGCTGGGGAAAGCAAACCAGAACATCAGGTCATCCTGGGTAGACACAACCTGAGCCAGTGAGCAACACTGCCCCCATTCCAGCTGATTTCTAGTGTAATTTTCCATCATCTGCCTTTTTAAATGTAGAAAGTCTTGATTCAGGCTTGACTGGAAGTATTAAATGTCTACCTCACTTTTGATAGGAAGAAGATGATTTTTCACCTAGTGGAGTCATTGAACAGTGGTCTTCAAATTGGGATTATTTCCAAGAATGTGAGTACAGACAGTTTTAACAGACTTAATTAAAGCTCCTCACTTACCACAATTACTCTTTTTTAGCATGATATTGTTTGTTTTTTGTTTAAACCCCTTAAGCCCCTTTCCTTAATATAATAGCTATTTACAAAAAATAAAAATCACTCATTCATCTCATCAGATATTTCAAATTACTCTTGTTGCCTTCATTAAAATCCCCTAATCCCACTACAGAAATTTGTGTTTTTCCCTGTCTTATACATATTTCTGTTAAGAAAGGAGCAGGGAATAAAAAATGATGTATTTCTGTCCTTGTAGACTGTTCTTAAATCAGATACATGGTAGATTATTGGTGGTAGAATTGATAGCAAATCTGATTTTATGGCCTCCTCTGTGCCAAACTACTGTTTCCAAAGGATGAATTGCTTTTGAAAATGAATTGCTAACTATAGATGTATAGTTAGCCTAGGCGCAGTGGCTCATGCCTGTAATCCCAGCACTTTGGGAGGCCTAGGCAGGCGGATCACTTGAGGCCAGGAGTTCGAGACCATCCTGGCCAACATGGCGAAACCCTGTCTCCACTAAAAAAAATTATCCGGGCATGTGGCATGTGTCTGTGATCCCAGCTACTCAGGAAGCTGAGGTGGGAGAATCACTTGAACCCTGGAGGCAGAGGTTAAAGTGAGCCAAGATCGCACCACTGCACTCTAGCCTGGGCAATGAAGAGAGACTCTGTCTCAATTAAAAAAAAAAAAAAAAAAAAAAAGTATAGTTAGAGTAACGCAATGAGCTGTCAGAAATAATAAACTTTTTAAAATGGCTTTTATTCACATATTTAATGTAAGCAATTTTAAATGTTATTTTCAATTCCTTTTCCTTAAATCCATCATTAGGAGGAAACAAAAGAATCTACAAATTTCCAGCATAACACAGATTACTTACTCTAACTTTTTAAATAGTAACTAGAGTCTATTTAGTACATCAAATTTTTTGAATTATGATGTACAAAAGTTGCAGATGAACAATTATTTATTTTAGGTGCGATATGCCTTTATTTGACATTGTAGATAAGTCTTACTTTGTCAAATGCTACTTGAAGTATTTAATTATAGAAAATCATCTTACCTCATTATAATTATGTGTTGAAATATATTCTACTTCCTATCAACAAATGAAATTTTAATGGTAAATGTTGGATTAATTATTTTATAGTAGCATGTCCCATTCCTTCCTGTAAATATACAATTTTTAAAATCATTATGTCTAATTAAAGTAAGGGGGGTATTCTTATTTAATTTTTTCCAGAAACTGAATGTCAGAGTTGAACACATGCATGAAGATATTTTCTGAAAGATTAATATATTATCATGTGCTTATATTCTTAGTCTATAATTTTTGCTTTTTGCTTCATTAAATTATTCCATATTAAATAATGAGGTATTACATGAAATTTACCCAACTTAAAATTAATTATTTTAAGTTCACATCATTTTAATTTTATTGAACTAATTTTAATAATTTATTTTACTACATATGTTCTAGAAGGCATTTTTGTTTTTTATATTCCTCAAGTGCATATTAACAAGTGCTTTTGATTTGAAAAAAATGAAGTGAAACTTTTTCTCATACAAAGTGTCTGATTTGACTAACCGGGATACTAGTGAGAACAGGAATTAATTCTGAAGTCACAATTTCAGACAAGTCCCTAACAACATCTAAGTCAGGAAACTCTCTGCTTTGACAAAACAAACAGTTTAAAGCACATGAAAAAATAAAAATATTTTATTAGGAAAACTGCATTGTCACAGATGTTACAGTATTTTTGTGTTCCCTAACAATTCTGAGATTATTGGGTTAAGCAAAGTGCCTAACAGTGAAAAGAATAATAGGTTTAATTAGTAGTGACTTGATTAGTCTTGAAAAAGTGGAGGTTTAACTTGGTGAAAGAAGCTATGAAGAAAGTTGCTGTTGCCTATTTCCTTCTAAAGTTGAGCATATATATGCTCTATATCCCAGAATTCTACGCTGAGATATGCACCCAAGAGAAACTCTTAAAACATGGTACCACCAGAGACCTGCATGAGAATATCATAACATCAGACACCTGGAAATAATTTGAACACCCCCTGTGGCAAACTAGATGAATAAACCGTGTGTCATTCTCACGTTGGCATGTTCTATAGTAGGCAAAATAAATGAACTTTAATAATGCACCGTAACATGGATGAAGCTTAGCAACAAACAAACTCCCAGTAAAGCTTTTGTGAACAGCTTTACAGAAATTGAAAGTGAATGACTTAAAAGCCGGGATCACCGAAGACACAAAAGCCTGAGAAATAACTCTGTATACAAGTCGCTGGTTTCAGATTCTAGGTTTTCAATACAAGTGAAACAATAGCTAACTTAATTATGTGTTGAAATACATAATGAAAAATAATATTTGATGATAGAACACATTTTTTACATTTTCCACATTTAAGAATTAGTTTAAAAAACTGGAATAGATTTCAGCTAATGAGAGTTTATTTTGCACTTACTGAACATACAGCAATATGCATTTTAGAATGTATATTACTTGATGGGAAAAAGTTTTCAATACCTGCGATTTTTAGCATAGATGGTATATAAAGAACTGTACATCTTTGTTAAGTAGCACAGCACTTTAAACTGGAATCTGCATAGTTTTCCAAGGTTGAATCTATTATTATCTTTGCAGCTAATTCAGATTAACCTGGAAAATATGATGATATTCATAATCATGTTTACCAGTCACGTGTGTAATATTTTAGAAATGGATTCAGTTTCAAGACATTGATTTTGTACAGATTAGAATGTTTTATTTTGGTACATTTTCAAGTAGTCTAGAAACAGTTCATACATGATGCAGTTCACAATATAAATCGTGTTTTGGAAATATATCCTAAAGAGAAAAATGTAAAGATACATATAAAACCAATACACCCTTCCTGAAACATAGGTATTGAAAACTTTTCCCTAGCAAATAAACATATTTCGTAAACCCAGAGCTCTGTTATTAAGAGCAAAACTATTTTAGGCTATTTAAGAACTATTGGAACTTCAACTACTGGGTCTGTAAGCAAATTAATTTTTCCACTTTTGAGAATTGTTTAAAAATTTTAGTATAGATTTCACTTAATGAGCACTTATTTTGCATTTACTGAATGTAGAGCAATATGCATTTTAGAACAACAAACACATAATTTAGTTTCTCCCTCATCTTTTTCTTAAGAAAGAAGCCAAAAATTTCTTTATTTTTACCAAGGTGTACAATAAAATGCTACAGTACTATGAATATACCGTACAGATGTCATTGTCTCTTTAGTCCTGGCAGAACCAGCCCCAGGCAAGATTGTGAAGGAGAAGATTGACATTGACATCACCAGACCTACTTTAGGCAGTTTTTTCCTCCTCTTCAGAATACTTTTTTTTTTTTTTTGCATCCTTCAGGAACTCTATATCATTGTGAAATTCCCTGACCCCTGCCAATTAAATTTGCTCTCAGTAAAGGGTTCAGTCTCACTTGTTCATTTCTCACTGTCCGTTTAAAGAAAGGTATTACTTTACCAGGGTTCTTGACATTTTACTCCTTTCTAATTGTGGAATCAGTGGCTTTGTCCTTTCGAAAGCCAGATCAACTACTAAAGTAAACTTGTCTTCTAATGTACAAGTCAAAGCTTCCCTGGCTGTGTGAGAAAAGAAAGAAAATGAAACTTACCAAAGAGTCATTTCTATAAGCAAACATGACTGATTGAGAGATTAATGCCCAATTAGTGATTCCTCAGTCACCAATTAAACCTTCTGATCACTCAGTCAATAATGATGGTGGTTACTGTACACAGGGCTTGTCATTGTTTGCAGATCTGTCTCTTAGCTTTATGACCAGTGCAACACATTGTTCAAACTGAGCCATGTCAACCTTAATCGTTTCACACTAAATAGCTCGTCTGCTGCTGTCATTCCCAGGTATTAATATTGATTCAAGCCCTCTACATTGTCTCCTTCTAGCCTTTCTTCTTTCCACATTTGATAGGATTATTTGCACTATTTCACTCCGTCATATAGCTACCATTTTAGCACTCAACAGTTTTCTGTGACCCTCATGTGATAAACCTACCTCTGGGAATCTAACTTCAGATTTCTGGATTGTAGACTTTGGCTGCTCCAATGCTTTAACTTAGATCTTTTCCTAATTTTTCTAGATTATCCATAAGGGAAAGATATACAGAGGTCCAGTGTAAGCATATGGTGAGCATCCATTCTTTAAATAGCCAAGGGTAATTCAGAAGCAGATTTTCCTGAAAATGAAAGGAAGAATAATATATACCTTTTGATTGATATCTCACTTTTATTTTTAAAAAGTTCCTGAAGAAGAAAACAAGTATCTGGTCACCACTACAAATTCATACTATATACAAATAGGAGTGGCATCTGGGGTTTACAGAAATTTGTAGGGAAGCACATTTGGTGTGTACAAAAAAGACCCACCAGGAGGGATGTTAAATAACATTGAGAAAGATGTATTTTTCTAAACCACTAAGGTGATTTTTATTTCTATTTTATATCTTTAATGTCTGCAAGGGAAATGTGTACAAGTTTACTAATACATGAGTATTACTATATGGAAGTAGATATGAATTACCATTATATATAAATACCTGTTCTGTCTGTCTCTCTTTCTCCTACCCACTTCTCTCTCTTTCTCCAGGGATTTCAGATTATAGTTCTACCTTTTGGGAAATTTTTCTAAGACTTGAAAAAGATTTGCATTTCTTCATACTTTAATGTTTTTAGTAGATACATGCAAATAAAACTAGCTCACAACATGAGGTTTAATTTCTATAACTTTTTCTTGATTTATAATCTGAAGTTGGTTTTGAACATGTGAGCTAAAAGAAGACTCTACATTGCATTACCAATCTGCTAAGCCATACAAGTTTCTGTCTATAATTATTTATGAAATTATATTAGAATATATGAAAATCAGCTTCATTTAAATTATTTATTTTAATATGTTTTCAAAAATGAAATTATACATTAAGGGTTCTAGCACATGACCTCCAGATGTACTCAATATAAAATTGATAAAGGAGTAATATAATTAAATATTCATTCATTAAGGAGATTACAGAGGGCAACAGTGATGTAAAGGATTGTATTAAATAGGGTTACATTAGTAAAAAAAAAAGTCCTCTCGTGCAATTATAATGATTATAAGCACTGGACATGCAAGAAACTTCCTTAACATGCCTGCAGAAATTCATTTAAAGGTTGTTATGTTGATGGATAATTATGTTCAGCTATTCAGTGACCTCCTCCCCGGGCCTGGCTCCAAGATGGAGATTCATGACTGATGCGCTTGAACTTGTCTGATTCAAGAGTTAGAAACTTTTTTTTTCTCTGAGTGCACCCTAACAGACTTTTGTAGTGATATAGCTATACCAAAACTTGGGTATGATTTAGTGTTTTTTAAATTACCATGAGATTTTACTTCCATATTTGTGCAACACATATTTTACCTCATCAAATAATCAACGTTTTTTTTGAGAGTCACCGCCATGTGCAATAGCCGATTCCCAAGTGAGAAATGTGGCATGCCATCTTCTCATTTAAAGTTCATACATACAGTACGTTTGAGGAGAACATTTCTTTAGGAAACTGCTTCTCTAAAGAGCCTAATTTGCACTTACGTACAGGGAAAGGAAACCATGACCCTTGCTATCACAATCTTCTTCCTACGCACTTCCAGAATCTTTCTTTTAGGAGGGTTTGGCAATATTTGTGGAACACTAAGCATGTGGTAGAGTGGATCTCTTTATAAAAAAGATGTAAAATGAGACACATCTGGATACTTGCATAATACATTCAGAGCAGTAACAATTAAAGCAATATCTTAACATTTAAGTAATGCAGAAATGCAGAGATTTGGACAAAACAACAAAGGCACACCTGAAGACCATCTTATTACAGGACATTTTTATGATGCTACAGAGACAATCTACTCAAATGTATTAAAACTAATAAAGGAGATAGCTTTTCTTTCATGGTGTGTATACACAAACACTGCAATATTAAGTTCATTGCTTTCATTGCAATGACTATTATGATGGTCATTATTTTAATTTTCAAATAAAAAGGTATTTTTAGAGTTCAGGTATATTAGTTTGCTAGGGTTTCTGTAGCAAAGTACCACAAACGAGTGACTTAACAGAAATTTATTGTCTTACAATCTGAAGGCAACAAGTCCAAAATCAAGGTGTGGGCAGGGTGGATCTTTCTGAGGCCTTTGAACAAAGGATCTGTTCCAGATTTCTGTCCTTGGCTTGTCAATGGCCATCTTCTCCCTATGGCATCTTCCTTTTATGCATGTCTTTGTGTACAAAATTCCCCTTATTGTAAGAACCCTAGTCATGTAGGATTAAGACCCACCTTAAAGACCTCATTTGATCTTAATGACCTCTGCAAAAACTCTATCTTCAGATAAGGTCACATTCTGAGGTATGGGTGTTAGGACTTCAACAGGTAAATTTTGGAGGAACACAATCCAATGCATGGCATATTTATGATATATAATTTAAATAGAATAAAATTCACTCTTTTTACCTATACACAATGCAATCAGCACTACAATTAGGATATACAATAGTTTAATCACTCCAACGTAGTCCCCTGAGCCTGTCAGTTGTCAGCCCTCCCTGTAATGCCAGTGCCTCATAACCACTGCTTTGTTTTATGTCCTGTGATTTTCTCTTTGCCAGAATATCATGAAAATAAAATTCTACATATATGGTCACTTAAGTCTGGCTTTTTTCACTAATAAGCATAATTATTTTGAGATTCATCCATATAGTTGCATGTATCAGTACATCATTTTGTTTTATTGCTGAGCAGTATGTCATTGTATGGATGTACCATAATTTTTTTATCCGTTCATTCATCAGTGGACATTTAGATTTTCCTATTTTTTAGCTATTCTAAAATAAACCTTATAAATATTCGGATATAGGTCTTTATGTGAGCATTTTAATTTTTAAAAATCTTCTTGGATGTCCAGGTGCGGCGGCTCATGCCTGTAATCCCAGCACTTTGGGAGGCTGAGGTGGGCGGATCACCTGAGGTCGGACGTTCGAGACCAGCCTGACCAACACGGAGAAACTCCTCCGTCTCTACTAAAAATACAAAATTAGCCAGGTGTGATGGTTCATGCCTGTAATTCCAGCTACTGGGGAGGCTGAGGCAGGAGAATTGCTTGAACACGGGAGGCGGAGGTTGCAGTGAGCCAAGATCGTGCCATTGCACTCCAGCCTGGGCAGCAAGAGCAAAGCTCCATCTCAAAAAAAATAAAATAAAATAAATCTTCTTGGGTTGGACAGCTTAGTCATATGGGAAGTATACAGTTAACTTTATAAGAAACCACAACACTACTTGCAAACTTGTCGCACCCTTTAGCGTACTCACCAGCAAGACATGAGTGTACTAATTATTTTCCATCTTTACCAGCAATTTGCATTTTATGTGCTTTGTTTGTTTAATTTTAGCCATTCTATTAGATTTGTTTCTGGTGTCTTCTTGTGGCTTAAATTTAAATTTCCCCAATGACTAATAATGTTGGACATTCTTGTGTGCTTATTTGCCAGTCGTGTTTATTCTTTTGTGAGGTGTCTGAAATGAAAACATTTCACTCATTTTTTATCATGCTGTTTGTCTTCTTACTATTGAGTTGTAAGAGTTCTTTTTATATTTTCTGTTAAATCATTGATCACACATCTTTTTTGAAGGTATTTCCAAGTTGTCAGTTGTTTTCATTTCCTTTACAGTGTCCTTAAAAGATAAGATTTTAATTTTGATGAAGTCAAAATTATCAAAATTTGTCTTTCATGTTTTTTCTGTCTATCTAAAATGTTGTCAAATATTTTCTTCTATGTCTGCTACTAAAATCTTTATAATTTTAGGATTTTCACTGTGACCTTGAATCAATTTTAATTAAATTTTTATATAATGTATTATAAAATTAAGGTAGGCTTATTATTTATATTTACTTCTTATTTATTTGTTATTGATTATGGATATCCAAATATTTTAGCAATATTTGTTGAAATTATTATATTTTCCCATTAAATTACCTTAGCAACTTTGTTAAAAATCACCCAATCATGTATATGTGCGTGTCATTCTAGAAATATTCTTCTTTCATTGCTCTATATGTTTATTGTTATACAAATACCACACTGTTTTAATTAATGTAGTTTTAAACTAAGCCTTAAAATAGTGCAGCATGAGTTTTCCAGCTCTTTTCTTATTTGAGATATAATTCACATACCATGAAAATCCCAGTTTTAATGTGTTACAATTCGATTTACAAGGTTGTACTACCGGCACCATTATCTAGTTCCAGAAAATTTTATCACTCCAAAAACAAACTCTGTAACCATTAGTAGTTACTCATCCCCTTCTATCCAGTTTTTGGTCTGAAAGATAGGTTGATGGGACCCTTGCTCTCATGGCTAAGGGGGTGGAACCCTTGGCCTCATAGGATGAGGAGGTGGGGCCACCTTCCTGTTTGGCTCAGGAACATCTAGCTACAGGGATTAGTCTCAGGCCTTGAAATCTAATAGAATGTACTTTTCTGGATTTCAGACTTGTTTGTGACTCTTTATTTTCTTATAATTTAACACTTTTGGAATGGGAATGTCTATTCTATACTTGTCCCACCATTGCATTTTTGAAGCGGATAGACTGTTTTCTAGGTTTCACCCATCCACAGATAGAGAAGAATTTTGTCCCAAAGTGGACCGTATACAGGGTCTCCCCTGTAGCTGATTTCAATGATCCAGAACATGAATTTCAGCACTTTTTGAATTAATTCTATTTAGATATCATCTTGGATTTATAGTTGATGCTGAAATGGATTAACACTTTTGGGGATATTGGGAGGGGGCGAATGTATTTTGCATGTGAGAAGCACATGAATATGGTGGAGGGGCAGATAGCTGGCAATTTTGGGTTAAACTGTGTCCTCCTAAAAAGATATGTTGAAGTGCTAACATGCAGACCTGTGAATATAACCTTATTTGGAAATAGGGTCTTTGCATATATAATCAAGATTATGTTTATATTGGATTAGGATAGAAGGGTTCCTTACAAGAAGAAGGGAATTTGAACACAGACACATGGGAGACATTCCATGTGAAGATGAAAGTACAGACTGGAGTGATGTGTATACAAGCCAAGAAACACCAAGGATTGCCAGGAGCTATTAGAACCCAGAAGAGGCCAGGAAGGATAATCCTCTAGGGACTTTAGAGAGAGCGTGGCTCAGCCAACACTTTTATCTCAGACTTGTAATCTCCAGATATGTGAAAAACAAATTTCTGTTGTTTTGAGTCACCAAGTTTGTGTAACTTGTTTCTGTAGCCTGAGAAGTTATTAAAAAGAAAGAAAACAAAATTTACTTTTATTCTTATGTTAGCCATTTCCAGTGCTCCTTATTCATTCTTATAAATATATATTTCAATTTGATATTATTTTTCTTGTTCCAGAATGACTTCCTTAAATATTTTTTGTACTGTTAATGTGATGGCAATAGATTCCCTTTGCTTCTTTTCTTTTTTTCTGTTGATTCTTTATGGGTATATAGTTGGAGTAAATATTTGTGGGTTACATGCAATATTTGGATCTAGGCATGCAATGTGTACTAATCACATCAGGGTAAATGGGGTATCCATTACCTCAAGCACTTATCCTTTGTGTTACAAACAATCCAATTATACTCTTTCAGTTATTTTAAAATGTACATTTAAATTATTTTTGACTATAGTCCTACTGTTGTGCTAGCAGGTCTTATTCATTCTTTCTATATTTTGTACCTATTAACCATTCCCACTTCTCCCCCATTCCCTCTGGTAACCATCCTTCTGCTCTCTAACTGTCTCCATGAGTTCAATTGTTTTCATTTTTAGCTCCTGCAAATAAGTAAGACCATGTGAATTTTCTTTGTGTTCCTGGCTTATTTCACTTAACCCAATGACCTTGAGTTCCACCCGTGTTGTTGCAGATGACAAGATCTCATTCTTATTTTTATGGCTGGATGGTACTTTATTGTGTATATGTACCACATTTTCTTTATCCATTCATCAGTTGATGGACACTTAGATTGCCTCCAAATCTTGCATATTGTAAATAGTGCTGTAACAAACATAGGAGTGCATGTATCTCTTCAATATACTGATTTCCTTTCTTTTGGGTATATACCTAGGAGTGAGATTGCTGCATTGTATGGTAGCTGTATTTTTATTTTTTTTGAGGAACCCCAAACTCTTCTCCATAGTGGTTGTACTAAGTTTCATTCCCACCAACAGTGTACAGGGGTTCCCCTCTCTCCATATCCTTGCCAGCATTTGTTATTGCCTGACTTTTGGATAAAAGTCATACTAAATAAGGTGAGATGATATCTCATTGTAGTTTTGATTTGCATTTCTCTGATGATCAATGATGTTGAGCACCTTTCTATATATTTGTTTGCCATTTATCTATATTATTTTGAGAAATATGTATTCAGGCTTTTTGCCCATTTTTAATTCAATTATTGTATGTTTTCCTATAGTGCCGTTTGAGTTCATTATGTATTCTGGTTATTAATCCCTTGTCAGATGGGTAGTTTTCAAATATGTTCTTCCATTCTGTATGTTGTCTCTTCACTTTGTTGATTGTTTCCTTTGCAGTGCTGAAGATTTTTAAATCAACGTAATCCTATTTGTCCATCTTTTCTTTGGTTGCTTATGCTTGTAAGGTATTACTCAAAAAAATCTTTGCCCAGTTCAACGTCCTAGAAGCTTTCCCCAATGTTTTCCTTTAGTAGTTTTATAGTATGAGGTCTCAGACATAAGTCTTCAGTCCATTTTGATTTGATTTTTGTATATGGTGAGAGATAAGGGTCTAGCTTCATTCTTCTGCGTATGGATATTCAATTTCCCCAACATTACTTATTGAAGAGATGATCCTTTCCCCAATATATGTTCATGGCACCTTTGTCAAAAATGTGTTCACTGTAGATGAATAGATTTATCTCTGGAATCTCTATTCTGTTTCATTGATCTGTGTGTCTTTTTCATGCCCGTACCATGCCATTTGGGTTACTACAGTTCTGTAGCATAATTTAAAATCAGGTAATGTGATTCCTCCAGTTGTTTTTGTTTTTGTTTTTGCTCAGGATAGCTTTGGCTATTCTGGGTCTTTGTGGTTTCATATAAATTTTAGGATTGCTTTTTGTCTAATTTTCCCATAAGGGTAATACTGACCTTATAGAATGAGTTTGGAAGTATTCCTTCCTCCTCTATTCTTCAGAATAGTTTGGGCAGCATTGGTATTAGTTCTTTAAATGTTTGATAGAATTCAGCAGTGAAGCCATTGTGTCCTGGGGCATTTTTTATTACAACTTTGATCTTGTTACTTGTCATTAGTCAGTTCAGACTTTGGATTTCTTCATGGTTCAATCTTGGTAGGTTGTATGTATCTAGGAATGTATCAATTTCATTTTATATTTTCAAATCTATTGGCATATAGTTGCTCATAGTAGCCATTAGTTATCATTTGAATTTCTGTGGCATCAATTATATCTTTTTTTGGTCTCTTATTTTATTTATTTGGGTCCTCTTTCTCAGTCTGGATAGAGGCTTGCCAATTTTGTTTATCTTTCCAGAAAAACAACTTTTTATTTCATTAATCTTTTACATTGCTTTCTTCATTTCAAATTCATTTATTTCTCTTCTGATTTTTATTATTACTTTTCTTCGACTAATTTTGGGTTTGGTTTGCTCTTGCTTTTCTAATTCTTTAAGTTACATTGTTGGGTTGTTCGTTTGAAGTTTTTCTTCCTTTTTGATGTAGGCACTTACAGCTGTAAACTTTCTGGCTCACGCCTGTAACCCTAGCACTTTGGGAGGCCGAGATGGGCGGATCACGAGGTCAGGAGATCAAGACCATCCTGGCTAACATGGTGAAACCCTGTCTCTACTAAAAATACAAAAAAATTAGCCAGGCATTGTGGCGGGTGCCTGTAGTCCCAGCTACTTGGGAGGCTGAGGCAGGAGAATGGTGTGAACCCAGGAGGAGCTTGCAGTGAACCAAGATTGCGCCACTGCACTCCAGCCTGGGCAACAGAGCGAGAGCAAGACTCCGTCAAAAAAAAAAAAAAAAAAAAAAAAAAAAACTTCCATTGTTATTAGTTTTAAGAAATTTTTCAATTTCCTTCTTAATTTCTTCATTGACCTATGGGTCATTCAGGAGCATATTGTTTAATTTCGATGTATTGGTATAGTTTTCAAAATTTCTCTTGTTACTGATATCTAGGTTTTTATTCATTGTGGTCAGAGAAGATGGTTGATATGATATTATTTCAGTTTTTGAATGTTTTAAGACTTGTTTCTTGACCTAAGACATAGTCTATTCTTGAGAATGATCCATGTGCTGAGAAAAAGAATGTGTATTCTGCAGCTGTTGAATGATATGTTCTATAAATATGTATTAGGTCCATTTGGTCTATAGTGCAGATTAAGTCCAATCTTTCTTTGTTGATTTTCTGTCCAGATGATCTATCCAGTGTTGAAAGTGGGATGTTCATGTCTCCAGCTATTATTGTATTGGGGTCTGTCTCTCTTTTTAGTCCTAATAATATTTTATTTATATATCTGGGTGTTCAGTGTTGGGTGAATATATACTTACCATTATTATATCCTCTTGCTGAACTGACCCCTTTATCATTATATAGTGACCTTCCTCGACTCTTGATAGTTTTTGCCTTGCAGTCTATTTTGTCTAATGTTTGTGACTCTTGCTCTTTTTTGGTTTCCATTGGCATGAAATATCTTTTCTCTATCCCTTTATTTTCAGTTCGTGTGTGTCTTTACAGGTGAAGTGTGTTTCTTATAGGCAACAGATTATTGGATCTTTTTTTTTTAATCCATTCAGCCACTCTATGTATTTGATTGCAGAGTTTAGTCTATTTGCATTCCACATTGTTATTGATAAGTAAAGACTTACTCCTGCCACTTGGTTATTTGTTTTGTGGTTGTTTGTAGTGTTATCTTCCTTCTTTCCTTTCTGCCTGTCTTTTTTTTAGTGAAAGTAATTTTCTTTAGTCGTATCATTAACTTTCTTGTTCTTTATTTTTTTGTGTATCTGTTGTATGATTTTTGATTTGAGATTATCAGAAGGCTTGCAATTGTCTTATAACTGTTTATTTTAAGCTGATAACAATTTAACACTCTTTGCATAAATAGATAAGCAAACTAACAAGCAAAAAGAAAACTAATAACTCTACACCTTAATTTTGTCGCCTTGCTTTTTTTTTCAATTGTTATTTATTTATTTATTTATTTACTTATTTTTTTGAGTACAGATGGAGGTTCCCAATGTTGGCCAGGCTGGTCTCAAACTCCTGACCTCAAGTGATGCCCTCACTTTGATCTCCCACAGTGCTAGGATTGAAGGCATGAGCCACCGTGCCCAGCCTGATGTCTCCCTGCTTTTTAACTTTTTATTGTTTCTATTTATATCTTTGTGTACTGCCTATGTCTCAAAATGTTGTAGTTATTATTTTGGATTAGATTATCATTTACTATTTCTGCTTAAGACAAGAGTAGGTTACACACCACAGTTACAGTATTATAACAGTGTTATAGTATTCTTTGTTTTTCTGTGTTCTTATTACTAATAGTGAGTTTTGTACCTCTAGATAATTTGTTATTGCTTATTAATGCCATTTTCTTTCTGATTTAAGTACGTCCTTTAGCATTTTTTGTAGAACATATCTGGTGTTGATGAAATCTCTCAGCTTTTGTTTGTCTGAGAAAGTCTTTATTTCCCCTTCATGTTTGAAAGATATTTTCACCAGACATACTATTCTAGGGTAAAATATTTTTTCCTTGAACTCTTTAAATATGTCATGCCACTCTCTCCTGGCCTGTAAGTTTTCCACAAAAAAGTCTGCTGCCAGACGTATGAGAGCTATACTGTATGTTTCTTTTCTCTTTCTGCTTTTATACTCCTTTCTTTATCCTTGACCTATGGGAGTCTGAATATTAAATGCCTTGAGGTAGTCTTATTTGGGTTAAATCTTCTTGGAGTTCTATAACCTGGTACTTAGATATTGTTATCTTTCTCTAGGTTTGGGAAGTTCTCTGTTATTATTCCTTTGAATAAATTTTCTACCCCTATCTCTTTCTCTACCTTCTCTTTAAGGCCAATAATTCTTAGGTGTGTTCTTTTGCAGCTATTTTCTTAATCCTGTAGGTGTGTTTGATTGTTTTTTATTCTATTTTCTTTTATCTGCTCTGACTGTGTATTTTTAAAGAGCCTGTCTTCAAATTGACTAATCTTCAGCACCATTAATTCCATCATTAAAAGACTCTGATGCATTCTTCAGTATATCAACTGCATTTCTCAACTCCAAAATTTCTGCTTGATTCTTTTAAATTATTTCAACCTCTTTGTTAAATTGTCTGATAGAATTTTGAATTCCTTCTCTGTGTTATCTTGAATTTTTTTGAGTTTCCTCAAAACAGCAGTTTTGAATTGTGTGTCTGAAAAGTCACTTATCTCTGTTTCTCCAGGCTTGGGCCCTGGTGCCTTATTTAGTTCATTTGGTGAGGTCATATTTTCCTGGAGGATCTTGATGCTTGTGGATGTTCATCTGTGCCTGGGCATTAAAGGGTCAGGTATTGTAGTCTTCACAATCTGGGCATGTTTATTTCGTCTTTCTTCTGAAAGTTTTCCAGGTATTTGAAAAAACATGAGTATTGTGATCTAAGCTGTGTCTACATTAGAGGACACCCCAAGCCCAGTAATGCTGTGGTTTCTTGCAGAAACATAGAGGTACCACCATGATGGTCTCAAACAAGAGCTGAGAGAATTCTCTGGATTACCAGGAAGAAACTCTTGTTCTCTTCCCTTACTTTATCCCAAGCAAATGGAGTCTATGTCTTTCTTTACTGAGCTACCTGGAGCTGCGGTTTGGGTGAAACATGCACCCCTGTGGCCACCACCACCAGGACTGCACTGGGTCGGATCTGAAGCCAGCACAGCACTGGGTCATGCTCAAGGCCTGTGGTAACCACTATGTGGATACTGCCTATGTTCGCTGAAGGCTCTGGGGCTCTACAATCAGCAGGTGACAAAGCCAGCCATGCCTGTGTCCTTCCCTTCAGGGTGGCGAGGTCCCCCCAGGCTGTGGGTGGGTCCAGAGGTATGGCATCAGGCCTGGCATCAGAAATCTTAGAAGTATACCTGCTGTTCTATTGTCATATGTCTGGGCAGGCACTCAAACCACAAGATACAATTCTTCACATTCTTCTCTCCCCTTTTCACAGGCAGAGGATCCTCACTCTGCTTTCACCACCATCACAGGCCCATAGATAGTAATGCTCAGGTACTACTGATGTTCCCTTCAGGTCTACAGGCTCTTCACTCAGTTTTTGGTGAATGTTGCCTAGCCTGGGTCTCACCCTTCAGGGTAGTGCATTCTCCTTTGACCCAGGAAAGATCCAGGAATGCCACTGCAGAGCCAAAGCTTGGAATTGGGAGCCCCAAGCGTCTGCTTGGTACTCTACACTCCTGTGACCGAGTTGGTACCTAAGATGCAAGACACAGGCCCCTTTACTTTTCCCTCTGCTTTTCATAAGCAAGTGTCTTTCACCATAGTCACTAGAGTTGGGAATGTACCGTGTTTCATCTGAAGCCAGCAAGTCTCAGTCTCAGCCATGGCATTATTACGTTGGTATTGCTGCTGCTTATTCGGGGCCCAACGATTCTTTTTTTTTTTTTTTTTTTTTTTTTTTGAGACAGAGTCTTGCTCTGTCGCCCAGGCTGGAGTGCAGTGGCCCCATCTCGGCTCACTGCAAGCTCCGCCTCCCAGGTTCACGCCATTCTCCTGCCTCAGCCTCCAGAGTAGCTGGGACTACATGCGCCCGCCACCACGCCCGGCTAATTTTTTATATTTTTAGTAGAGAAGAGGTTTCACCGTATTGGCCAGGATGGTCTCAATCTCCTGACCTCATGATCCACGAGGGATCCCAGCCTTGGCCTCCCAAAGTGCTGGGATTACAGGCATGAGCCACCGCGCTTGGCTGGCCCAACGATTCTTTAGTCAGCAGGTGATAGGTCCTGCCAGGACTGAGTCCTTTCCTTCAAGGTAACAGGTTCTCTTCTAGGCCAGGGTATGTCTAGAAATGTCACCTGAGAGCTAGGGCCTAGAAAGGGGGCCTCATGCCCCCTTTCACTATCAGTGAAAGTAAATATCAGACTTAATTCTACTACACATACCGTCATTTAGTAATCATATATTAAAAAAAACTATTTATAAGGGCCTATACAATTTATTTAATCTTGATGAAGTCTATTGCTTTGGAATTGCATGTGTTCTGACAATACCTCGCATAAGGTGTTCAATTTCGTCAGATATGGTAATATCATAGAAGTCCACTTAGGTTACCCTTATAGTCAGCATAAAGTAACCAGGAATCCTCCAATCTGATGTTTGAAAGTAAGACTAGCAGAAATCCTTTGGCCACCATGCCTGTATTACCCTATTTTAGCTGATACAATAAAATGCCATAAACTTGGTAGCTTATGAATAACAGAAATTTATTTCTCACAGTTCTGGAGTCTGGGAAGTCCAAGATCAAGGTGCAGGCAAATTTCATGTCTGGTTAGGGCCAGCATCCTGGTTCATAGATCACCATCTTTTTACTATGACCTCACATGGCAGAAGAAGCCAAGGAGTTCTCTGTGGCCTGTATTATAAGAGCACTAATCTCATCAGTGAGGGCTCCCACCTTTATGACCTAATTAACTAAAAAAAACTACTTCTTCAAATACCATCACCTTGGGGATGAAGTTTCAACATATAAACTTTGGGATGACACAAACATTGTCTATAGTGATCTCAAGGGGTAAAGTCTCTAGGCCTGGATGGACTCCTAATTTACATCTTATTTATATAAATTTGAGCAGCAGCTTGAAAATATGTTATCCAAAGCACATAGCTCAAGTATTTTTAAGTTAATATAATATCTCATTTTTATTATTCAACATGTTAATGTTAGTTCATATTCAAAGTGTTAGTAAACCAAACAGTTTAGCAATAAAACCTCTTTCTGCTATAATGTTAGCTGACGCTTCTAGAATGAGGAATCTCTATTTGGGAAATGGACTATAACTAGAACTTCCTAGACAAGTGAAGAATATAGCATAATAGCTTGATGGACACTTTTTTAAACTGATTAATTAGTGAAGGAAGTGAAGAAAATACCATAATAGCATAAAAACTTTTGATTTATTAATTAGTATAAGGCTTTGAGATGAATTTATAAGGAGTAGGGAGAAATTCTCTTTCTCCATTTTTGTCTCATAAATGTGTTTGTAAAGTACTATTCCCTTTTATATTTTCCTTTCACTTTTATAATTATTCTGAACTTTGATGAAGGAAGCTGCTACTTACTTATAAGGCATTTATATTGTCAGGAGATTGTGTGTAATCCTTAAGGGACTACCTAGGTATAATTTATAGTGTGCTGCTCTGAGAGTGGGGTAAATAAATCCATTTTTGTTTTATAGTCAAATTAGCAAAGAAAGCTTCATTTTTGAGAATTTGATACTAAGTACATCAGTTATATATATATCACCATAAGGAGTAATTGTCATCTTCATATCACAATTTTTGTAACTAAAAATATATAATCTATGCTCCTGTTTGAATGTGAGCATATTTAGATTTTCTTTAAAATGATTAATTAACTAAGCAAATATTTATAGAATTTTTACTATAAATTCGGTGAATCCGTGTCCTAGACAAGGAAAAATGAATCTTCAAAAGAGTCCCCTATCCAAAGCGGAGGGGATGGGGGAAAGTGGAGAGAAGAAAAAAGGGTGTTTTTAAAAGTGCTAAACAAACTGATTTTAGCTAATGCAAAATGGCGGCTGAGGCGAGTATAGATATTTCAAGTAACACTTGGAACAAAGAATTGACTGAGTCAAATTCACCCGGTTGGTCCCAGGCAAGCTTTAAACATTTTCTTGATGGCTGGATTGTAAGCCTGATGTGGAGTAATTCAGCTTAGTTACAAACATTCACCTTCAGAAGTAAATTTATTCTATATGATACTACATCAGTCAAAAAATCCTGGATGATTTTTGTCCGAATTGTATGAGCTCTTAGCTAAATGTAACCAAGTGACTAATGTTGGCCAATGAGATGTATTTTAAAATGCAAGCCTTTGTGAGGACTACTTAAAATTGATATCTCAGGCAGAAAGTACTTTTTGACCGGTCCACTTATTTCCTCCTTTAGGCTTGGACCTGTAATGTAATGGCTGATGCTTCAACCTTTATGGTCCTTAAGATGATACGAAGTTATAACCACAAGTTAGAAAGGTGAAAAAAGGACAAGAGTAGGCTGGCTCTCTGATGATTATAGTTGCCCATATCAGCCCTGTTCTGTTCACCTTCAGAGTCTTCTCCATGAGAGACAAATAAAGATTTCATTTGCTTTTAGGCCAGTACAATTCTTAATTCATTCATCAGACTAGAAAAATAAAGGAATATCTTAACACTTTACCAAAATCTCTGTTATTTTCTCCTTCTTGCACCATAGAAAATATTTCTATGCAGTTTTCAACTTTACTTATGGGCAGAAATTTCAGAATCCCATTGAATTTCAGGGATTGGGTCACTGCCTTCGTGCAGTAGTAACAATGACAATGAAGAGAGTCTTATGGTTTCTTCCATTTCCCCAATGTCTCTTATTTTGTATCCTCTGATGTTAAACAGAGCATCTATACAAAACCTTCTCTTCGTACCGATCTTCCCTTTGTTGTCCATTTCTTCCCGTCATCATTAATCTCTCCAATTTCTTTTTAAGACATCATATGAGCTTCTTTCTAACATTAATCTTTCTTTTATTTTCTCAATATTAGACTTTACTCTTTCCTAACTCAAGATGGGTTGCTGATGGAATATGAATTAGTTTCCTAAGGCTGCTGAAAAAAACTACTACAAGCAGGGTAGCTTAAACAATATTTATTCTCTCACAGTTCTGGAGGCCAGAAGTCAATACTTGAGTTGTTGGCAGGGCATGCTTTCTGAAGGCTCTAAGGGAAAGTCTATTCTATGGCTCTCTCTCTTAGCTTCTAGTTTTGCTGGCAATGCTTGGCACCCCTTGACAGGTAAATGCATCACTCTCATTTCTACCTCTGTCATCATGTGGCATTCTCCCTGTGTGTCTCAATCTGTTCCTCTCTTTTCTCTTCTTATAAGGCCACCAGTCATCTTGGACTAAGGCTCAATCTAAATAGGTATGAACTTTGTGTAACTTGAGTACATCTGTGAAGACACTATTGCCAAATAAGGTCACATTCACAGGTACCAGAGGTTAGGACTTCAATATATCTGTTGGAGGGACACAATTCAAAATGTGAATTCGGCCACTATGACTGCCATGAATGCCACTATCCAGAGAGGGATGGTCAGCTGTGGATCTGCCTTTGGTTTAGAATTACTGCAGCAGGATATACTTTGAATGGTCATCAAGGATACAGAGTAGTTAAGGATTATGGAGTAGTTACCATGTGACAGGTGTTGTACTAAGCTCTTTCCCAAAAATACGCTTTATTTGCCTAGTATTTTTAAATACATCTGAAATAAATAAAATCAAAAGTATAGAAATTGATTCAATAACCTTGTTTTTTTTAAACAATAAGAGCAAAAATCTTGAAATAAAAAATAGATGAAATGAGAACTTAGCAATTAAATAAGACTAAGATATACCAATCTGTTGCTGTGTATGGACCTTATTTGAATTCTGATCAAACAAACTGTAATAAAAATTATGATACAATTGAGAAAATTTGAACATTAATTAGATAACTGGTGACATTAAAGTAATTAGTGTTAATTTATCTTAGATGAGATAATGATTAAATGTTATTTTTATAAAAAGGGCCCTAATTTTGTAGAATTATATACTGAAATATATACAGATAATCATGGTCCAATGGTTGTTCTTTCATTCATAATCTTTCTTAGGGAGCTATATATGTAGAAAATTGACCATTAATTGATAATTGTAAACATTGAATTATGACCACATGGAGATTGATCATATTCTTCTCAATTTGTGCATATTTTTGTAACTTTCATAATAAACAGAAGAAATGACTAGAAAATAACCTTTAATCTGTACATATAAAAACCATGTCTTAATAAGAAACTATTTTCTTTACCTGAAAAAATTTTAAAACAACACAATTATATAAAGCTTTGAGTTTAAAATGTTTTAACATTCTTTTAATGATGATATTGCATTAAATCTACATAACAACCAACAGATAATTAGGTGAGGGTATCAGCTGAATGTTTTCAAAAAAATAAAAGCTGAGCCATTCCTTTTAACCAATTGTAAAATCAAGTTCAAATTCCATTTCTTCAGGATTTTTAAATGGACCAGTAAGTCTTAGAACTACCTTTCTAGCACCCCAAACTGCATTTTTCATTTCATTTAAAAATCACTTAATTTTTTCAGTAAGTGTTTTTGAGTATGTGTGACTTGACTTATCAGAAAGCAAATATGGGTATCTGCTTATATGGAATACTCATTCACAGCTTACTTGCTGATGTTTAAATATTCTTTTGATACAGAGAAGAAACACTTTCTCCAGAAAAAAATTAACAATAAAAAATAGAAAAAGGAAAGTTAACTTAAAATCACATGAAAGAGTAATTTATGGGAAAGGAAAGAGGTGAGAATGTATTCGTTACTAGGAATTTGAAAGTAAGGAGTGTAAGAAACATGAGGATAGTTCAGAAAAAGTGAAGGGTTAGTAGAATGGAGGAGGCTAGGGTCAGACTCAGGTTCATGGCTCAGGCAAGATATGAAGTAGGCCAATTTCGCCAAGGACCTCAGCTTCCTGGCTTCTGCCACTACCCAGTGTAGCCAAATGTAGACAGACATAAAGGGTAAAACCATTTTTTTTTTCAGTTATCAAAAATATTACTTTATTTACTTAAGAAACAGCATGAAGGCATACATATTAAAAAAGAATTTTCTTGTGATATGTCTTGCCATCTGGAAAATTCCTGTGGGGAATTATATAATCTCTTTTTCCCTCAAATCTTAATCTCTTTTCTCATAAAAATTGTGGATATTTCAAGCCTGAGAAAGGTAATATAAATGAGGCTTTTGTGTATTAAACTCACCAAGAGTCAATTTATAAGGTTGCCAAAGATTTGGAGAAACAAAATATACCTTTCTTTAAATAATTTCTTAAAATATTCAAATATAGGAATAGTAGAATAATTTCCCCTTTGCCTTGGCAGTTAATGTAAACTCAAAAACATTTTAAAAATAATGGATCTTAGAGGAAATTTTCCAGTGAATGTTTGTGACATTGGAGATGGAAATATGCAAGGTTCTGGGGCCTGATATTCTTGATATAAGGGAGCTATGGACATCAAAGAAGATAAATGGTCATAAATTACAGTGAGCAAAAGATTTACAGGAATTTTGTCAATTACTCCCTTGTCTTGGAAGAAATTCTGGAAAGGCCACACATTTTGTGACTGTAAACGGTCCTTTTGTATAGCAGGGCTAAGATGCCATGCCATGCCAAGCAACTCAAGAGTTCCCATTCTCTCTTTTTTTGTTTGCTTGTTTGTTTGTTTTTAAAAGAAGAAAAAGAAAATAACAAAAAAATACAATTTAAAAAGTTTTATGTATATAACTGGATCAATTATATAATGGGTATAAGAAAATAACTGGGAAACAGTGTGGTACAATGGTTAAAAGTCCAGGATTTTAGAGTAAGGTCATCTGGCTTCAAATACCACCTTAGTCTTGATCCACCTGTATCGCTAGGACTTGATCTTCTCATGTCAGAAAAGGAGTTAAAATGGGTTAAAAAGAAGTTGAGATGTGATAATGCAGGTACAGTGCTTAGCATGGTACCTCCCTTATATTAATTCCTCAAGAAATGTTAGTATTTATCATCATTATTATTTACCTATTATTCATATTGTCATTATTAGTTGGTGCTAACAAAATGACAAAATTTTTGATGGTAAAACAATTTTATGACAAACTTGGAATACCTTTTGGATTTTCAGTGGAATTCACGAATTTAAATTTTAATTGGTAAAGTGGCTATCAAATTGATCTCTGATATCTCTGTGTGATTATTTTTTCCTATATAACCATTGCCATGTAACATATTACTCCTTGTCGGATTAAGCACTCACTGGCTAACCTCTCCAGGTTAGGGTTAAATTACATATAAATACGAAGTTGTACAGGTTTACTCTATGATTCTTAAATGGAAGAGTGGATCTGGGGTAGGGAGCCGTATTTCTCAATGATCGATAAAAACAGATATATAATCACATTCTCTGTCTTTCTTCTTAAGGATCAAAAATTCCAATTGTCTACAGCTGTCTGACTGTAGGGAAAAGCTGGAGCAGAGGTTAATAAAAGGGACTTCTGTGTTTCAAACACTGGTAGCCTCTGCATGCCCTTACCGAAGAGAATCACATGTTAGTACATTTCACTTTTATTCCCAACTCTACCATTCCACAGTTATATTTGCCCTTGAGGATATGAAACTGTTGTGAAACACAGTGACTTCTTCAATACTAAATAATCAGGCACCACTGGTAGAGAAGAACCCCTGTGAGAGACAAAATTTTAATTCAGAGCAGTCCACATGAGTTATTCTATTGATTCTTCAGTTAATTCAACAGCTGTACTAATTGCAGAAAGTAGTATGATGCTTCACAGGTGTCATAAAATCCAGGCTATTTTTCCATGTAGCAATCACAGCAGGTTTTAACTGGGTACACCAAGCAATCCTGACAGGATTCAGGAATCAGAAGGGAACTCAAGAGGTCCAGAAGAAATGTACTGGTGCTCCTAAGAAAGTCCAGTGGGTTTGATAACTTAATCAAGATGATTGCGAAAAGTTGTCAGAGGCCTCTCAGAATCTGCAAAACCTATATTTACATAGACTACTTTTTTTATAAATTAAAAGCTTGGATTATGTTCCTTTGAGGTTTTGTGGTATATCTGCAGCTCCAACTAAATGGACAGTGCAGAGGAGCAGTCATGTCACTTGTCCTAAAAACTAACTAATGGATTTTTATTTGGTTACATATATTGCTGTCTTTGAAGAAGACAATGAAAGACTGCACATAAAATAAAGGTGTAACTTGGAAAATCCTGTGGTTTCATTGAGGGGAAAACTAAGAGCCATCACTAGACTTAAAAGAAATAAAGTAAAAATAATCTTTGAAAGAAGAAACGTTATCAAGCTACCTTTAAAGAGAATGTGTCAATTCATCATTAAATAAATTCATTTAATTATCAATTAAATATATGAAATACATTCATGTATAATCTTTCTTTCTTTCTTTCTTTCTTTCTTTCTTTCTTTCTTTCTTTCTTTCTTTCTTTCTTTCTTTCTTTCTTTCTTTCTTTCTTTTCTTCTTTCTTTCTTTCTTTTTTTTTGAGATGGAGTCTCGCTTTTTTACCCAGGCTGCAGTGCTGTGGCACAATCTCTCACTGCAACCTCTACCTCCCGGATTCAAACAATTTTCCTGCTTCAGCCCCCTGAGGAGCTGGGATTACAGGCGTGTGCCACCACACCCGTCTAATTTTTGTATTTTTACTAGAGACAGGGTTTCACCATGTTGGCCAGGCTAGTCTCGAACTAGCCTGGTGGTTCAGACTAGTTCGAACTAGTCTCGAACTAGCAGGTGGATCAGAAGATCCACCTACCTTGCCCTCCCAAAGTGCTGGGATTACAGGCATGAGCCACTGTACCTGACCTAATGTTTCTTAGTGTAAATTATCTATTCGTTTTTAAGACTATTTTATTAAGTTAATTATATACTTTAAGTTTACCTCTAAAGTCAATTTGGCTTATTATCATATTCAAAGGCATTCACCAATTGAGTCAATATTCAAAATTTCAAAAAGCATCAATTGTGAAATACATGTAAATGTATTCATAAATTGTACACAGGTAAATGTGAGATAATAGTACATGTTTCTACTCCAAACATACAGAGGATTTTGAATTTGAAGCACAGCTTAATAACACTCCTAATGGAAATATATAAACCTCTAAATATCCTGCACCTTCAATATTTTCTGATAATGGTAATACGAGGTAACAAATATTCCTTTTTAGGCTAAAACTTTCCTATGCAGGAATCATGTGCGATGTATCTACAATGTTATTTATAAGCATGAAATACCACACTGCTCTTACCCAGAGGCATTATGGACACTGCTTAGTCTTCCATGAAAATCTCATTATATTAAATCCTATTAATGATAATATAAAAAATTTACAATATAATTTTCTATCATATTAGTGATACATCATATCACATTATCATTTTCTTAGCATTAATATTGTGTTTATGCCTTTAGGTAGAGTTAAAAGGGGACTTATTAATAACCTGTAACAAGAACTTTTTGCCACATTGTTCAACATGGTCTCTTTAGATACTAATACATTAGCCTTAAACATGGACAAGAAATGAACTGATGAAGGTTTGTGCAGCATAGTGTGTGTGACTCACTCATCTGAATATTCAAATGAGGGCTGCAAAATAATGATGAGAATCACAGTCAAAATCTTTCTGACCTTACAGTTAAAGGTTGACTCTATCAATGGGATTAAGCAATAGTTTATGCTTGCTATCTGAAATGAATTTTTGTAATCAGATATATAATGTTTACAATTCTGATACCTCCACCTTTGTTTCTAGGTTGTTTTCTCTGTTGATTCCTTTGCCCAACACCCTGTTTGTTGATGTTCTGTTCCACTGGTTCTTAGTTGTTCCATACGGACCTTTTCCATATAACATTGTACATATTGTATTGATTTTGCATTTCCTTTAATTATCTTCCTTAATCCTGTCATACTAACTAATTCCACTCATCCTGTGGTTGTGAGTTGACTTACTGATAATGCAATAGAGCTCTCTGATTCCAGGTATGACAATTCCAAGGACTACCTGGGAAGGTGCTAGAGGGCATGCCAATTTTCTATTCTCAGAAGTGGATGAGTCTATATGCTCTGTAGCTGATCCAAATATTTAAAGGTGGCATTGATAACTTTGTTATGTTTTAGTTAGTAAATTAGTTGTTTTGTTCAATTTTGAACTAACAAAACCTAGGTACCCCAAATGAGCAAAAGTTATACAATACTTAAGACATTTACAAAAACAAAATATGTGTATCAATTTTCTTCCATGTCATAATGCTTCATTTCCAGGTTGTTTCTCTTTTTGTTCATTCATTTAAAAACAAAATAAAACCTTACATTGGATTCTTAAAGATATTTAGCAAATTAAAAGATACCAGGCTCAAGAAAAAGGTATTTGTCCTTAATTTAGTCAATTTATTGGACTGCTTTTTTTTTTCCTATTATTTTTTAAATATTTTTATTGTGTTAAGCATATGAGATCTACTCACTTTACAAATTTTTATACATACAGTACAGTATTGTTAACTATAAACACAATATTGCACAGCTGATTTCTATAACATTTTTATTTTGCTTGACTGAAACTTTATACCCTTTGAAAAGCAACTCCTGATTTCCCCTCCCCTGGCCCATAGCAACCACAATTCTACTTTCTCCTTCATTGAGTTTGACTATTTTAGATACTTCATATAAATGGAATCATGCAGTATTTGCATTTCTGTGTCTGGCTTATTTCACTTAGCATAATTTCCTCAAAATTCATGAATGTTTTAATACACCTATATAGATAACGTAAAAAAAGAAAACAAGTTTTAATTTTGTTGTATATGTAAAAATACAATCAGCTTATAAATAAATCCCCTTTGAAATCAGGAGGCAGCATAGCAGAGGGATTAAGAAAGCTGGGCCTGGGGTCAGACTGTACAAAAATCCTGGTCTCAATATCTATTAGCTTGGTGAATTGCTCTCTTACCTCATCTGTAAAACAGGAGCAAAAACTGTATCTATTACATAGGATTTTTGTAAGGATTGATGAGTTAATGTGTATAAGTATTATAGAACAATGTCTGGCATGTAATATACTCTCAGTTAATATTTGTTATTTTATTGTCATTACTGCATTCAATACATAACAAGTATTTATTGATGCTCTTGTTAATGAATATGCTCACTTATCTTATTTGTATCCTGACCACTTTAAAAATTTTTTTGTTGTTGATATAGAGATTAAAATGCCATGAAAAAGAAAAAATTATAGAAAAGCAAAAAGAGCTGAATGCAGTGAATGAACATCTGTGAATGAAGTTGAGAAGGTATATGTGGTGAGTATACAGTGAGCTGATTCTAATTAAAATCCCATTTTTTCATTGTGCTTTCTGGTAGCAAATGCAACAAGTGATATTTGTTACATTATATTGTTTTCTTTATTTTGCAATTACTTGCAAGCACTTATCTCCTGTAACTGAAAAAAAAATTGAGTGATATTTTCAATTTTATTTTATTCTTTACCTTCATGGAAACATTTGCCTAGGATCTTAGTTTTTATTTCTGTTGTTCTGTGTTCTGTTATATCCTATATCCTGTTAGTGTTGGGAATGAGGAAATAGCAGCCTACCTGTGCCATATGAGTCCATCATTAATAGTAGAGAAATGCCACGAGCAAGGCTATTGTCATATCAGCCCTTTACAAAGCAGATTGACATAATAGTAAATAACCACCCAATAATGAATGTATTTTGTTACTTTTTTGAATACCTAACTCTTACACAAATAGGTTTTTAATAATTGATACTCTACTTGTAATCCTGCTATCAAAAATAATCTGATACAAACTTGAAGTTCATTAGGACTCATTTTTTATTAATAATTAATATTACCTTACTATTTATGCTTTTATTTTTTTCTGTGGCTTTAAATAACTAATCAGCATGTCACATCAGGATTAATTTAGTTATCTTAAATATTATGAAATGGCATTTTATAGACTAAGGAAAAGTTAAGATATTAACTTAGTAACATTAGAATAGTTTCTAAGTAGAGAGTTCATGTGGGTGGGTGTAAATAAGAGCATGTAATTTAGAGAAAAGAGAATCAGGTAGGAGTAAAGTATATCATATTACTTCATAAGCAAAACAGAATATGCCCTTCAATCACTCTGTTTCTTTTCTGCTAGAAGCTGTATTGCTAAATGTTGTGACCTCCTTTGTATTTCTAGTACTCAACTTTAATGGAGCCTCATAAGCAGATAGACATTCATGTTGGCCATTTATGACATCTAGATGTTCTGGTAAATATTAAGACAAGAAATGGATAAAAATTGCATTACTATTATTTTATCCAGTTGACATGTAAATGTGTGTGTGGGGGTGAGAAAGAATAAAGAGGATGTCACTTATTATAACATGTTATTTGTTAAGATATTTATAAAAGAATTTTAGAATAAGTCATTATTTTTTGGAAATCAGATTCTCCCTGGTGCCTTCCTCACTGTTGGATAAGTGTTAACAGTTTCAGGGCCCTGATGACTCATGGCTATAAATAACACTCTCTGAATCCAAGTCCAGCTTTCAAACACATAGAGAACAATAGGGAATTAAAAATAAAAGGTATTGCAGTTTACATATTTTTGAATGCTTCTGTTAAAACACTTTCTCTTAACCTGGCCTCAGGACATAGATCTAATGTCCATGATTTGCTGAATCTCTGAGAATGATTCCATTTTGTCTCTCTAGTCACAGCAAACTTCAGCAATTTGTGCTTTTTCTGCATGACAGCAAACTTCCTTTACCCCTTAGCTCTGCTTGGCCAGTGTTATTGAAGTCTAAGTTTTAGGTCCCCAGGACATAAAATTGACCAATCTTAATAGTGATGTCACAACAGTTTAGTGATGTTTGGCACTGATAAAGTCTAGTTGCTATACTATAATACGACACAAATATGTTAGAGTAAGAAAAACCTCTTAATTTCTTCTCTTTAAGCTTAACCTTAAATAAATAGGAAATTTCTTTGTGGCTGGCTGCAGAGCCAAATCTTTCTGGGTGAATTTAAAGTACACATAAACGCTCCTCTTCACTACTTTTATGATCCTCCTTTCCTCCCATAAGAAGGTAAAGTTGATGAGTATCCTTGAAAAATCATCATGGGTAGAAGAAATGCTGAGGTTTTTCTCCTCCAAAATACCCATCCCACAATATTCTCTTGTGGGTGAGGGACGGACAAAACTGTGTTAAGTCAGAAGCTACACTAGGCATTTAGCTCAGAGATACTGTGTCTATTGTGTAGGAGTTCTCTCTTGTTTCAGGACCTCCATCCCCACCCTGTGGAAACCCTGGCTAAGAATCTTCGTGTTGATGACATCATTTTACCTTCCCTTCTGTATTTGCTGGAAATGAAAATGGAGCTGTCTCTCTGTATAACATGTGTTTCATAATGAGTAACATCAATATCATTATCATAGTATTTGCTTTCTAATATTCACATGCATAATAGATATATGGATTTGTTTTGATCTATGTCAGAGCAGGTAAGTTCATTCAGTAAATGGAATAGCAACATCAGACATAAGAAGCCTGGACTGAGGAATAAATTGGGAGTCTGAATTTTAATAGAACTAGTTGCTTAATTAGACGGCAGGTGCCAGGATGGAAATACATTTGACCAAATCAATGCCTTCTGAGTCTATTTGAGGGCATTATTGGGCACATTTTGTGTTAGCTATTAAAGTAGGGACTTTTTAGTCCATATGTGTTAGTTTTAAAATTATGTGTGTACCATTATAGATTAACACATATACACAAAGCCAAATATATATATACATAAAATATGTATTATCATCAATCTATATCATATGTATACATATATAACATATGTAATATCATACATATCACATTATAAACAATCATGTAGTAGTAACTTTCAAACGATGTCTTTTTGAATGCATAAAACTGAACACTGTCAGAATAATCCAGGTCACCTCTTGAATGCTTTGCTGCTTAGAAATTTTTTCTGCCATATACCCTGAATCATCTTTCAAGTTCAAAGTTCCACAGATCTCTAGGGCAGGGTCAAAATGCCACCAATCTCTGCTAAAGCATAGTAAGAGTTTCCAATAAGTTCTTCATCTCCATCTGAGACCACCTCAGTCTGCATTTCGTTGTCCATATCACTATCAGCATTTTGGTCAAAACCATTCAACAAATCTCTAGGAAGTTCTAAACTTTTCTATATCTTCCTGTCTTCTTCTAAGTCTCCCAGCTGTTCCAACCTCTGCCCCTTACCCAGTTCCAAAATTGCTTCCACATTTTCAGATATCTTCATAGCAGTGCCCCACTCTCGTGGTACCAATGTTCTGTATTAGTCTGTTTTCACATTGCTATAACGAACTACCTGAGGATGGGTAATTTGTGAAGAAAAGAGGTTTAATTGACTTGCAGTTCTGCAGGCTTTACAGAAAGCATGACTGGTATGCCTCAGGAAACTTACAATCATGGAGGAAGGTGAAGGGGAAGCAAGTATTTCTTACCATGGTGGAGCATGAGAGAGAGGGAATGAAGGGGGAAGTGCTACATACTTTCAAACAACCGGATCCCGTGAGAACTCACTCACTGTCATGAGAATAGCAAGAGGGAAGCCCACTCTCATGTTCCAGTCACCTCCCACCAGGCACCTCCCCTGACACGTGGGGATTGCAATTGAGATGAGATTTGGGTAGGGACACACAGCCAAACCATATCACACTTCTTATATGCCAGGGGTGGTCCTAAGAACTTTATAAATGCTAACTGGTTTGAATGATAATTCATTTGAAAATTTAATTCATTAAAATTAACAGTCTTAGAATATAATCTCACCTTGACAAAATAGCCATGTTCCACAAAAAAATACAATTGAATTCTCTATGGGTGGGAGCAAGAGACCAGAAGATCTGCGAGATAGAAGCTGTAATTACCTTCAAGAAGAATAAGAGCCTAAATAAGAAAAATGGTGAAAACTGAAGGAAAATGAATTATTCAATTATAAATATTGTCTACATGATAAAATAACATAACTAAAGTAGGTGTAATTTATAATGCATATATCCAGGCCACTTTGTATTTCTTCAATTGTTTATATTTTTATTCATATTTTAAATACCTTACTATGTGCTAGGCACTGTGCTCAGTCACAGGATAGTGAAAACAACGGATGGAAGAAATTGCTGCTTTCATGGAGCTCACAGTCTAATTGGGAGCTTATATTCTATATAAGTAAAAGTTAGCAATGCTAGCAGTTATTGGCAGTGCTAAACAAATCTCCAGAGTTCATTGGCTTTCAAATAAAAGTTTATATCTTCTTTACACAAAGTCTAATGTTGATGCTCCTATTCAGTATATGGTTTCCCACAAGGTCATTCAGGAACCCAGGCGAATTCTATCTGAGGGCTTTCTGTCATTTAGGTCCTAAATGTCTTTTTCATTCAGCAGATGAAAAAAGAGTGATATTAGTGGACTATTCAAGAGAATATTAAAGTCCAGTACTGAGAGAGGCATAATCACCTGCACTTACACATTGCTGACCACAGTACTGCAAAGGTGGCTGGGAAAAGAAGCCCACATGTACAGAGTAAAGATGTTGTCAGCATTTTGAATTTTAGCTATTCTAGTAAGTATAGAGTGTATCTTACTGTTATTTAATTTGCAATTCTCTAGTGATAATGCGGTTTAAATCTTTTCTTATCCTTACTTACCATCTGTATATCTTGTTTGGTGAGATGTCTGTTCTTTAGCCCATTTTTTAATTGAGTTGTTCATTTTGTTATTGTTGAGTTTTAAGGGTATTTTGTGTATTTGGGGTAACAGTCCTTTATCAGATGTGTCTTTTGTGAATATTTTTCTCAGTCTGTGATTTGTCCTCTCATTCTTTTAACATTGTCTTTTGCGGAGAAGAAGTTTTTGACCTCTTTTAATGAAGTCCAGCTTATCAATAATTTGTTTTGTGGATCATGGCTTTGGTGTTCCAAAAAGTTGTTATGGTGCCCAAGGTCATCTAGGGTTTCTCCTATATATCTTCTAGGAATTTTATAACAATGCATTTCACATTTAGGTGTATGCTGTCTTTCGAGTTAATTTTTGTGAAGGGTGTAAGGTCTGTGTCTACATTCATTTTTGCATGTGGATGTTCAATTGTTCGAGTATCATTTGTTGAAAAGACTGTTTTTTCCATTGTATTTCCTTTATTGCTTTGTCAAAGATCAGACGACTATATTTACGTGGGTCTATCTCTTACTCAGAGGAAAGGGGAATGGGTTTGATAAAACCATAGTCTCTGTCACATATTTGACTTCACAATTAATATTCACACTTATCCTAAATGTAGATAAAATTATTGCATCTATTTTACAGATGAGGAAATGGAAGCTCAAAAAGGATCAAATTACTTTTCAAAGTTAACACACTTTAGTTACTATCAGACCTGAGATTTTAAACAAGGTCAAAATCTTACTACTTAAGAATCAATATATGGAGAGATTGTGTTTATTAGTTTGTTTTGTCGTGTTTTGTGTTTAAACTTTTGTGAAAAAATAATTTAGTTGATTTGAATTGACTTTCTTTCAAAGAAAACAAGCTCTCCAACGTTCAAAATTAACCCCATTAACAGAAACTCAAGAAGACCAAATTACATATGAGATTTTAGTCTTTCTTTATTTTCCAACTTGGAAATTTTATATAGATGGTAGAAAAAATTGATAAAGTGTCAGAAATAAGCACTAAACAAACAATATTATCATAAATAAACATCATCTTCAATTAGTATCAATAAGACATAAAATGCTGCCACAACTGAGGCCATCAACTTTGGTGAAGAATGTATTATAGAATATTTTACTGTGGTTCAAAGAGGTATTTGAAATACCATACTGCCATTTTTGGAAACTAATAAAATATATCTTGAAAAGAAAGGTAATTAATTATAGATTTTTAACTTCATATTTCAAATTCCACTCAGCCCACACCAATCTGAAAGTCACTAATTTGATTTAACTCTATGTAGTAAAACTCCATTTGTCTTTGAGTTGTCATTCAGTCCTCTATGACAAATTCTGAAAATACTTTCCTCAAGCATGCAGAACTTGATGAAATATCCTTAAAACATTTTAAGCTGTTAATAGAAACACACAAGAATATTGTGGAAAAAATATCTTTTATTGATATATTTAGTTTAATTAGCAAATATAAATTTATAAGCAGGTAAGATTCACATAGACAAAATAGTAATACAGAGTGAAGAAATTTTACACTATAATAATCACACATTTTTATTAAGCTCTTAGACTTACTGCAAATGTATTTTCTTGGTACTTGGGTAGAATGGCAACGGGCACTTTAGATCTCAGATCAATAGATAGAAGCACTTATTTTACGTGAGAGAAGCAAAGAGATTTTCTGTTGTCTTAAAATTCACTTTGCTATGTGATGTGAACTCATTTTGAAGTCTTTCTTGTCAATGATAATATTACATTTCAAACTGAGACACAGTGTGTTTCTCTTTTGAGAAAGCTACTCATCTTAAATAGAGCAAAGTTTCAAAACAGCAAGTTAGATATATCCCTTATTGTTCATAACCAAAATCTTTACATTTTGGAAAAGAAAAAGATGAAAAAGAAAGTAGATAAAATTCAATACTAAAAAATTCTACTGCTAAGGTTTTCTATAAAAACAATTAGCTGACCAGAGATGGTACCGTTGTGTAGAGATTAGCACTGGAAAGAAAATAAGCAAGACTAAAGCATTTATGGTTTATGCATCTGTCTATTTAAAGGACTTCCAACCCCTTAGCCCAATGCTGCTGTCAGGAAAGAAATGGAAAATCCAGTTACAACTGTCTAGCAGGTCTATCATTATTCAGGATGAAAGCACTGCTTAGTCATTCACTAACTCAGAATTCTCTTTTTAGCAACTTAATACAGTATCATGCAACCACTGCCCAAGACAATTTACAACAAGACTCTTTGCCAAAAATACATCAATTGTAAGGAAAACAGGAAACAGCAAAGAGAAGGGCAATCTTAACCAGTTTTCTGAGTCATCTTTTCCTGTGCACTCGTCACGAAACTCCATTTATTTAGGTGAGCTGGAAGTATTATATTTAGGAAATAGGGTTAGAGCCTGATAGTGCCGTTAAGTGGTCTAAGCCACCAGTTTTTCTAAGGGCTAATTCTAGGCCAAATTATAAAGTAGCAAATTCTGCTTTGATGCTGTCTCCTCTCTCCTTTTTGTCTTCCAATTTCTTCCTTTCAAATAACCAGGGACCTCTTGTCTTATCTGACTTCTCGGAACCTACTGTTTTCCACACTAAAACCTGTGCAGTTAGTTAACATGCTGATCTGATCACCTAACATGATGAACTAGTGCCAAGTGTGGATATAACTGGAGGAGCTCGAGATTTAAAAGTTAAGTAACGTTCCAGAAAATACATAGCTTATAACTAGTGATAACTAGAGGAGCAAGAAGTCAGTTGCAGGCCTGTGAGCGTTTCCAGTCATTATTATGCTGATTTACATGGTTATTCTGGTGGGGCTGTGCCTAGAGGTGAGAGTAGGGGCATCCTATCAGAATTCCCAGGGTATATTCTCAAAATTAATATACATGACTGAGAATCTCCTGAGTTATGTAATCAGTGTGGCAGTCATACATGTTATAACAATTTCCCAAATGACTAGAATGCACACTCAGAGAACACACATTAATTTTAGGTAATGGATGTGCTAAGACATGGTGAACACCAGTGTCACTTGATGCAGACTGAAACTCACAGGCAAAAGAGTAACTGGAGTATAAGTAAGTCCTCTAACTCAAATGGTAGTCATGCCTCTGGGGTGTAAGACATGTATAAGTCAGGGCAGTGCTGGAAATTATAGATTTCTCTAGATTTGTTTCATTTGTAGCAGGGAAAAGGCCCGTTTAGAAGCCTATTTGGATGGATTTTTCAGTGTGAATGAAAGTCCCTGTACTGCAGCAATTGGTGCCGGTCTCTCCCTTCCCAGACTCTCACATTTCCTTCATAGTTTTTTCTTAACGAACCATCAGCCATACTGCCTTAGAGACGGGTCCCAGTGGGAAATTTGGTTCTCAATACTGTCCCCTCCTGTCTGCTCTTCTACTTTTCTTTCCACTTGTCTGTTCTTTTCATTTGAGGGAGACCCTAGGCTCTAGAGTTCTATTTTGGCAGGCTATAGCTATAGCCTCGAGAGATGCTCCAATTTGCAAACAGTCTTTGAGGGGTCTCCCTTGCTCAGGACTCCAGCCCAGTTTCCGGATACCCAATTCAAAATTGGTTCTCATTTTTATTACTTTCTAGATGGTTTATCATTGCAGTTTTGATTTCCTCTCTGATATGAAGTGAACCCTATTACCAGCTCCATTATAAGTGATGCTTTATTTGTTCATTGGCTATCTTAAGGAGCAGTGCTGAGAGTCATGGAAAGTGAAATGAATTGCTGCTCTGGGCTAGTTAAGGAGCAGCAGAAATGCCTTAGTTCTAATAGATTTAAGTTCCAGATAAGGCTTTTCCAGACCTTTAAGTTCTAGGGACATCCAGATTCGCAAGGTGCAAAGAACGTAATCCATATCTTCATATCCCCCTAAGTGCCTTGTGAGCATACATGTGCTACTTCAGACTGCTTAGACCTTCTGCTGGAACTCCAGATGATAATGGGAAATGGACATCATTCAAAATATTTAAAACATTCAATTAAGAGATCATAGCTCAGACTGGGTATGTTTAATTTGACCACAACAATAATTGATTGATTTCTAGGAATAATATCAGTTTAAATCATTCTGCCAAATTTTACTCCCATCTCTTCCCCTAATGGATTCCTTTGCTTTGCTTACTCAGGTCAGGAGGAACTGGAAGGTGAGGATATAACACACATTGAAGCACTTAATCACCTCTTGATTGACTAAAGTAAAATCCTGATTTAAGGATCTAAACTGTGTTTTTCATTTATTAGCACTTTGGATAGCAACAAATGTTTCCAAACACCTGAGAACAGGAGAAATTCAGACACATTGGAAAGGCTTTGGGGGTTAAAAATAAGAATATTTCACAAACTAACCACCAGCATCAAATGATAGAATGTATGATGCAAATGGTAACAACGTGAACAGATAAGGATCTTCTGCCATGTATCTCCCTGACCATTCCTTGTACTTTCTATTTTCATAAAAAACCCTCAGTAAAGACAGAGAACTCTTTAATTGACTGACAAAAGTTTCTAATACTCTAGAATGAAATTTATAAAATAAATTACATTAGATCATATAATATTAAAGAAAGTTTTGTATCATGCACACTTGCTTTTTTGATTGAGATGGTTATAAGACTTTTCTACTAATGATACTGACATCAGTTGAAATATTTACTCAAAGCCTCGTACTGCAAAACTGCGTAGATGGGAATTATAAGTATACATAAATTAGCACTGAATAAACTCTATTGGGTCTGGGAATAAGTTGAATTTTATCCAGGAAACTTTACCAGCATATGTGTTATGCTTCTGAACACTTTTCCATTAAAGCGATGTGATCCAGGGTTTATATGTATGCCTTTAAAAATAGTTCAATATATTGTGTTTTCATCATTTAGAATTTATTTTAAAATAATTACTTTATGTATATTATTATTTGTGTAGAGGAATAACTCAATTTCTAACATTCTTATATAAGGTATGAACAAACAGGCACACACATTGATAACTATTCATAATTAATGAAAGTCAACACATTATACATGCTTAAAATACAGAAGTAGACTACAAAGAAGTAATATAAATGAGAATTTGGGTTAGTTAGAAGATGGTCATTTAAATTACAAAATGACTTCTTTGTTACAAGAAGTTTCATTTAATTATTTAAGAAAGAGGTCACAGTTCTATTTCTATTGTGATATTATTCCTCATAATGAGCTAAATGATCTTTCAGTTTTTTTCATAGTATTATGTGTGACTGGCTTTTATTGATTCTTCATAAACTGTGCTTAATAACTTCAGATATAGCTTCCTAGTTAATTAAATATACTATAATTGGCTAAGGATGTAAGTATATCCCTTCAATTTGTTTTAGATTATCACCTTTTTGGTGTTATACATATTTGTCCTAATAAAATAACGAAGCATTATAATATAGTGATGCAAAGAGCACATTAGGAATCTTTTTCTTATCTTGATTTATTTGTGTTGAAATAGCTGGGTAACAGAAGAAAGATATCTACAATTTCTGATGGGCTTTTAAGGTACTGTATTATACTGTCTTCATTTTCTAACCTCTTCCTCACGTTGCCTTAATTAGTGAGCTTCTTTAGAATACGAGCCACACCTCATTTATGTTGAAATCTCCAGCATCGGCTACAATGACTGGAACATGGAATATATGCAATAAACTAGACCTCTGTATTCTGAAGCGCAGTGTCTTTTTTTTCTATTTCTTTTCTTCCTTTATAATGAAAATAACAATTACAATATATTATACAGCTATGACAGGAAGAATAAAGTGTTATGTTTAGTAAAAATCATTTTAACTTAAAAAACAGTATAAATTGTAATGGATTTTATTATAAATATTTTACTAATTCTTTAAAATTCAGCTTAAATCATGTATCTTCCTGAAGATGTTCTGATTATTTCAGTTTACAATTATGTCTTCCTTTTCTACACTCCAATTTTTCTGTTTAGACAATAAACAAATTAGAAAATAAGACAATTACATGTTGTGGAAACAAGGGTGACCTTAGCCCGGTATGTGCATTATGTGGAGGAAAAGGCTGAGGCCCAGAGAAACAGTGGGAAGAACTGGAATCTTTTGACTCTCAGGCGGCCCCTCCTGCTATGATTGTAATGATGAGGAACTGAAAGACAAGCATGTGAAGAAGCATCTCAGTCTGTTTATCTGTAAAATCAACAGACTTTAAAATAGGCTGTCTAGAGAATTATTTGTTTCGGCACTGATCACAATATGTGTGCCATGTTGATTCTCCAACACAATTGTTCATTCCTGAAGATGTTACAAATAAATTACGCACCACGGAATCTGCCTTTAGAAAAATGCCTCTATATTAGCAGATGCCATTCTTCCCATTCCATAAGGTAAAATGAAGCCATAGGGCATGACCAGCCTCAATTCTACTCCCTCAAGGAAATGAACGTCGGCAGTCTTTCCTGTGTTTCCTCCAGAGTGATGGTACTAAGGGGAGGGGGAAAAATTCATGTTTGTTCAAGACAGATTCCTCAGTCTTAGTTTTTAACCAGCTCCTTTTTTTTCTCTCTGATACCTTGCCCCATAAATTATTCCCACTTTCCATAAATTTTCACCATTTTACTCCCTTGTACCACATTTTCTATCAACATATTTACTGCAGTCCTCTTCTAAACAAGTCTTGCCTCTGTGGCCCTCTGCTGCCACCATCCTCTCTCTCTTTTTTCTCCTTCTTGAAAAAGGTGTCTCAATTTATTTTTTCCCTAATTTGATTCCTACTGGTTAACCTGCTGCAATCAGGCATGGATCCAGATTTGCGGGGCATGAAACTTACACGCAGTGAAGGTCTTTGATGACGCTTCAGTGGCTTCATGATACATCTACCCTTACTTGAAAATTGATTTCTCTTTTAACCAACTACCAAGAATGTTCTTTTTAAAGTTACCAGATACTTGGTAGGTGCTAAGCAAGAGGACACACTTGAAACTTGTTTGGATGAATTCATAATTTTATGTTCAAAATACTTATCCCATGTGGCTTCAAAATTGTTGCTTCATTGTCTTTGAGCATCCAGTACTACAAATGAAGCTTGACAGCCATCTGATTTTCATTCCTGGATAAGTAACCTTTTTTCCTGTTCACCCCAAAGCCCTCCCAAGGTTTTACGCTCTTTTGTATATTTATTCTTCTGAAATTCAGGAAGAATAATCTCAGTGTGGGTTTGTTTATAGACATTGTGCCTGACAGTAAATTTTATAATACAAAGATTCCAAAAGTATTTCCAGCTATGGAAATTTACTTCTATTTTCCAGTGATTAATTCTTCTTAAAGTTGTGAAGTAATATGAAATATTATGTAATTTATGTAAAATATAAACATATACAAAAATATGTATGTAAATTCATTAAAATATGTGAAAGAATATGACTCAAACAATTAACTATGGTTATCTTTGGGAAGATATTGTTTGAGAAAAATGGTAAAGAGGAATATTTACTTTTAATGATATTTTTAAACAACTCATCATGTATTTAATGTAGAGTATACCGAACATACTTTAAAAGTATATGTGAAAAGGTTTTGACATATGTGTACATCCATGAAACCATCATCTCAAATAAGAATATGTTTCCATAACCTCTAAAAGTTTCTCCAATCTCTTTGTAACCCTCTCACTAGTTCTTATTCATACGCTTCTATTTCAAGGTTATTACTGATTTTCTTTTTGTCACTATCAATGAGCTTGTATATTCTGGAATCTTATGTAAATGGAATCATACTGTATGTATTTTTTTCTCTGGCTCCTTACACTCTAATCATCTTGAGAGTCATCATGTTGTATCAATAGTTAACAGTTTAGTCCTTACTCTGCTGGGATTTTGATTAATATTGCCTTTTATATGTCTTAAAACATACAAAAATCAATTTAGAAAGAACAGTCATCTTAACAATATTGAGACTTCTAGCCAATGCTCCTTTAAATTCTAACAGCAATGATTTAAGGTTTTCAGTGGCATGTAGGATATACCCCTATTTAATATTTTATGCTATCTAGTAGTATCATTTTTATATTTCATTTTCAAATTGTCCTTTTTTATGTCCTGCAACCTTGCTAAACTTCCTTATTATTTAGTTTGGTAGGTGTCATTGCATTTTTTCCTCTCTTTCTGTATGTATATATATATATATATATATGTATATATGTATATGTGTGTGTGTATATGTGTGTGTACATATATGTGTGTATATATACATACATATATACACACATAGGTAAACATGTAGTCAGCAAATAAGGATTATTTCTTCTCTTAAAATCTGGATGAATTTTATTTTTTTGTCTTGTCTTATTGTACTGGCTAAAACTTTAAGTTCAATCTTGAAAAGAAACAGTGAAATCAGACATGTTTTTCTGTTTCTGATCTTAGGGTAAGAGCATTCAGTCATTTACAATCATTGTTCATGACTGCTCTTTATCAGGATGAGGGATTCCTATTCTTTCTCTAATTTCCTGAGAGTTTTCACAAGAGCTGATATTAGATCTTGTAACATGCTTTTTCTTCTTTTTTGAGATTGTCATGTGTTTTGTTTTTATAATAATTTGTTAATATGTGGAATTAATGATTGCTTTTTGACTATTATACCAACTCTTCTCCACTTGATCACAATGTATTATCCTTTATATTATTGTTGAGTTTAATTTGCTAGCCTTTAGAATATTTACATCTATGTTCATGGCGGATATTGGTCTGTAGTTTTCTTTTCTTGTAATATGACTTCTTGCTTTTAGCACCAGAATATGGCTAGAAGTATTTCCTCCTCTTCAAATTTCCCGAAGAATTTAATTAGAATTGGTATTATTTTTCTTTCAATAACTGATTGAATTTGCTTGTAAAACTGTCAAATACTGGGTGTTGTATTGAGCATGTTAAACTACAAATTAAATTAGTAGATATTAAATATTCAGAATATCTATTTCTTATTGAAATTGCTTTAATGGTTGTTTCTATTAAGAAATTTGCTCATTTAATTCACATTTTTATATTTATTGACATAAAATTGTTCAGGATCGTCTGCTTTTAACTTTTTACTATTTGTAGAATCTGTAGTGATGCCACTTCTCTTATTCTTGCCATGGATAATTTGAGTCGTCTATTTTTTCCTGATTCATCTGACTGGGATGTTATAAATTGTAATGATCTTCTCAAAGAACTATCTTTGGTTTTATTCGTTTTCTCCATTGTTTTCCTCTTGTCCATATAATTGATTTCTGCTCTATTTAGTTTCTTTATTCTTCTTATTTTTGGTTTAATTTCTTTTTCAAGTTTCTTAAGGTTAGTGCTGAATATTAAGCATAGGGTTTAGTGCCTTCCTTGTATTCTAATTTAAGCTTTCAGTACTATAAATTGCCTCTTTTTGTTACTGCTTTTGATGTGTTTTGTTTTCATTTACATTTAGTTTAAATTGCTTTCTGCTTCCTCCTTTGATTATCTCTTTGATGTATGCATTATTTAGAAATGTGTTATTTTGTTTCTAAATATGTGAAAATATTCCAGGGATCATTCTGGTATTGATTTCTAATTTAATTCCATTGTGGTCAGATCATGTATTTTTGTCCAAAATACAGTCTAATTCTCTCTTAGCTACACAGGTTAGCCATATTCAATATGAGAGTGGGATACTTGAGGGAATCAATACTAGGGTTTATTTTAGCTGTCAGGAGTGTCTATTATGAACCAGTCTACAAGCAACTAGGGATCCAACATGCTCATATAGAATTTACATTGTATTTAGAGGTGCTAAAATAAAAATATACACCAGTAAGTGAACAAATTACTTATAGATTGCCATAGTACTTTACAAGAATTATAAGATACAGTGGTAAAATTTAAAAGGGCTGGCTAGTGCTGTTTTATTCAAGATAACCAGAAACAGACTATCTGCAGAAGAACAATTGAGACATGGGGATAAGAATAAGCCATTCAAATGGCAGAGGGAATAATAAAAGAGCTTGGTGTTAGAGAGACAAAAGTGTGGATTGACAACGGCTGGAATTTAAGTGCACATGGTATGACACATGTTTGGAGAAGTCAATAGAAACCATAAGATCAGTTATTTCAGTCTTATTCCAAGTAATCTAGAAACTGAATGAAGGGTTTTAAGCAGGGAGATCAGCATAATCTTGTTAACCTCCAAAAAGAAATAATTTGGCTGTTGTATGGAGGATTGAAGCCTAGGCTTCAGTAGAGATAAATAATACATGTATGACTGAACAGAATCAAATTTGACACACAGATATCAGTTAGAAAGCTACACAGTTTTCCAGGAAGACTAGGCTGCTGGAAATGAATTATAAGAGAAGTAGACAGATAATAAATAGTTTTAGAGGGTAGCGCCCATAAGATTTGTTGATGAATTGGGTAAGGATGATGAGAGAAAAGAATAAATGTCAAGAACATTAGGCTAAGTGAAAGAAGTCAAACACAAATGACTACTTGTCTGAATGATCCATTTATTTGACTTTAGAGAAAAGGTAAAATTCTAGTGACAAAAAGCCTATAAGTAGCTATCTAGGTCAGAGAACCAGAGAAAGGAATCACCTCTAATGCATCAGAGGAATTGTTTAGGATGATTGGAGTTTTCTATACCTTACTTGTGGTGGAGGGCATATCTACTGTCTATATATAATTATCCAAATTCATATAACTATACACCTACACTGAGGGAATTTTATTATATGTAGATTATAACATAATATAATTATTGTAAATACTTAAATATAAAATGGAAGATAATTACAAATAGTACTATAGATAAGGATAGCTACTTAAAGGTACAAACAACAAGTCAAATTTTAGTATACCATAAATACTCCATAAACATATCTGCTAAGAATATAAAAATATTGTAAGAATGGGCTAAGAATATATGAACATGAAAATTAACAAAAACTATTTAAATGGTCAAAACAGAAAAACAGGCTTATGGATTCATCTTTGACCTATAAAAGTACTGAAGGACTGGAAGTCGTTGTTCTTTTCCTTGCAACATACATGGGCTGGTAAAAACTAAAAATAAATGCTTTTCTTTGAAATTATCAGAGAATTTAAGTTAAAGGGCCCAAGTGGTTTTACCAGTGAACTAAACCAAATAATGTATGGAAGAAATAATATCAATTTTACACAATATGTTTCAGAAAATAATGGAGGAAAGAACACTTTTTAGTTGAAAGAACAGTGTTACCTTATCACCAAATTTATCTAAGAAATTACCAAAACTACAGACCAATATTTCTCATGAACATAGATACAAAAATTCTTTATAACATATTAGCAGATTCACTTCAGCAAAATATAAAAATATAATACATCAGGATTCAGGAATGTAAGGAAGTCTGGTTCAACATTTGTAAATCAATCATCATAACTTCTCATAGAACCAGAGAAAAGATGATATATTTTAAATATGTGGAAAAGTATTTTATAAAGTTCAACAACTATTCATGAAAAAAAATTCAAAAAACCCAAACATCAAAGATAATTTCTACAGGTTTATATGAAAAACACCTACTGTCAACATCACACTTAATGAGACACTGAACACTTTTCCTCTAAAATCAGGAACAAGGCAGTATGTCATCTTGCCACTCCTATTCAATATGGACATTCAAGAAAAAAATAAATAATTGGTATATGTAGGAAGGCAGGCCTCTGAATGACTCTGGCCAACCCAGATCTTCCCTCTTCCTCTTGCAGTTCTTAGAAAAACCACAGAACGGGCTGAGAATGAAATATCCTGAGGTAAGAATGAGGTGTTCACAGGAACAGAAAACCAAACACTGCATTTTCTCACTCATAAGAGGGAGTTGAACAATGAGAACACATGGACACAGGGAGGGGAGCATCACACACTGGGGCCTGTTGGGGGGTTGGGGGGATGGGAAGGGAGAGCATTAGGACAAATTCCTAACGCATGAGGGGCTTAAAACCTATATGATGGGTTGATGGGTGCAGCAAACCACCATGGCACATGTATACCTACGCAACAAACCTGCATGTTGTGCACATGTATCCCAGAACTTAAAGTATAATAAATTTTAAAAAATGGCAAAAACAACATTACAGGCCACTGGGGAAAAAAAAAAAAAGAAAGAAAGAATGAGGTGTTCAGAGCAACTTGCACTGTGTCCTCATTCCTTTGAAGAAAGAATATTCTTTATTGCTTAAGATCAGTGATCTAAGTTCTGCTCAGGATATATAAAGCCAAGGTGGACTGTTTTCAGAGTCCATTGGCAGTGGTGTGATGTCAGGCACATGAAGATGAAACCTCACACCCAACACACAACTTTCCTGAGCCTTGAGATTGCCGTGTATGTAAGGAGAGAATTCGAAAAACAGCAAGAGAGAAACATCTAGTCAATTACAAGGGAACCCCATCAGACTAACAGCAGATTTCTGGGAAGAAACCTCAGAGGGTAGGATAAAATGGGATGATATATTCAAAGTGCTGACCTCTGCTAGCCAAAACTACATCCAGCAAGGGTATCCTTCATAAATGAAGGAGAAATAAAGTATTTCCCACACAACCAAAAGCTGAGGTATTTCATCACTAGTAGACTGGCGCTACAAGAAATGTTTAAGGGGGCCAGGCATGGTGGCTCACACCTGTAATCCCAGCATTTTGGGAGGCTGAGGCGGGTAGATCACCTGACATCGAGAGCTCGAGACCAGCCTGACCAACATGGGGAAAGCCCATCTCTACTAAAAATACAAAATTAACCAGGCCTGGTGGCGCATGCCTGTAATCCCAGCTACTGGGGAGGCTGAGCAGGAGAATTGCTTGAACCCAGGAGGCGGAGGTTGCGGTGAGCCGAGATCACACCACTGCACTCCAGCCTGGGCAACAAGAGCAAAACTCGATTTCAAAAAAAGAAAGAAATGTTTAAGGGAGTCTTACTCCAGCCTGGAAATGAAGGAATAGTATCTACCATTATGATAAAATATAAAACTCACTGGTAGAGCAAACACACAAATAAGGAAGAAAAAGGACTCAAATATTACCATTACAAAAATACTACCATACCACAATGATAAGCAGTAAGAGAAAGATAGGAACACAGGATACAGAAAACAATCAGAAATTAATAAAATGACAGGTCTAAGGACTCACATATCAATAATAATCTTGGATGTAAAAAATTTAAATTTTCCACATAAAAGATATAGTCTAGTTTATTGAATTTTTTAAATGACCCAACTATATGCTGCCTGCAAAAACTTATTTCAACTGTAAGGACATGTATAGATTGAAAATATAGGAAGGGAAGAAGATATTATATGAAAATGGAAACTGAAAGTGAGGAGAAATAGCTGTATTTACATCAGATAAAACAGACTTTAAGTCAAAAACAGTAAAAAGAGACAATGAAAGACATTGCCTAATGATAAAGGGATCAATTCAACAAGAGGTCATAAAAATTATAAACATGTATGTGTCTAATGCTGGAGCATCCAAATAAATAAAGCAAATATTATTAGATCTAAAGAGAGAGAGAGACTCCAATACAATAACATTTGGGGACTTCAGCACCCCACTTTCTGCATTAGATGCATTATCTAGACAAAAAATTAACTGAACATTAGATTAAGTGGACCTAACAGACATGTACACATGTCACCCAGCAGCTGCAGAATACACATTCTTCTCATCAGGACATGGAACATTTTCAAAGGATTTTTAAAAATTGAAATATATCAAGTATCTTCTCAGACCACAATGAAATAAAATTAGAAATCAATAACAAGAGGAACTTGGGAAAATGAACAAATACATGGAAATTAAACAACAATGCTCCTGAATAACCACTGAGTTAAGGAAGAGATTATAAAGGAAATAAAAATTTTTCTTGAAACAAATGAAAATCAAAATACAATATACCCAAACCTATGGGATACAGCAAAAGCAGTGCTAACAGGAAAGTTTATAGCAATAAATGCCAACATCAAAAAAGTAGAAAGATTCCAAATAATCTATGATGCAACCCAATAAACTCCAAAGGAAGAACAAACCAAAAACAAAATTAGTAGAAGAACAGAAATAATGAAGTTCAGAACCAAACTAAATGAAGCAGAGACTAAAAAAATACAAAGACTTAATAAAACAAAAAAGTTGATATTTTGGAAAGATAAACAAAATCAATAAACTTCTAGCTAGACTATCCAAGAAAAAAATACATAAGATTGAAATAAACTCAGAAATGAAAAGAGACATTACAAATAATAACACAGAAATACAAAATATGATCAGACAATAGATAAACAACTATACAGTAACTGGAAAACTTAAACCAAGTGGATAAATTAATGAACATATTCAATCGGCCAATATTGAATCAGAAAGAAATAGAAAGCCTAAATAGACCAATAATAAGTAATGATATTAAAGTTTTAATTTCAAAAATCTCTTATGAATGAAAAGTACGGGACTGGATGGCTTCATTGCCAAATTCTATCAGACTTCAAAAACTAACACCAAATTTCCAACTATTAAAAAAACTGAAGAAGAGAGAATTCTTCCTAATTTATTCTATGAGGAAGACATTATCCTAATACCAAAACCAGTCAAAGACGCAATTAAAAAAAAAAAAAAGAAAAACAAACCAACAGGCTAATATCCCCGAGAACGTAGAAGCAAAAATTCTCCACAAAATACTAGCAAACTGAATGCAAGAGCACAATAAAAAGATAATGTACCATGATCAAGAGGGGTTTATTCCAGGGATGCAAGGTAGTACAACATATATAAATCAATCAACATGATACATAACATCAACAAAATGAAGGGAAAAAAACCATATGACCATCTCAATAGATGCAGAAAAATCATTTGATAAAATTCAACATTTTTTCATTATAAAAAAATCTCAACAAACTAGATTAAAGGAACATATCTCAATATAATAAAAGCCATATATAACATACCCATAGCAAACATCAAACTGAATGGGGAAAAGCTGAAAGCCTTTCCTGTATGAATCAGAACAAGACAAGGAGGCTCACTTATACTACTCCTATTCAACATAGTTCTGGAATTTCTAGCCAGAGCAATCCGACAAGAGAAATGAATAGACCAGGTATTGTGGCACATGCATGTAATCCCAACATTTTGGAAGGTCAGTGTGGGTGGATCACTTGAGCTCAGGAGTTCGAGACCAGCCTGGGCAACATGACGAAAACCTGTCTCTACAAAAAATAAAAAAATTAGCTGGGCATGGTGGTACACACCTGTAGTCCCAGCTACCAGAGAGGCTGAGGTGCGAGGATCTCTTGAGCCTGGGAGGCAGAGATTTCAGAGTGTGCCACTGCATTCCAGCCTGGGTGGCAGAGCAAGATCATGTCTCAAAAAAATAGAGAGGGAGAAAGAGAAATACAAGGCATTAAAATTGGAAAGGAAGAAGTCAACTGTCCCATTTTGCAGATGATATAATCTTATATATATATTAGTAGTGTTTCTATACACCCATAATGAACTAGCTGAGAAGGACATCAAGAAGGCAATCTCATTTAAAATAGCTAAAATGTATTTTAAAATATGTAAGAATAAATTTAACCAAAGAGGTAAAAACTCCTCTACAAGGAAAACTACAAAACAGTGATGAGAAGGCAGAGCCAAGATGGCCAACTAGATTCAACCAGGAAGAGCTTCTTGCACCAAGAGAGACTAGACCATCAAATAGACCAGCACACTCGAACAGTTCTTTGGAAAGAAGGCAGTGAGAGTTGACAGAGGAAGGACACAGACCCTGGGGCTGAAAGAGGAGGAAGCTGGAACAATGCATGGGGTTGCTGAGCACCAGGACTTGCTCCTGGCCCCAAACAGCTCCTAGGGAAGGGGTAAGTTTTATAGGTGTGAAGTGGCCCACTCTCACCATGGACCTCTGGGATCCTCACTGTGGGAGACCCCATGATCTCCATGGATTTCTGATGTAGTAGGGAGAACTGCCTGGAGAGTTGTCAGAGAGAACTCCAGCCATTGCAGAGCCAAGAAGTTTTGGCACAGGAATGGCTGCAGCACTGCATGGCCATGGGCACCCATCCCCCAGGTCTCACCATACTTTTCTAGGCAGTTTCAGCCTTTGATAGCTGCTAGACCTGGATAGAACAGTGCAATCTTGGCCATGGGATGAGGCCACTCTGATCTGAGCACGCCGCTGACTGACAGTTTCTTCCAGGGTCCCTCCCTGGCTGAACCTGTTTACAGCACAGCCTCAGCTTGCCAGCAGCCACTGCCATAGCTCTTTCTCTGGCAGAGCTGCCTACTCATGGGATTACTTTTATAGACAGACCCCTGCAAGTGCATACCCACTTGCTGTCTTCCCCCACCAGCACACACCTGCCTACAGCTTTCCCTGGCAGCGTGCATTTGCCTGCAACAACCTCCTCTCCCATCCTTTCCAGCATGCATATGCATGTAAACCCACTGCCACCTCTGCCACCTCACCAGAGTGCTTCTGCTGGCAGCCCGTGTTGGAGTGTTCTTGCCAGTGGGAACAATTGGGAACATGTCAGCCCCTCCAGTGCAGCAGGTGTTTAACCTCAAGTGGCCAGAGAATAAACAAGCAGGCCAGGTCCCAGCCTGTCAGGGTTAGAGTATGCAGGCCAGGAGTGCTGAGCTGAGCCTTGGCCCATAATAGCATCCAGAAACAAAGCCAATTGACTAAACCCAACTTACACCATAGTTGAATCCTCAAGGGCATCAAAGAATATAAAAGAAAAAGTCCCATCCAAGCCAGCAACTTCAAAGATTAAAGGAACATAACCCCACGCAGATGACAAATAACCAGTGCAAGAACACTGGCAACTCTAAAAACCAGAGTGTTTTCTAACCTCCATGCAACCACACTAGCTCCCCAGCAGTGGTTCTTAATCATACTGAAATGGTTGAAATGACAGATACAATTCAAAATTAGAATGGCAAGGAAACTTTTTGAGTTACAGGAAAAGGTTGAAATCTAATTCGAGGAAGACAGTAAAACAGTTCAAAAGTTGAAAGATGACATAGCCATTTTAAGAAAGAACCAAACTGAACTTGTAGAAATGAAAATTTCACTATAGGAATTTCGAAGTGCAATTGGAACCATTTATAACTGAATAGACCAAGATGAAGAAGAATCACAGAGCTCAAAGACTGCTTTTTCAAATCAATGTAGGCAGACAAAAATTTAAAGAAAAAAGAATTTTAAAAATGAACAAAACCTCTCAGAAATATGGGATTATGCTAAGAGACAGAAACCATGAATAATTAGCATTCCTAAAAGAGATGGACAGAGAGCAAGCAACTTGAAAAACATAGTTGAAGATATTGTCCATAGAAATTTTCCCACCCTCACTAGAGAGGTCAACATGCAAATTCAGGACTTCCAGAGAAATCCTGCAAGATGCTGTACAAGACAACGCTTCTCAACATGTATAGTTATCACATTACCTAAAGTCAATGAGAGATAAAAAATCGTATAGGCAGCTAGAGAGAAGGGGCAGGTCACATATAAAGGACACCCCATCAGGCACCATTTTCCACTAAAGCAACCAGGACTTCTTGGAAAAATGGCTAATTTCATGTCTGAGTTAGGGAATATACAAGAAAAGGCTGGGTGCATCTTCTAACACCAGAAAGAAAGGAAATTCTGAAAAATCAAAACAATTGGTGCATTGGTTGTTTTCACACGCTATAAAGAATACTTGAGACTGGGTAATTTATAAAGAAGGGCGGTTTAATTGACTCACATTTCTGCATGGCTGGGAAGGCCTCAGGAAACTTACAATCATGGTAAAAGGCAAAGGAGAAGAAAGTACCTTCTCCACAAGTCAGCAGGAAAAAGAGTGTGAAGGAGGAACTGTCAAACACTCCTAAAACCATCAGATCTCGTGAGAACTTACTATCGTGAGAACAGCATGGGGGTAACCACACCCATGATCCAATCCCTTCCCACCAGGTCCCTTCCTCAATACATAGGGATTATGGGGATTATAATTCCAGATGATATTTGGGTGGGAACACAGAGCCAAACCATATCAATTGGGATATATATAAGGGACACAAGAACCAGTAAAAGAGATCCCAATGGCCTAAGGTGGAACGATTTGATAAATAAAGTCAATAATGTAGTATTGGATTATATTCCAAAATATAAAATAACTATCCATAATTTGTACTTATATAAGTGATTCAATAAATCAATCCCTGGAGAAGAAAATACAAATTTTTCTTATAAATTCCAAACACTTCATATAGATACACCCCCTCAAGGAGGTGGAATGCAACTGCCACCCCTTAAGTATGGAATAGACTTATTTCTTTATTTTATTTTAAATTTACACATAATTGTACATATTTCTGGGGTACATTGTAATTTTTGATACCTATAATGTATAGTGATCAGATCAGGTTAATTAGCATATCCATCATCTCAGACATTTATCATTTCTTTGTGTTTGGAATATTGGATATATTGGAAATCAATATTATTTTTCCCCATAGAATACAGCATGGAAATGGGAGATAAAGATAAATAAGTATACATTGAATAATCTGGTAAACACTACCTTAATCAGGTACGAGTATCATCAGTGTTGGTATCATCAGTGATAAAGTTCAGTCAATTACACTTATCACTGATAATATTGTGTTGAGAGCAGCACTTTATATCTTTGGACTTCCAAGTCAAACCCATAGCCCTAGTATATTTTTTAAAAAATCAATCAAATACCACTTGAAAAAAATTCTACAAAATACCTGACCAATATTTCTCGAAACTGTCAATATCACCAAAAACAATTAAATCTGAGAAATTACACAGCTCAAAGAAGTCTAAGGAGACATGATAAATAAATGTAACGTTATATTCTAGATAAGATACTGGAAAAATGAAAAAACATTAGAAAAGAGCTAAAAAACTAAAGTATGGAGTTTAGTTAATAGTAACAATAATAGTGGCTTATAATATAATAACATAATAATGGTAGTTATTTATATTAGTTATATATATCAACATTTGTTAATTATATATTTATATAATTTTAATCATGGATATTATTTGTTATATAAATCAATTAATATTAATATTCATTTATATATTAATATTGATTCATTTATTATGACAAATACACCATGGTAATATAAGATATAAAAAGTTGGAAAAATTGGGAGTGGGGTATAAGAAAAGTCTGCAAGGTCTTTGATAGTTTTATGTTAATATTAAAGTATTCCAAAATAAAACATTCATTAAAAATGTATACAACACTTGTTAACTTTGCATGCAATCAAAATTTTTAATTTACACTACAAAATCTGTTCTCATGGATCTGACTGCCAAAGCCTAAAAACAATAATAACACAAAATGTCAAAATTCTTTTAGGTAAATGAACACTCTCATATATCTCTGCTGGGCATAAACATTTCTACAATTAAGTATGGTTGAAAGAACATCTTTTTTTTTCTGGTAGGCAACTGGAAGGAAGTATAGTTGCCTTCCTAATACATATGACATGTGGAAAGGTAAACTACTGTGTTTTAGACAATATTAACACATTTGTAACTTTAAATTTCCCTTTCAATTTACTCTGGCCAAAATTCCTTAGTCCAAATGGCCATGTTTATAATATGTTTATGTTTATTTTTCCCATAGGAAAATATTTTCTCAATTTTTAAACACATTTTTTATATTTATGAATGTCAAAATTTTTTGAAATTCATCATATCTAATTATAAGCTAATGGCAATGCCTCATTAAATGTCTAAAAACAGATATAAAACTGGGGTTATGAAACACCTTTATCAACCACCTGGCAATCTCAAACTGATGATCATTCTGAATTTCATAAAGTATAAAATCTTTTTGTGGGAAAATTCTGAAATCTATATAATAGAAAATCAGATGAACAACCTGGAACTATCCTCCTGAAACAGGAAGAATGTAACAATAATATAACTTTTTCTTTTGTAACAGTTTATGATAACACTTTACAGAAGAGAAAGTTATATTATTGTTACATTCTTACTCTATCAGGGAGATAATAATTACTCTTATTAGTTATACTTTTAAAAATGTGAATACTTTCACATGTTATTTAATATGGCAAATAAATGATAGCTTTCAAGAATTAATAGTACTCAAGGACATAAATATACCTTTAGAAAACTAAGGTTTGGTGGAGTTTAAGTCACCAAAATAGGATCAATATTTTCATGCACAATCTTGCAAGGGAATAATTTATTAGTATGTGTTTTAAATGTTGGTATATCTTTAACAAGTGTTATTTATGTGTTGTTACTTGGTCAGTTTTCATCCATAACCAATACTACCAGTAGTACTCTTTCATTTATAATGAACAATGTTGTGTTTGATGATTTCAGCTTTTAAAGGTAAATACCATTCTCCTTTGTTAAAGAGCAATCAATTATCAAGACACCCCAACTAATATAGTCTTAGAGTTAGCTCTCCAAACATCACTGACATGAAATCTTTCATTGTTACCCAAGACTTATAAAGAGACTTAATAAAATGACTAATATACTATATCAAAAAAGTAACACACTATATGTGAATAAACACACACAATACACACTATGCATGAGTGTATGTACATGTGTGTATGCATATGTACTGAAAATGTCATTTTGTATACACAAAAAGCAGGAAATTCATATTAACTGAGTTTTGCAATATATTTATATCATAACACTCCTGAATTTTACAGTAAGGATGAATCATTAGTCTCTAGTATTTCTTTGCTGAAATGGTTACTCACATTCATGTTTAATAGCTGTAGTGATAGACTTTATATGGTAATATGCCAGGCTTATTTTGACAGATTCAGCAATGAAGTTATTTTCCACATGCAGTAATTAGGTTTAGTGACAGCCATTACAATAATATAGATATTTAACCAAATAATGCAATGCAGTGTGTTAATTCCAAATGATTTCTTGTGAATGTTAATTTGTTTCTCATCATATTATTGTTATAGGTTTTGGGTGTTGGGTTTTATTTTGTTTTGTTTTGCCAACTCTGAAGAAACTAACCCAAATTTTAATATGAGGATCTCCCAGGAGCTTCTCTTCTGCTAAAACTGAAGGCAAATTTACTTGCAGCACTTCCAATTCATCCTGGATACAGGAGGAGTCATTACCTGAAAAGTCATGCAGCTTACACCAGCAGGATTTATAAAGCAAGGAAGAGAACAAACAACCTCTGATTGAGAATAATCAGATTTCACCTTGCTGTTATCTAGATCTTTCAACTTCTGCTTTCTGGATTTCTTCTATCTGCAAATATCTGTGCTATCTATGTTAGTGTTTATATTTTAACTTATCTATTTGTATCTTATTGGCCCTAAGTCACTCCAATCTTGGATTAACTGTGAGGACACCAGAACATTTGTGGACTGAACAAAAAGTTTAGGTTTTAGATTTAAAGTAGAATATGGATCTTTTAAAAGATCCAATTTCTTAACTTGTTACTAAAATTTCTTCAATCTCAATGATCTCTCTGGGCAATAGTCTAAAATACTAACAACTTTCTATGATTTTGTAAAGCAAGTTGAAATCATGATATATAAATTGGTCTTCAATTTAATTGGTCTTCAATTTAATTGGTCTTTTAGAAGAAAATAGGGAAATGTACCAAGTTGTTTTACTTGATTTTTTCATTTATTTAAATTCCACAGTAAAATTTATATCTGATCCTACTCTGCTTATAAAATATAGTGTCAATGATTATTATTCAGCATAAATTATATGATTCTTTGATATGCTTGAGATGTTTAACTAATTTGAGTTGCACTACAGCAATATTTATATAAATTGTTCTCTTAAGAGACTAGAACCATCTCTTCTTGCTTGACTGTATTTACTAAGTTAAGAAATATCTATTTTGTTTCAAGCACTGTTTTAGATAGATGTTAGAAATAAAATAATGAGTGAGAAATACACCATTTTTGTCTTACAGCTCCTACAGTCAATAGGTAAGACAGAAGGTTAAACAAAAAACTATGCATTTTCTGTTAATTGGTATGACAGAAAATTTCAGGAAACCATTTTCCACAGAAATTTGAAAAATTGTTACTAACAATGGGATTTGATGAAACAGATGTGCTACAACTGGAGAATAGTCTAGGTCACAGGCTAAGATGTCTTTAAACATCAGTGTATTAGCGTCAAGCCAAATTGAATTTATTAGAATTGGGAATGTCAGGTAAAAATGAACATATATAATTTTGAAATTAAAATGCATTTGTTTTGAAAGATTAAAATACCTACATCAAATCAAATCCCAGGTGATTCTCGAAACATTCTTATTTTCCTTAGTAACCTATAGATTTTCTTCCATAAATAAAGCTGATCTGTTGTTGTACCTATCCATACTTTAGCCTTTACAATCTCTTGGAAGTAATACATTTCATGAAATTTTTACCTTTTGTATGAAATAGTAAATTAATTGACGTTTCCTAAATTTACAAGCGTGAAGCAGTAATTACATTTATTCAGCATAAATCTATGAAGGGAATGCCTCCTTTGCACTGTTCTCTGATTTGTTGTTGACTTAGCTCATGCCCATTTTATTAGGGTCACACATTAAATAAAATTTATAACATAGAAATTTTTAAATGTCTTAAGCATTCATTAAAAACTGACTTAGATCATATGAAATCAACAGTAAAAATATAGACTGAATTCTTACTTCACAGAACATTGAGCTTTATCTTGATAGCACAGGGCTGTGAGTCAGTCTCTGAATGGTTTGGCTCTGTGTCCCCACCCAAATCTCATGTTGTAGCTCCCGTAATTCCCATATGTTCTGGGAGGGACCTGATTGGAGAAAACTGAATCATGGCGGTGGGTCTTTCCCATGCTGTTCTCATGAAAGTAAATGGGTCTCATGAGATCTGATGGTTCTAAAAAATGGGAGTTTCTCTGCACAAGCTCTTTTTTTGCCTGCTGCCATCCATGTAAGATGTGACTTGCTCCTCCTTGCCTTCTGCCATGAGTGTGAGACCTCCCCAGTCATGGAACAGTAAGTCCAATTAAACCTCTTTCTTCTGTAAGTTGCCCAGTCCCTGGTATGTCTTTATCAGCAGTGTGAAAACAGACTAACACAGTAAATTGATACTGGGAGTGGGGCATTGCTAAAAGGATACCCGAAAATGTGGAAGTGACTTTGGAACTGAGTAACAGACAGAGGTTGAGGAAAATGTGGGAAAGTTTGGAACTTCTCAGAGACTTGTTGAATGACTTTGACAAAAATGCTGATAGTGGTATGAATAATAAGGTCCAGGCTGAGGTGGTCTCAGACAGAGATGAAGAACTTGTTGGGAACTGGAACAAAGATGACTCTTGTTATGTTTTAGCAAAGAGACTAGTGGCATTTTGCCCCTGCCCTAAAGACTTGTGGAACTTTGAACTTTAGAGAGATGATTTAGGGTATCTGGTGGTAGAAATTTCTTTTTCTTTTTCTTTTTTTTTTTTTTTTTTTTTGAGACTGAGTCTTGCTCAGTTGCCCAGGCTGGAGTGCAGTGGTGTGATCTCGGCTCACGGCAACCTCTGCCTTTCAGATTCAAGTGATTCTCCTCCTCAGCCTCTTAAGTAGGTGGGATTACAGGTGCCTGCCACCATGCCCAGGTAATTTTTTGTATTTTTCAGTAGAGATGAAGTTTCACCATGTTGGCCAGGCTGGCCTTGAACTCCTCACCTCAGGTGATCCACCTGCCTTGGCCTTCCAAAATGCTGGGATTACAGGCGTGAGCCACCACACTCAGCTTGGCGGAAGAAATTTCTAAGCAGCAAAGCATACAAAAGGTGACTTGGGTGTTGTTAAAGGCATTCAGTTTTATGAGAAAAGCAGAGCATAAACATTTGGAAAATTTGCAGCCTGACGATGCATTAGAAAAGAAAATCCCATTTTCTGAGGAGAAATTCAAGCCAGCTGCAGAAATTTGCATAGGTAACCAGGAGCCAAATGTTAATCCCCAAGACAATGGGGAAAATGTCTTCAGGGCATGTCAGAAGTCTTAATGGCAGTCCCTCCTATCATAGGCCTGGAGGCCTAGGAGAAAAACGTGGTTCCGTGGGCCAGGCTCAGGGTCCCTGTGCTGTGTGCAGCTTACAGACTTGGTGCCCTGCATCCCAGCCACTCCAGTCATGGCTGAAAGGGGCCAATGTAGTGCTCAGGCTGTTGCTTCAGAGGGTGCAAGCCTCAAGCCTTGGCAGCTTGCACATGATGTTGGGCCTGCGAGTGCACAGAAGTCAAGAATTGTGGTTTGGAAACCACTGCCTAGATTTCAGAAGATGTATGGAAACACCTGGATGCCCAGGCAGATGTTTGCTGCAGGGCCAGGGCTCTCATGGAGAACCTCTGCTAGGGCAGTGTAGAAGGGAAATGTGTGGTGGGAGCCCCCACACAGAGTCCCTACTGGGGCACTGCCTAGTGGAGCTGTGAGAAGAGGGCCACCATCCTCCAGACCCCAGAATGGTAGGTCCACTGACAGCTTGCACTGTGCACCTGAAAAAGCCACAGACACTCAAAACCAGCCTGTGATGGCAGCCAGGAGGGAAGCTGTACCCTGCAAAGCCACAGGGCAGAGCTGCCAAAGAACATGAGAACCCACCTCCTGCATCCGTGTGACTTGGATGTGAGACGTGCAGTCAAAGGAGATAATTTTGGAGCTTTAAAATTTGACTGCCCCGCTGGATTTTGGACTTGCCTGGGGCCTGTATCCCCTTTGTTTTGGCCAATTTCTCCTCTTTGGAATGGCTATATTTACCCAATGCCTGTACCCCCATTGTATCTAGGAAGTAACTAATTTGCTTTTGACTTTACAGGTTCAAAGGCAGAAAGGATTTGCCTTATCTCAGATGAGACTTTGGACTGTGGACATTTGAGTTAATGTTGAAATGAGTTGACACTTTGGGGGACTCTTGGGAAGGAATGATTGGTTTTAAAAAGTGAAGATATGAGATTTGGGAGAGGACAGGGATGGAATGATAATGATATGTTTTGGCTGTGTGTTCCCACCCAAATTTCACCTTGTAGCTCCTATAATTCTCAGGTGTTGTGGGAGGGACTTGGTGGGAGATAATTGAATCATGAGGGCAGGTCTTTCCCATGCTGTTTTTGTGAGAGTGAATGGGTCTGATGAGATCTGATGGTTTTAAAAAATGGGAGTTTCTCTGCACAAGCTCTTTTTTTTGCCTGCCACCATCCACGTAAGATGTGACTTGCTCTGCCTTGCCTTCCACCATGATTGTGAGGTCTCCCCAGCTATGTGGAACTGTAAGTCCAATTAAACCTCTGTCTTTTGTAGATTGCCCAGTCTCGGATATGTCCTTATCAGCAGTGTAAAAATGGACTATTACAGTCTCCATACACATAATTAACTAAATATCTGTATAACTCCCACAATTTGCATGAAAGATAACTTTAAAAATGCTATCAAAGTAGTAACAGAGGGGTGTAAATCAAGTAGTGGTGTCAGAGGAATGGTCTCTAAGTGAAAAATGAATTGAATCTAAGATGAAATGGGTGAGTAGATGTTGACAGGTGGTTGTTTGTCCTGGGAGAGGGAAAGACTGGGAGAAAGGCTGAGCAGAAGAATGGGACAACAGGTAGAAATAATAACATGTTTGAACTTAAAAGGATTTGATGCTGTCCAGAAATAGAAATAACCCAATATTCTTTCAATAAAAAACAGTGGAAATGAAAATAAAAATGCAACAATAGAATAGATCAAGCTGTACTATAAGCAGAAAGTGCTTGATGTATTAATTTATTTTAAGGACGCTAGATTTTTAAGGAGAGCTACATTTATTATATCTTTTAAAAATATCACTTTTCCTTCTGTTTAAATAGAGGATTAGAGAGAGATATAAATAGAACCAGACAGATCTGTTAGAAGGCTTTTTTAAAAAGTTCAAGTTACCTGGAATAAAATGGAAAGAAGGGAACATTTTAATCAAAATTCACCCAAGCAAGGATGGAATGAAGGTGGGTGATAAGAGATTTGTTTCAAGAATGCTTCCCAGGTTTCTGCCATGAGCGCTGGATATGAGGTCAAGTCTGTTGCTCAGATAAGGAAGAGCAGAAAAGAAATATGTTTGGGATGGGGGCCATTGAAGGTTAGGTCTCATGCATGCTATGTTTGTGATGTTTATGAGACATCAAGTGACGATACCAAGTAGATACTTCAATACATGCTCCAGAATTCAGAAGAGAAATCTGGAATAAAATGTGAGTTATATGCATATTCATGGTATTTAAAGTTATGGCAGTGGAAGGAAACCTAAGGAGAGGGTACAGGTTGAGTACAAAAATGGCCTTCTGTGGAGTTCCAGGTAATAGAAACTTACAGTTTTCCAAAGCCACAAAGTAGAGGGAAAAGTGACTATGAAGACTTTGAGATAGAGTCCAGAAAGTGAGCTGAAAAACCAAGAGAGTTTTATGTCTCTGATGTCAGGTAATCAGAGCATTTCTGAGATAGAATGATAAGCTGTGCCAAATGCTACTGAGAAATCCAGATAACTGAAAATAATAATCTTTGTAACCCTGATTCACAGTGCTATATAGGCTTTAGCACTTTGTAAATGCAAAATTAGTATATTTAGTTTTCCACTAAATATACTAATCCATTCCAAGTTGCTTGATGATGATAGGTATTTGATAGTTACATTTGAAAGCAATAATCTCTACTTCCTGCTGTCTTGAAGGATATGAGTATAATATTCCAAGGCTCATAACCTATGTGAAAATGGGTGTTTTCAAGACTCATATCTTCTACATATACATTATATTATATTTTTAAAAGTACACTGCCCCAGATTAAAATGAATTTGCCATTTATAACTCAAATTACAAACTGTTCCTTAGATCACTTAGATCCAGCAAAGCTTTGCATTACACAGAAAAGTTTTCCACAAACTTCAGGCTTCTCTTATGTACTTTTTCTCTAAATCATTTATAAAAACATTAAATAAGGGGTATACTGGCACTATTCCATAAGGAACATTGGCGTTTACACTTCTTTATTTAGAAAAATGTCTGCTTATTTCTAGCCTTTCCTCTTGTCTCTAAACTAGCTTTGTATATATGGCAAAACAGTTCCCCAGATGCCATATTTTTAAAATTCTGAGAAATTGCCATACTGTCTTCCACAGTGGTTGAACTAATTTACATTCGCATCAACAGTGTAAAAGCATTCCTATTTCTCCACAGCCTCACCAGCATCTTTTGTTTCCTGACTTTTTAGTAATTGCCATTCTGACTGGTGTGAGATGTTATCTCACTGTGGTTTTAATTTACATTTCTCTGATGATCAGTAATGTTGAGCTTTTTTTCACATTTGTTGGATGTATAAATGTCTTCTTTTGATAAGTGTCTCTTCATATCCTTTGCCTACTTTTTGATGGGGTTGTTTTTTTTTTTCTTGTAAATCTGTTTGTGTTCCTTATAAATTCTGGAAATTAGACCTTTGTCAGATGGGTAGATTGCAAAAATTTTCTCCCATTCTGTAGGTCGCCTGTTCACTCTGATGATAGTTTGTTTTCGTGTGCAAAAGCTCTTTAGTTTTATTAGATCCCATTTGTCAATTTTGGCTTCTGTTGCAGTTGCTTTTGGCATTTTTGGCGTGAAGTCTTTGCCCATGCCTATGTCCTGAATGGTATTGCTTAGGTTTTTCTCTAGGGTTTTTATGGTTTTAGGTTTCATATTTAAGTCTTTAATCTATCTTGAGTTAATTTTTGTATAAGATGTAAGAAAAGGGTTCAGTTTCAATTTTCTGCATATGGCTTGCCAGTTTTCCCAGCACCATTTACTGAGTAGGAGATCCTTTCCCCATTGCTTGTTTTTGACAGTTTTGTCAAATATCAGATGGTTGTAGATGTGTGGCATTCTGAGGTCTCTGTTTTGCTTCATTGGTCTATATGTCTGTACCACGCTGCTTTGGTTAGTGTAGCCTTGTACTACAGTTTGAAGTCAGGTAGCATGAAGTCAGGTAACGTGGAAGACAATATGGCAATTCCTCAAGGATCTATAATCAGAAATACCATTTGACCCAGCCATCCCATTACTGGCTGTATACCCAAAGGAATTAAATCATTCTGCTACAAAGACACATGCACACAAATGTTTATTGCAGCACTATTTACGATAGCAAAGACATGACCTAACCCAAATGCCCATCAATGATAGACTGGATAAAGACAATGTGGTACATAGGCACCATGGAATACTATGCTGCCATAAAAACGAATGAGATCATGTCCTTTGAAGAGACATGGATGAAGCTGGAAGCCATCATCCTCAGCAAACTAACACAGGGACAGAAAACCAAACACTGCATGTTCTCGCTCATAAGTGCGAGTTGAACAATGAGAACAACACATGGACACAGAGAGGGGAACAACACATACCAGGGCCTGCTGGGCGTGGGGGTGAGGGGAGGGAACTTAGAGGGTGGGTCAATAGGTGCAGCAAATCACCATGACACATGTATACCTATGTAACAAACTTGCATGTTCTGCACGTGTATCCCGTTTTTTTTTTAGAAGAGAAAAATTTTTTTGAATACATTTGGTACATAATTTTATTGATTATTTTATTAATAGCTCAGTATTTATATCCACTGATTGCTTTTTTTCACATACTTTTGTAACTTATTTTTCTCCCTTTAAAACCGCTTATGATTTACCTTTTATCGCTGACTTACATACTCTTTTATATGAGGCTCATTAACTATTATACCAATAGCTACATTTCCTAGTATTCATTGAAATCTCTACTAGCTTGTCTGTTAATTTGCTGAGAATGCTATGACTGTATTGCTTTGTTTTAGAACATTTTATTCTAAAATATCTTTTTGATGGGATAGCAACTACCTTAGCCATTCATAACAACTTGTATATTTTAGGACAGTATCTTGTTTCTAATGTGTCCCAACCAAATGCTTGTTTTGAGGATTAATGTTTATATAATTCTCAGTTATTTACCTGTGTGTTAGAGTTGGACATATCCAAAAAGTTTACAACATAATTTTCTGAATAGTCAGTACTTTTCACAGGTCCCATTCAAGTTATTTTCCTTTTCACCTGTCCTAAAAATGGGAAAATCCTGTCTAGAATTGATGGAAGGAAAAATAGGTGGCATATCTTTATTCTACTATTCACCATTCAATTCAATTGGGGAGGGTTATCGGATAAATTCAGCAGAAATGTAGTAAATCTTATGGCATCAAACATGAGCATAAATTGTGTATTATAATGTGCATTACAGACCTACATAGTAAGCAAAAAACAGTTATACAAAATTCATTTCACACAATGTCCTTGATTCCCAAAAACAGAGCTAAATCATTTTTATCATGCAGTTAAAAGAAACAAACTACACACCTGCACTTGAACATTTGGTATACTTTTTGTCTCGGATCTACAGCTGAGAGGCAGGTTCATAGATGTAGTTCTTGGTCAAATTTCCAATTGTTTTTTAAATGTTAATTTAATGCATTTATATTCTACACACACACACACACACACACACACACACACATATGTATATAATTTCTAATCACTTTTTTGTCTGAAACCTTGACCTAGAGTTGACATAATATGGCTCCTCCTCAGAAAATTTGTTCCCACTTCTTGTTTCTTGAAGCCCTCCCACCAACTCCACACTGTTTGGATTATACTACAGCAGAATCTTTGCCTCACCACCCATCCCTTCTCCTTCTTCCTGACCACCTCCCCTCCCCAATTTTCTGGAAATGATAATCCATTTAAGAAAATAAAATACAATTAAAGTATTTGGCCATTAAAAGATTAATAGATTTTGTTATTAAAAAATAATAAAATGCAATGTAAAAAACCCCACAAATTTGAAGAATCTAGGTCTTAACAAGGAGGATTTTCAAGAGGGTGGAGACAAATGCTTCCATTCTGTAGGCTCTGCAATGTGGTGTTCCTCAAATGACAGCAAGCAAGCCAGCATTTCTTGCCAAATTGGAATGACACTTAGAGTTGTATGTCTTGTAACTGATGAAAATCCTTCCCGTATTCTAGTTAGTTTGGCTTCTACTACTGAGAGCCACTGTGGAGGATTACCAAATGCTTTTGAGTTTTCCTGAGTATTTTAAAGGAAATTTGGGATACTGAGAAATGATATTCAGGCAGAAAACTGAGTGTTTAATCTTTGAGATAGAACTTGAAGGATATGTAAAATTTCAACCAGCCAGAGATAGAAGAGTAAGAACATTTCAGAAGAATAAAGCAGTGTGAAGAGACAAGAAAAACCCAGGTAGTGTTAGAAAGAAAATAGGTGGTTTTGTCTGACTGTAGTGTGAGTTTATATATGAAGGATTAATGGGAACTAAGGATAAAAACATTGCTGCGATGTTATCATGTGCCTTGTGAAGGCTCTGTGTGTGTGTGTGTGTGTGTGTGTGTGCGTGTGTAAGCATTGGAAAACCTCCAAAAGTTTTTAGAACAAGAGTCATGATCAGAGGTGGGTTTTGAAAATCCAAATCTGACTATTAATGGCCTGATGATGATTTGGACTAAGGAGAAGCTGGAGGTAGGTAGTTCATAAGCTAAAATATTGGTCCAGGTAAGATGTTTTGGGGTATAAAAAGGAAAATATTTTGGGAAATGAAAAATAATTGATCAGTGTTTTATTTTCTGAGCTCTTTTTTACCCTGGGGGTTCCCACCAATTGAATAAATGTCATGCATTTCTACAGAAGGCAGACAGGGTATTGTCTAGGTACAACAAAGAAGTCATTGCTCAACTTTGAGTTTCAAATTATAAATATATTTTGGATACAACTTAAGGTTATCTGCATTTCAATGCTTTTCCTCTAAGAATGGATTTGGGCAGTCAGCAGCAGTAAACACTTTGGCTATACATGCTCATCAGATTTTCTAATAGAGTGTGTCTAGAGGACATACTTTAGGAAATGCAGCCCTGTGTATCTTCTAAGGAAGGCTGTGATATTTCTGTTGTTTCTCTATTCCAAATCTGACATTTTCTTTCAAATGAGGTTTGTACCGACTCACTCTCACCTTGTTATTCAGAAACAGAGCTTCTGAGAGCTCTTCTCCCCAGAGAGTGATAGATCAATGTGGGAGCTCACATTTGTTTGAATGTATGTCAGGTAATCACGGTACAGCCCCTGACTATTGACTGAGTAAAGAGAAAGTGAAAAATCCTGATATTTTCCATTAGAATCATAAATTCTAAAGGATATTTCTGCAATAAAATTAAAAATGTAGGGTTTTTTGTTTTAAAAAAAACTTGTAAATTCAGGTCATAAAAATGAATTGTGATTTGAGCGGCCATTATCCTTGAAAATCTTTATTTAGCATTGTTTTACTTTATTATTGTAATTTTCCCATGAGATGGCTAAAATTACTCTTAAAAGTTGCTCATTTCTGTGCTGCCAACTTCTCTAAATATGCATTGCTTAAATATTTTGATATATACTAATCCCACTGCTTTCATGTTTACATATATCCCAAAATGGAAACCTAAAAGATGACTAAGATTAGACCATAAGAAAACAGAGTGAAGTTAATAAAACATGAGATTTTGTATTCTCTCTGATTCCCAAGGCAAAGTTTAAAAGCTCAATTATCAGTCCATTGGCTTCCCTTTGATATGAGATAATTATAAGCAATATTTAACTAGTACTTGAATAATACTTTGTAACTTTTAAATACTTTCATAAGCATTGTCATAATTTATGGTATCCTTTTGCAGTAGCATTCATTTATTATCCCCTTTGTCACTGAGCCACGGTGAGATTAATTTACTTTTTCCTGATTACAATTAGCAACGTTGAGCTGGAGCATATTTTCTGCTCTCTGGGCTCGGTCTGGCTTTTTCTCCTAAAACTTTTATGTTGCGTCTCTCCATATCCCGTCTTACTGGCATCTCACCTCTTTCTCCATCAGCTGTCTCACCTCATAATTGCATTTGTTGGTCACAAATGGGCTGATCAGGTAGATGTCAATAAAGAGGAAACACCTCATAGTATACGTATTTTTTTATTTTTACAGTGAGTCAGAAGCATCATCTTCATGGATGGCATCCTGCTTGCTTATTTGTTTCATGAGTGAAAGCATCTCTTCAGCTTTTGTGCAAAATGAAAAGATCATTAGGGACACCAATTTAAATTAGAGTAGGCAGAGTAAATGTGTAAAAGACAAAAAAAAAATTAATCACCTGTGGCAACTGTCATTTGAAGTTATCCTCCCTTCATTCCACTCCAGCACATCCACATAAACACAAAGAGAGATCATATTGTTTACTGGTATCAAACTGCAGAATTTGGCTTGCCTAAGGCACTGCTCTAGCCCAGAATCCACACCACCACAAATATCAATTTGGAATGCAGCTTCAGTGCTAGTGGAAAAGCTGTCACAGGCAAGTCTAAAATACTGAGAGTGCTGAGCTCCTGACATTGCTAAAGATGATCATGAAGACATTTATCCAGTCTCTCCTGCCTCCCTTTCGCCCATCCCTTCAGAAGCTTATGTCAAGTGTGACAGGCTAGGTGATGAATGGGTAGAAAGTTGACAGATGACGACAGGCGGCTGAGTAGGTGAAATCCTCCTTCCTTAATTCTTGTGATTTTACCTTTCTGACACAATGAACTTATATTAGAATGTATGACTAAATAAACCACAGAAAGTAAAACCATTCACAAAGAAATAGAGTCGAGAACAGAAAGCCATGCTCTCATTTTCCTCAAGTTTCTTGATTGCTGGACTTTTGGAATACAATTCGTAATCAAGGGCATATTATTTAGAGTTAAGTGGGATGATTAGCTGTGTTGTTTTTCTCTGGAATATATATCCAGAGTACTTAGCTCAAAGTCATGAGTCAGAAAAATCCCATTTCTCATAAATCTCTTCTAGAGCAGACTAAAAAAGAAATCAGCTCATTGGAATTTTGATTAATGAGAAAAAGAGAAAGGTTTAAGGGTGAGTGCTTTCTTCTATTGATGTTCGTGAAATGGTGGTGACTGCCTGACACATCCTAGTCCAAAGCAATTGAAAATCATTTTAACTTTGCTTTGTTTTGAGAGGCTTAGGGGTTATTGAATTGAGAGAAATTGGACTGAAACAAGTAATTTTTTTGACACAGGCCACTAAACAGCTTGGAGACCATGAGTCTTAAGGCCCCAAGCAGGTCATTTAGTAGAGAATGGTGCCTTTCTCACGGGGTGCTTTCTTCTTACATAAATGTACGGAAGAACAAGGCATAGTGACATTCTGAATTTTCCTGTGTGTCTTTATATTTACAATTAGCAATTAATGGCAATGAAGTTTTTACCTATACCTTTACATCACCACTGACAATAACTATCCAATTGGGATCAATACAGACAGAGAAGATGATAAAGTTGTAACTCTTCTTTAAAGCAGGGAATTGTAATTCCTTACTCAAGTTCAAGTATATGAATTTCTACGCTGGAAAGTATTTTATATTCTTTTTCAGAGTGTAAGGGAATTATATTTCACAGGATTTTTATATTAAATAATACTAGGGTGGAGATTGGAAATAATTTCTTCTTTTCTCCTGCTTTTTAAACACAGGTTTATGGCCACAGACATATTTTTTTAATTTGCAAATTTCCATTTTGTTAAACTACATATTTCTATTAATAAAATTTAAATGCTCTAATAAAATTGATTTCTAAGTCTTTTCCTCTTTTTTCTGATATGATGATACTATAACTAAATCAGTGGCTGATTCTTCTTGCTTTAGAACATTTCATTTTTCTATGATTCTTGATAGGTTTATATTTTTAAAAATAATATTTATAAACTGTATATGTGAGGTTTCCTGTTTTGGGGCTCCTGTGATGCTCCTTCTTGAAAAGCATAATTTGAGATATCTTTAGTCCTTGTGGATTTATATCTCTTTAGAGTTAAAAGTATTAAAATCGGTAATTTGCTTTGTTTATCTTCTATGCTGTCTTCTTGGGCAAGCTATGTTTTCTAATACACACGTTCCAATAATTAATGACTATATTATAGTATTTTTTATGATGCTGAGACATATACACACATATATATGTGTGTGTGTCTATATAAATACACACATATATATGTGTGTGTCTATATATATACACATATGTATATATGTATACACACATGTGTGTATATATGTCTCAGCATCATAAAAAATACTATAATATAGTCATATATGTGTGTATATATATGTGTGTATATATACATATATATGTATTTATAAGCTAATTCATTTATATTCATTGGGGGTTTTGTTTCTACTTGATTGCTAAACCTGAAGAAATAGAATGTAAAGCATTACTTTTAGTTTATGCTTTCTTGAATCTTAAGGTAATTGCATGATTCTCTTTATTTTAGGTTCAAATCTTAAACTAAGGATATCATAATTAAGTTCTAGATCATAGTTTGGCCAAGAAAATTAATGACTCAAAATCTCAAGTTCCTCATCTAAAAAATGAGCTTAGTAATCATAATAATATCTTTAGAGTTTCTCTAAGTCTTATATAAGTTAATGCATATCAAATACATAAGAAATGTTGTTGTAAGTCCTCAATAAATAGCAGTCATTACTATTCTTCTATACTGTAGGGATGATTTACAGACTGACAAAAATATGAAATGTTTTCTCTCAGGTCAGTTAAAAAATGTATGGTGAGCCAATTTTGTTTCTGGCATTCTGCATGGCACTAGTGATATTAAGAAAAATAAAGTGTTATTTCTGATCTCAAGGAAATTTCAGAGTATAGAAGAGAGAGAATAAACATTATGATAAATAACTCAATGCGATGTATACATGATAAAAGTATGTAGCATAAGTAAACGGTACAGGAGAGGAACTGAGTCACCACTATTGGGGGAGAGGAGAGCTTGGAATAATATAAGAAAATCTCCTATGCAAGTTTGAGAAGAATGAACATATGTTTACCAGATATTAAGAAGCGAGATGGAAGAAAAATTCAGGTGAAGTAACATCATGTATAAAAAATATGTGCAAAGTCATATGACATATTATAAATATTTTATATGTAATTAAAACCTCAGCATATTATAGTAAAACTTAGTAGATGAACATATGTTGAAATATATGTAGTTAGATATTGCTGGAGTGGGAGTGTCAAAACATAACTATTTCCTATTTTTATGAAAAATGCATGTTGCATATATTTGAAGTATTAAGACAGGTTTTTCGTTGGCTTCTTATATATATTTGTTTACATTAGCCTTTTCAGAAGAAAGAAATACATGCCCACAGTAAATAAATGCAAACCTACACAGAAGAGTACGTAGTGTAAAATTAAGGTTACCTTTCACCATCTTTGCTCCATTCCAAAATAGTAATTTCTGTTAAAATTTTTTTTTTTTTTTTTTTTTTTTTTTTTTGAGACGGAGTCTCGCTCTGTCGCCCAGGCTGGAGTGCAGAGTGGCGCGATCTCGGCTCACTGCCAGCTCCGCCTCCCGGGTTCATTCCACTCTCCTGCCTCAGCCTCCGGAGTAGTTGGGACTACAGGCGCCCGCTACCACACCCGGCTAATTTTTTGTATTTTTAGTAGAGACGGGGTTTCAGCGTGTTAGCCAGGATGGTCTCGATCTCCTGACCTCGTGATCCGCCCGCCTGGGCCTCCCAAAGTACTGGAATTACAGGCATGAGCCACCGCGCCCGGCCTAAGAATTTCTTAGGAATAATTTTTCACTTCTAGAAGTGTTAAATGAATATGAATGTCTGTATCAGAATTTTCCCAGTGTAAGTTTGAGGCAAATCATTTTGTTTTGTTTGAGCACAATCGTAGTTTAAAAATTTTAAAACATTGTGATTGCATTTAGGTATGAAATGCATCGTGTAATTCACAACCGGGACTTCCAATTATTTTACTTAGGCCCAACAGACCTTGCCTGGTTTTGACGGGCCGCAGTTAAATTGCTGCCCTTGAGGCAAACTTGCAAGATAAGTATAAATATATTTTATGTAAATGATCATGTTACCCTTACTGTAATCCACCTTGCTGTTTTTCTTAATAATATGTAATGAACATTTTTTTGTATTAGTACATATGAATTTACATTATGCTTTTTAAATAAATACATAGTATCACATTTTAAGCATGTATCATAATTTATTTAGCCTGTCCTGGAATAATAAATAAAGTTTTCTTTTTCTCTATGATTATAACAATATTGGAAGGAAAATTCTGTACATATAAATTCCCTTATTTATTTGACTCAATTTGTAGATGAATGTATAGAAATAGATTAAGTTGGAAATTTGAGGTATTAACCATTTGTCTCTTCAATGTGTTTTAAGTAGTGTATGAGGAAACACTGAGACAAATGGAAGGGAAAATAAGTGATTTAAGAGTGATGGGAACTATCCTAAACCCTACAAATTCAAGGTTTCTCGGTGAAGCTAGAATGAAGTTCAAGGCTGAGACCTGCAGCCAAGCAGATATCGCCCGTTATTTACTACCTAGGCTTCAATAGCACTTGATAATAGGGTTTGGTCTTGCCAACTTTGACATTTATTCGGATCCGCCTGGGAGATCAGGAGCCCATCACAGGCACCCCCCACCTGCCCCAGGAGCTTCGGCAGGAGAATTGCTTGAACTGGGAGGCCGAGGTTGCAGTGAGCCGAGATCACACCATTGCACTCCAGCCTGGGCAACAAGAGCGAAACTTCGTCTCAAAAAAAAAAAAAAAAAAAAGAAAAAGAAAAGAAAACAGAAAACAGCAGCCTTGGACAAGCACAATGTAAGCCTACTGACAAAGCAAAGAGCAGGTAGTCCAGGGTGCTGGTGGGGTGTGCTTCTGATCCTAAGGCAACATATCTCTGTCACTGATACGGTTTTGCGTGCATCTTACTTTTGGAGTTATTATTATAATAATTGCCTTTAAAAAGTTTGTAGCGATTTAGGGTCAAATGAAAACTCTCAGCGATAGTTGGTATTGTTTAATTTTTAGCAATCTAATAAGCAGAATGAGACTTCTCTAATTGTTTAAAATTGCATCACTTTAAATATCAATGAAGTTTTGTTTTGTTTTGTTTTTTTCCCCGTAAGTTTACTGACTGTATATATTCTTCACCTCTAAACATTTCTTTTTTCTTTGAGATGGATCCTTGCTCTGTCACCCAGGCTAGAGTGCAATGGCGCAATCTTGACTCACTGCAACCTCCACCTACCGGGTTCAAGCGATTCTCCTGCCTCAGTGTCCCGAGTAGCTGGGATTACAGGTGCCCACCACCAAGCCTGGCTAATTTTTTTCTATTTTTAGTACAGACGGGGTTTCACTATGTTGGTCAGGCTGGTTTTGAACTCCTGACCTCAAGTGATCCGCCCACCTCGGCCTCTCAAAGTGCTGGGATTACAGGCGTGAGCCTCCGCGCCCAGCCACCTCTAAACTTTTATGTACATAATAAGTTGTCCCTTCCTAAGGGGTTAATAATAATATTTATCAAAACAAGTAAACCTATTATTGAGTGCTTGCTCCATTCTGGATTCTGAAGTAAATATTTTGCTTGAATTGATTCATCTAATCTACAAAAAAAACATGAGTTGTGTGCCATTTTTATCCCTATTCCTCTGGTGAGGAAACACGCCAGAGGAAAAGAAACTTGCTCCAGTTCACAGGTACACTGGAGTAGAGCTGAGGTCTGTATCTGAGCTGCCCTCTTTAGAATCTCCACCCTTACTGATTTCGATATTCATTCTCTCATGGCTTGTTTTTGTTTTTTTGTTTGTTTGTTTGTTTTTGATACGTGGTTTCACTCTGTCACCCAGGCTGGAGTGCAGTGGCTCGATCTCGGCTCACTGCAACCTCTGCCTCCCGGGTTCAAGCGGTTCTCCTGCCTCAGCCTCCTGAGGAGCTAGGACTACAGGCCTGTGCCACCACGCCTGGCTAATTTTGTATTTTTAATAGAGATGGGGGTTTACCATGTTGGTCAGGCTGGTCTCGAATTCCTGACCTTAGGTGATCCACCCACCTCGGCCTCCCAAAGTGCTGGGATTACAGGCGTGAGTCACTGCGCCGGCCTTTTTTTTTTTTTTTTTTTCCATTTTAATTCATTTTTTATTATTCTCTTTTAAAAGTGGAAATGTAGTCTTTATCATATGTGTTGTACAATGTTCCCCCCTTCTTTTATATTTGTTTTTTGACTTTTCAATTACATTTATTGTGATGCTGTTTATTTAAAACTTGTTCTAGAATCCAAGGCTAATCCTGGCTTACAAACATATGTGTCCAGGGATATCACATCAGCAAATGGGACACGCTATCAGTAGCCAGAGGACCCCATTTCCACCACAGTGAACTTTTTATTCAAAGGCACTTCACTGAGACTGGGTCGTTAGATTTTCTCTTCTGAAATTGTGAAATTTAAATTATCAAATTTGGAAACTGTTGCAGCTGAGTCATGTAAATGTACCCTGAACATTTTTAGGTTGTCCTCTTGCCTTCTTAGCTTTTCCTTCAATTAAATTATTTATCACCAATTATTATCTTGTTTTGGTTAGTCAAGTTTCTAATGTGTATAACACAAAGAATTTTAACAGATACATTAATTACATTTATAAATCAGGATTTTACTTTTTGTTCAAAGCGATACGTCCATTTACCTCTGGAGCAACTTTATCTGTTAGCTTGTTTTCACATTATCATGTTTTGCTTTATACATGTAATTCAGTCATCCAGCTCAAATGATATTTGCTCTAAGAAAATTTATATTGTTTTCTGGCTACTCAGTTTTTCTATTACTATAACAATTAATTCATATTTTCTCCATTGACTGGAATGCCATCTTTAGTAGACAGTAAGTTCCCATAAAATCTGGTGACTCTACTTTTTGAAATATCTTGATTTATACTCCTAACTAGGAATATATAAATGTGCTTACCTATATTATATAATTTTTAATAATGCAAATTTATTTTACAACTGGTAATGTCTGCCTTAATCATCTTCCCTTTTAGATTTTTTTTTTGTTTTTCTCACCTGTTTAGTTGTCCAGATGAAATGCTAGAATCACTTACAAAGAGAGTGACACATTTGTTAAAATTTTATGATAAATGCATTGAAGTTAAAAATAGTTTATTGACATCTTCAGAATATTGAGACTTTATATTCCAAAACAGGGTTATTCATATTTTGACCTTTTTAAGAAAATCTTTTATATGTTTCATTATTTTAAAAAACGTAGGTTCTGTTACTTTTATTGTTTTCAGTACATTCCACAGAAAACAGTGGAGTAAATATGCTTCTATCCAATTTTCAGCAGACGTGCAGCATCTGTATTTTACTGAGGCTAGTTCTTGCCTCTCTCATGGCTTTGTAAGTTTTAAACACTGGACTTAGCTTTATTTAGCTATTGTTAGTGTAATATGACTTCGATTTTCTTTTGTGACTGGTCTTTGTTTTTTCTTTTTACACTGCAGTGCTCTTAAACTTGCCATGATTTTCCTTGTGAAGATTTCTAAAGGTGTCACACAGAAAACCCTGTGGGCTGCCTTGTCATATTCAAATAGTTCATTTTATTTCTTTCTTCCACATTAATTTAGAATGGATATCTTTGTCATGTTTTTATATTGTATTTTCTAATCTGCTGATAACAACATTCCATAAAATATGCATGGCTATATTTAATATAAAAGTATTTGCCACTAATACTAAAGTGCTTTTTCTAAACTTTGGGTGAGAAGATTACTAATAAATCACTCCATATTTTCCCTTTTGGACTATAATATAATTTTACAATAAGTTCCATTTAATCGTCTTGTTCTTTCTTTACCATGACCTTGTGAGACGAGAGGTCCTTTCTTTGGTTACAAATGAGACTGTGATCTTAAGTTACTCTCCTGTGCTCATTGAGCAGAAATAAAAGTGAACCAAAGAACAATTGGGGTGTTATATACTTTTGGAGAAGAATTATCCATATAAGAAAAAGAGTATAAATGTGTTTTTACTTACAGGGGCAGACTAGAATTGCAGTGCACAGATACAAGAATGTTGCCTGCTTTGGAGCCAAGACTGCCTTCCGGATAAAGGGCCCACAGAGAGCTGAGAGCTGTGTAATACCTCAAAGACTGAAGAAAAGAGTTAGACAGCCATCTTTCCTTAGAGGATTTTGCTGCAGACAGCTTGAACTACCAGAAGGTTATATACTGACCATGGGTAGAGTAAGGAAGAAATACATCCTTCGGAAAGGACAATGAAGATCTTTACAGCAGGGTGAGTAAACAGGCCAGTGTAAGTCGCTAAGCAAGAATGCCACTTGCTAGGTGGTATACAGTTGCTCAGTGTATCACACACACACACACACACACAAACAAATATTAGTTACACCTCTGAGATGGGATTCATAAACATTTAAAAGTTTACACAATGTTTAGATAACACTGACCATCAAACCCTTAATAATTTGTTTTGCTTTGCAGTCCCACAGGTCTATGCCCATCTATTCATTTTAGCATCTGTTTTATGTTTCATAATTACCTTTTAAAATTTCTGTCTCCCCTTTGTGCTATGAGGTCGTTTCAGCACTTAGGTGAGAATCTGAAATTGTAAAGATAGTTCAATTACATTTTCGTTGTTAATATAGGCGGGGTAAAGTAAAAGTGCTGTATTAGCTCAGAGGAGCAAAAAACAGTATAATCAAATAGATCTGTAGATACCAGAATTTTAAAATTCTTCCTTCAGGAACTTTAATGCCATTTAAAAATATTTATTGTGGAATATGTTAGACTTTGAGTCATAGTGATTTTTACCTCCTAACATAAAGCTAATTTTTACTGGATTTCTTCTGATAATGATGGTTAAGTGTGCAAGAGATGGTATCAGTCTATTCAGCGTATTATTGAGAATCCCCTCACTCTCCTTAAATGAATGGCTTAAGCAGCAGATGTTCTATACCCTAAAAGATGCCATGGCACGTCTCAGGTAAGAGCTGTCCTTGGAGTTGAATGTTATTTATTACTATGTAGGTACTAGAGATTCAGAAACTTAATGATTTTTTTTCCTAACAGAAACTCTTTTTTCGCACTATGAATAATTTACTGTTCTTTCTTCTTTGAACTCAACTGTAGAATTGCGCATAGACTAATTTTTACTTTCACTCCTTTCCCAGGTGAAATTAAACAAAAAATATAGAAACTGATCACTGAACTAATGACTTTAGATGAGTATACTTTTATGTAAATTTTAAAAGATTTGGTAATTAAGAATGAGTTTCATTTCAACTTCATTGTTCATTTCCTCTTAATTGATACAACAATTTAATTCTAAACATGATAAAATCACACCTTCCTGTTGCTACACCTGCAAGCTTTTTAAAGTTTGTTCAGAGTTTAGATAGATTAGGAAATAAAGTGGAAAATAACCAGGCAAATATTATGTTTTATTAAAAAATTGCATTTCTGGCTGTGAAATACTGAACTTATTTATACATGAAAGAAGTTATATCAATATCAAATTGATATATTCAAATGTCTGATCCTGTCTTAAACAGGAAAACTACTTTGAAAGCAGCAATATTACCAACAATGAAGGGAAAAAATGTGTAGAATCATATTATTTTTAATTTATAAAATATCCTTGTTGCCAGTGGCAGAGACTTTTGATCATGAAAAGTAATATTGAATATATTATTCTACAAACATTGAATTTAAGTGTTTTTACAAGCATTTCCATTGTTTCTTAAATCACATATCACTGTAAGGAGGATATAGTATCTCCTTGTTAAAACTAAGGCAATGAAAACATCAGGAGTTAAAGTAATCAAGGAAACACAATTATCAAATAAATTGGTACTACAACCCCCCGATTTTTCTGCCCTCTCCATTGTACTATATATACTATAATCTCCATATTTGGAATATTAATTACACTTTGAAATCTTCAAGAAATATAAACAAACACCAATTCCACACTATGTAGGTATAATAAAAGTAAAATTTATTTACAAAGTAATAGATTTTCATTAAAATCTTTCAAAATTGTAGTATGAGAACCTACGTTAAACCACTGGTAGATGAATTGCAAAGAATGATAAAGTAGAAACAGTAACTGTCCTGTTAATAAATAACCTTTATAAGCTATTAAATATTGTTTTAATAGCTTAAATATAAAGATGATCTTTTTAAAAGCCTTGGACTTAAAAATAAATATTTACTTAGGAACTAGATAGAGCCAACAGTTTTGCCTAAAAGAACTAAGAAACAATAATCAAATATTCTATATTTGTCATTATTATTATTTTAGGAAAATACCTCCTCCTAAAAAATATCACTTCCATATATATTTATGGTAAACATGTGATATGATTTATTGAGTAATATTTATCTCAATTGGAAAATTTCTATGCAAAATATTTTTTCATTGTGTAACATTTTATTCCCTATAGGGGCATATCTCAGGGGAACCTGATGAAAGCCAACGCACAATGTAAGAACTTTCACTGTAAGGAAAATTTGAAGGCCTGGCATGGTGGTGGCTCCCACCTATGATCCCAGCACTTTGGGAAGTGGAGGTGGGCAGATCACTTGAGGCCAACAGTTTGAGACCAGCCTGGGGTTTTAGTAGAAACCCCGTCTCTACTAAAAATACAAAAATTAGCCAGGTGTGGTGATGCATGCCTGTAATCCCAGCTACTCAGGAGCCTGAGCCATGAGAATTGCTTGAACTGGGTAGGCAAATGTTGCAGTGAGCCGAGATCGTGCCATTGCACTCCAGCCTGGGCAACAGAGCCAGACTCTTTTTTTTTTTTTTAATTTTATTATTATTATACTTTAAGTTTTAGGGTACATGTGCACAACGTGCAGGTTTTTTTTACATATGTATACATGTGCCATGTTGGTGTGCTGCACCCATTAACTCGTCATTTAGCATTAGGTGTATCTCCTAATGCTATCGCTCCCCCCTCCCCCCACCCCACAGCAGTCCCTGGTGTGTGATGTTCCCCTTCCTGTGTCCACGTGTTGTCATTGTTCAGTTCCCACCTATGAGTGAGAACACACGGTGTGTGGTTTTTTGTCCTTGCAATACTTTGCTGAGAATGATGGTTTCCAGCTTCATCCATGTCCCTACAAAGGACACGAACTCATCGTTTTTTATGGCTGCATAGTATTCCATAGTGTATATGTGCCACATTTTCTTAATCCAGTCTATCATTGTTGGACATTTGGGTTGGTTCCAAGTCTTTGCTATTGTGAATAGTGCCGCAGTAAACATATGTGTGCACGAGTCTTTATAGCAGCATGATTTATAATCCTTTGGGTATATACCCAGTAATGGGATGGCTGGGTCAAATGGTATTTCTAGTTCCAGATCCCTGAGGAATTGCCACACTGACTTCCACAATGATTGAACTAGTTTACAGTCCCACCAACAGTGTCAAAGTGTTCCTATTTCTCCACATCCTCTCCAGCACCTGTTGTTTCCTGACTTTTTAATGATTGCCATTCTAACTGGTGTGAGATGGTTTCTCATTGTGGTTTTGATTTGCATTTCTCTGATGGCCAGTGATGATGAGCATTTTTTCATGTGTTTTTTGGCTGCATAAATGTCTTCTTTTGAGAAGTGTCTGTTCATACCCTTTGACCACTTTTTGATGGGGTTGTTTGTTTTTTTTCTTGTAGATTTGTTTGTGTTCATTGTAGATTCTGGATATTAGCCCTTTGTCAGATGAGTAGGTTTGCAAAAATTTTCTCCCATTCTGTAGGTTGCCTGTTGACTCTGATGGTAGTTTCTTTTGCTGTGCAGAAGCTCTTTAGTTTAGTTAGATCCCATTTGTCAATTTTGGCTTTTGTTGCCATTGCTTTTTGTGTTTTAGACATGAAGTCCTTGCCCATGCCTATGTCCTGAATGGTATTGCCTAGGTTTTCTTCTAGGGTTTTTATGGTTTTAGGTCTAACATGTAAGTCTTTAATCCATCTTGAATTAATTTTTGCCTAAGGTGTAAGGAAGACTCTTGTCTCAAAAAAAAAAAGAAAAAAGAAAAGAAAAAGAAAATTTGAAAGTATGAATTACTCTAAAATGTGATTGTAACTTTATGTTTATTTATTTGTGTATATGAAAAAATCTACTTCAGTGAGACTTGGTGGCATGCTTGGTGTGTCTCCTGGATAGCAAAATTATGGTAAAATATGGTAAAATGCTAATATTTGGGATATGTTTCTTTGACTGTCGATATTGTATTGATTTAATGGAACCTATTCATGATAGAAAGGAAAGAGAAAGACAAGATTCCTATGCTAACATCATCCTTCTACTTCAATTCATCTAATAAGTGTAAATAACAAGTAACAGAATTGCCTCCTTTAATTTATTTTGAATATTATTTTAATGAAAATATCCAGTGTCTAAATTTCAAATGATGCTTACATAAAACTATTAAAGAGAAATCAAATACATAAATAAATGAATAAATTAATAACTATAATTCAAAATTAAATCATCTACCAATAATCTAGTTTAATTTTTATTAACATCATTCTAAAATGTGCTTTATATACACATAGAGATTTTATAATAATGATAATTACACTATAATGCTATTTAATAAAATATTTAATTTAATTTTACTCAAATTAATAACAAAAAACATTCTGAAGTGAAGCTGAAGAGGATCAGAAATTCATACTATTGCTTTCCACCTCAAAAGACAATTTGTAAAAGGCCCTTTAATACTAAGAAAAAAGATTGATTTAGTTTCTTAATTGTTTTAATAGTAAGATTTTAATTACTTTGACATTTATTAAATATTATAAGAAATAGTTTGATTGCCACTGTTATCTTTTTTCTTCATCTTATTTTTTCATTCTGTTGCATAGATCATTACTGCTTTGCTAAAGTATGTAATATCAATTGTGTGTTCTGTAAACATAATTCCCCAGTGGTTTAGTTATCTCAATATTCAATATTTACAACAGATCATTTTATCATTGCTTCTTGCATATGATATCTTTATTTTTAATCGTTTTTAAATTTTGAGATAATGGTAGATTCACATGCTATTGTAGGAAATAATACAGAAAAATTCTGCACATTCTTTTCCCAATTTCTCTTAAATAGTAGTATCTTGACAACCTATATTACAATATCGCAGTCAGAATTTTGACATTGATAAAGTCAAGACACGTAACTTTTTCATTACCCAAATTGTCTCTCATGTTGCCTTTTTATAGCCATAATCATTTCTCTACCATGTCCATTCCCCGCTTAACATCAGAGGCCACTAATCTGTTACCTGTTTCTATAATTTTGTCATTTCAAGAATGCTATACAAAAATAAGCATACATATATAATTTTCAATTTTTTTTTGACGAAGTATAATTCTCTGGAGATGCATCCAAGTCATTGCGTATACCTATAGTTTATTTCTTTTTATGACTGAACAGTATTCCATGGCATGAATGTACCACAGTCTGTTTAACTTTTTTTCACTTGTTGAATCAACCTGAGTTATTCTCATTTTGGGATTATTATGAATAGAGTTGCTATAAACATATTTGTGTACAGGCTTTGTGTGAACATGTTTTCATTTCTCTGGGATAAATGACTAGGTGTGCAATTGCTGGGTCATAGGTAGTTGAATATGTGGTTTATTAAGATATTGCTAAACTGTGATGCAGTTTCTCTGAATCGTCACAGTCATTTGGTGTTATCATTATATTTCACTTGAGAAATTCTGGTGGGCATAAACTAATACATGGTTATATTTTTAATTTTTAATTTCCATTTTCCTAATGGATAATGGTGCTGAATATATTTTATGTAGTTTTTGCCATTTGTATGTCCTCTTCAATAAAATATTCATTCATTTGTGTTGACCAGTTTCTAGTTGGATTGCTTATTTTCTGCTGTTGAGTTTTAAGAGTTGTTTACATATTCTTTATCGTAGTCCCTTGTTGGATATATGCTTGCAGATATTTTCTACCCAGTACATAGATTGTCTTTTTAGCTCTTAAGAGTGCCTTTTTTCAGAGCAAAAGTGTTTAATAACATCCAATTTATTATTTTTCCTTTTATGATTTGTGCTTTTGGTATCAATATTCATTTGTCCATATATAGATCATAAAGATTTTCTCCTGTAATTGTTTTTTCTAAAAATGTGCTACTTTTACGTTTTACATTGAAGTTTTTGATTCATGTCGAGTTAACTTTTGCATAAGATATGAAGTTATTTTTTCTAAAAATATGCTACTTTTATGTTTTACATTGAAGTTTTTGATTCATTTTGAGTTAACTTTTGCATAAGACATGAGGTTTGGATTGAGGTTTATTTTATTTTATTTTGCTTATGGATGCCCAATTATTCTAACATAATTTGTTGACAAGCCTACCCTACCTCCATTGAATTGCTTTGTGATTTGTGTCAAAATTCAGTTGGATATATTTTTTGGGGTCTATTTCTGGGTTCTGTTTTATATTCCACTGATCTATGTGCCTATTATTCCACCAGAACTGATTACTGTAATTATCAATACACACAAGATCACACAGGTTTGATTACTGTACCTACATAATGAAACTTGAAACTAGATAGACAGATTCCTCTCATTTTATACGATTTGAAAATTGTTTTTAGAAAATCTAATTATTTTGGCTTTTTAAACATTTTTGAATAATCTTATTGGCAACTACAACAAAATATGGAAGTTTGTTAAATCCGTATGCCAATTTGGGGATAATTAACATTTTTTAAAATTTTATTTTGTTTTCCTAGGAACACTTACTGTGGGATATACCCTCTTAACAAAATTTTTAGTGTACAGTATCTTATTGTTAACTATAGGCACAGTATTGTACAGCAGACCTCTAGGAACTATTCATCTTGCTTAACTGAAAATTTCTGCCCCTTCATTTAGCAACTCCCTATTTCCCCCTTCCACAAGGCCTTGGCAACCTTCATTCCACTCTTTGGTTCTGTAAATTTGATTATTTTAGAAACCTCACTGATATGGTTTGGCTGTGTCCCCACCCAAATCTCACCTTGAATTGTAGCTCCCATAATTCTTACGTATCATGGGAGAGACCCAAGGGGAGGTAATTGAATCATGAGGGCATGCTTTCTTCTGTGCTGTTCTTGTGATCATGAATAAGTCTTACGAGATCTAATGGTTTTATAAAGGAAGAGTTCCCCTACACATGCTCTTCTGCCTGATGCCATGTAAAACATGACTTATTCCTCCTTTGCCTTCCACCATGATTGTGAGGCCTCCCCAGCCATGTGGAACTGGGAGTCCATTAAACCTCTTTTGCTTTATAAATTACCCAGTCTCAGGTATGTCTTTATTAGCAGCATGAGAACAGACTAATACACTAAGTGGAATCATGCAGCATATGTCCTTCTGTGACTGGCCTATTTCACTTACCATAATGTCCTCCAGGTTCAACGAGGTTATCAAGTATTGAGAATTTCCTCTTTTTTAAAGCTGGATATATTCTATTGTATATCTATGTATATATAATGTGCATATATATATTATATATAATATACACATATACATATATACATTATATTTATTATATATACATATACACATATACATTATATATGTGTGTGTATATATGTATATACCACCTCAATGTGCAGAAGCCTTTTAGTTTGATGTAGTCCCACACTATTTTTGCTTTTTATTACATTGTCTTCTAAGCCTGGAACCCAGCGGGCATCTCTTGATTTATTTACTTAGATATTCTTTCATTTTCTCATTAACATTTTGTAGCTTTTGGCATAGAAGTTATGTAGGTTTATGCCTGAATATTTCACTTAAAATTTTTATTCTTTATTTTTTTTTAGAGATGGAGTCTCAGTCTTTTGCCCTGGCTGGGGTACAATGCCATGATCACAGCTCACTGCAGTCTGGAGCCCCTGGGCTCAACGATCCTCCCATCCCAGCCTCCTTGAGTTGTTGGGATTACAGGCATGAGCCACTGCACCCAGCTTCACTTTTTTGGCTGTGGTAAATGATACTGTATTTCTAATTTTGGTGTCCACATGTTCATTGCTAGTATATTGAAACTTTTTTGTGCATTGATGCTGTATCCTGAGGCTTTGCTGAACTTAATTATTATTTCCAGTAATTCTCGTTTGTCTTTTTTAGATTTCTTGGGATTTTCTATGTGAACTGTCATGTCATCCTAAAATAGAGTTTATTTCTGTTTTTGAGGTTTTTGTGCCTTTAATTTTACTTTATTGCCTTTTTGCAAGATAGAACTAAATAGAACATCCGGTACTATGCTCAGTAGGGGTAATGAGAGCACATCCTTTGTTCCTTTCCAGTCTTAGGGAAAAAGCATTCAGTCTCTAATCATTAAATAATTCTTTTCTGTAGGCATTTTGAAGATGTTATTATTAAGTTGAAGAATAATTTTTAAAATATTCTTGATTTTCTAAACATTCTTATCATGAATAAGTAGTGAATTTTGTCAAATTCTTTTCCATGTCAATTGATTTATTCATTTTCCTGCTAATATAATAGATTATATTGATTTATTTTCTAATATTGAAATAGGTTTTAATTTCTGGAAGAAACCACATTTGATCATGGTATATATATATATATATATATATATATATTTTTTTTTGATTTCTGTTTCTGTTAGTGAAAATAAAGTTAATAACTTTTGTGTATGTATTCATGAAGGATATTAGTCTGTAGTTTGGTCTTTTTGCACTGCCTTTGTATAGTTTGGGCTCAGAGTTATATTTGCTTCATAAAATGAATTGGGAAATGATTCCTTTTCTATTTTCCAGAATAGATTCTGTAGAATTTGTTTTATTCTTCTTTAAATGTTCAAATGTCAAGCAGTTGGTACAATTATCTCCTGAAACCACCTGGACCTGGAAATTTCTTTTGGGGCATTTTAAAATTATGAATTCAATTTATTTAATAACTTATAAGGCTATTCACTTATTTTTTTCATATGGGTAAATTATAGCTTTTGCATTTTAAGGAACTGGTCCAATTCATCTAAGTTGTCAAATTTGTGCGTGTTGATGTGTTCATATATCCCTTATTATCCTTTTGATGCCTGAATATTGGGTAATGATGCTAGGTTTTTTATTTTTCATGTTGGTAATTGTGTCTTCTCTTTGTCAGTTTAGCTATGGATTTGTCAATTGTATTGATCTGTTCAAACAACAAGATTTTTAATTTGATTTTATCTATTTTTTGTTTTCAGTTTCATTTATTTCTGCTTTTATCTTTATTATTTCTTTCTGCTTGTTTTGCATTTATTTTGCTCTTCTTACTCTAGATTCTTGTGATGTAGGATTACATTATTGCTTTTCCTTCTTTCTGATATAAGTGTTTAGTGCCAAAAACTACCCCCCCTCAAAATTGTGTTAGCTGTTCAGACAATAATTTTATGCCCAGTTTTGATTTTTAGTCAGTTCAATATATTTTTAATTGCCCTTGAGATTTCATATTACCCAATGGGATTGTTTAGAAATATATTATTTAATATCCAAATCTGTAATATATTCCATTGTGATCAACGAACACTTCTGTATAATTTCAAATATTTTAAAATGTTTGAGGATTATTTTAAGCCCCAGAATATGGCCTGTCTTGGTATATGCTCTAGGGATGCTTGAAGAAAATATCTATTCTGCTGTTGGTGGTGAGTCTTCTATAAATGTTGATTAAATACTGCTGATTGATGGAGTGGTTCAGTTCTTCTTTAATCTAGATGAATTTATGTCCATCTATTTTATCAATCAGCAAAAAAGGGGCACTGAACTCTATAACTATTATTGAGGATTTGTTCATTTCTTTTTTGAGTCCTATCAGTTTTTTAAAATAGACTTTTCATTTTGCAACAATTTTAGATTTATAGCAAAATTGAGAAGATAATACAGATAGTTCCCATACACCCTGAACTCAGTTTCTCCTATTATTAACATCTTACTTTAGATTGGTGCATTTGTTATAATTCATGAACCAATAGTGATGCATTATTATGAATTAAATAAAGTCCATACTTTATTTAGATTTCCTGGTTTGTCATCCAGTGTTCTTTTGCTCGTACAGAATTCTATCCCATATAAAAATTACAGTTAGTCCTCATGTCTACTTAGAATGCTCTTACGTGTAAGAGTTTCTCAGACTTTTCCTATTTTTGATGACTTTGTGGGAGTTTTGAGGCATATTGGGATAGTATTTTGTAGGATTTCCCTAGATTGTGATTTATCCCATGTTTTTGTCATGGGTAGACTGGGGTTATTGGGTTTTGTGAGAAAAATCACAGAGGAAACATGCCATCCTCATCACATCAAATCATGAATGCATACTATAAAAATGGTTCAACACCTGGATGAGTTAGTGTCTGTTATGCTTTTTCATTGCAAAGTTACTCTTCTCTAATTCCATACTGCATTCATGGGAGGAAGTCATTATATGCAACCAATAATAGTGAGTGGGAAGTTATGAGCTATGCCTCAACCTTTGTGAGGGCAGAGCATCTGCACAAATTATTTGGGATCTTTCTGCATGACAGATTTATCTATTCTCCTCCATGTATTTATTTGTTCAATTATGTATATCAGTGGCATGCCTTGCATATTTGTCTTTCCCAAATCTCATGTTGAAATGTGATCCCGAGTGTTGGAGGTGGGGCCTTATGGGAGGTGTTTGTGCCATTGGGGTGGATACCTCCTGGCTTGGTGCTGTCCTCTTGATAGTGAATAATTTCTTGTGAGATTTGGTTGTTTAAAAGTGTGTGGCACTTCCCATCTGTTCCTCTATTGCTCCTACTCTTACCTGCCATGTGACATACCTGCTCCTGCTTCACCTTCTGTCCTGAGTAAAAGCTCCCTGCAGGCTCCCCAGATGCTGGACAGATGCCATCACCATGCTTGTACAGCCTGCAGAACCATGAGTCAATTAAACCTATTTTCATTATAAATTACCCAGCCTCAGGTATAATTGAGGTAACCTCATTATAGCAACATGAGAACTGCCTAATATAATCAGTATGGACTTACAGTTCTTTAATTTCTTCTTTGAGTTATAATCCAATACTACATTATTTCTGCCCAAATTGTTCTAGCTTTGGCAATTGGAACCTCCATGTCTCTTTGACATAGCCCCATCTTTTTGTGTGTGTGTGTGTGTATGTGTGTGTGTGTGTGTGTGTGTGTGTGTGTAAGACTTCCTGACTTCTAGATACTACGAGTTGCTCCATGTTGTATATTTATTGCCCTAGTCCAAGTGTCAGCCATTTATCTAAGGATCTCAGTTCTTTTAATTGGTGAATGTTATTAGTAACCAAGATTTGATCACGAGGCATGTTGACAGCTACTGGTGTTGCTTCTCTGCCCTCTCAGTTGACGGAGCAAGAAAATATGTGTGTGTATATTCACATGTACACACATAACTTAAATATTTCTGTTTGTCCTTATTTATACTGAGATAATCTACATTCCTAATGCTTTTTCCAATTCTAATCCAATACCACATGGATCCTTTTAGCCTTCTGCTTGCTTATCTGTAGCCTCCTACACCAACAGTGAGAAATCTGCTTCCAGTCATCTACAATCCATTTATTTATTTGTTCAATTCCATTAAATATATACTATAAGTGTTTGGTAAAACTTTACAGTGAATCACATTTTTTTTTTCTTTTGAAATGGAGTCTCATTCTGTCACCCAGGCTGGAGTGCAGTGGCGTGATCTCGGCCCACTGCAATTTCTGTCTCCCAGGTTCAAGTGATTCTCCTGCCTCAGCCTCCCTAGTAGCTGGAATTACAGGCATGTGCCACCACACCTGGATAATTTTTGTATTTTTGGTAGAGATGGGGTTTCACCATGTTGGCTAGGCTGTCTTGAACTCCTGACCTCAAGTGATCTACCCACCTCGACCTCCCAAAGTGCTGGTATTACAGGTGTGAGCCACCGTGCCCAGCAGCCCTGAGTGTAAGAATATTATGGACAGTGCAACCATAAAAGAATCGGCAGGTCCTTTCTATAAAACATAAAATATCTGAAATATTTGTATTAAAAATATTTTACCTATACAAACTTAATCTTGAAAAGTCTGAGCATCTTTTTGGGTCAACAACTCTTCCCATGCAGCTCTTAATAGTCTTGAGCTATTAAGTAATTGTGGTTTTTGCCATTAAAAGTTATGGCAAAAGCCACAGGTACTTTTGCACCAACATAATAATGAACAAAAATGAGCATACCAAACAAGTCGAATTATTTCTACCACTTTTATTTTTATAATGTAAAATAAAAAATGTTTGATTTTTTGCAGCTTTCTGGAATAGCTCAAAGAGGACTGTAGAGGTAAAATACATCATTAATTTTCATTTATTTATTTATTTATTTGTTGGTTCTGCTCTTGCAAAGGCAAAAGCAAAAGAATATCAGGAGATTTGACTGCAATAATGAAATATGCTCATGGACATCTAGGAAATGATGACTTAGTTACATATTCAATCAAAGTGACAAAGTATTTAAAAATAAACATAAATATGTTAATGCAAGTGAGAAACCTTGGTTTTTAATTTTTTATTTTAAAAATGTTATGTAATAATCAAGTACCTGATAAAGTCACCACAGAACAGAGAAAATTATTCTGGTGAGTTTTGGAATCTCTATGATACCAGCATGTTACACAGAGTATAAAGAATACTTTTCACTAGCCATTGTTAAGATTTATAAGACCAATTTACTATTTTAACAGGGAAAAGACAAAACCTAGATTTGGATGAACACAGTTTCTTGCAATAAATGTTTCATGAGTTTCTCTCTCCAATTTATAACATAATTATCTTGTGAATTAGCCCGTAATTGGAGCAATTTTTCCAAAATTTTAACATATTTCATAGCCTTTTTCAGACTTAAGTATTATAAATCAAGGAAAATGAGAAACTACTTTCCCCTAAATCCTCTACAACTTGCTAAAAGCATTCAAGTTTTGTCCTTCACTGTACTCATTCATATTCTAGATAATTAAGACTTCATTTTGGGTTAAAACTTCTTTTTTTTTCCTTGAAAAAAATTACCTTACATAAACATTTTTAGTATTTTTCCATTACTATTGCTTCATTCTAGAATAGCCTCAATCACTATTAATTGTAAATTTTAATAAAGTAACTTAACTTCTATTTCACAAAGTCTGGAGGGTACAATGCAAATTGTCCTTAAGCATTTTAAGCAGGTTAGAAAAGCTTAAGAATAGATATACAATGACTTTCACCAGCTTCATCCATCCTTTTTATAATTTATTAAAGTGGCAAAACTGCAAGTTTATTAATTTCTCCCAGTTATAGCTCTCTATGGCATGTAAAAGTAAGAAGCAAATATTTATAAACTTCCCACTTTGTCTGCTTTCATAAATACAGTAGTGTCTACTTATCCATAGTTTCAGTTACATGCAGTCAACCACAGTCCAAAAATATTAAGTGGAAAATTTCAGGAATTAACAATTTATAAGTTTTCAGTTTTGCATCATTCAGAGTTGCATGATGAAATCTCACGCCATCTTGCTCTATCCTGCCAGGATGTGAATCATCCCTTTGTCCAGAAAATCCACGTGATAGATATTGCCCACCTGTTAGTCATTTAGGAGCCCTCTTGGTTATCAAATAAAAAAAAACCACATAGTTATATTTAAGGTTTGGTACTATCTGCAGTTTCAGGAATCCACTGAGTGTCTTGGAATGTATCTCCGGTGGATAAGGGGGACTACTACAGTTTAATTGAATGCAATCACACTCATTCATTTTCACATTGTCTATGGATGTTTTGCACCACTATTGCAGAATTAAGTAATTGCATTGAAGACCTTATCACTCGCAAAGCTTTATATATTTACTATCTTGCCCTTTAGAGGAAATGTTTGCCAACTCTTCATTTAAGTATTCAAGGTTTTTACATTTGTTAATTCAATTAGCCAAGGATTTTATGTTGTTACTCATAAATCTTGGAAATTATGTTCAAAAGGGGATGCAGTCTGTTCTGCTCTAACACTTATTCAGGAAACATGGATTTGTTCCAACACATTTGATATAACAGGGAACAATTTGAGCATAACACAAATTTTGCCTTTGCTTATGTATAATTTCTTCTGCAAAAGATACTACCTGAATAAAGAAAAATACTGCACCTAGCTGAACAGAACTGCATACTAATGCAAAGAATACACACATACACACACATCTCAAACATCTACCAGCTACCTCAGTTCACTGTATGTGAGCTGTGAGCCACACATCCCCATCTGGTGTTACAACTTTCCAACACATTTCAGACAACCCTCCCTCTACCAATTCATAATAATCACAAGCTGAAATCTTTTTGATGCCCACTTCCTCAAGCAAAGTTCTGGCCTTTTTCAAGGAAAAAAGTGGCAATTTATTACAATATTTATGCATTTCTTCATAATTTATGATGTGGAAAATAGTGCTGTCCTTTTAAAAGGGTCTTTATTTGTGTGTATATGTATGTGAGATGGACAAAGTTTTAAAGTTTTGTATCCCTAACTCCATTTTTCTCATCAGTCTCTATCTTTTTATAATCTCTTTTTCTCTATTTCTTCTAATTTTTGACAGAATATTTATAGTTGGACAAGTGTTTCACCAAAGAATGTATCTGAAAGGTGTATAAGGACACTCAACATCATTAGTCATCTAGAAAATACAAATAAAAATCACAAGGAAATGTGATTATAAAAACATTTTAAAGGTAAAACTTAAAAAGACCAGAAATGCAAAGTGAGGGCAAGATATGGAGTCACCATAATGCTCATTAATTGAAAAGGAGTATAAAATGATTAAACATTATGGGAATACTGTTTGCATATATCTAGCATATGACTCAACAATTCTTCTAAGAATCTTCTCAAGAGAAATGATTACTTAGGTCCACAAACATACTTGTACAAGAATGTTAATGAAAGACTCTTTCATAGGCTGGGCGCAGTGGCTCAAGCCTGTAATCCCAGCACTTTGGGAGGCCAAGGCAGGCAGATCACAAGGTCAGGAGATCAAGATCATCCTGGCTAACACGGTGAAACCTTGTCTCTACTAAAAATACAAAAAATTAGCCGGGCGTGGTGGCAGGCGCCTGTACTCCCAGCTGCTCTGGAGGCTGAGGCAGGAGAATGGCATGAACCTGGGAGGCGGAGCTTGCAGTGAGCCGAGATCGCGCCACTGTACTCTAGCCTGGGTGACAGAGCAAGACTCCATCTCAAAAAAAAAAAGACTCTTTCATGATAGTCCCAAAATGGAAACAACTCAGTTTTTCTCAAATTGGAGAATATAATAAAACACTATTCAGAAATTAGAAGACAGAATTACTTATGCATACAGTAACATGGAAGAATCTTAAAGATATTTTGTCTTGTTAAAGAAGGGAGATGCAAAAGTGTACATAGTGTATGGCATAATTTCATTCATGCCAAGTTCAAGGTTAGGCAAAACTAACCTATAATATAAGTCAAATAGTGATTATCACTGGAGGGTGAAGAATGTTTTATACTTTGATCTGCGTGGTGGTCAAACAGAGGCATGTAGTAGTCTGATCTCATGCTGCTATTAAATACATACCTAAGGCTGGGTAATTTATGAAGGAAAGAGGTTTAATGGACTTACAATTCCATATAACTTGGGAGGCCTCACAATCGTGGTGGAAGACAAAGAAAGAACAAAAGGACCTCTTACATGGTGGCAGGCAAGAGAGTGTGTGAAGGGACACACTCCTTTATAAAACCATCAGATCTCATGAGACTTATTTACTATCATGAGAACAGTATGGGGAAACTGCCCTTAGGACTCAATTATCTCCATCTGGCCCCACTCTTGACATGTGGGGATTATTACAATTCAAGGTGAGATTTGGGTGAGGACACTGTCAAATCTATCATTCCACCCTGGCCCCTCCCAAATCTCATGTCCTCACATTTCAAAACCAATATTGCCTTCTCAACAGTCTCCCAAAATCTTAAATCACTTCAGCATTAACTCAAAAGTCCACAGTCCAAAGTTTTATCTGAGACAAGGTATGCCCCTTTTACCTATGGGCCTGTAAAATCAAAAGCGAGTTAGTGGCCATGCACAGTGGCTCACACCTGTAATCCCAGCACTTTGGGAGGCCAAGGCAGGCAGATTACTTGAGGTGAGGAGTTCAAGACCTGCCTGGACAAAATGGTGAAACCTTGTCTCTATTGAAAATACAAACATTAGCTGGCATGGTGATGCACACATGTAATCCCTGCTACTTGAGAGGCTGAAGCAGGAGGATTGCTTGAACCTGGGAGTTGGAGGTTGCAGTGAGCGAAGATCACACCACTGCACTTCAGCCTGAGCAACAGAGCGAGACTCCATCTCAAAAAAAAAAAAAAAAGGCAAGTAAGTTACTTCCCAGATACAATGGTGATATGGCCAGAACAAAAGGACTACAGGCCCCAAGCAAGTCTGCAATCCAATGGGAGAGTCATTAAACCTTAAGGTTCCAAAATGATCTCCTTTTAACTCCATGTCTCACAACCAGATCATGCTGATGCAAGAGGTGGGCTCACATGGTCTTGGGTAACTCTGCTCCTGTGGCTTTTCAGGGTACAGCCCCACTCCTGGATGCTTTTAAAGGCTGGCATTGAGTGTCTTTGGCTTTTCCAGGAGCATGTTGGAAGCTGTCAGTGGATCTACCATTCTTGCATCTGGAGGACAGTAGCCCTCTTCTCACAGATCCACTAGACAGTGCCTCAGTGGGGACTCTGTGTGAGGGCTCTGACCCCATATTTCTCTTCTGCTCTGCTCTAGCAGAGGTTCTCCATGAGGGTTATACCCCTGTAGTAGAGTTCTGCCTAGACATCCAGGTATTTTCATACATCTTCTGAAATCTAGGCAGAGGTTTCCAAACGTCATTTCTTGACTTCTGTCCACCCAAAGATCCAACACCACATGGAAGCTGCCAAGGCTTGGGGCTTGTATCTTCTGAAGCAATGGCCTGAGCTGTATCTTGACCCCTTTTAGCCATGGCTGGAATGCAGGGCACTAAGTCCCAAGACTTCAAAAGCAGCAAAGCCCTGGGCCCGGCACATGATAACATTTTTTCCTCCTAGGCCTCCAGGCCTATGAAGAGAGGGGCTGCCATGAAGACCTCTGATATGCCTTGGAGACATCTTCCCTATTGTCTTGGCTCCACATTACTTATGCAAGTTCCTGCAGCCAGCTTAAATTTCTCCTTAGATAATGGGATTTTCTTTTCTATTGCATCAACAGGCTGCAAATTTTCTGAACTTTTGTGCTCTGCTTCCCTTTTAAACATAAGTTCCAATTCCAACCCTACCTTTGTGAATACATAAAACTGAATGCTTGTTTAACAGCACCCAAGTCACTTCTTGAATGCTTTGTTGCTTAGAAATTTCTTCTGCCAGATGCCCTAAATCATCTCTCTCAAGTTCAAAGTTCCACAGATCTCTAGGGCAGGGGAAACATGCTGCCAGTCTCTTTGCTAAAGCATAGCAAGAGTCATCTTTATTCCATTTCTCAACAAGTTTCTCATCTCCATCTGAGATGAGCAGCATTTGGTCAAAGCCATTCAACAAGTCTCTAGGAAGTCCCAAACTTTCCCACATCTTTCTATCTTCTTCTGAGCCCTCCACACTGTTCTAACATCTGCCTGTTACCCAGTTTCAAAGTTGCTTCCACATGTTTAGGTATCTTTACAACAGCACCCTACTACTTGGTACCAATGTACTGTATTAGTCCATTCTCATGCTGCTAATAATGACATACCTGAGACTGGGTAATTTATAAAGGAAAGAGGTTTAATGGACTCACAATTCCACATGGCTGGGGAAGTCTCACAATCATGGCAGAAAATGAAGGAAGAGCAAATGGACATCTTACATGGCAGCAGGCAAGAGAGTGTGTGCAGGGGAACTCCCCTTTATAAAACCATCAGATCTCGTGAGATTTATCCACTGTCATGAGAACAGTATGTGGGAAACCACCGCCATGATTCAATTATCTCCACCTGGTTCTGCCCTTGACATGTGCGGATTATTGGGGTGAGATTTGGTGGAGAACTCAGCCAAAGCATATCAGGTATACATACAGAAAATATCATTCAGCTTACACACTTATTTTGTACATTTTATTGTATGTAAACATTTTAAATGATACCTCAATAAAATATTCAAAATCAAACAAAGATCACATCAAATACCATTTCTTTGATAAAATCTTGAGACTTTTACAGAAAATATTTTCCCCTTCTCAATAAATCATTTTAATATTTTGTTTAGACATGTTTTGGGCATTTCCTCTTTTTATATTTTATCATGATTACTTTGGAGGCTTTTAGCTGTACTCTCATAAAATAGTAAACTCATTGAGTAGAAGTGATTTTATGTATTATAAGATATGTAAAGCAAAGCTTTGTCCAGAGGGTGCATGCAGTACACTTTATGAAATCAAAATGGATTGAATGGAGGAAGCAGGTATGCATATCACTTTCAATAAATATAACATCTGGCAGTTCTAAGAACACCTTTAGATATAGTATTGCTGTGTTTATGTAAAGATTCATGTAAGCAGATACTAATATGTGCATAAACCTAATGTAAAATGATTTCACTAATCTTTCATTTTAAAAATATGATGAAAATAAAAATTATTTTATAGAAATAATTTATTGTTAATGGTGCAATTTAAAAAACAGGAGCACACAAGTGTATTATAAAATTCATACACTTAATGTTTAATTTAATGAATCTTCAATTCACTAAGGCCATTTTTCAATGATATTCAAAACATGTTTTATTAAAGGCACATTATAAATCAATGAGTAACTAAAATAACCTGATATTCCAGAAGTCCTTGATATAATTCTCCTATTGTCCTAAGATGAATGCAGACAGAGATTGATTCTCATAAGATTCTAAATTGTATACATTCTTCTATCTTTCTCAAAGCAATAAAAATTCCAGGGAGGCCAAAAACTACTCCTTGGTTTGGGGCTTTCCAAAATAATTCTAATGATACCATAGTACACTAACTTTTGGGATATCATGGATATATACTGAGACTGTGGTAATACCAATATTGCAAGTTATTAATGTCTTTAAAGTTCCCTAGTAGATGAATTCAAACATTTCTGAATTTATAGAAATTGTTAAGAAAATTCCTACATATTGGTTCAATAAATAAATGATCCTAATTGTTTTTTTTTGTTTGTTTTTTTTTTTTTTTTTTTTTTTTTTTTGAGACGGAGTCTCGCTCTGTCGCCCAGGCCGGACTGCGGTCTGCAGTGGCGCAATCTCGGCTCACTGCAAGCTCCGCTTCCCGGGTTCATGCCATTCTCCTGCCTCAGCCTCCCCAGTAGCTGGGACTACAGGCGCCCGCCACCGCGCCCGGCTAATTTTTGTATTTTTAGTAGAGACGGGGTTTCTACTTGTTAGCCAGGATGGTCTCGATCTCCTGACCTCATGATCCACCCGCCTCGGCCTCCCAAAGTGCTGGGATTACAGGCGTGAGCCACCGCGCCCGGCCTCCTAATTGTTTTTAAGCACAAACCTCCATGCTCCCTTTAAGCACTGCCATTTCTCTAGCTGTTTCATTGTGAAGATGCAACAATGAGTTTTTCTCTGAGCTGTTATCATGGAGGCTCAATTGGTATTGCTCAATATCCCAAACAAAGCATAAACAAATCTAAACACTAAAATTTTACTCTTCTGTCAAGCTCAGAAGACAATAATAAGTGCAGAATGTTTTTGTTAAAATATGTTTACCCCAGCTAATTTTGTTTTGAATAATTTAAATGGAAATCACGATTCTCTTCTCATATAGCTTGTTTAAATTACCTAATTGACAACCTCCCTTCTGATTATAAATCAGAAAAACAATCAGCCGGTCTCCTTACCAGTGTTGATTTTATTTTGTGTTAAGTGGAAGCACTTAGAGACCTCAGTTACAAGTATATTTATATTCTCAATCACTTTAGAGTTTCAATTAGGTGAATTATTATCAATGGTTATTATCAAATCCACTGTTGTCAGGCTACCTGACAAGCATAAATATAGGTAGAGTTAATTTTAAAATTCTTTAGATGGAAACCTTTGAACTAAAGGTTTAATGAATCTTCAAATGAAAGTTGAATAACTTTTCAACTGATTAAAGCCTATGGGGCCCAGTGTGGTGGCTCACACCTGTAATCCCAGCACTTTGGGAGGCCAAGGCAGGTGGATTGCCTGAGCTCAGAAGTTTGAGACCAGCCTGGGCAACATGGTGAAACCCTGTCTCTACTAACAACAATACAAAAAATTAGCCGGGCATGGCAGCATGCGCCTGTAATCCCAGCTACCTGGGAGGCTGAGGCAGGAGAATTGCTAGAACCCAGGAGGCAGAGGTTGCAGTGAGCTGAGATCGCGCCACTGCACTCCAGCCTGGGCGAATGAGAGAGACTCCATCTCAAAAAAAAAAAAAAAAAAAAAAAAAAAAGGCATATGGAAACAAGCTTCAAATTAGAAGTATAGTGTTATTCACTGATAGTAGAATTACTAGTAATTTCTTCTTAGAGGGACTGAGTATACATGTGAATTCAGGTACTCAGTTATGAAGAAAAAATAAACTCTCAATCAATTTTGTATGCCTGATTTAGCTTCCAAATACCACAGATTCCAATGGACAGTGTAAAACATGAAGATGCATCTTTACTCAAAATATATCCCATAACTTGAAACAGTATTTTACTGAATTCTGGATAGTGGTCCTTCTTCTCTTTTTATGCATCCAGACTCTCAGTAAAATACACACTACACATATACAAGTGCAGTTCATCCCACCTTATACCAATAGGGACAACTAAGAAATGTTGTTCAATCGAAGTTCTTTTGTCTAAGTTTTTTTTTTTTTTTTTGAGATGGAGTCTCACTCTGCCGTCCAGGCTGGAGCTGGAGTGTAGTGGCTCGATCTCCACTCACTGCAACCTCTGCCTTCTGGGCTCAAGCGATTCTCCTGCCTCAGCCTCCTGAGTAGCTGGGACTACAGGCACGTGCCACCATGCCCAGCTAATTTTTGTGTTTTTAGTAGAGATGGGGTTTCACCCTCTCTATGTTGGCCCGGGTGGTCTCGATCTCTTGATCTCGGGATCTGTCCGCCTTGGCCTCCCAAAGTGCTGGCATTACAGGCGTGAGCCATTGCACCCTGCTGATTTGTCCAAATTTTTTTAACAAATATAATTGTTGATTCTTGATAATTCATTTTCATAAAAATGCCCATAAAGTACAGGAGAATTAAAGAATTCTTGTAAACAGTAATATCATAAAATTCTGTGTCTGCAGCCTTATATAATTTTTTCTTCCTAGTATTCTAGATTCATAAAAAAACACAAAAAGAACAAGTGATCCTGAGTTATAGTTTGTAATCAAGTTATTTCTTGTAATGGAGACACTGAAGACTCAGAATTTATTAAAATGCAGTAATTTTATTTTGATAAAACCCAACAAATGTGCTTCTAATAGTGGTTTTTCCTATTGAAGGACTATACAACTCAGTGTTGTATAAATATGATATTTAATATAGTACATATAAGATTCTATATAGTAAATATAGAATAAAAAATACAAAGATTGCTATAGCATGTGATCTGTGGATTACTCAAGGATAGTGATTAAGAATAATTAGCTTTGGGAGGCCGAGGCGGGTGGATCATGAGGTCAGGAGATCGAGACCATCCTGGCTAACAAGGTGAAACCCCGTCTCTACTAAAAATACAAAAAATTAGCCGGGCGCGGTGGCGGGCGCCTGTAGTCCCAGCTACTCGGGAGGCTGAGGCAGGAGAATGGCGTGAACCCGGGAAGCGGAGCTTGCAGTGAGCCGAGATTGCGCCACTGCAGTCCGCAGTCCGGCCTGGGCGACAGAGCGAGACTCCGTCTCAAAAAAAAAAAAAAAAAAAAAAAAAAGAATAATTAGCACACATGCTTTGTGTAGGTTGCCTATAAAAATAAAAATTGGAAGATGTAAATTTTTTCAACAATAGAATTATACTGGGAAAAATTTGTATGTTCTTCAATAACTTAGAAGAATTGTTGAGCTCTCCTGTAGCTTTTCGGCACTTTGTAAAAATGAAATATCAAGAATCAATATTTATATTTGTTAAAAATATTAAACAAGTCAGCTTTGATTGAACAACATCTCTTAAATGTCCCTGTTGCCAGAGAGTTGAATGAGATGAACTTATAGGTGCATGTTGTGTATTTTACCAGCTCTGGTTTTACCAAAAACTTGGAGACATGAAAAAAGTAAAAGGACCACTACCCAGCATTCAGTAAAATAAACTAGAATGTCCACAATGTCTTTTCCTCACTGAATAATTTATATCTACATATCTCAGATTAGGTAAATTATTCTTTTAGATTTAACTTCTTAACAAACTTAATAAAATCAAATTTTTAAAAACTATACAGTAAAATATGCTTGTTTCCTAAGCTTCACATACTATGTCTTCTTCGAACTATATTTTTAATCTATTTCTTATAAAATGACAAATTTTTTAAAAATCCCAATTTTTTGAATGTGTGTGTACTTACTGGATCCAATAAATACTGTTTAAAACGTTCTCTTTAGATGTGGTAATATACAAGATACCTACTTGCATACTTTGCCTTCTTCAATGTTAATGAAAACAAAGGGGACGATATTTGGCCAAATGGTGTGCATAGTGATCACATTTCATTTTCAAAATAGAAACTTTTAAACTAAGAATCAAGCTGATATTTAGCATTGTTAGATAACTAATTTGTTAATGGCAAAATCTGTAAAAAGGAAATCTAATTTTGAATAGGAGAGACGTGAATTAATACAATTTGTTTCATACAACAGATGGATACTATTTCAAACCAGAAAACAAATCTAATTTTCTCTGTGATTTAAAGATAATTCAGAAAACAATCTACCAAAAACTAAGCAGTAAATCAAAAAAATCAAAATATAATCTAACAGCTGATGAACATTTAGTGCAGGAACTGACCCTGGGAAAATCATTATCATAACTTTCTTGACCTCTGTGGGGCCTGTTCACACAGTACTATATATATCACCTTAAACATTTATTAAGTGCTTCTAGATGCCTGGCACTGAGAGAAAGAGCCTAAACACAAAAGCAGTATACTCAGAAAATTGGAATAAGAATAGGGGTAGCCTTTTTTCTTTCTCTAATTATAAAGAAATTATTTTTGCTTTAAACTGATTTGCAGAGATATTTACAACTAAAAAATTGACTCATGACTATTATCCAGAAAATGATATTTAGTAAAAAGTTAGTCAAGCCCGTGTTTCTTCCATTTAAACCAGTAAACCATTAAATTGTCTTGCCAGCTAACTAGACACTAGAAAGACATAGATATGCTTAATGTAAATCTGTTCATTTTCATCACTAGAAAATTCAGTGGAGAAGTATTAATCATTTTCTACAGAAATGCTACCTAGGAATAGGAAGGAAAAAAAATAGAGGAAAAGTGGGGTTGAGTAAAGATGAAGTGTATTTGTGTGTGTGTGTGAGACAGAGAGATTAGCATAATGCCCAGGGCTTTAATCATTTTTTTAAATTTTACATATTTCAGAATAACTCTGATGTCAAGGTAAATAAAAGTATATTTCAGTAAAGAAAAGCCCACCAACATCTACCTGTCTAAAAATTATCCTAAATTCAAATCCGAGTCATGATTTGGCTGCTGCTAAATCCATTCACACTTTTGTACAGGGATTTCAGGACCTCTGATTTTCCTTTTCCTCATCTCCCTGCCTTGGTCATTTCTACGAGTCGTATTCCTACCAACGTATGTCTACAGGGAACCTTCCATTATTTAGCAATTGTATGTCTATGATGAGTTGTAATCCCATACTGTAAAAAAATGAATACTCCTTGTTTTGATGAAGGTCCAGTTTTCATGCCAGAGACTCATGAGACAAATAGCAGCAGCTGATTTATAATTCTTTACCACTTGAGGCCCCTTATACATTCTTTTTCAGTTGCTGATCTAATAATGTATCCTGTGGACTATTTTCTTTTCCTTCCTTCCTTTCTTTCTTTCTTTCTTTCTTTCTTTCTTTCTTTCTTTCTTTCTTTTTCTTTCTTTCTTTCTTTCTTTCTTTTTCTCTTTCTTTCTTTCTCTTTCTTTCTTTCTCTCTTTCTTTCTTTCTCTCTTTCTTTTTCTTTCTTCCTCTCTCCTTCCTTCCTTTCTCTCTTTCTTCCTCTCTCCTTCCTTCCTTCCTCTCTTTCCTCTTTCTTTCTTTCTTTCTTTCTTTCTTTCCTTCCTTCCTTCCTTCCTTCCTTCCTTCCTTCCTTCCTTCCTTCCTTCCTTCCTTCCTTCCTTCCTTCCTTCCTTCTTATCTTCCATGCTTCTGTCTCTGGGGGGTTTTTTTTTGGTTTTTGTTTTTGTTTTTCAATGTCTATCTTATTTTCCTTCCACCTTAGTCTTCCACTTGAATCTTCTCCTTTGACTGGCCAGTGCTGATCAAGGTGGAATGTGGACTGTGGAGACAGGATACCAGGAGAGTTGCAAAGTGTTACTTTCCCAAGAGACAGTTTTGTTTAGACAAATGTTTAAGTACAATTTTCAAGCTTCATGTTGGTATTAATAACTGTCTCCTTTTCCTAGAGTAAGGCCACTAGTAAGAAATTGTTCCTTTCTCCGTTCATTTGTGAACCTAGCCTTAAAGTATACTTTCTGATGACTCAATAGAAGACTTGTGAACTTGGCAGAAACCATTGGGATGCATTCTATAATAAATGATGGAATCTTTTAGTAGTCATTATTATAATACTGAATAGTGTTCATAGAATCTTGATAATTTTTTTTTGTTTTTGCACCAGATGCTGGTTTCTATTCCAAAATTCATGAAAGAGAGATTATTGAGGAAAAAAATACATTTCATATTTATATCTACTTTTATATATGTATGCATCTATGTATCATTCTTTTATATATGTATGTATATACCCATTTCTATATATCTGCCTCTATTGTTTGAAATTCATTGTGGGGGTCTTATAAATGCTGTTTGATTTTTAGATCACAAGCCCTTTGTAGCAGCCACCAATTTGAATTAGTACCAGCTTCTTTGAAGGCTATTCAAAAAAAATTTTAGTACTTTAGTATTTAGCATAGACTTTTAGTATTTTAGTTTTTAGCAGAGAACTGTTCCTGTTCATAGCCTGAATACTGGGATAGATAAAGCAGTGGTTAACTTTGTCTAGTCAAATAATCTTGATTTATATGTATATATGATGTGTGTTAATTATTTCTTACTCCAAATTTTACAATTTAAAGATAAATCATTACAGCCTAAAATATAGTAAATCTTCATTGTACAAGTTTCCAGCCGGTCACTAAAGTTCAAAAAGTTATTACCATGAAAAATGTCTCATAATATTCCAAAAGTCAGTTATTTAAAACATAGGCAGTTCATTGAGAATGGATTGCAGACAACAATATTCAAACTAAGCATTAGCAGTCATTACAGACTCAAAGTAGGTTCATAATATGTGATTAAGTAGTAAAAGCTCTTTATCCCATTATCAATCCCTTGAAGCATATTAAAACAATAGAAAAAGTAACCTGAAGTGCTACAAACAATGTGTGTACGTATGTGTGTTCAGCAGTAAAGATCGAATGTGATTTTGTGGATGTATATATTAGGGGTTTGCCTGGCATACAAAGTAAGTTTAAGTTCGATGGTATTCACAGACTGTGAACCTTCATAAAATCAGTGGTGCAAGCAGTAGTACCTCAAAAGTCTCAAGGGAATTGGTGAACATATATAAAGCAGTTACAGATGATAATCTGAAAACTCTAATTACAGGCTTACTGCAGTGTGAAATCTTTCATATTAAAAATAATGCCACAGTATATATTTACTGCCAGTATATCAATGGTATGCTCAAATGTATCAATAAAATTATCAACAGATGGAACCTATCCTCTTAATATTTCATGTTTGTTATCTATTCAAAACCACAGTTAACCTTTTAACGTAGAAACTGAACATGTTTTGTTCACCTAAGGAGCTGCAGAAAAATTGCTTATTTCAATAATAGGCATTCATACCTTTTCTTTCTGCAGAAGTAGTTCACATATGCACCTCAATGTGATCAAAATCATATATGTGTATGTGCTATGGCTTTTTATTTTTTCAAACACATGTTGGACGCCTTGGCCAACATACGGGAGTTTGACACAAGCTGCATTCAAACAAGCTGCCCCTGTGTGTCTCTCTAGGCTGACGTAGCATGTGTTCATTTCCCAGAGATACAAATGGTGTGGAGTGGAGGGCACAGCACCCCTGGGTATTCATTATTCTGGGTGATCACTTGGGAGTGGTCAATTTGAAACCACCGTGGCAGTAAGAAAGAAACCAACGTGATTTGAATAGAAGGTGACGGCTCTTGAGCTTCTTTTTGCTGAATGTCATTAAACATGGACGGACTGTAAGTGTCTAAAATGGGGGTGCTTATCATGGAGAAACAGTGGGCTTGTTCGGCCACACAGAATGCTTCGTACAATTTTGTTCAGCATAAAAAAGGCAGAAGGGCAGCAAGCAATGCAGAAAGTGACAAATCATTAAGCTAATCCTATAAAGATCCGGCCTGTCAGGCGGCACATTTCCTGAATACTTAGAAAGCATGAGAGTGGCTTATTAATGGTTCATCACAGTTCTTGCACTGCTTACATTGCTAATATGCAAACACTGCCCTTTTTTAGTTTTGATTTTCAGCACATTAGGATGTCACTTCCATGGCTACTGTATTTTTTTTTCCTCCTGGGTAACTGAAGCATTACCATAGAAGACAATGATTGATGATGTCTTTAAAGGTCTAAAAAAGCACAGGCTATTTTTGAAACTGTGCCATGTCTATATAAGGAGAGAAGAAGGAACAATCTAAATGCTACAGTATGCTAGAGCAACAACAACAAAGCCCTGAGGCTTAGGTAGTCATCAAGGGTACTTCATTTTTTGCTCCCACTCTCTGCACCCTTTCCTTTCCCTCTCTGAATTTACAGACTACTGCTGGGTTAGGGTAGAGAATGCTCTGGTGTGTGTTAGATGCTCAGTGTAATTAGACTATTGCGCTAGGAAGATTTGGCTCCACACTTCATTCCCGGGAGCTGTAAAGCTGTTCTTGCCTTTGAAAGCTGCTTGGCTGAGTTGAGAACAAGCAATAGTGATGATGATGGTGTGATTAGCATCATTTTGCATTTAACACAACAGCTTTCTGCATAGTATTTACAGTACTTAGAAACTATTATCATGTATACAAGTATCTTCCCGTATTGATTATTTGTCTTTTTCTTCTCCTTATCATCTTCTTTCAACTTTCTATCAGTGTGGATTCAATCCAATGAAAATTTAGTATGCATCTATAACGCCTTGTTAGGCACTGGGAATAGAAAACCACTTATTTATGTATTTTTATATTTCCTGTACAAATTCAGTCTTGTAAGATACACACATTGTAACATATAAATTTTATTCCAAAATATGGATTTTCTTTTGTTTTTTCTTTATCCTTGTGCAAATGAATAATAAAGGCAAAGAAAAAGAGGATTTTTATTTATTTAAATTTTTTTTTTTTTTTTGATATGAAGTCTCGCTGTGTCGCCCAGGCTGGAGTGCAGTGGCGCGATCTCGGCTCACTGTAAGCTCTGCCTCCCGGGTTCACGCCATTCTCCTGCCTCAGCCTCCCGAGTAGCTGGGAATACAGGCGCCCGCCACCACGCCCAGCTAATTTTTTTGTATTTTTAGTAGAGACGGGTTTTCACCTTGTTAGCCAGGATGGTCTCGATCTCCTGACCTTGTGATCTGCCTGCCTCGGCCTCCCAAAGTGCTAGGATTACAGACGTGAGCCACCGCATCCGGCCTATTTATTTAAATTTTTATGAGTATATAGTAGGTGCATATATTTGGGGATACAAGAGATATTTTGATACAGGCACACAATGTGTAATCATCACAGAGAGGATTTTTTTTTTTTGAGGGACAGGAGAGTTAAAGGTGTAAACTCTAGGTTGGTTTCTGTCAATTCCTCTCTAGTCATTCAATCATTTTAAAAGACTCAAAAAGTAGGATCTACTTTAAATCATGTAAATTGGCCCCAAATATTTGATCTAGTACAAATTTAGCATATAACAAATAAATAAGTAAAGCCCTTAAATCTAACCAAAGCAGTAGGAAATAGGTTACCAAAACTGTTTCTCCTGCAATAGTTGGAGTAATTTGGTCATGCAAACTTAGCCAAGTTAGTTAAATTTCTTAAAATTCTGTCCCTGTTTTATAAAATGAAAGAATACTATTTGGGCTGACATGATCTTCTGCTTATTAAAGATAAGTTACAGACCACAGTGTATAGCACATTGCAAGACCTCAAGAAATTAACATGATACAGTATGTGAATAATGCAAAGAAAACCAACAAATCAAAATATTCCTTTTGAAATTGGACATAAATTGGTTTCTGCTCAGCATTTTTTGTTGGAAGACCCTCTTATGATGCTTCCAAATCTGTATTTTTTTCTTTTTTTGAATATGAAATTTTTATAAACAAGAATAACATATTTAATTCATTTATTGATTTTTCCATATATTTCATGCATAATAGAACGTGGATGTGCTTAATAGTATAAAAGAAAATTAGGTTACAAAGAGAACAGCTGAAGAAGAATTAAGTAAATTGCCTAACATCACACTAAAAAATAATACAGAAGAGGAGAGAAAAAAATAACAGAGAAGAATGATTGAAAAGAATAGAGGACGAGAATATAGGTTCTAATACCTTGTCAGCTGGTCAACATTAGTTCTCAGATTAGAACAACACTTTCACTGAAAGATGAAGGAAAATTATTCTTCTCTGTATAATAAAGTCCTTGAGGGTGGCTTCACAACAAATTAATGTAACGTTAACATGTAATGTATCTAAAAATACCACTCCATGTTTCTAGTTTCTCCCTGGGGACTGTTCGTGTGCTAACGCTCCTCTTCTTCACATATCTCTCCTCTCCCCACTTGTTGGCCAGGCATTCTCATATCTCATTTCAACAACTAGTATATGACACCATATAGAATCCAGGACATGATACATGATGTCAGGCCAAACCTCTGACCTTCAGAAAGTCAAAGCTGTTAGGCAAAAAGACTTCCCAGGATCAAACCTCTCTGGATTCAAATACATACATGATTATTATACAATTTTCAAGTCTTGGACATGTCTTTCTATATCAGTTTCCCTATAGGAATATTACCAGCAGATTAACATTAATTTCTAATTGCATTTGTTTTCCTGTCCAGACTCTGAAACTGAAATTAGATTTTTATACAATCCAAGCCAACCTGATATAATACACTCTTTGCATTAAGAGTTTTACTTGACTGTTATTATACCATGCTTTACATGACAATGAGAAGTTAATTTTACTCCATTGTGATGTGCTTTTAGGCTCTGAACTTACTACATAATGAGGTACAGTTTCTCCTTCACCTCAATGTACCGACCTGCTGAGCAATATCCTGGATATCTCCAGGGCACCTGTCAAGAATGCTTTATTTCATATTCCACCCCCAAAACAAACATACACCAAAAATATCATTCAAACTTAAGAAATGTTCATGATACTGGAGAGGCATCACTAGGTTGTCTGGGAAAGGAGAAAAAGATAATTATAACAATTACTATATACCCTCTTCAAGCATTATGATATGTTGGTCATTTTGTAAGATTCGTTGGATATTAAATCCTTTCTTACAAATCGGTTAAGAGGTCTTTTAATCCCTATTAATCTAAGTTTTACAGTGATAGGAATTGTATGACTTATAATAAATGAGGGATCAGAACAAGAATTCGGTTCAATAGTTAAAATAATTTTTAATTGATAGAAGGCACTAATGAATAACCAGATGACTGAAAGTTTCTGGCGTATCTGGAGATACCCAAAATAAGATCCTTGTTAATGCACTTAACTGTGTCCCCCCTCAAAAAGCCATATGTTGAATCCCTAAACCACAGTAATTTAGAATATGATGACATTTGGAGGGAGGGCCCTAAAAGAGGTGATTAAATTAAAATGAAGCTATTAGAGTGGGGCCTAATCCAATCCTCCGAAGAAACCACCCCTGCCAACTCCTTGATCTTGGACTTCTAGTACCCCAAAATGTAAAAGATATATTTCTGTTGTTAAATTACCCAGTCTGTGGTACTCTGTTTTGGCAATCCTAGCCATAGTAAATCAATTATTAATATGAGCTTCTTTATCAATACCTACATGAGTTGTTCCCATTAATTACCTCATTCCTCAAACTGTAATGCAGACAATATGCCAAATAGCATACTTATTAATTGATAAATCTAATGTCTTGTTTCCAAACTTTGATGTCTCTACATCGTTTTGCATTGTCGATGATCCCTTATATTTCTATTCCCTTTGCTTCAAGACACAATTTACTTCCTGTTTTCCAGCTTTCTCCCTGACTTCTTACTAATGGATTCCTCTCTTCACCCATTACAGGTGGGTATTTCTGGGATATTGTACTCAGCTTCTTTGTCTCCATGTTCTCACTAGAGGAAATTTTTATACACGCATATTTACAACTGTCATCTAAATGCTGAAAAACTCCAAGTTTTGTCTCCATCCTACAGTCATTTGAATCTGATAAAGTACTTTATTATTATGTAATATTTAAACATATGATATTTATGTGGTAGACATAGATTATTATTAGTCATAATAATAAAACAAATATCCATGAATTCATGCTCCTTCCTAAGATAAAATATTACCATGCTTTTCTCCAATCCCACCTTCCTACTTTCCTATTGGGAAATAACCACTACCCTAGATTTTGCATTTGCATGCATCATTACCATGACACTTGAAAATATTTTTTTAACCTATTTAGATAATTCTAAATAAAATATCAATTTGGTTTTTTGTTTGTAATTATGGTGTCATATTACATGTGGTCTTGTGTGTCTTATTTTTTCATTCCACAGCGTCGTTTCTAAGATGCAACAATGTTGCACATAACTGCAGTTTGCTCTTTTTACTGCATTCTAATTTTTTCCCGAACACCTGAACTACATATCTAGAAGAAACAAAACCCAAAAATGTTACCATCAAGCCTGCTGCTCTTAAATCTAGAACCTACACAATATCAAAAAATATAATATTATCCTTAATATTTTTTCTCTTTCAATATATTTTCAATCAGTCATAAATCTGGATGATTTAATCTATATGATGTTGTCCTCTCTTCACCCCTTCCAATGCCAGGTGTGAGTCCAAGGCATTAGCAGCTTGTGTCTGACCATTGCATTCACTTTCTAACTCTTCTCCATGCAAAACTTTCCCCTCTTCCCCAAAAATCCAGGTCACTCTCAATCTTAACTTTTGATCATTATTTGCCTTTGCCTGCAGGGCACACTTCAAACTACCTTATATGGTATTCAAGATTTTTAATATCTTTTAGGTGTCATAGTGAGAAATGCTACTTCCTCTTCTACTTCTTTGTTTTGAGAACCACATATTCAATTTGTGGGAAAAAAAATGGCAGCACACATTGGTTCCTGGTTCAAAGCACATACCACATCATTAACAACACCACTCCACTAAATTATTAGTTTAATCTCTTATCTCTGAAGATATATATGACTGACCAACAATCCATTTTACATTCTATAAGGCTGGCTATATTGGGGATCTGGAGTAAATAGTGAGACTAGAGAATCCCATGAGCATTACTGACTACATTGCCTTATTCTTTTGTGATTAAATTAGCTTATTAGTAAGAAATCCCATGACAGAATATCATTATAGTGAAGGAGATATTCAAGGAAACCACTCTTTGTGTTTCTGTCAATAACTCCATGGACAGGAAGAAAGATTATGATCCAGAATAAGTGTTTATTTCAATGAAGACAAATTGCTGCTCATAGAGGGTTCCGATGTAATCAACCCATCATGTGAAGGAGGAGGGTGTCTCCTGGAGTAGGTTTTGTGTTAGAAGGTCAGAGTTGATTTTGCACTGACCAAGCAGTGACTGTATTCTGGGATATCAAAGTGAAAAGTTTATAATGTGAAACTAAATACAACCTGTTATCAGTCTACCATGGCTACTTTGTTCATATAAGCCTACTTACAAGTATAATGCTGCTTTCTGCCAAAACCCAACAGACATTGCTGCAATTCACTTACTGGGGCATAAACAGGCTCCATACAACATTCAGCACAACCTCAGGCACTTCTGCTGCATTGGATCTGCTGGGTTTTCAAAGGTACATGATAGAGTCACTCACATTACTGCTGGAACAAGCTGGACACCTATCATATTCTCTGAATTTCACTGAAACTTGGAAGAATATGTACTAGTTTGAGTCTCTTACTTAGTGGTAAGAACTATTAGGTGCAGTGTCCTGTGCTTATAATGAGGAGTATCCTCTAATGACTCAGAAACTGAATTCTAGAGAGGTCAGACACAAAATAGTACCTGCTGTGTCATTCTCTATGTATAAAGTTCAAAAACTGGCAAACCAAGTGGTGGTTGAAATTAGGATGTGGTTGGCGTTGAGGAGGATGAGAATTTGTAAATGGGAAGGTCCATAAAAGAGCTTTGGGATTCACATAATTTTCTATTTTTTTATTTGTGTAATTGGCACATGGGTGTGTTCACTTTCTGATAAATACATCAAGTAGTTTACTTACGATTTGTGCTTTCCTTTAAATATGTTATACTTTGATTTTTAAAAATTGCTTAAAAAACTAGATAGCTCTCATGGAAGGGCTAGAAAAGAACAAGCTCCCCAATGCTCCCCAAGATAAGCATGTATTAACAATATTCCAAGATACTCACACAGGCTGGCTTAAGGGGAACTAATTTTCCAATTCCTGGAAAATCTCACAATCATCCTGCAAAAACAACTCTTTGGAGAAATGTCCGGCATAGCTTCTATTGCCTCCCATTGGTAGACTGGGGCCCTGCACAGAACTTCACTTGAAAATCAATCACATGTGAGTTACCTGACTTGTAAAACCTAGGTCACATGGCTTTAGCTGCAAAAGAGGCTTTGAAATATATGTTGAACAATCTTTTGTTCATGTTTATTTACTCTGTGTATTAGTCTGTTCTCACGCTGCTAATAATGATATACCCAAGACTAAGTAATTTATAAAGGAAAGAGGTTTAATTGTCTCAGTTCAGCATGGATGGGGAGGCCTCACAATCATGGCAGAAGGTGAAGGAGAAGCAAAGCCACATCGTACTTCCTGGGTTCAATGGGGGTTCAGGCATTGGGTAAATACACGTGTTCCAAATGAAAGAAATTGGCCAAAACAAAGGGGCTACAGGCTCCATGTGAGTCCAAAATCCAATAAGGCAGCCATTAAACCTTAAAGTTCCAAAATGATCTCCTTTGACTCCATGTCTCACATCCAGGTCCCACTGATGCAAGACGTGGGTTCCCATGGCCTTGGGAAGCTCCACTCCTGTGGCTTTGCAGGGTACAGCCCCCTCCCAGCTGCTTTCATGGCTGTCATTGTCAATGGCTTTTCCAGATGCATGGTGCAAGCTGTCAGTGGATCTACCATTCTGGAGTCTGGAGGACAGTGGCCCTCTTTTCACAGCTCAATTAGGCAGTGTCCCAGTGGGGACTCTATGTGGGGGCTCCCACCCCACATTTCCCTTCCACACTGCCCTAGCAGAGGTTCTCCATGAGGGCACCACCCCTGCAGCAAACTTCTGCCTGGATATCCAGGCGTTTCCATACCTCCTCTGAAATCTAGGTGGAGGTTCCCAAACCTCAATTCTTGACTTCTGTGCACCAGCAGGCTCAACATCACATGGAAGCTGCCAAGGCTTGGGGCTTGCACCTTCCAAAAATACTGCCCCAGCTGTACCTCGGCCCCTTTTGGGCATGGCTAGAGTGGCTGGGATGCAGGACACCAAGTCCCTAGCCTGCATGCAACAAGGGGGCCCTGGGCCCAGCCCAGGAACCAATTATTTTTCCCCCTAGGCTTCCAGGTCTGTGATGGAAGAGGCTGCGGCATGGTTTCTGACATGCCATGGAGACATTTTCCCCATTGTCTTGGTGACTAACAATGGGCTTCTTGTTACTTATGCAAATTTCTGTAGCTGGCTTGAATTTCTGCCTAGAAAATGGATTTTTCTATTCAATTGCATTGTTATGCTGCAAATTTCCCCAAGTTTTATGCTCTGCTTCCTCTTGAAAGCCTTGCTGCTAAGAAATTTCACCAGATACCCTAAATCATCTCTCTCAAGTTCAAAGTTCCACAGACCTCTAAAGCAGAAGCAAAATGTGGCCAGTCTCTGCATAGCAAGAGTGAACTTTGCTCCAGTACCCAACAAGTTCTTCGTCTCCATCTGAGACACACTTAGACTAGATTTTACTGTCCATATCACCATCAGCATTCTGGTTGAAACCATTCAACAAGTCTCTATGAAGTTACAAACTTTCCCACATCTTCTGTCTTCTGAGCCCTCCAAGTCTGTAGGAAGTTTCAAATTTTCCCACATTTTCGTCTTCTTCTGAGCCCTCCAAATTGTTCCAACCTCTTCCTGTTACACAATTCCAAAGTTGCTTCCACATTTTCAGGTATCTTTACAGCAGCATCTCACTCTACCAGTAACAATTTACTTTATTAGTCTGTTCTCATTTTGCTAATAAAGACATACCAAAGACTGGGCAATTTTTAAAGGAAAGAAGTTTAATTGATTCACAGTCCAGCATGGCTGGGGAGGCCTCACAATCATGGCAGAAGGTAAAGGAGGAGTAAGGCATGTCTTACATGGTGGCAGGCAAGAGAGCATGTGCAGGGGGACTCCCCTTTATAAAACCATCAGATCTTATGAGACTTATTCACTACCATGAGAACAGCACAGGAAAGACCCACCCCCATGATTCTATTATCTTCCACTGGGTCCCTCCTGCAACACATGGAAATTATGGGAGCTACAATTCCAGGTGACATTTTGGTGGGGACAAATCCAACCACATCATTCTGCTACATTAAGCAGTCCTTTTACCAAGAAACAATGCTTTATTCCTGTCTGTTATCTCCATGTTTATTATCACACCTAGCTTTCATTTCATAATCATTTACTAAGTATCTCCTATCTATAAGTCACTGAGGTAGCTATGAAAAGAAACTCATGAATGAAAAGAAATTCCAACACATGGAGTCTTATATTCTAGATGCAGAGTGTTAAATTACATTAAATTTGGTCCAAAGCTGTCTCCATAGGTAGCAAACTGCAATTGAACTTAGTATGTTGTATTAGTCTGTTTCATACTGCTATAAAGATACTACCTGAGACTGGGTAATTTATAAACAAGGAGGTTTAATTGACTTAGAGTTCTAGCATGGCCTGGGAGGCCTCGGAAAACTTACAATCATGGTGTAAGGTGAAGAAGAAGCAAGTATCTTCTTCACAAGGGGCCAGGAAAGAGAGGAGGTGAAGAGAAAAGTGCCCCGTATAAAACCATCAGATCTCATGAGAACTCACTCACTATCACAAGAGCAGCGTAGGAAAAACAGTCCCCATGATCCTATCCCCTCCCACATGGTCCCTCCCTTGATGCATGGGGATTACAATTTGAGATGAGATTTGGGTGGGGACACAGGGCCAAACCATTTCATTCCGCCCATGGCTCCTCCAAATTTCATGTCCTCACATTTTAAAACACAATCATGTTGTGATGGTTAATACTGAGTGTGAACTAGATTGGATTGAAGGATGCAAAGTATTGATGCTGGATGTATCTGTGAGGGTGTTGCCAGGCAGAAAAATGCGAAAAGGCAAGACTGGCCTAGCCTCCAAGACTACACCTTTCTCCCATGCTAGATGCTTCTTTCCCTCAAACATCAGACTCCATCAGACTCCAATTCTTCAGTTTTGAGATTTGGACTAGCTCTCCTTGCTGCTCAAACTTGCAGACAGTCTATTGTGGGACCTTGTGATCATGTAAGTTAATACTTAATAACTCATATATATATATATGATATATATCATATATATATCATATATATCATATATATTATATATCTATATATATCATATATATATGATATATCATATATATATCATATATATATGATATATCATATGAGTTCTGGCTCTCTAGGGAACCCTGGCTAATACAGATTTTGGTACCAGGAGTGGCTTGAGAGGAATAGAATATTAAGGATGGAGTTCTTTCATTGGTTTTGGGGTTTCTGGAGTTGGGTGCTTAATATGATTAGACCCAAAAATGCTAAGGACTCTACTTCTAATAGTATGGAGAACACTGATATTCCTTGGCATGAACTGTTTAGAGAGTTATGCAAAACAAATGCAATTGACACTCCTGATTCACCGCTCACAAGAGGCAAGGAGTTTAGTGACTCTATACATAATACCATTGACCATATGTGGAGAACCAAGGAACATAATGAAGCTGGTTAATTGCTCCTAAGTTCAGTGAACAAAGTGATGAAAGAAAACAACCAACTCAGGGATCTTGTCTCCTGGCTTCAGAAGCAGATACTGAGTCTCAAATCTGCTAAGATTGCCCTGAGTGAGAGTCTTATCTCCTAGAGTGAAAGAGCTGAAATTGTGGAAAAACAGACACAAGGTCTTATCATGTGAGTGGCTGACCTCCAATGAAAGTGCATGCATAGCCTCGTCAGGTGTCTACTGTTAAAGTGAGGGCATTGATTGGAAAAGAATGGGACCCTGTAACTTGGAATGGGGAAGTGTGAGAGGACTCTGATGAAGCCAGGGACATGGATGAAGCTTTTTTCCAGATGGAACAGCTTCCCCATCACCAGTAGTGGCACCCCTGACATCCTTGTTTGCTTCTAGACCTATAACTAGACTAAAGTCCCGCTGGGCCCCTAGAGGTCAGGTACAGAGTGTGACCCATGAGGAGGCGCACTACACTTAAAAAGAACTGCTTTAATTCTGTAACATATATAAACAGAAATCTGGAGTACAGGCATGGGAATGAATATTAAAGGTTGAGTTAATGGTAGAAGGAACACAGAGTTGGATTAGGCTGAATATATTGATTTGGGCCCACTAAGTAGGGACTCTGTATTTAATGTTGCAGCTTGGGAGTTAAAAAAAGGTTCTAATAGTTTATTTGCTTGGTTAGCTAAAATACGGATTAAAAGATGGCCCACTGTGAGTGAGCTGGAAATGCCTGATCTCCCTTGGTTTAATGTAGAGGAAGGGATGAGAAGGCTTAGGGAGATTGGGATGGTGAAGTGGATTAGTCACTTTAGACCTACTCATCCCAGCTGGGAGGGTCCAGAAGATATACCCTTGACCAATGCCTTGTAAAATAGATTTGTGAGGGCATCTTTGAAGAGCCCTGTAATTGCTCTACTCTGTATGTCAGATCTAACAGTGGGAACCACAGTCACTCAACTACAAAATTTAAATATGATGAGAATATTTGGATCCTGAGGCAGCAGGGGCCAAGTGGTGGAACTCAGCCATCAAAGGCAAGGTGGGCATAGCTATTGTAATGGACAGCAGATACAAAGCAGCAATCATAATAGTCTGACTCATGTAGAGCTCTAGCATTGGCTAATTAATCATGGTGTTCCTAGAAGTAAAATTGATAGGAAGCCTACTGCATTCCTACTTAATTTATACAAGCAGAAAAACTTCTAGGTCAAATGGAAAAAAGGCTAATTTGTACTATGAAAACAGAGAATCACAGCCCCTCAATCAATTTCTAGACTTGAGCCAATTTACAGACCCAGAACCCCTTAAATGAAAGGAGGCAGGGTCCTCTTGAGGAAGGACCCCACTACATAACCAATAATTTATGCAGTAAAACTTTTTCCCATCCTTTGCCAATGAGACCTCTGGCCTTTTACCAGGGAATCTGCGCATTGGAAAAAGGGAAATGATAATACATTTTGGGGACCACTGGACATTGGCTCTGAGCTGATGTTGATTCCAGGGTACCCAAAACGTTATTGTGGTCCTACAGTTAAAGTAAGGGCTTATGGAGGTCAGGTAATTAATGGAGTTTTAGCTCAGGTCCAAGTTACAGTGGGTCAGTGGGTCCTTGGACTCATCCTGTGGTCATTTCCCCAGTGCCAGAATGCATAATTGGCGTAAACATACTTAGCAGCTGGCAGAAAACCCACATTAGCACCCTGACCGGTAGGGTGAGGGCTATTAGGGTGGGAAAGGCCAAACGGAAGCCATAAGAGCTGCCTCTACCTAGAAAAATAGTAAATCAAAAACAATATTGTGTCCCTGGGGGAACTGCAGAGATTAGTGCCACCATCAAGGACTTGAAAGATGCAGGAGTGGTCTTCCCACCACATCCCCATTCAACTCTCCTATTTGACCTGTGCAGAAGACAGATGGATCTTGGATAATGACAGTGGATTATCATAAGCTCAACCAAGTGGTGACTCCAATTGCAGCTGCTGTACCAGACGTGGTTTCCTTGCTTGAGCAAATTAATACATCTCCTGGTACCTGGTATGCAGCCATTGACTTGGCAAATGCCTTTTTCTCCATTCCTGTCCATAAGGCCCAGCAGAAGCCATTTGCCTTCTGCTGCCAAGGCCAGCAATATACCTTTACTGTCCTACCTCAGGGATATATCAACTCTCCAGGTTTGTGTCATAATCTTATTCTGAGAGACATTGATTGCTTTTCGCTTCCACGAGATATCACACTGGTCCATTACATTGATGACATTATGCTGATTGGATCCAGTGAGCAAGAAGTAGCAAACACACTGAACTTATTGGTGAGACATTTGCATACCAGAGGATGGGAAATAAATCTGACTAAAATTCAGGGACCTTCGACCTCAGTAAAATTTCTAGGGGTCTGTGGTATGGGGCCTGTTGAGATATTCCTTCTAAGATGAAGGATAAGTTGCTGCATTTGGCCCCTGCTACAACCAAGAAAGAGGCACAACATCTAGTGGGCCTATTTGGATTTTGGAGACAACACATTCCTCATTTGGGTGTGTTAATCCAGCCTATTTATCAAGTTACTTGAAAAGCTGCCAGTTTTGAGTGGGGTCCAGAACAGGAGAAGGCTCTACAACAGGTCCAGGCTGCCATGCAAGCTTCTCTGTCACTTGGGCCATATGACCCCGCAGATCCAATGATGCTTGAGGTGTCAGTGGCAGATAGGGTTGCTGTTTGGTGCCTTTGGTAGGCCCCCATAGGTGAATCAGAGCAGAGGCCTCTAGGATTTTGGAGCAAGGACCTGCCATCTTCTGCAGATAACTACTCTCCTTTTGAGAGACAGCTCTTGGCCTGTTACTGGACTTTGGTGAAAACGGAAAGTTTGACTATGGGTCATCAGGTAACCATGTGACCTGAACTGCATATTATGAACTGGGTCCTTTCTGACCCATCTAGTTATAAAGTGGGTCTTGCACAGCAGCATCCCATCATCAAATGGAAGTGGTATATATATGCGACCAGGCTTGAACAGGTCCTGAAGGCACAAATAAGTTACATGAGGAAGTGGCTCAAATGCCCATGGTCTCCACTCCTACCACCCTGCCTTCTCTCTCTCAGCCTGCACCGATGGCCTTATGGGGAATTCCCTATGATTAGATGACAGAGGAAGAGAAAAATAGGGCCTGATTCACAGATGGTTCTGCAAGATATGCAGGTACCACCCGAAAGTGGAGAGCTGAGGCACTACAGCCCCTTTCTAGGACATCCCTGAAGGACAGCAGTGAAGGGAAATCTTCCCAGTGGGCAGAACTTTGAGCAGTGCACCTGGTTGTGTACTTTGCATGTAAGGAGAAATGGTCAGATGTGTGATTATATACTGTTTCATGGGCCGTAGCCAGTGGTTTGGCTGGATGGCCAAAGACTTGGAAGAAGCACGATTAGAAAATTGGTGACAAAGAAATTTGGGGAAAAGGTATATAAATGGACCTCTCTGAGTGGTCCAAAACCACTCAGATATTTGTATCCCATGTAATTTCTCACCAATGGGGACCTCAGCAGAGGAAAATTTTACTAATTAAGTGTATAGGATGACCTGTTCTGTGGACACCACTCAGCCTATTTCCCCAGCCACCCTGTCATCACCCAATGGGGCCATGAACAAAGTGGCCATGGTGGCAGGGATGGAAGTTGTGCATGGACTCAGCAACATGGACTTCAGTTCACCAAGGCTGACCTCGTGTGGCCACTGCTGAGTACCCATGCTTGCTGGTTGTGCTCTCTGAACCTCTCCTGGTGTGCCCCATTCACAATTATTGTGCCCCATTGACAATTATTGTGCCCCATTCACAAATTATTCTTTGCTCAAATAAACTCTGTCAAATTTAATTTGTCTAAAATGTTTCTTTTAAGAGGAGACACATATCCAAATAACTAATTAAAATAATATGAAAGATGTCAAAATAAAAGTATAAATAAAGGTCTGTGGAACACAAACAGAAAGCCTTAAGTAGCCTGAGGTCAAGGAAGGTGTTACAAAGATACTTAATAAATATTTGCAGTAAGTACATGAAATTTGTCAAAATATTTAACTTCTTTAGTTTGCAGAGAAATCTACCACTCATTTTAGGTAAAATGTAAAAGAAATCAAATGAAGAAGAATATTATACTTGGCAGCTATAAATCAATACAATTACCTGCTAGATATACATTTGGTTTCTTGCTTATTGGTTTACGGTTTGAACTGAATCACTTCTACATTTCTTAAACCATGTAAATATTAAAAATATGAGAAGATATACAAGGTTTTATTCATATGGGTATTCTGTTTATGTATACCTTCAATCTGTGTGCATATGTATATGTACATCTACATATATCTGCCAATTTATCTATAACATATTTCAGAGTGCATTGATGTGAATATACTGAGATCAAGTGGTCTTTCTGTAAAACAGATTCTGTTTCTGGTAGTGATGGGCCAGGTGATTGAGGCCAACCCTCCTACTGAGGACAACTCAAAGAGCTGGGTGAAATTATTTAAAAAATCAGCTTAAGAGCCTTGAAGAGATTGAGGAATCTCCAGGCCAAAATCGTAGAAAAGAGGAGATCACCCAAAATTTTTTGTACTTTAAAGGCATTTGCCAATCAGTAAGAAAAAACTGTGAAGTTGAAATACAATTCTATTGGCCTCAGTGAATGGAAAGCTCAAGCTTTATGAAAGTTATGAAATTGATTTATAAAGGAAATAAGTTTATAATATAACCTTTACAACATAAACTTATGAAATACAATAATTTTAATTATACAAGAAATTAAGCTCAGGCCTTAAACTGCATCCCCAAAGGGATAAACCTTTAAAGTAAAGAAATACCTGAAGTAAATCACCTATGAATTTACTGCTCACCTTGGTTTTGCATCACTTGGAGAATGAAGGAAATCCGAAGCCTTCAATATGGATCAAAGTGAGACAGGTCGTATTTCCTATCCCCTAAAAGAAACAAAAAAATTGTCTTCCTTGAAGGAGTAGTGAATTTTTTAACCTTATTTTACTTCTACTATATATTTTAAAATAAAATAAATGAACATCTAACAAGCAAAAGTAACCAGGCTTTTATGGAAACAAGAAACCATGAGGTTAAGATGTGGAAAATATAACAATGTAAACAAATTGTTTCAAAAAATTACATCTTGAATGTATCAAACAGGGCATACAAAACAATTGTCATTCCCATAGTTGACAAAATAAAATAAAATCTTGAAAAAAAATTTTAAGGAACACAGAGTGCAGATTTCAAAAGGAACCAAATAGAAATTTTAGTATTGAAAAGTAAAATAGCAGCAGTTATAAACTCAATGGATCAATGTCACCCAAGATTAGAAATAGCTAAGGAGAGAAATAAGGAGCTAAATAATAGGTCAGTGAGAATTATCCTTTGGCCTCTGAAGCTCACAGAGGATGAAAAGTACAGAAGTACAGTTAAGAGAAACAGAACACTCAGTGAGAAATTCTAATTTCAATGACGACAAGTTGCTGATCTCTCCTTGATGGAGGGAAGAGTCATATACAATCAACCTGCCATATAAGTTAAATTAATCAAATCATCTAAATTAATTAAGTCAATTAAATCAATTAAACATACATAGTTGATTTAAATGAAGAAAGAGAGAAAATGGAGCAGTAAAATATTAGCAGCATTTCAAGAATTAAGTCTGTGGATGTTACAGATTTTTAAAAGATATCAATTGATACACTAAAAATGCCTAAGATTTCTAAGAAGGAATACAACTAGAAGCTGTATTAGAAAAAATACAACTAGAAGCTGTATTAGAAAAAATACAACTAGAAGCTGTATTAGAAAAAATACAACTAGAAGCTGTATTAGAAAAAATACAACTAGAAGCTGTATTAGAAAAAATACAACTAGAAGCTGTATTAGAAAAAATACAACTAGAAGCTGTATTAGAAAAAATACAACTAGAAGCTGTATTAGAAAAAATACAACTAGAAGCTGTATTAGAAAAAATACAACTAGAAGTATCACAGTCAAACTACAAAAAAAAAAGTAGAGAGAAATATCTTGAAAGCATCTCGAGAGAAACAAATAAAGATTTTTACAAAGGCTGGTTGACTTTTCTATATCAACAATGGAAACTAGAAGACAAAGCATAGTATCAATATGATGAAAAAAATTATCTTTTATGCAGAATTCTATACCCATCAAGACATACTAAGGAAGATGGCTAAATGAAGATTGTTTTTTAGTCCAAAAAATACCCAAACCTAAAAACATTGTTATGCAGAAGGAAAAATATCTTATTTATTCATTTTTTAGGCTTACTACTTATTTTACTAATATTTTAAGAAAAAACAAAAATGGGTACTCAAAATAAGAGTAAATCCAAATCAACTTAGAATGTATACAATAATATTAATAAATAATATTTTCTAAAGTCTTAAAATAGATGGAATTAAAGTATATGGCACCAATATGATATAAGTTGGAAGGGCAGTAAAATAAGTTTTATTCACATTTATGTAAGTTCCTCGGACTGTTGGAGATGAGGCTAAAATATGGGTTAACATCATATTTTTATAAGCTAATGATGTTTGATGCAATTTCTAGGATAACTACTAAAGGGATAGAAACGGAATGTATACTGTCCAAACAAATATAAGTTAAAACTGGGACAATAACACACACACAAACACACACACACACACAGTTGGAAAGTTCTTTCCAATTGGTCCTTTTCCGTTTATTTGGTTATTTATATTTCTATTATTAGACCTCCAATGAGTATTTCAATATATACATTTATTTTTTTAAAAAAGGTCAATGCATTTTATTGAAAACAATGAAAAAGATTTTTACATTTACTATATTTTATTATATTTGATTATACTTTCATTGCAACTTATATCTCTAGTTATTTCTTTATTTTATTATAAAACTGATATCTATATCACCTTGCATATGTAAGGAAAGGGTGAGGTTAAAGTACCCCCATAAAGAATCATTTAGTATTTCTTTTTATCACTCTTATGTTTCCATTACTCTTATTCTTATGTCACCCTATGTGGAGTTAAGCATAGTTGAGTTACCAATTAGATACTTATTAGCCAAAGAAGTTAATATTAAGTTAGAAACTCTCTGCTGTCTTTCTTTATTTATTTATTCAGTCAGGCATTTATCCATTTGCAAATTAATTCATTTATTCAAAGCTGTTTAAGTGCCATCACCATTGTAGGTATTAGGTGTTAAGATATAATAAAAATAAAACAAGAAATTTAAAAGTCTGACTTTGTGGCTGTTGCATTCTATTAAGAGACTCAGACAAAATGCATTGCAGATGAACAAATAAAGCATTGAGTGTGTTAGCTGGTGACAAGAAAAATAATAAAGCAATGAAGGTAGGTGTCAGTGTCAGGGATAGAGTAATTTAGATAAGGGGAAAGGCAAGTCTTCACTGGGCATTAGACAAATATGTCAAGATCTGAAGAAGGTGAGAGAGTGCACCATGATATTATCTAAACAAAGATTGTTCCTGGAAGAGGAAAAGGTGTTTTTACCCAGTGATGTTTGCTGTGTAAGGGTCTGTTATCACATCAGATCCCAGAAAACTAGAAATGACTCATCCATTGAATTAAGTTAAGCATTTGACATAACATGATTTCATTATGTAGAATGATTTTAAATGCATTTGAGTCATATTTCATTATTAGAATTAAACTTATGTTTGTGTTCTATTATATCAGTGATATTGTAGTAATATAGTAAAAAGAAAAGTTTTGGAATACTATTCCAGTCAACATAATTCTGAGGAAGTTGTTTGAAAATGGCAGGTTACATTTCCTCACAACAGTGTCACTACTGCTACACAAATAAAAAAAATCAATTTTTAAAAAGTGCTGTAATCTGCTACTTCACACTAATGCCATATGGTCATCATTTTATAATTAATTGATAAATTAGCATCCATGTATACAAGTATATTGGTATTCTAACATAATATTTATTTTTGCAGAAGTCATTATACTTTCCAAATGATTTTACATATTTGAGTTTTATAATACTCCTGCAAGTAAAGTGGCATCTGTTTTTAATAGATCTCCAGTGGAAATTTCAAAAGATTTAGATTGCCCAGTTTGAATGTAAAGAGAAAGTATCAAATCAGAGCTAGATACTCATGCTCTCACACATTATATGTAGTGTTCATTCTAATAGTCCTTGTTATGCACATATTTTAAAAGAAATTTCTCAAATACAACATATCTGAATATGAAAAAATGCATTATTTTTATTTGTGAAGATTATAAGGTTTTTAATTTCTGTCCTCATTAGAAATTATCCTAGTTACTAGAAATAGAAAAAAATATACATTTTTCTTTTTATGACAAGTGGGATGATTTAATAGATTACATAAAATGTGAAAAATGTGACATAAAAATGTGCACAAGCTGTTAGAATGAGTATTTACTACTTAAATTTAGAGTTTTATGAGACAAACATTTTTAGATGCATGATATAGAACTTGTTAAACCCCATCAAATTTCAATGCAAAAGGAGGGCATTCACACATCTATGTTTAAGTGTTACATTTTTTATTTTAAAGTTGCTTTGGGAAATGAATATTTGTGGGGGGTTTTTCCCATTAATGAAAGATAAGCAATTTTGTGTTCATCTTGCCTCATTGATGTATACTTTCAGATCTTAAGGCTTTAGTGATTTTTCCAGAGCCTTAGGACAGGACGTGTATCTCAGTTAATTTTTGTTTCCATAAGAGAATACCTGAGACTGAGTAATTTATAATGAACAGAAATTTATTGTTTCAGAATTCTGGAGGGTAGGAAGTCCAAGTTTGAGGTTCAGCATCTGGAGAGGATCTTCTTGCAGTGTCAACCCATGGCAGAAACAGAAAGGCAAGAAAAGGCTGAACTTGCTATTTTACAATGTCACCAGTCTCACCCATGAGGATAGAGCCGTCACGGCCTAATCACTTCTTAGGGTGCTCACTTAATACTGTGACAATGGGAATTAAATTTCAGCATAAGTTTTGAAGTGATCTAACATTCAAATGACAACAACCTACTAACCTCAATACTTCATCAAAAGGTGAATGGGGGAAACTGTGTTAGAGAATGTGAAGGTTAATACTGAGTGTCAACTTGACTGGATTGAAGGATGCAAGGTATTGTTCCTGGATGTGGCTGTTAGGGTGTTGCCAAAGGAGATTAACATTTGAGTCAGTGGACTGGGGGAAGACAACCCACACTTAATCTGAGTGGGCAGAATCTAATCAGCTGCCGGTGCAGCTAGGATAAAAGCAGGCGGAAGAACGTGGAAAGACTGGACTGGCCAAGTCTTCTGGCCTCCATCTTTCTCCTGTGCTGGCAGCTTCCTGACCTCGAAGATTAGACTCCAAGTTCTTCACCTTTTGAACTTTTGGACCTAGATCAGTAGTTTGCCAGGGGCTCTTGGGCCTTTGGCCACAGACTGAAGGCTGCACTGTCGGCTTCCCTACTTTTGAGGTTTTGGAGCTCAGACTGGCTTCTTTGCGCCTTAACTTGCAGGCAGCCGAATGTGGGACTTCACCTTGTGATCCTGTGGGTCAGTACTCCTTAATAAACTCCCTTTCATATAAATGTCTATCCTATTAGTCCTGTCCCTCTAGAGAACCATGACTAATACAAAGGAATAAATGTAACATCTTCTGCATTCAAATTTTAGTACAATAATTGATAAACCAACTTAAATTTTTCCAAAGGTTTATCAGTGAAAATACACAGTGTTTTAGTTCCCTTTGGCTTCTGTAATAGATACTACAAACTTGGTGGTTTAAAACAACAAAAATTTATTCTCTCAAATTTTAGTTTTGATTTCAGCTTTTATTTTAGGTTCAGGCAAGGTTGTGTAGAAAAGAGAATATTTACACACTTTTGGTGGAAATGTAAATTAATTCAGCCACTGTGGAAAGCAGTTTGGAGATTTCTCAAGGAACTGAAAACAGAACTATCATTTGAACCAATAATCTCATTACTGTGTAGCCACCCAAAGGAAAATAATTTGCTCTACCAAAAAGACACAGGCACTCATATGATCATTACAGCACTATTCACAATAGCAAGGACACAGAACCAAACTCTCACAGTTATGGAAGCCACAAATTCAAAATCATTCTCACTGAGCCAAAATCAAGCTGTTGCCTGGTCTGTGCTTCCTCTGGAGCTTTAGGGGAAAATCCTTTCCTTGTCTCTTCAGGCTGTGGGCATTGTTTGACTTGTGGCTACATCACTCCAGTTTTTGCCTCCCATTATTTTGGTTATATTGCCTTCCCTTCTGTGTGTGTCTAAATTTGCTTCTGCTTCTATGTTATAAAAATGGCGGGGCTGGATTTAGAGCTGATAATACAGGATAATCTTCCATGGCAAGATTCTTAATTTAATCACACCTACAAAAAACCTTTTTCTTTATAAGGTAATATTTACAAATTCCAGGTGTTGGGGAACTCCAGGTCCTAAAATTTGTCCTAGAACCCCAACACCTAGAATTTGTAAATATTACCTTATAAATATGTTTGAGTGGCCAGTATTCAGCCTATTACAACTAGGTGAAAAACAATACCAATAACTCAAAACTTTATATACACAAGAGAATAGAAATAAATGTGTGCAACCTGGTTCTCCTACTACTCCATTGAACTGAATTATAGAAATGCAAATTTTACCACCTTACCAGTAGATACTTAGTCCAAGAAAAATAAAAGTTATCAGTAAAAAGATATAGTATCCCCCCATAAACATCAAATGATAATATATTTTAATCACATCAGGTTTTATAATTTAAAAACACTGAAAATCAAAATGAGTTTCCAATTTTAATCTATTAAATTAGCACTTAATGAGAAACAGGGTATTTTATGTTGCCTAGGATAGGGTGCAGCTAAACTCTCAGATGTTGTTCATGGCATTTTACATTGGCATAAACCTTTTGAAAATATTTTTAGCTTATACATCAAGAGAAAAATGTTTTCGCCTTTGACATGTTAATTAACTTCTGGGAATTCTTACTGAAGATTTATTCTCACATACAGGAAATCTAAAAGAACAAATACATTTTTAATAACAAAACTTTGGAAATAATCAAATGTCTTGGAAGTAGGGTATCAGTTATGGCGTAATCATTCAATTGAGACAAATCCATTAAAATCACAGTTTTAAAAATAATATATCAAAGAGCAGAGAATAGCAAGCTGTGATTATAATCAGATGACATAATGACTGATTTGAAAAACCTATTTTTATATTTTGTGTTTTTATAATGAAAAAACAAATTTAAATTTACTTCCCTCTTCTGCCTAATCTCTTATCTTTAACTCATAATTTTCAAAATTTTCAATTACAATGTTTCTGAATCCATTCTTATACACACATACAGTTTTGGAAAATTCATTATTACACTGATACTTTTCTTCATTTTCTTGCTGGTGCCCTTCCGTGAAACTAGTAAATTCATTGTTTAGCTCATGTCTTGTCATTAAAAGCAGAAAAAAATACTCTTCATGAATTCCAACATTCAAATTTGTACAGCTAAAGCTTTCTCAAACCAAAGACAGATATAGACTTTCATTAGAAGGCTTAAGTTGCATTTGGTAACTGCATAAGTATTGATTGGCTTCATATATTATGAATAATTTCAAATATATCTTTTTACACAATAAAAAATATAGGATTTTCTTTGCTTTCTTTCTCCTGTGAATAAATTTTATTATTCCAATGTTATTTTTAAAATAAGTTTATTTTTAACCATTTTCAATAGCCCTGGAATAATTGGCTTATTAATAATTATTTTGTTGAATTTTTGTTTAAATGTAGAAACCTCCTGAAGTCATATTCTAGTCTGACATGAACTTTTTAAAAATACCTCTAGTGATGGACATTCTACCAATATTTGGAGAGGTTTATTCCAGTGTTTGATTACACTCAAAGTTTTTCTTTTCATCTAAACTCCCATAACACATTTGTTACTATTAAAAAAAACCTTCTGATCCATGAAATTGTACTTAATATAATGTACATAAAATGTAATTAGCTTTTATATAAGTGCAAACCATTACTGAATTATTTCTGTTTCCTTTCACTCCATAATACAAGTTTTATTTTGTAATACTTCTCTCTGTTGGGTTTATTTTTCTTCTTTTATTGTGTTGGATTTCTCTGTTTCTACTAATATTGTGCACCTACAAGTGTCTAGTAGGTATTCATTAATTTATAGAATACTAAGCTTGAAAAAGGGTTTTAAAGGCTATTCATTGTAGTTGACTGCAAGAACACACACTTTATGTCAAATTCAGAAGAGACATTTTCTGACCACATATTGGATGTTGGGATGCTGGCCATCACTCACCTTCACCAAGAAGGAGGATGGATTCTTTTTTTTTCCTCTCCTGGGTGCAATGAAATTTTCTTAAATTCTTCTGGGTTAATAATTCATTTAGAATATTCTCCCATCTGCCTTGGGGGAAAATATTGTGCTTTAAAAAAAAGCCACTTTTTAATTCTCTACAGATTATAGTTTTTATACGGCAAAAGAAATTGGTATAAACAACACTACTTTTCCTATATGAAAAACATGTAGTGGCTGTCAAATATAGTTCACTTTTTGTACGTGTGTTTGAAAATGGAGTTAAAGTTTTATTTTATACCTATGTCACAAGTCATTTATTTGCTTCGCTTTAGCACATAGAAACATCAAGTTAAAGTGCATATTAAAATAGGAAACAAAGCATGTGACCATATGATGATACAATTGCGACCTGAAAAATCCTTTCCCATGTTGGTTGGTCATATAATATTTTTCAACTTTCTTTTTGAAGTTCATATGTATTGTCCTCTCATCTGTCACAAAAAAACTTCCCTTTAATTGACAGGAAGGAAAAATAATAACTTTTAAAAATGTAATGTGTATTATACAGTTTTTTCAAGTAGTATAATAGCCTTAAACACATAAACTTCATCATTAATCTCCAATCTGATTGTCATCATTAAGATACCCTAGAAAATAAGAAGCAAAAAATTTAAAATCATATGTGCCATTACTCAAGCAAACATCTAATATCATTTTCATCAGTACTTTCCTAGAAAGTGAATTCAAATATAATTTATAAATATACAAATACACTAAGGAACATGTTCTAGATATTTACAATGTAAATGCATAACCACCTGATTTTAATATGACAATACATCTTTTTACTTTTTGCTCAACTCCAAGAGTCTTGTAGTATTTGGGAACAGATTATAAAAATGTAGCATCATAAAATTAACTCTACAGCATTTATATGAATTAATAGCTTAAAATGAGAAAACATTTACTTTTATTACATATATAGAGAAAATAAAATTCATGGAATCTCTGTGATTTAAATTCATTTTTAAAGATTTGAAATTAATTCTCCCTTTCCACATATTTTACTACTTGAATGTAGTACAGGAAAATTAATTTCTTTGCTACTGCACTCATGAAAATAAGTAAAGGAAAGAGATGTCAAATTGAAATAAAAACAGGATTCAATTGGGGGGAGAAGATATTTCTTTTCCTTTCCTTTTCCCCATGTATATATATTTTCAGCCACAAATTAATGAAGTGCCCCTGTAAGGCATGTGAATAGGGACAGAGGGGACTCAGAGAACAGGGGTGCCTAAGCACTCACTTGCCAGTTTCTTCAGAGTTCTGGATGTTCTTTAAGCCTTCATTCAGTCAAAGGACTGGAGGTCTTATTATTAACTGACATCAGGATAAGCTTGGTTTAGACTTTTGTCTAAAAACTAATGCCTACACATGTTTCAAAAGTCCTTGTCTCAATCCGAAGCCAATCTGTAAGGGCTATATATCATATGATTTCAACTCTGACATTCTGGAAAAGGCAAAACCACGGAGGCATTAAAATGATCAGTGGTTGCCAGGAGTTTGTAGGGGAGGGAGGGATGAATAGGCAGAACACACATGAGTTTTAGAGCATTGAAACTTCTCTGTATGATACTATAATGATATTAGGTTGGTGTAGAAGTAATTGTGGTTTTTGCCTTACTTTTATGGCAAAAACCACAATTACTTTTGCACCAACCTAATACATACATGTCATTATACATTTGCCCAAAGCCATAGAATTTACAACACCGAAAGTGAACGTAATGTAAACTATGGACTCTGGGTGATAATAATGTGCTAATTAGGTTCCTCCATTGGGGGAAAAATGTACTACTCTGGTGGGGAATGTTGACAATGGGGGAGGCTATGCTTGTGTGGGAGAAGGCATATGAGAATCTCTTTTATCTTCTGCTCAATTTTGCCGTTAAGCCTAAAAGTGCTCTAAAAAATTAAGTCCATTTTTAAAAATGTATCACCTCTATGTATGTTTTCACTTTCAGTTGGCTTTATCTTCACTATATTTTTGTGGAATTCCTAGATAAATCAGCTTAAACATTACAGCCTTACTATTACTGCCTGCAATTCTATCTACTGTTGTATTTCATAGAAAAAAATATATATATAAAAAACAAGTCACATTTCTTATGTGAATAGATGCCACGTCTCACGTAAGTAGATCTCATGGCTAATGTTCTTCCTTGATTCTCACAAAATTAATGTTTTAGCTCCATGTTCTTTATAGTTCATATTCACTTTATTTTCATGCTTCATCCCCAGTATCAGTGTTACAATGACAAAGTTAAAAGTATGAATTTGTTGTTTCCAACTTGCCTTCCTAGCCTACGCAGATGATATGAACTTGATATATTGCCATAATTATCCTTACTTTTAGTGAAATGATTTCCACTACTTTTACAGCGAGCTTCCAAGTTTCTCTAAACATAGAATTTGCTCTATTGACTAAAAGTGGTCCCCAGACACTGTTTTCTGTGTATTTTTGTATCCCTCACAGCATTTGTTTTGCTGCTAAGACTGATAAGATTTTTTGCATGAGGGTATGTGCTACAATCAGAAGAAAACTTAAAAATATGTAAAAAGACAATCCAGTACTATTTTAATGATTTCCAAATCAACACGGAAAAAAAAGTACAAAATAATATATGGAAAGTATTCTTTGCTCTGAGAATATAGGAGAATATGCAGGAAACTCTGTGGCCCTCTGAAGTGATCAGTGAGTGTCTAATGAATTATTGTCATACAAACACATACTTCTATTATCCTGTAGTTCACAAATTCTAATTGTGTCCTTTCCTTTCTACGGTGATAAACACTACTGTGAATGATTCACTACTTTAATATTCTTTAGCTAATTTTGAACTAAGATCACTATTCTTGGGAATTTGGGGAATTTGGGAAATTTGGGGTTCTGATGAGTAATTCTAACATTATAATACATCTTAAACTACTGTAAAATCCATTTATACTAAAGATCAAAGACACAAAAGATGCATCGTTTCTGAGTGTATTAAAAGCTTTAAATGTTTAAATATTACATTCAAAGTTCAAAAATTTTATATTTTCGGTGGGAAACTTATACTTAAAGGCTATTGTAGTAAAATACAGATGTGTGGATAGATAGATGGATGACAGATAGATATATAGATAGAAAAGCATACAGAGTTATGATTAAATTCTGCTTTACATTCAAATGACCCATGAGGGAATTTAACTTATTAATTTGTTTTCCCTTTATTCATATTTTAGACTAAAAACACATTACTAGTAAGGTAGATGGGGTTATTCCTAATTAAGACACAAATATAGTAATTACAGTTTATATGCTATTATCCTGAATCTACACTGGATGAGTTTAAACAGCCAAACAGCCATTAATTTTACTGTTCAAAGAAATTCTCATAATCTTTTTAAAATGTCATATAAAATATTCATTTCTAAATGCCCTATGGTGATTTCTGAATTTATTTAAAGTGGGCTGTTGATAGCTCTTTTTATAAATAAGCAATTACACTGAATATATCATGGCCCATCACATTATACATTCTATAATTTCATGGATGAAAGGCCTACAGCTGATCTGCATAAACGCAGTGCATATCACAGCAGGTGAAGGGTTTGATTACACAGGATAATCAGTGTTATTATTTATAGTAACTATTTATATCTGCTATTTATTAAATCTCTACAAATCAGGTATCTATTTCTTCAAGAGATATATTCAAAGAATATTTATGATAAGATATAGGCTTTTCGAATATTTTACACAATGGCCTGAATATGGCCTTTTACATCTGAATTCCTAGTTTCAATTGCTGTTAAGCTACTCAAAATTAGGTTTTAAATAACCTTGGCTTATAAGACATTTTGGAAGTTATGTGCTTTATATATTGAGTAGTAAAAAGGATTTTCAAATTTAATTTATTCATCTAATTCTTCTAATTTTGATGAGGTCAATTTTGGTACCCTACCCCTACTTGCTGTGACAAATTGCATTTCTTTGTCCACTTATTTTAAATTATTCTCTTAATAGTATTTATGGAGCTAGGAGCTGTGCTGTGTACTGAGGATAGGAAGATGTCAAAGAGACAAAAAAGCTCTTATTACTATTATATATCATTCATCTAATTATAGTAGTTTTTCATGCTATGAAGGAAAAGATACAAAAAGAACATACAATAATGAGAGCTAATCTGGTATAGGCGGTGATAGATATTTGACCATATGTGTAAGGACTATTCAAAGTCCAGGGAGGGTGGGTGTATATGTGTATATGCGTGTGTCTGCAGGAGGAGGAGAATGTTCAAGGAGAGGGTCATTGCAAAGAGAAAGAACAAAAGGTACAAATATCCTGAGACCACAGTTTGTTTAATAAGGATCCTCAAAGGAAGAAACAGTGAAAAGAGCCAATATTTGAAGAGTTAATTGCTGAGTACTTTCCAGACACATTTATAGACACAAAAAACTAAATGTACACCTAAAAGAAAAACATTTATACTTAGTCACACTTTAATGAAAAGGAAGTACACCAAAGACAAAGAGATATTTAAAACAATGAGAGAAAAAAAAATAAAGACAACTTTGAAAGAATGACATACTGATTGCAGTTTGTACATCAGCAACAGAAGCCATGAGATATCATCATAAGTTCTTCACAATTTTGAGACAAAGTAATAGTAAATCTACAATTATTTACTTAATAACAAGAAAAAAATCCTTCAATAACAAAAGCAAAATAGAAACATTTAAAGATAAACACAAATAGACTTTATCGAGAACATATATTCCATGAAAAAACACCGAAAACTTACTGATATGATTTGAGTCAGTGTCTCTGCTGAAATTTCATGTTGAATTGTAATCCCCAATGTTGGAGGAGGAGCCTGGTAGGAGCTGATTGAACCATGAACCAAGAACCTTTCTGTTCTTGTAATAGTGAGTGAATTCTCATGAGATCTGGTTGTTTATAAAAGAGTGTAGGACTTCCCCCTTCTCTCTCTCTTCCTCCTTCTCCAGCATGTTAAGAGGTGTCTGCTTTCTCTTCACCTTCTGCCATAATTGTAAGTTTACTGAGGCTTCCTCAGTCATGCTTTCTGTTCAGCCTGGAGAACTGTGAGTCAATTAAACCTCTTTTCTTTATAAATTACCCAGTCTCAGGTAGTTCTTTATAGCAATGCAAGAATGGACTAATACACCTATTCCTCAGGTGGAAGTGTAAATTATCCAAATGAGAAAACTGGAATATAAGGAAAATATTCAGAAAACAACTGGCAAAAATTTAAGCACATCAAAACAAATAATATAAAATCATAATCAAACTGAAGTCTGTTATTATGGAGTTAAAGAAAGAACAGAGCTAAAATATCATACATAACTTTTTTTGTATGTCTGTGTTCAACCATCCAACATGTTTTTAATAAGCTAAAAGGAAAAGAATAGCATACTCAGGTATTTACTATTTCTGTTCCTCTGTTATTGCCAATGTTCAAAGATATCTTCTTTACTGTTTATTTCTTTTCTGTTTAAAAAACTTCCTTTAGCCATTCTTTTAGAGTACGCTTATTGGTGATAAATTCTCGTAGTCTTCCTTCAGCTGGAAAAGAATTATCAAAAAATTGTGCATAATTTTATAGTCAAATTACCATAACAAGTTAAAAAAAGGAATACTTAAAAATGTTCAATTGGGAGGCCGAGGTGGGTGGATCACAAGGTCAGGAGTTCCAGTCCAGCCCGGCCAAGATGGTGAAACCCTATCTCACTAAAAATAAAAAAAAATTAGCCGGGCATGTTGGCGGGCACCTGTAATTCCAGTTACTCGAGGGTGAGGCAGAGAATTGCTTGAACCTGGGAAATGGAGGTTGCAGTGAGCCAAGATCGCACCACTCACTCCAGCCTGGGTGACAGAGCAAGACTCCATCTCAAAAAAAAAAAAAAAAAAAAAAAGTTCAAACAGCCCATAAGAAGGCAAAAAATGTGAAACACAGAAAACAACAAATAAAATGAAGGAAACAAACAGGAAGCAGGTAATAAAATAGTAGGCCTAAATTCAAACATACTATACATGTGCCTGCTAATTGCATTAAATGTAAATTGTCTATACTTATTAATTAAAAGTAACAGATTAGTAAAATGGATCTTTAAAAAATGACCCAACTTTATACTGTCTACAAAAAAAACTCAATTTAAATGTAGTGATATGAGACCTTAAAAACAAAAGGCTGAAAAAAACATATACTGTAAAAATAATAATAAAAAGTAAACTAAAATGACCATATTAATATCAGGCAAAGTGGATTTTAGGGCACAACGTAAATATCATGAACAAAATAGAAAATTACTTAATTATAAAATTATGGTAATTTATGATAAAAAGTCACCAGTATAACAATCCTAAATATATATTTACAAGAAAAAGACTTTAAAACACATAGGAAAAAAACTGATGAAAACAGAATGGAGGAAAATAAAAATTTTAAATTAAAATTGAAGACATCAAAACTTATCTCTTCATAATTAATGCAACTACTAGACAGAAAATCAGCAAAGATATAGAATACCACCATCAAACAATGAAATCTAACTGGCATGTATAGAATACTTCTCCCCAAACAGCAGAATGCATATTCTTCTCAAGTTCACATGCCATATTCACCAATATAGATTATATACTGGCTTATAAAACAACATATTTAAAAATAATAAAATTATATAAAGGAATAACAACATTTATATTTTTCTGGGAATTAAACAACACAACTCTAACTAATTTGTGTTATGGGCTGAATTGTGTCCCCCCAAAAATCATAATTTGTCTGAATCCCTAGTACTTCAATATGTGACTGTATATGACAATAAAGCTTTTAGAGATGTTGTAAGTTAATGACAGATGTCATTATAAAGATGTCATAAGCTTTCAGGATATGCCTTAATCCAATCTGACTGGTGTCCTTATAAGAGAGGAGACTGGTATGCTTAGAGAGACACCAAGGGTACTTATGCACAGAAGCATGGCCATGTAAAGAGGCAAATCAAGAAGGCTGCCATCTGCAAGTCAAGGAGAGAGGCCTCAGAGGAAACTAAGCCTGCAGGGATCTTGATCTTGAACTTCCAGCCTCCAGAACTGTAAGAAAATCAATTTCTTTTGTGTAAGCCACCCAGTCTGTGGTATTTGTTATGGCAGCTCTAGCAAACTAATATATGCATTAAAGAGCAATTTCTAATGTTTTTAAGGAGAACTAGAAAATACATTAAAGTGACTAGAAATGAAAATGCAACATCTCAAGATTTGTGGAATTTAATTAAATCAGGGTATAGAGGGTAATTTATACTACTCAGTGCTTATGTCAGAAAGGGGGAAAGATTTCAAAACAAAAACCTAAGTTTCTATTTCAAGAAATTAGGAAAATAAGATGAAAATTTACCCAATGTAAGCAAAAGAAAGAAAAAGAAGCAGAAATCAATGCAATGAGAGAGAGAATGAGAGAGAAGAGAGAGAGAATGAAACCCAAAGCTGGTTCTTTGAAGTATTCAATAAATTTTTCAAATGTCTGGCAACTCTGACAAGAAAAAAGAGAACGAGCAGATGACCAATATCAGGAGCTAATGGAGGAGGTATCGCTACAGACCCTATCAGACATTAGGGTATAATAGGGGAATGCCGTAAACAATCTTTACACATAAATTCAAACATGATTATCAAAGTAACTTGGTTCTTGCATATGAAAACACTGAATTTTAAAACTATAATCCCTTATAGTTTTTGGTAGTCTGTTTTGAACACAAAGCCTAGAGGCCATTTTTCTCTATTTTGTGTCTTCCCTCCATTAAAAAACAAATAAACAAGAAAAAAAATAAACTTAAAGCCGTATTCTGAAATCTTAATGGAGTGGATATAAGGAGTGTGGATAAAGGATTACAGAGAGGGAAAAATAAGTCTAGTTCACTTAAATTTTTATTCTATAACTTTAAAACCCTTCTGCATTGAGGAGCAGAAGGACCTATCACTTTCCCTTAAGTTTATTCAATTGTAGATGTAGATACATGCATCCTCCACTTTTTCCTTTGAATCATAAGCAGACAGATACGTAGAATTTTCACAAAATTTTTATACCAGTTTGCCAGTAATCTCCTTTGTAATAGGAAAAAGGAGGTTCAAGGGAAGTGGCCCTGGTGACTTTTAGAGAGTCTGTTCTTTCACCAATCACTCTCCATACCTTATGCTCCTCAAGCCATCACATTCTGGTCAAATGCATCTTTCTGTGCTTCTGGCTTCCAGGAAAATCTAAAGGGTGGGGACTTATGTTAAAATTTCTCTTCCTCTTGTACATCTTAGAACATGCAAAGAACCATGAAGTTGTTCTATACATAGAAGCTATATATATTAGGCTATAGGCTTGAGAGATTAGAACAGTATCTTTTGCAGCTCTGGATGGAGTTTTTCCTTCTCATTTTTCTTATCTAATCATACTTAATTTATGTACAGAATGGCTTCTTCTGGGTCAAACAAGGATGGAGATTTATATGTTCTGCAGTTAAAACAGTTGTGAGACCAGGACCCCATGAAACATATTCAACTCAATAGGTGTCTCCTGTTATAGATTTTAGGGTAGGATATAGAGATACAGTACATTTGCATATGTGAAAATTAGAAATTTCAATGTAAATATTAGCTCTAAACACCTTTAATAATGCACAGAGAAGCAAACGGGAAGTGGTACTCTTCGTACCTCTTCCCAGGTCCTCAAAAATCCAAATCTAAATAACCAGGAAGCTTTTAGAAATGTGCCATTATGGACACATATTTTAAGTACTTCAGTGCTTACAAATCTGGAAATAATGATAATACAAAAAACCTCGCATTGAATCAATGTTTGTTTCTTTAACCATTAGCAATACCAACATTTAAAAAATATTCATGCAGCTAGATGGCAGATAAGACTTCTGCTTATAAGTCCTGACTGAACATAACTTGTATTATAATGCTATCACTTGATTAATATATGTACATAAACCATAGATCATGACAATTTTTGTTGACATGGAATATAGCAATCCTTGGGATAAAGTGATTCCACAAAGCCATGGTCACAGGACATGCATTGGCTCCTCTTCTTTGTGTGTTCCCCTTTAGTGTGATACTATGGCTGTCAAAACCAACATGAAAATCAGTCCCAGAAATAAAAGCATGCTTTGTGCACTGAAATCTGGCTGAGATATTATATGGTTCACATTTAATTATTCCAATCATTCACTATTCTTAGGGATTACACTTGGCTCTGTAATTCCATTCCAGGTACAGAAAGAATTCTAACTACAAGAACAACAAAAGAAAAAGCAAAGAGAATGGTTGATATAGCTTTAGGTGCCAATCACCATAAAGTCAATCTGATGCTATAAAATACCTTCTAAAAACTACGTTTTCCACATATAGTGCTTTTCTGATTCCTAAGCAAATATTTTCAAGGAAAAGGAACCTCACTCATTTTCAAAGAAATCATTCAGTAACCAAGTCTTGTGATCTATTTTCATCAGTGTGAACAAATCAGAGCATAAACAAAATAATGGACATTATATGAGACTCAGAATATTATTTTTCATGTAGTAATATCCTATATATATGTATTCTAGTGATTGTTTATACCTAGCTTTGGCAATTCTAATATTCTTTCTACCTCTTGGGATAATTATAGGTCAGCAAAATCAAGAATACCCACCCTGAACTTTTTTCACTTGTCTGTCATATAGATCATCTACATTCAATGCATTCAAAAGGTCAATGCCCATTGAAAACTCAGAATATTTTTGGTGATATGTATGTATAAATTGTTTTATGATCCAGATTCATCTTTTCTAAGATAGCATATGCTCTAAAAATATTTTGCAAGTCTTTTCCTGTATGCAAAAATCAATTAAATATTTATTGTTCACTCTATTTCATATTCTATTCTATTTGCTGAAAAATAAAGGTAGGAATAAAAGTATGCCTTTAGCATCAGAGAGCTTATAGTCTAGGTGGGCAGAAACTCAAACGACAACTTTAAAAGTATCAGTGTAGGTGACATGGTCAACGTATGACCCTGGAACTAAAAAAAGCTGTTAAATGGGAAGGCTTATTCCTTCCTGTGCCTTCCAGTATAATTTTCCTGAAGAAAGAATGTGGGGAGACTAAGACAACTGGGAGACTCAGTAATTAATTAGGCAAAAACTGGGGACATTTCCAAACAGAATATTGTGTTTGTTTCCTATCGGCATTGTAGTCAAGAACCAAAATCTTAGTGGCTTAAAACAATACAGTCTCTTTCTCTTAAAGTTCCGGAGATCAGAAAGTCAAAATTAATTTCTCAGGGTTAAAATCAAGGTCTCAGTAAGGCTAGATCCTTCTGGAGGCTCTAGGGGAAAAAAATCCAATTTCTTGCTTTTTTTCAGCTTTTAGTGGCCATATGAATTCCTTGGCCTGTGGCCACTTTCTCTATCTTTAAAATGCATTCCTCCAATTTCTGCTTCTATCATGTCATTACACTGCATTTTTTGAAATTTGGCTCTTCCTAGATGGTTGTGATTACTCCAGGACCACAGGTTAATCCTGGATAGTCTCACCATCTCAAGATCCTTAAGTAAATCACATCTGCGAAGTTCCTTTTGAAATAGAAGGTAACATTTGCAAGTTCCAGGGGTTAGGGCAGGCACATATTTTAGGACCGTTATTCAGTCTACCACACACACTTTGGCAGATAAAGACATACAGAGAATTCTAGATTTCTAGAAAAGGTGAGTTTGGGATGCAATTTGATGAATCTGAAGAGGTAGGTGGTTACTGCCTACGTTCTTCTTAAAGTGAAAATCTCTAACCACAAGTTGAAAGATTCATTTCCCTCAGTAGGAAATGAAGCACACCAAAGGCAACATTAGTATCATACAGACATGATTTTTCAAATGTCTTCACCTTAATAATGGACTAAAACATATATAAAAGTACAGTTTGAATCTTTTCAAGGTTTGTTGATGATTGAGCTCTGCAATTATAAACTCATATATTTAATTCCAATGCCTCTTGTGTTTATGTTTTTGGCTTTGTGGTACACATTTAATTAACAAAAATTCAATGGAACTTAAAACATAAATGATGTTCCTGCCAAATGAAGATTAAATTATATCGTGGCTAGTTGAACAAAGGAACTTTTACACAGAGAAATGTGTTCATAAAGTTGAGTCATCACATGGCACATGGTGTATGTAATAGAGATATAATGTGCTCAGCAAAAGCACACTGCAGTTAATCAGCTTATTTAGCTCTGTATGCTCATTGTGAGCAGCTATTTCATTTAAGAAACACTTCCTCATTTTTATATTAACATAACTTATTTGAATTCCTTTAATTTTGCCCATTCATTTTAGATAAAGTTGTATAAAAGCAGTAAGAATAAGAATATCATAAAATTATTCATGTTTGTACCATTCAACTGTGGGTTAGTAAAATAGTCACTATCTGAGCTTTATGAAACTTTTTCTAAGTTTTAAAAGTGGTATGTTACTCAAGTTTAAGAAAATTATAGTAGTAAATGCTTACATTAGAAAAAAGAAATCTCAAAAAAATAAGATCAAAATATACCCAAACTAAGTAGAAGGAAGAAAATATAGACGATAGTAGGAACTAAAAGAATAAGCTCCAAAACCTGACTGCCTAGTGTTGATTTTTCCCAGTTCTGCCATCTGTAATTTCTAAGACCTTGGGCGAAGTACTGAATCCTTCTGCTGTGGTTTGAATGTTTTTGTCTCCTCCAAAATTCATGTTGAAACATAATTCTCAGTGCAACAAGAGGTGTGCCCTTTAAGAGGTGATTGAGTCAAGAGGGTTCCCCATTCATGACTAGGATTAGCATTTTTATAAAAGGACTTGACAGAGGGAGTTTGACTCTTTTTGTCCCTTCTGTTTTTATTATTATTATTATTTTATTTTATTTTAGGAGGTGAGGACAAAGTGATTCTCCCTTCTGGAGGATGCAGCAAAGTGCTGCCTGCCATCTTGGAAGCACAGAGTAGCCTTCACCACACTCTAATCCCATCAGAGCCTTGATCTTGGACTTGCCAGCCTTCAGAACAGTAAGAAAATACACCTGTTATACATTTCTCAGTCTCAGATATTTTGATATAGCAGGGCAAATGGACTTAGACACCCATTCTCCATGTCTCAATTTCTCAATTTCCTCAATTTTCTCATACTCAAATAGAGTAAATAATAGTGCCTACCTTGCAGGGTTGTTATGAAAATTAAGTGGAAAGTTTTAAGAAACTTAAAACACTTAGAAATTAAATGAAAAATGCTTTGAACAATGTTCGACACATAATAAGCTGGATCAGATTAGGGCAATCATATGTTCCAGTTTGCCCAGCATAGTCCCAGCTTATAACTTATTGTGGAGTTTTCATTTTTCAATGAAGTAGTAGTATTTATAGTTGCATCAAAATAGGTCTAAGTTGCCTCATCTAGGAGTCTGAAAGACATGTTTAGTGAATAGAACTTTACTTTTACATATGGAAGAACACCAATGATTCAGCTCTGTTTTGTTTTGTTTATTTTCATTGAATAGTAACTAACATCTTACCCTCAAAGACAAAATATGGTGTACTCTGTGATAAAACAAAGTATCCAACAATGCCACACCAGCCAGCCACTTGGTACACTAGTTAGGTATATCATGGACCATGACAAACATTGTGAAATATAGTAAACTGTTAGACTACAAGTGAGAGGATTCAATAGCAAATATTAAAATTATATGCTGGCATAATAGAATATGTGTAGGAAAGAAAAGGTGGGCTATCCTATATTAAAACATAAGATATAGTATAAACTCTCTTGCTATCACAGTGTTATTATGAACACTAATATGGTTTGGCTTTGTGTCCCCACACAAATCCCACCTAGAATTGTAATCCCCACATATCAGGGGAGGGGCCTGGTGGTAGGTGATTAAATCATGGGGGCAGACTTCTCTCTTGCTGTTCTCATGTTAGTGAGTGAGTTCTCAGAAGATTTGGTTGTTTGATAGTGTGTGGCACTTCCCCCTTGCTCTCTCTCTCTACTGCCACCAAGTGAGGAAGACATGCTTATTTCCTTTCTGCCTTCTTCCATGATTGTAACTTTCCTGAGGTCTCCTAGTCATGCTTCCTGTGAAACTGTGAGTCAATTACGTATCGTCTCTTTATAAATTACCCAGTCTCAGGGAAAACTACCCTAAGGCAAACATTATATGAAAGATAATACATTATGTTCAAAGCTTCAAAGTTATATTTAACATTAAAAATTTCATTAATGTGTTGTCAGTTGGTGATAATCACAGAAACTATGTGTGAAAATTCAACATTTAGTCATAACAAAACCAATTATCAATTTAGGAATAGAAAATTCCTTAATGTTACAAAGTTATCTATAAAAAATGAATGTAGCACATAAATTTGTAATATAAATGCATTGAAGGCATTCAGAAGCTAGACAAACTTGCATATTGCCTTTCTTTTCAACATTATACTCAATGTGTAAGGCAGCTTTTGGCAAGAAGAACAAATAAAGCTAAAATAGAATATGGTCATTATATAAAGATATAATTATCTATATAGAAAAACCAAAATAAATGGCTGATGTATTATTTCAAGTAGTCAGTGAAATTTAGCAAAATTTTCAAAACTGTGACATAAGTCATAGTACAAAAATCAATTTCATTTATATACTCCTGCCTCAATCAAGTAGAAAGCATCATTGTGAAAATAATATACAATAGGATAACAAGTGTAGCTCTCATTTTTACCCTAAGTTATTTATAAATCCAAATGAATTCCAATTAATATCTCCACATAATTATTTTTCTGTCACTTTCTCTGTTCCTTTTAGAGAGTGAAACATAAGGGGATGATTCTAAATTGATACGGAACAGCAACCAAACCCTCCTAAAGAAGAAAGACCTGGGGATGGAGGGGTGGGATTTACCTTACTAGTTATCAACAATTATTATAAAGCTGTATTTAATAACACAATAGGGTATTGATATCGATAGAAAAATTGAGTGAAGGGAAAGACCTACCTGCACATTGACACTTGATTTATAACAGAGTTTCACTCAAGAGCAATTGAAAAGAATAGACTTTCAAGAAATTCTGTCATACATTGGTTATCTATATGAAGAAAATAAAAAATGTGTCTCCTGATGCATAGTAGATACATGTTTATGGTGAATTGTCTAGGAATGGAGAATATGGCAGATGTTCACAAAGAAGGAGATACAGTTCTTTGACCTACACTCCCAAGAAATTGAGTAGTGCCTAAGTATGAATATTTGAAAATATTTGTTTGGAAATTAGAGAAAGAACAAGCTTCATGATGTTAGGGTAAAATCACCTATTTAAGAGCCTTATAAACATTTTATACTATTTTAATTTTTTTGAAGTTAAGTGTTAGTGCTTTACTTTGGTACCCTCTATGAGTTTGCTAATATCTTGGACAAAAGAAAAAAGTAGCCTTTCTATTTTTTAGAGATGAACTTCATTGTAATTGTTATGTACTATTTTAGGTACTGAAAAGACTGAAAGTGACAAAGAATAGATATCTACAGTTTTTGTCTGTTTCTTTGTTTTTTGTTTTTGAGATCGGTTCTCACTCTGTCACTCAGGCAGGAGTGCAGTGGTGTGATCACAGCTCCCTCAACCTCCAGGGCTCAAGTGATTCTCCCACTTCAGCCTCTTTAGTAGCTGGAACTACAGATGTGCATCACCACACCTGCGAATTTTTTGTACTTTTTTTTTTGTAGGGACAGGGTTTCACCATGTTGCCTAGGTTGGTCTCAAATTCCTGGGTAATCTGCCTACCTTGGCCTCTCAAAGTGCTGGGATTACAGGCGTGAGCCACAGCACCCAGCATGATAGCTCCAGTTTTTATTGAGCTTATTCAAAAACGTAATCATAATAACTACAGGTAAAATTCAAATACAATTTAGTTTTGATATCTAGATGGCATTCTTTTGTGAATATCTGTAAAAACATGTTTGTGTCTGTATGTGCATTTATTTTCGGAGTCTTAAAAGCATCTATGCGTCAATGTGATAGCACAAAAAAACTGCCAAATATTCACTGATAACACTGCATTAATTGAGCACTAGTCCGGCTTGTGTAAAACGGCTGGTGGTATTCTGTAATCACCAGTACAGTCTTCCCTCTAGAAAGTCAAATTCAATGACATTCTGTACATACTGCAGTTTTAAAAGTATCATTCCACTCTTAAGACATTAAAAACTGCATTATAAACATTCATAGTTGTGATGTGACTTCAGTCTGGAAGGACAAATGTACAAATGTATTCTTAGATTTACTCAAATGTTTACGTATCATTTTATAATGACTAGAATGGACTATAGTAGGTCCCTTGACTCTGTGGCTGCCTTAAATGGACAATTTCTAAATTATTTTAACATTCCAAAGGATTCTTTGGCTTTTGAACTATCCATCTAATTTACTTCTAAAATGAGAACTTGAGACAACTCAGTGTGTCCAGGCAAATCTTTGTATCTATTTATGTTTGTATGCATGCACACATCTTAACATCTGTATCTGTTGAATATCAGTTCTTTATGTTTTACTATTACTGTTTCTACTGTCTGTTTCTTTTCTTTCTTTCTTTCTTTTTTTAGTTAATACGGGATAAAGTGAGCCCTGGAAATACGTGTTAGGCCACAAAATACACAGAAGTATATAGCGGTTCAAGTTCATGAAGGCTTGTTCTGTGCCTCACTTTATGGTGTTTTTCTGAGTGTAAAAAAAGAACAAATCATAGTTCTTTATTCCTTCCTGCCCAAAATAAGTAAATAAATAAAGCAATATGAGATGGCAAGATAATACCTTTGTAAGTTCACATAGAGAAGAATTCCTTAAGCCTGTTATCACTGATTACTTCAAGTACATTAAGAGTAAACCACTTGGCCGGGCTTGGTGGTTCATGCCTGCAATCCCAGCACTTTGGGAGGCCGAGGCGGGCGGATCACGAGTTCAGAAGATCGAGAACATCCTGGCTAACACGGTGAAACCCCGTCTCTACTGAAAATACAAAAAGTTAGCCGGGCGTGGTGACAGGCGCCTATAGTCCCAGCTACTCCAGAGGCTGAGGCAGGAGAATGGCGTGAAGCTGGGAGGCGGAGCTTGCAGTGAGCGGAGATCGCGCCACTGCACTCCAGCCTGGGAGACAGAGTGAGACTCCATCTCAAAAAAACAAAAAAAGAATAAACCAGTTAATGGTAATGAAAACAAAAGTTACAAACTGGAGAAAATACATACAACACACAGAAGCGATCAATGTAAGTATTCAGAATGAATGAATAACTGAGCTGAATCATGTAAAAAGACATCTGATAAAAATAACAAAATGGATATATAGGCAGTTCACATGGTAGGAAAACCAAATAATCAATAAGCATGTGAGAAGATGTCCAATCTTAATTTGTTGCCAGGAACACATAAATTCATAACATGATATATACCATTTTGTGCATACTAGACTGGCCAACACAAATGGTCTGGCAACACCAAGTGTTGGTGAGGATACAGAGTAAGGAGAGCACAGAGGCACTGCTGTTGGAAGTGGATATCAGTGAACGACTTAAAAAAATTTTGACTTCAGAGTCATGCACCTAATAACCATGTTTCAGTCAACCACAGGCAGCATATAGGATGGGGGTCCTGTAAGTTTACAATGAAACTGAAAACTTCCCACCCCCTAGTGATGTAGCCATTCAAGTGTGGTGCAATGCATTAGTTACATTTGTGGTGATGCTGTTGTAAACAAACCTACTGCACTGCCAATTTAATAAAAGTGTAGCACATACAATTATGTACAGTACATAGTACTTGAAAATGATAAGTGACTATGTTACTGGTTTATTTATTTAATATACTATAATTTTTATCATTATTTTATAGCATACTCCTGTTATTTTTTAAAGAAACTTAACTGTAAAACAGCCTCAGGCAGGTCCTCCAGGAGATATTTCAGAAAGCATTATTGTCATAGGAGACAGCAGCTCCCTACATGATAAGACTTTCCAGTGGGACAAAAAGTGAAGGTGGAAGACAGTGATATTGATGACCCTGACTCTGCATAGGCCTAGGATAATGTGTGTGTTTTTGTCTTAGTTTTTAACCAGAAAGTTTAAAAAGTAGAAGCAAAAAACGGAAAGATATGAAAAATCTTATAAAAATATAAAGAAAAAATACTGTTTGTACAGCTGTATGTTTGTGTTTTAAACTATTACAAAAGTCAAAAGTGTTAAAAATTAAAAAGTTTATAAAGTAAAAAAGTTACAGTAAGCTAAATTTATTATTAAAGAAACGTTAAAATAAATGTAGTGTAGCTTAAGTGTACAGTGTTTATAAAGTCTGCTGTAGTGTACCACAATGCCCTATACCTTCACATTTACTTACTACTAACTCACTAACACCCAGAGCAACTTCCAGTCCTGTAAGCTTTCTTCTTGGTAACTGCCCTATGTATGTGTACAATTTTTCATCTTCTATACCATACTTTTTAGTGTACTGTTTCTTGTTTTTTGTTTGTTTGTTTGTTTGAGATGGAGTCTCGCTCTGTTGCCAGGCTGGAGTGCAGTGGCACAATCTCAGCTTACTGCAACCTCCGCCTCCCGGGTTCAAGTGGTTCTCCTGCCTCAGCCTCCCAAGTAGCTGGGACTACAGGCGCGTGCCACCATGCCCAGCTAATTTTTGTATTTTTAGTGGAGATGGAGTTTTACCATGTTGGCCAGGATGGTCTCGATCTCTTGACCTTGTGATCCGCCCGCCTTGGCCTCCCAAAGTGCTGGGATTACAGGCGTGAGCCACCGCACCTGGCCTGCTGTACTTTTTCTATGTTTAGATACACTAATACCTGTCATTGGGTTACAGTTGCCTACAGTATTGAGTACAGTAACATGCTGTACAAGTTTGTAGCCTAGGGGCAGTAGGCTATACCATATAGTCTTCATGTGTGATTCGCCATACCGTTTAGGGTTGTGCGATAAACTCTATGATGTTCCCACAACTAATGACCCATTTCTCAGAACGTATCCTTGTCAATGAATACTACATGACTGTATATAGAATATTTGAAGATATTAATACTCTATGATCCAAGAATTCCACTCCTGTGCATGTCCACCAGGAGATAAGTGGAAGAATATTCTTAGTAGCCTATGCAATAGCAAAACTTTGAAAACAATCAAAATACTCATCAATGTTAGAATAAAAATATATTACAGTAAAATCATGTTAGAAGATAGATATGTATTCATGCAATGATGTAAATGAATATTGAGAATATAAAAGATGAAAAAAATAAATTGTAGCAGAATATCTGTTCAAAATTTATTTCTTTACAATTCAAAACAAAGTGACATTTTGCTTAGAAGTTTGAAATTTTATAGTAAAAGCAACCAAAAGGAAATGGAGAAAATAAAGTTTGGGTTACTAGATTGGGAAGAAAAGAAATTGGTAAGGGCACACAAGAATCTACAGTGTGAGACTTTTTTTTTTTTTTAACATTTATCTCAATACTACTGCACGTAGGTGTTCAGGCTATCGTTATTCTTTATACCTGACAACAGATAGTTTATAAATATTACATTGAATCTGCTCACTATTTAATAAATTCTTAAAATATTTATTCTTCAAAACCTATTTTAAGCATTAAAAGAAAATAATACCCCTTTCAATATTCTGCCATAGAAACAGGCAAGCTCTTGCCTGTTCAGATTTCTTGAATGCGGAATCCCATTTGACTTTTGCATACCCTTGATAGATCTCAGAGTATATCTAAGGCATTGTGTTTATTTTAACAATGTCAAACAATTAAAAGAATTCTCACAGATAAAGCTCTTCTTTCACTTAGCAATTTATTCAACTATCCAGTATGTACTATTTTTAAGTTCCTTCTGTATGCTAAGCATGAGGAAGGTTAATGCCCTCTCACTGTTTACAATTTTAGTAGCAGTCATAAGACTAGTCCAAGACAGCTCTTTTGCAAGGCAGTATGAACAGAGCGCTGCCTGAGGAGCAAAAATGCAGGTGCTTTAAGAGTTGAAAGGTGGAAGAATGATTGCTGGAGTAATCATGCAGTTGTTTCAATACTGTTGCTGCCCGGGGAACTTTATATGCAAATTTCTAGGGTTAGGATCAAGAACTTGGAAGAAGGTCTCAGGAAGGAAATTGAATGTCATAATAAGAAAATGAGTGGAAGTGAGACTTCTTTTAAACAACAGCTGTCAGATTCTCTCTGGTGAAGCAAAACACTGCCTGAGACAGATGGGATGATGTCCATCATCTCAACTATGAGTTTAATTTAGATTGACATTCTGACCCCATTTAACTATGCAGGCTTTGGTAATGTGTCCTAAGTTCAGGCACGGCACGCAAGATGCTGTGTATTGTACTAACATAAGGTGGTGAAATTGTTTATGCATGTGTTTGTGGGGGTTGGTGGCAGTGTGTACACATATGTGTATGTATGCATGTCTGTGTTTGTGTGATAAATGAAGTATGGAAGTAGCTAGGAGTATGAAACGAGAGTGGGACTCTCCTTACAGGCAGCGCTTATCAAATAAAAATGCGACAAGCACACACTGGGCTAAACAATACTTTTTCGTTCTAATCTTTCCCTTGGGGAAGATCAACTCCTAAGTAGTTGATTTCCTGATATACTGATCAAACCCTAAGCGTTTGCCTAATCTGTAGACCTTCATATCAAATTTCCTGCTGGAGAGCTCCATATGGTTTACCAATAGACATTTCACACTCCACATGTTCAAAAAAAAGTCCTCACCTGTTTATTTTTATTTTTATTTAGACAGAGTCTTGCTCTGTCGCCCAGGCTGGAGTGCTGTGGCACGATCTCAGCTCAGGGCAACTTCCGCCTCCTGGGTTCAAGCAATACTCCTGCCTCAGCCTTCTGAGTAGCTGGGATTACAGGTGCCCGCCACCTCACCCAGCTAATTGTTTTGTATTTTTAGTAGAGACGGGGTTTCACCATGTTGGCGAGGCTGGTTTCAAACTCCTGACCTTAAGTGATCTGCCCGCCTTGGCCTCCCAAAGTGCTAGGATTACAGGCTTGAGCGACTGCATCCGGCCCTGTTTTTTTTTTTTTTTTTCCTTTTTGAGACGGAGTCTCACTCTGTCGCCCAGGCTGGAGTGCAGTGGCGCGATCTCGGCTCACTGAAAGCTCCGCCTCCCGGGTTCACGCCATTCTCCTGCCTCAGCCTCCCGAGTAGCTGGGACTACAGGCGCCCGCCAAGACGCCCGGCTAATTTTTTCTACTTTTTAGTAGAGACGGAGTTTCACCGTGTTAGCCAGGATGGTCTCGGTCTTCTGACCTCGTGACCCACCCACCTCGGTCTCGCAAAGTGCTGGGATTACAGGCGTGAGCCACCGTGCCCGGCCAGTTTTTAAATTTGACTTCACTCACCTCAAAAAATTAATGCCAGTGTCATTAATGCCAGTTCATCAGTTTCTTCAGTTGCTCATCCTTGAAACACAGAGACATCTGCAACAACTTGTTTTCACTCAATACTTAGGACTAGTTACTGAATTATACCATTTGCCTCTGTAACTTCTTCATCATTCATCTTGTCCTTGGTATTTTCATTGACGCTGCATGGCTTTATGTTCTCATGATTTTTCTCATTTTATGTATAGTGTCCCATTTTCCTACACCTCTATCTTTTCATCCAATCTCCTTCACATCTCTCCAAGATATTTTGTCTAAAAACTCTTTGGGAGGCCAAGGCAGGTGGATCATGAAGTCAAGAGTTTGAGACCATCCTGGCCAACATGGTGAAACCCCGGCTCTACTAAAAATACAAAAAGTAGCCGGGCGTGGTGGCGGGCGCCTGTAGTCCCAGCTACTCAGGAGGCTGAGGCAGGAGAATCGCTTGAACCCTGGAGGTGAAGGTTGCAGTGAACAGAGATTGCGCCACTGCACTCTGGCCTTGGTTACAGAGCAAGACTCTTTCTCAAGAAAAAAAAAAAAAAAAAAGTAAACCAAACTATATTTTACTCCTGCAGAAAATCCTTCAATAAAAGTATATGGCTCTCAAATTAAATACCTGGCACTTTCCCTTACACTCAAGGCCATCCAGTATAGCCTACTCTAAATTTCCTTTTGTCAAGTTTTCTACTCTGTAGTTCAACTGTTTAATTTATAAATATAAAGAATATTCTATACGTTGCCATCTCTGATTTTGTCCATGTTCCTTCTATGTGGAATTCCTTCATCTCATACTTATCTGTCAAAGTCCCATGCATACCTCAAACGGTCCTTTTATAAAGGCTTTATTTTTTCTAGGTCACAAAGCCATACATTCCCTATTTTTAAAATGTTTCTTTTTTTTTTTTGTATTTTTTATTGGCGACTTAACTATTCTCAACTTCTCCATATGTCAGGCATAAAATGAGACAGAAATTGAAAAGATAAATATGACAGAGTCATACACACATATGTGTCATCAGTATTAGATGTATTACTTCAGTATAAAACAGTCAGACATCATAGTTACACATAAAAGATTAGCTTATTTTGAAATAATAGTAGTATCAGTGAGGCCATGATACTCTCTTTTAGTCTAGGATTACATTTCTTTAAATCTTTCTCCTGAAAAATTTTAATACTTCTATTTATTTTTAACCTTCTCTCTCTGTCTCTCTCTCTATATATATCTAAATAAAATATATATATGTGTGTATGTGTGTGTCTGTGTATGTGTGTATATGTGTATATATAGGTGTATCTATATAGAGATACAGATATAATATCTAATAATACACACACAACGCTTCAGACATTTTATTATTATTATAGTGTCTAATATTACACACATATATCTCTCTATATAGATATATATTCTCTATATCTCTATAGATATAGAGAATATATATTCTCTATATATCTCTATAGATATAGAGAATATATATTCTCTATATATCTCTATAGATATAGAAAATATATATTCTCTATATATCTCTATAGATATAGAGAATATATATTCTCTACATCTATCTCTATAGATATAGAGAATATATATTCTCTACATCTATCTCTATAGATATAGAGAATATATATTCTCTACATCTATCTCTATAGATATAGAGAATATATATTCTCTACATCTATCTCTATAGATATAGAGAATATATATTCTCTACATCTATCTCTATAGATATAGAGAATATATATTCTCTACATCTATCTCTATAGATATAGAGAATATATATTCTCTACATCTATCTCTATAGATATAGAGATATATATTCTCTATATATATCTCTATATCTATAGAGATATATATTCTCTATATATATCTCTATATCTATAGAGATATATATTCTCTATATATATCTCTATATCTGTAGAGATATATATTCTCTATATATATCTCTATATCTGTAGAGATATATATTCTCTATATATATCTCTATATCTGTAGAGATATATATTCTCTATATCTCTCTATATCTGTAGAGATATATATTCTCTATATATCTCTCTATATCTGTAGAGATATATATTCTCTATATATCTCTCTATATCTGTAGAGATATATGTTCTCTATATATCTCTCTATATCTGTAGAGATATATGTTCTCTATATATCTCTCTATATCTGTAGAGATATATGTTCTCTATATATCTCTCTATATCTGTAGAGATATATGTTCTCTATATATCTCTCTATATCTGTAGAGATATATGTTCTCTACATATCTCTATATCTATAGAGATATATGTTCTCTACATATCTCTATATCTATAGAGATATATGTTCTCTACATAACTCTATATCTATAGAGATATATGTTCTCTACATATCTCTATATCTATAGAGATATATGTTCTCTACATATCTCTATATCTATAGAGATATATGTTCTCTACATATCTCTATATCTATAGAGATATATGTTCTCTACATATCTCTATATCTATAGAGATATATGTTCTCTACATATCTCTATAGATATAGAGATATATGTTCTCTACATATCTCTATAGATATAGAGATATATGTTCTCTACATATCTCTATAGATATAGAGATATATGTTCTCTACATATCTCTATAGATATAGAGATATATGTTCTCTACATATCTCTATAGATATAGAGATATATGTTCTCTACATATCTCTATAGATATAGAGATATATGTTCTCTACATATCTCTATAGATATAGAGATATATGTTCTCTACATATCTCTATAGATATAGAGATATATGTTCTCTACATATCTCTATAGATATAGAGCTATATGTTCTCTACATATCTCTATAGATATAGAGCTATATGTTCTCTACATATCTCTATAGATATAGAGCTATATGTTCTCTACATATCTCTATAGATATAGAGCTATATGTTCTCTACATATCTCTATAGATATAGAGCTATATGTTCTCTACATATCTCTATAGATATAGAGCTATATGTTCTCTACATATCTCTATAGATATAGAGCTATATGTTCTCTACATATCTCTATCGATATAGAGCTATATGTTCTCTACATATCTCTATCGATATAGAGCTATATGTTCTCTACATATCTCTATCGATATAGAGCTATATGTTCTCTACATATCTCTATCGATATAGAGCTATATGTTCTCTACATATCTCTATCGATATAGAGCTATATGTTCTCTACATATCTCTATCGATATAGAGCTATATGTTCTCTACATATCTCTATCGATATAGAGCTATATGTTCTCTACATATCTCTATCGATATAGAGATATATGTTCTCTACATATCTCTATCGATATAGAGATATATGTTCTCTACATATCTCTATCGATATAGAGATATATGTTCTCTACATATCTCTATCGATATAGAGATATATGTTCTCTACATATCTCTATCGATATAGAGATATATGTTCTCTACATATCTCTATCGATATAGAGATATATGTTCTCTACATATCTCTATCGATATAGAGATATATGTTCTCTACATATCTCTATCGATATAGAGATATATGTTCTCTACATATCTCTATCGATATAGAGATATATGTTCTCTACATATCTCTATCGATATAGAGATATATGTTCTCTACATATCTCTATCGATATAGAGATATATGTTCTCTACATATCTCTATCGATATAGAGATATATGTTCTCTACATATCTCTATAGATATAGAGATATATGTTCTCTATATATCTCTATAGATATATGTTATCTATATAAATATATATTCTCTCTATATATAATTACATACACACATATATATGTATGTAATATTAGACAAAATCTCTAATAGCAAGACAAACATGCAACCCTTCCGACATTTTATTGTTATTAGATATAGTGTCTAATATTACACATATGGCACAAGCCTAGAAGAAAGCAATAGTAATAGATCATTTATCTGTGTTAATTAAAGAGGTAAAATCGTTATCTAGCAAAATATGTTGAATTTAACAAACTGCATCCAGAAAAAATTCTCTAGTTTTACCATTTCTAGAAGAGGATGCAATTTTTGTTCTTTTAAGTTTTGTTCTATGTGTGTGGGGTTGGGAAGGGAATGGGGGTGAAGGCGTGGCTGAGAGAATAAAAGCCTTGAGAAAAGAGGGCTTGCCTTGCTCCTTATGCTGGAGAGATGTCCAGGAGGTACCACGGTTGGTAGTGCTGCCTACAAAGGATGTTACAGTTGAATTTGTCAAGTTCGTTTCTTAGACAGCCCTGCTCTGGTCTAGCCCAAGCTCTCATGTGTCCCCTGGCACGCTATTTGAGGTTTACTATGGAACCTCAAGTAGTCTGACCAGGGGACACATGAGAGCTTTTCATTGATTGCATTCCCACAAGCATATTTCCGTCACAAGTGGGGCATGTATCTCTTGTTTGGTTTGTTTTTAGTTTCAATAGCATATAACTTGCTTATTTCGCTTCTATGGATACTACCTGTGCCACTAAATAGGTCCCCTTAAACCTCTTGCAAAAAAGAAGGAAGTATTATTTACTCTACTTTTCTCTTTTAACCCTGAAATGAACATACACATTGTTAAAAATATTTATGGCATTTTATTGCTACTAATTATGAAAAAAAAAAGAAACAGCAGGAAACACAAAAGAGCAAATGTCGGTCTACATTTAAAGCAACCATAATGAGGACTCTCCCAGTGTTTTTTCAACTTCCTTAATCTATGGACCATTTTCAGCTAAAAAATAATTAATGATAAGTACACTTTAATTCTAAGTATCAATTTTTATAATATCAGCTAAAAACATACCAACAAAACTTATATATGTTTTGATATAATTGTATAAAATAAAATTTTTATGTAAAATAAGATATAAACTTATTTTACTTATAGCTCTGAAATCTATTAAATTTCATTTTCAAATAAAATACTAAAGCTTCCTACCAAATCACTAAAATTCAAATTAACAACATTAATTTAATATGCCATAGATTATAATTTTTATAAAAAAATACAATTACCAATGAAATTAAAACTATGAAGCAATACTTTCTCACTTTTGTCATTCTTATTTTGACCCTTATTTAAATTATAGTAGTTATCGTTGCCTTTATTTTTGCCTTTAAAAAACTCAAAATTTTAACTATCAGGGAATTATTTTGAAGATCCAATCAATTCAATCATATTCATAAAAGGCAAAAAAATTTTGGAGTATGAAGTCCTTTATTATATATTTAGTATCATCATTACTTGTTCAAAATTAAATCTATACAACACATCTGCCAGTGAAATAATTATGACACTGACTGCTACAGTACAGGTTCTGTTGAGTTCTTCAGAGTTGAAAGACCATGTGCTATTTGGTGACAATTTCCCCCCTACTATGCCTTATGTAAATGGCTGTAAAAGCTTTATTTGTACAGCTTGCCATGATGTAATTTGTCCTTTACTTGGGGCCAATGCAAATGCAAACTCCAGGACTTCAGTAAAGCAGTGGGACATGGGTATAAATTGGTCATACAAACAATCTTTGGTATGCTCATATATATGGGTGTAAGATTATCAAAATAAATGTAGAAAATTCAAAATTCTCTTAAAACTAAGAAGTCAATCTCCAGAAATCGTAAGAGTGATAATTCTTTCTTTTATATACACTCCTTGGCACTTTTTCATGTTCTAGTTCAATTAAGAGAAAAACAAAAAAGTTGTAAAATGCTAAGTCATTCAGGATTTCTCCAGATTCCAATATTATTTATGGCTCAAGGTAGATCCAAATAAAAATGAGAGTGTTACTGTTTTACACAGGAAATATCAACTTAGGTCATTTCCCAACAGTTACACAATCCAAAGTAAATTGAATGGATCTTAAATATTTAAAAAATATATTCATTTGAGGAAAAAAAATGAAGCTTAAGACTTAGAGGAGATCTGAATTTATTTGCTAAGTAGGTAGTGAACAATTCATTTGTTCATTAAAGTTTTCTGGAGTATTTATCCTATGACATGCACTGGAACAGTTTTACCATTGTGTAGTTACATCTACTTTGATTTCAGTTCTCTGGAAATGTTACTATAGATAATGACCAGATGGAGCCTTAAGTTATTTGTAAGCTCTATATTCTATAATTCTAATTACGCTGCATTGTTGTATTGCCTCTGTTTTATCCCTCTGATTTTCAATAAACTGTAAAGTCTTTGAATGTTATATGTATATTTATTTATATATATGCATACAATCACAACCAAAAGAAGTAAAAAACCACAAACCTCCATGAATTTTATTTTATTTTACTTAATTTTAATTCATTTTATTTTATTTTTGTAGAGATGAGGCCTCACTATATTGCCCAAGCTGGTCTCAAACTCCTGGCCTCAAGAGATCCTCCCACTTCAGCCTCCCAAAGTGCTAGGATTACAGGTGTGAGCCACCATTCCTGATCAAATTTTAGAGTAAATGATAGAATAATATTCACTCTATGAATACTCAATAAATGTTGTATTTAGTAAAGATGTATTAATGATAGAACATGAACTTTCCAATAAAAATTAATGCAGAGAAGAATGCTCATTTTTATTTTACTTATAATAAATTTAATACCGTTCCAACTTAGATTTCTTTCTAGCTAAAAGGATATCATAGTAATCCATCATAGTAGTCTTACAGATTAAAGAAAAGATTACTTGGGTAAAAATAAAAGCACCAAGATTTTTCTAAGGGATTTTTATGTACATTTTGCCTTATGTCATAATGTGGACAACCATCCCTACTTACATCAAAATTTAATTAGCAAATCATAGGTTTAATTATCATCTACTACCTGTGTTTCCACAATAATTCATTTCTGCTCAAACTATATCATGATATATCAGGCTATGATTTTGACTATTGCCAAAAAGTAAAGTTTGATATTGTATTGCATTCTACACTTTTCCCAGACAGAAATAAGAGGTAATGCATTATCAAACATGGTAAAAATCATCATGTTCTAAAGCTACAGATAAAGATGCATGTGATACAGGCATACAAGAGTAATCCCAGAATTAAGAACAAGGTAAAATAATAAAAATGTGGTAAAGTTAAAGAAAAAGAAAACTCTTATTAATATTATTTCTATCAGGTATTGCCTGCAATCAAGACCTTTTTAAACTAGCATTGGAAAGGGATGGCCACAGTTCATATCATCCTTTCCCAAACATATTTCAATCAGGCTCTTTGAGGTCTTTTGTTTCAAGGAAATTAGCTCTGATTTAATAGTTTGAGAAAAAAAACGACAACAGTATTCACTGTATCTTCAGGTTGGCTCCACACTTATGAAGCAAAGGATTGAAAAGTAAGATTTGAGTAGGATTTGACAATATTGAATGAAAACATTAAAAGCAAAAAAGAAAAAGCAAGACATTTATTCAGTTCTGACACATACTCAACTTTTAGATGATATGAATAAATTTAATCTTGGAGTCCAGATAATTGAGGTCACTTATGTAGCTTACTTTAGTTTAGCTAGATGTTGGCTTTTTGTTTTTTTGTTTTGTCCTAAAAAAAATGGTGGGAAAAAGAAAACATGGAATTGGTGTTTACAAACTTAGTTGCTGACAAAGGGCTGAACTTGAGGTATAGATTGGATCATTTAGCAGATGGCTTCTTAAAAGCAAGGTCTTGTTTTAAAATTATTTTCAAAGTATATCTTTGGCAGGAGAGGCGAGAGAGAGGATAGATCTGAGCAATAAGAAATCAATCTGTTGCATTACTCTTTTCAGCCTCCAGATGAGTTTAATTCTTTTTTTTTTTAATACTTTAAGTTTTAGGGTACATGTGCACAACGTGCAGGTTAGTTATATATGTATACATGTGACATGCTGGTGTGCTGCACCCACTAACTCGTCATCTAGCATTAGGTATATCTCCCAGTGCTATCCCTCCCCCTTCCCCCCACCCCACAACACTCCCCAGAGTGTGATGTTCCCCTTCCTGTGTCCATGTGTTGTCATTGTTCAGTTCCCACCTATGAGTGAGAATATGCGGTGTTTGGTTTTTTGTTCTTGCGATAGTTTACTGAGAATGATGATTTCCAATTTCATCCATGTCCCTACAAAGGACATGAACTCATCATTTTTTATGGCTGCATAGTATTCCATGGTATATATGTGCCACATTTTCTTAATTCAGTCTATCATTGTTGGACATTTGGGTTGGTTCCAAGTCTTTGCTATTGTGAATAGTGCCGCAATAAACATACGTGTGCATGTGTCTTTATAGCAGCATGATTTATAGTCCTTTGGGTATATACCCAGTAATGGGATGGCTGGGTCAAATGGTATTTCTAGTTCTAGATCCCTGAGGAATCGCCACACTGACTTCCACAATGGTGGAACTAGTTTACAGTCCCACCAACAGTGTAAAAATGTTCCTATTTCTCCACATCCTCTCCAGCACCTGTTGTTTCCTGACTTTTTAATGATTGCCATTCTAACTGGTGTGAGATGATATCTCATTGTGGTTTTGATTTGCATTTCTCTGATGGCCAGTGATGGTGAGCATTTTTTCATGTGTTTTTTGGCTGCATAAATGTCTTCTTTTGAGAAGTGTCTGTTCATGTCCTTCGCCCACTTTTTGATGGGGTTGTTTGTTTTTTTCTGGTCAATTTGTTTGAGTTCATTGTAGATTCTGGATATTAGCCCTTTGTCAGATGAGTAGGTTGCGAAAATTTTCTCCCATTTTGTGGGTTGCCTGTTCACTCTGATGGTAGTTTCTTTTGCTGTGCAGAAGCTCTTTAGTTTAATTAGATCCCATTTGTCAATTTTGGCTTTTGTTGCCATTGCTTTTGGTGTTTTAGACATGAAGTCCTTGCCCATGCCTATGTCCTGAATGGTATTGCCTAGGTTTTCTTCTAGGGTTTTTGTGGTTTTAGGTCTCACATTTAAGTCTTTAATCCATCTTGAATTGATTTTTGTATAAGGTGTAAGGAAGGGATCCAGTTTCAGCTTTCCACATATGGCTAGCCAGTTTTCCCAGCACCATTTATTAAATAGGGAATCCTTTCCGCATTGCTTGTTTTTCTCAGGTTTGTCAAAGATCAGATACAGGAGCACCCAGATTCATAAAGCAAGTCCTGAGTGACCTACAAAGAGACTTAGACTCCCACACATTAATAATGGGAGACTTTAACACCCCACTGTCAACATTAGACAGATCAACGAGACAGAAAGTCAACAAGGATACCCAGGAGTTGAACTCAGCTCTGCACCAAGTGGACCTAATAGACATCTATAGAACTCTCCACTCCAAATCAACAGAATATACATTTTTTTCAGCACCACACCACACCTATTCCAAAATTGACCACATAGTTGGAAGTAAAGCTCTCCTCAGCAAATGTAAAAGAACAGAAATTATAACAAACTATCTCTCAGACCACAGTGCAATCAAACTAGAACTCAGGATTAAGAAACTCACTCAAAACCGCTCAACTACATGGAAACTCAACAACCTCCTCCTGAATGACTACTGGGTACATAACGAAATGAAGGCAGAAATAAAGATGTTCTTTGAAACCAACGAGAACAAAGACACAACATATCAGAATCTCTGGGACACATTCAAAGCAGTGTGTAGAGGGAAATTTATAGCACTAAATGCCCACAAGAGAAAGCAGGAAAGATCCAAAATTGAGTTTAATTCTTAATGCTTTCTTCATTGCCACCACCTTACACTTTTCTGTTCTCTATTTGGCCTTTGAAAATTTAGGTTATTATCTTAAAATTTTCTCCCTCAGGAATTTGTCTTTCTTGACTTCATTAACTTACTAAAATTAGTTCTCAGAATTAAATGTGGCCAGTAAACTTCACAGGGCATATGCAAATTTACAGGCATATATAAAGACATTTTCACTGGTTATATGAAATTTTCAAAAATACCAGTAAGTAATTGATTCAATTAATTCCTATGAAAATAGATCTGTTATTTTCCCATTATTCCAAAGCTTTAAGTAAAGAACTTGATTTCAAAACATTTTTCAAATTTGCACACTATTTGACATAGTCAACATTATTTCCCTCCCCCTTAAGCTGACACCAAGTAAACCTATAAAAAATAATATATAGAGATAAATTATAATAGTGATTATAGAAAAAAGGGGGAATTTAGCAATTTCCAAATTAATCAAGTGTTAAATCAAACTTTATAACTCATGTCAATATCTGCTTTGTCTTTGATTGATTTGTCTTGTGTGTATATATATGCTTTGGTAAAATTAAACAGATAATCACAAACTCTGCTCTTACTTTTTCATATTGCAAAAACCACAGTCCAAATGAAGTAAATCAATAAAATAAACTATAAAATAAAGTTTGTGTATGGATTACAAGCATTCAGGACATAGATATAAGTACCAGTCAGGGTTCTGTCTCTAGAGGGACAGAACTAATAGGAGATATACATATATACACACACACACAAAGGGGAGTTTATTAAATGTTACCTCACACGATCACAAGGTCCCAAAATAGCCCATCTGCAAGATGAGAAGAAAGGAGAACCAGTCCAAGTATCAAAGCTGAAGAACTTGGAGTCCAATGTTGGAGAGCAGGAAGCATCCAGCATGGAAGAAAGATGTAGTCTGGAAGTCTAGGCCAGTCTCTCTATTCACATTTTTCTGCCTGCTTTACATTTTAGCCACACTGGCAGCTGATTAGATGGTGCCCACCCAGATTAAGGATGGGTTTGCCTTTCCCAGCCCACTGACTCAAATATTAATCTCCTTTGGCAACACCCTCACAGACACAACCATGATCAATATTTTGCATCCTTCAATCCAATCAAGTTGACACTCAGTATTAACCATCCCAAGTCCACCCCTTATCAACTTGAACCCATGCACATCTCCTGAGATCATACATAATCTTCACTAAAAACAATAATAAGGTCATAATTATGCCTAACATAAAACAACTATCCTTTGTACTACCGGAAATGCACCAATCCCCAACCCAAATACTATTATGTAATGTTAACAATACATAAATGCTCATATGAAATCAGTATGTCTTATGTCACATGATAAAGCAAAAAGGAAATAAAATGATATTTTCTTAGTACAAGTGTACAGATGCACAAACATGTTTTTAACAAAAGAAGCTGGAAATACTCATGACAATTACAGTCCTCGTTTCTGCAGCTGGTCATGTGTTTGCAGCTGGTATTGATGACTACCTTCTGCTACCACCCATTCTGTATTCCCTTTGCCTTCAGCATGCACCTCAGCAGGTCATGGCTTTTTCCTGGTGGACTGACCCAAACCTTCACTCCTGAGGGGTCTAGGCCATTTGTAGTCCTGCATGGATTGGGCTGTTGTAGTTTCCCATTGACCTTAATCACAAGGCATAGTAATATTAAGAGATGTCCTAATGGATTTCCTGTATTCCATGCATACTCTTCCTTGCCTCCATTGTGGAGTAGTAGACTGATTTCATCTTGATAGTCCAGATCAATCACCCCAGCCAACACTGTAACTCCCTTCTTAGCCTGTTGACGTAAATGTAGGTAGGAGGATCCCAAAGTGTCCCAGTGGCAATCTTAACTTCCATGTAATTGGAATTGTCATTGTTTCTCCTGGTGGCAGCATTCCTCCCTCTGAAATGAAGACCTCTAGGCCAGCAGAACGTAATGTGGCAGGAACAGGAAGCAAAAGTTTTGCTAGTGGATCACTAGGGGTGATGGTGAGTGGTGCCACTTCCACTTCTACCCCTTGATTCCTGGACCTGTGAATCCTGGCTGTGGAAGAAACAGTACCATATATTGGACACCAATTCAGAACATACAGAGCATTCTGGAGAACTTTGCCCCAGCCCTGCAAAGTATTGTCACCTAGTCAGCATTGTAATTGTGAATTCAAAAGGACATTCCGCCATTCTATCAATCCAGCTGCTTCAGGATGATGGAGAACATGGTAAGACCAGTGAATTTCATGAGCATGAGCCCACTGCTGCACTTCTTTAGCCATAAAGTGAGTGCCTTGGTCAGAGGAAATGCTGTATGGAATACCATGACGGTGGATAAGGCATTCCGTGAGTCCACGGATGGTAGTCTTGGCAGAAACATTGCATGCAGGATAGGCAAACCCATATCTGGGATAAGTGTCTATTCCAGTGAGGAAAAGCCTCTGCCCTATCCATTATGGAAGAGGTCCAATATAATCAAACTGTCAGCAGGTAGCTGGCTGACCACCCCGAGGAATGGTGCCATATCAAAGGCTCAGTGTTGGTCTCTGCTGCTGGAAAATTGGGCACTCAGCAGTGGCCATAGCCAGGTCAGCCTTGCTGAGTGGAAGTCCCTGTTGCTGAACCCATGCATAACCTCTATCCAAGCCACCATGGCCACTTTGTTCAAGGGCCCATTGGGTGATGACAGGGGTGTCTGGGGAAAGAGGCTGAGTGATGTCCACAGAACGGATCACCCTATCCACTTGATAATTAAAATCGTCCTCTGCTGAGGTCACCATTGGTGAGCAATCACATGGGATACAAATATCATTACAGTTTTTGACCACTCAGAGAGGTCCATCTACATATCTCTTCCCCAAATTTCTTTGTCACCAATTTTCCAATCATGCTTCTTCCAAATCCCTGACTATACAGCCAAACCTTTGGCTATAGCCCATGAATCAGTATATGAACACACACCTGGCCATTTCTCCTTACATGCAAAGTGCACAACCAGGTGCACGGCTTGAAGTTCTGCCTATTGGGAAGATTTCCCTTCACTGCTGTCCTTCAGGGATGTTGTAGAAAGGGGCTGTAAAGTTGCAGCTCTCCACTTTCGGGTGGTGCCTGCATATCTGTCGGAACCATCTGTGAACTAGGCCCTATTCTTCTCTTCCTCTGTCAACTGATCATTGGGAACTCCCAATGGGGCCATCAGTGCAGGCTGTGGGGGAGAAGGCAGGGTGGCAGGAGTGGAGACCATGGGCATTTGAGACACTTTCTCATGTAACTTACTTGTGCCTTCAGGACCTGCTCAAGCCCGGTCACATATATACCGCTTCCATTTGATGATGGAATGCTGCTGTGCATGACCCACTTTATGGCTAGATGGGTCAGAAAGCACCCAGTTCATGATAGGCAGTTCAGGTCACATGGTTACTTGATGACCCACAGTCAAACATTCAGTTTCCACGAAAGCCCAGTAACAGGCCAAGAGCTGTCTCTCAAAAGGAGAGTAGTTATCTGCAGAAGATGGCATGGCCTTGGCTCCGTAACACTAGAGGCCTCTGCTGTGATTCACCTATGGGGGCCTGTCAAAGGCTCCAAATAGCATCCCTATCTGCCACTGATACCTCAAGAACCATTGGATCTGCTGGGTCTTGTGGCCCAAGTGGCAGAGCAGCTTGCACTGCAGCCTGGACCTGTTGCAGAGCCTTCTACTGTTCTTGACCCCACCCAAAACTGGCAGCCTTTTGGGTCACTCAATAAATGGGCCAGAGTAACACACCCAAATGAGGAATGTGTTGTCTCCAAAATCCAAATAAGCCCACTAGGCATTGTGCTTGTTTCTTGGTTGTAGGAGGGGCCAAATGCAGCAACTTATCCTTCACCTTAAAAGGAATATCTCGACAGGCCCCATATCACTGGACCCTTAGAAATTTTATTGAAGTAAAATATTTTACTAAAATTCCCTGAATTTTAGTCAGATTTATTTCCCATCCTCTGGTATGCAAATGTCTCACCAATAAGTTCAGTGTGTTTGCTACTTCTTGCTCACTGGATCCAATCAGCATAATGTCATCAATATAATGGACCAGTGTGATATTCTTACAGAAGTGAAAAGCAATCAAGATCTCTCCAAATAAGATTATGACACAAAGCTGGATAATTGACATACTCCTGAGGTAGGACAGTAAAAGTATGTTGTTGGCCTTGCCAGCTAAAGGCAAATTGCTTCTGGTGGGCCTTATGAACAGGAATGGAGAAAAAGGCAATTGCCGAGTCAATGGCTTCATACCAGGTACGAGGAGACGTGTTAATTTGCTCAAGCAATGAAACCACATCTGGTACAGCAGCTGCAATTGGAGTCACCACTTGGTTAAGCTTACGAAAATCCACTGTCATTATCCAAGAAACATGTCTTCTCTACAGGCCACACGGAGAGTTGAAGGGGATGTGGTGGAATCATCACCCCTGTGTCTTTCGAGTCCTTTATGGTGGCACTAATATCTGCAGTCCCTCCAGAGATGTGATATTGTTTTTGATTTACTATTTTTCTAGGTATAGGCAGCTCTAATTGCTTCCGTTTGGCCTTTCCCATCATAATAGCCTGCACCCTACCAGTCAGGGAGCCAATGTGGGTGTTCTGCCAGCTGCTAAAAATGTCTGTGCCAATTATGCATTCTGGCACTGGGGAAATGACCACGAGATGAGTTCGAGGACTCACTGGACAAACGGTAAATCAGACCTGAGCTAAAACTCCATTAAATACCTGACCTCCTTAATCCCCTACTTTAACTGGAGGAGCACAATGATGTTTTGGGTCCCCTGTAATCAACGTCAGCTCAGAGCCAGTGTCTAGTAGTCCCTGAGGTATCTGATCATTTCCCTTTCTCCAATGCACAGTTACCCTAGTAAAAGGCTAAATGTCTCCTTGAGGAATGATGGGAGAAAGATTTTTTGCATACATTGTCAGTTCCTCAAGAGGAACCAGGCTCCCCTTCATTCAAGGGGTTCTGGGTCTGTAAACTGACTCAAGTCTGAAAATTGATTGAGGGGCTCTGATTCTCTGTTTTCCTAATTCAAATTAGTCTTTTGTCCATTTGACCTAGAAGTTTTCTGCTTATATAAATTAAGTAGAAATGCAGCAGGCTTCCTATGAATTTCATTTCTAGAAACACCGTGATTCATTAGCCAATGCTAGAGCTTTACACGAGTCAGACTATTCTGATTGCTGCTTTGTCTCTGCTGTCTGTTATGACAGCTATGACCATCTTGCGTTTGACAGTTGAGTGCTGCCACTTGGCTCCTGCCACCTCAGGACCCAACTTTTCCCGTTATATTTAAAATTTGTAGTTGAGTGACTGCAGTTCCCAGTTTTAGATCTGACATACAGACTACAGCAATTACAGGGCTCTTCAGAGATGCAGGTGCTGCTCTCAAAAATCTATTTCACAAGGCATTTGTCAAGGATATATCTTCTGGACCTTCCCAGCTGGGATGAGTAGGTCTAAAGTGACTAATCCACTCTGCCATCTTAATCTCCCTAAGCCTTTGGATCCCTTCCTCTACATTAAACCAAAGGAGATCAGGCATTTCCAGCTCACTCACAGTGGGCCATCTTTTAATCTGTATTTCAGCTAAACAAGGAAATAAACTATTAGAACCTTTTTTAATTCCCTGAGGTGCAACATTAAATGCAGAGTCCCTACTTAGTGGGCCCAAATCAATAAATTCAGCCTGATCCAACTCTAGATTCCTTCCACCATTATTCCACACCCTTAATATCCATTCCTATGCCTATTCTCCAGATTTCTGTTTATGTAAATTAGAAAATTCAAGCAGTCTTTTTAAAGTGTAGCATACCTCCTCATGGGTCACCCTCTCAATCTCACCTCTAGGGGTCCACCAGGACTTTAGTTATAGGTCTAGGTGCAAACAGGGGTGTTGGGGGTGGCTCCTGAAGAGAATTAACATTATTTTGCCTGGTAACTGCCTCAGGGGAGGCCATCACTGTTGCCTCAGGAACTTCAGAGTTCAACTCCTCAGACAAAGGTGGAAAGGCTGATGGCAGCATGAGTGGGGAGAGGATGTTGCCACTACTGGGGATGGGGAAGGTATTCTGGCAAAAAAGGTTGATCAGCATTGACAAACTCAGCATCCCTCGCTTCATCAGGGTCCTCCCACATGTCCCCATTCCAAGTTGCAGGGTCCCATTATTTTCCAGTTAATGCCCTCACTTTAACAGTAGACATCTGGTGACACTGTGCATGCCTCTTTTGTTGCAGGTCAGCCACTTTCATGATAAAAGCTTCTGTCTGTTTTTCCACAATTTCAGCTCTTTCTCTACAGGAGATAATACTCTCACTCAGGGCAATCTTAGCAGATTTGAGGCTCAGTATCTGCTTCTGAAGCTGGGAGTTAGAATCCTTGAGTTCATCATTTTCTTTCATCACTTTGTCCACTGAAATTTGGAGCAACCAACCAGCTTCATTATGTTCGTTGGTTCTCCACATATGGTTAAAGGTTTTATGTACAGGGTCACTAAACTCCTTGCCTCTCATGAGCAGTGATTCAGGAGTGTCAAATGCATTTATTTTGCATATCTCTCTAAACAATTTATGCCAAGGACTATCAGTGTTCTCCATACTATTAGAAGTAGAGTCCTTTTTTTGAGCATTCTTGGGTCTAATCATATTAAGCAGCCAACTCCAGAAACTCCCAAACCAATGAAAGAACTCCACCCTTAATATTCTGCTCCTCTAGAACCACTCCTGGTGCCAAAATCTGTATTAGTCAGGGTTCTTTAGAGGGACATAACTAATAGGATAGAAATATATATTATCTATATATCTATATATCTTTTCCTCTCTATATATTTCTATATATATCTATATATCCTCCTATACATAATATATACAAAGATGTAGGCTGGGAAGCTAGCCCGGTCTAGTCTTTTTACATTTTTCTGCCTGCTTTATATTCTAGCCACACTGGTTGCTGATTAGATGGTTCCCACCCAGATTAAGGGTGGGTCTGCCTTTCCCAGTCCCCTGACTCAAATGTTAATCTCCTTTGGCAACACCCTCACAGACACATCCAGGATCAATGCTTTGCATCCTTCAATCCAATCAGGTTGACACTCAGTGTTAACCATCACAATATATTACTGACAAACTTAAATGTATACCTACCACTACTTCAAAAGCAACAAGTTCTGTCCTCAACAGCCAATCATATTTTTAACAATTAGGTAGACTGACTTAAGCTATTACAAATACAAATATAGTTGATCTTATTCTTTTTTATCTAAAACAATTCACTTCACTGTTAGCAAGAATATTTAAATAAGCTAATTGCCTTTTTTAAGCGGTAATTAATTTTGCATATACAATATCCAAATCACATTAGTTTTATACAGAACACTGCTTTCAAGAGATCAAAGGATTTTTCTAATGTAATTTTTAGCAATGTTTGCAAAACCCACTAAATTTTATAGTAACTAATCCTATTCTAGTTTGAAGGATAGAAAATACCAGTTAAGCATAACTTAATTGCCTCTCCTTTTGTTTGGTTAACTCTTTAACACTGTGGATTACCCAGACTAAACATGAGGCCTAGGGTATTTGTTGAGAAAAATACAATAATATAAACACAATCTAACTTTTTTTTGATGGTTCTTGAACTCAGCCCCTCCTGTACCTTTATGCATCAAGGGTGTAGATGGGCACCAGCCTCTGCCTCATCTCAGGTCTTGGGACAAGGTCTGGGGGTAAGAGAAGCTGAAAGGAGATGAGCCTTGGAGGAACAAACCAAATCTCAGTCGAAAAAAAATCTTTAGCTTTTTAATTTTAAAATATATCCTCAATTCCTCTTAGAATGATAATCTTTTTTTCCTCTTATCATTGAAATTAATTATAAAAAAGGTAACTTTTTGGGGAACAGTTGTATGAAAATCATCAATAACACAAATTTTAATCATCAGAAGTTGAACAACTAAAGAAAATGAGAAACATGTCTCTTCTGAAATTGAGGTCAAAAAACTGACTAGTTCATTAATTTGATCATTTTAACTTTAAAATATTTAAAATATTGTAAACTTTTAAAATGTAAAGTGGGTGTTCAAAATCTTAATTCATAAGGATGTTGTAGAAATGAAAAGCAATTATATGAGAAAATGTTGGCAGAATGGCTGGCACCTGGTCAGCACTAGGTAAATTGTTGAATGTTATTACTAATGAAACACATATTTGCTGGACAATTTCACAATTTACCTTGGTGAAAGGTGTTGGGAATTGCTGTGCAAATGGAACTTCTTTTTAACATATAACAGGTTTAAAATCATGGAAGGAGGTATCTTTAAAGTCAGATTTATTTGCCATTTAATAAAAGTAAAAATGTAAATATCACCACAGTTGTGGTGGCCAACAAGAGGAAAACAAAGATAGAGAGAGAGAGAGAAAGAGAAACAGAGAGTAAGAGAGAGCAAGTGGCCAAACAGGTGTGGAGGCTCCTGCCAATATGCTGTATTCCAGGCTGGAGGCCACTTGGAATCTTGAACCCAACATGTTATTTTACAAAGAGTTTTTAAAATATGCACAACCAGTAGATTTCCCAAGCACTTCCATTTTCAGCACAATCCACTTACAAAAACCTGGAGAGAAAAGAGTTAGGTATAGTCTTTTAGTAAAACTAAAAATAGCAACTAATAAAATATTAACAAGAACAAATCTATGTGAAATGCAAACAGCAATCTTTCAGTAACACAGGCAGCTTTCCATGGTAAAAGAAGGTGAACAGAAAACAAAAATTCATGGAAATCAACAGTACTATAGGTACTCCTGAGCATCTCTATACCAACATTTTTTTGAATTAAAAGAATTTTTCCTTTTACAAAGTATGAATTCATGATGTATTGAGTTTATTATTTTTGCCATTTTTGCAAAAATTAAAAGACAAATGTCTTATGAAGACATTTCTAACTTTTAAAGACAATTAAGTATTAGAATTTGAGTGTTTTTTAAAGTTTGTCTTCCTTAAGGTAGATGGAGAAATGATACATTGAGTTAAAGTTAATCTCTCTTTGTGCCTCTTATAAACTCGGCCTTTTATCTACATTGTCTCTAATCTCCTAATAACATAAATTAATTATTCTATCTACATTTTATAGATGAGCAACCTGAGGTTCAGCGAGATTAAGAAGTTTGCTTCTGCTTATTTTAACAAATCAAATACGTAGTATTACAACATAATGTTTGTGGCATTAAAATATATATTAATTCCAATGTGTATTGTTGTTTTTACTATGGAAATGTAAGTTATTTTATTTGCTTTAACCATCATTAGTCAACATAAAAACAGATTCAAATATTAATATCTGATGGTGATATTTTTCTAGATAATTGTAAAAGAAAGATAAAGTTAGTTTCCTGATTTGTTCCATTGAATGTTTATTACTTTATACAAATGTTATTATATCTCAGTTATATAATAATATACTCATCATAGATTACACAGTGACCAAAAAGGAAAAAGAATGACCCTAAATCCATTAGCCTGTCATGATGTCTATTTTCCATATTGAAAACAGTTTTTATAATAATTTGGAATCTGATCTTTAAAACTGAACAATATGTTATGTACCTTTTCTCTGTCAGTTTGTGCTCCAAATAAGTAGTTTTACATTTTAGAAGAATCCTTTGTACAAACAAGTATGAAGGGGACCTTGAATAGGTACAACAATAGAGCTAGGCCTGTTCTGGTTGAAGCAGGGGAAAGCAGAGGTGTGCCTACCAGGGTAGCTTCTCACCCTCACTCCCCAACAGCCCCTTGAAACTCCTCTGTGGAATTGGGCTTCCATGGAGAATGCTTTAAAAATCCTTCTTCTGCATCATTTCCTCTAATGATGCACTATGATTCCATTTGACTGGATATACACTAAATTATTTTAACAAAACCAATCACTGTTTTGGGGTGGGGTTTGAATAATAAAAATCACAACAAAAATCATTACTGAACAGAAAAATAATAACTGCTTAATAACCACTTTCAAAAGAAAACCTAAATTAATGATTAAAGCATCCCTATAAACAACCATTATTACTACTCCCATATCTCAAATGAAGAGACTGTAGCATAGGAAGGTATATTAACATGTTTAACATTACAAGTCTGGTAAGTAAAGGAGTCAGAATCAGGAATTAATACTATAAATAAAATATCAATAATTTTTTTGTAGCTAAGACCTATTTAGATATAATTTATTATATCTTAAGCAAATATCTAGAAATACAAGCCATTCTTAATATATGAGAATATTGATTTCCTATATCCAATCTTAATGGATATTTATATAATAACACAATATGTTATCATTACCATAAAATATTTTCCAGCTTGATTGGTGAAGATGACATATTATTATTTTATGAAATAATAAATATGAATTGAACATAATACAAGAAAAATATTAAGTGAAAACACACAGTGTAAAGGAAGCATATTAAGTTCCACAATATATTATATCATGTAATCTTTATAACTGTCAAATCTAGAACTCACACTCATAAGTGTTCATCTATGAATCCCATGCCCTGAACCATTAATGTTTTATGAATTTTTTGATGAGTAACATTGCACATTTTACTATGTTTATTATCTAATTACATTTTAATTTTATGATTTGCTAATTTGTCCTAGATCATTTTTTATTTGAATTTTTGAATTCTTATTGATTGCCAATACTGCTCATGTATGAAAATTAAGTTGTGGAATATATAACAAGTGTAGTTTTTACTTTTCCTTTTGCATTTCCAAAAAATAATGTTTTTTTTTTGGCATAACCATTTTAGATTTTCACCTTGTCAAACCTAGCTCTCCCTATATTCTGTAATAGTGCACGTAGTTGTTATGGTAAAATTATACAAATACGTCTCATGATTTCATTTGACTAGATTTATGATTTAGCTTTTTAAATTAAATCATTTATATGAAATTTATTTTGATATGTAGTGTGTAGTAATGGCTTAGTTTAAAAAATGATTTCCTGCTTGTATACATTGTACTGGGTATATTATCCTTTTGTTTTTGTTCCATTTTCAGTTTTGTCTATTCTAGCACCAGTAATGTTTTATTTACTGTATTTTAAGACTACAATCTATTATCTACTAAGGAAAACTGTACTTAGTAATTGTTTCAAAATGTTCTTGTCAATGCTTTTCTATGTCATAATTCCAGATGAAGTTTAGAATCAATTTGTTAAATTATAAAAATTTTTCATTAGCATTTTGATTAAAAATTTTATTTTATTCTATTTACTTATTATTATACTTTAAGTTCTCAGATACATGTGCAGAATGTGCAGGTTTGTTACATAGGTATACATGTGCCATGGTGTTTTGCTGCACCCATCCACCTGTAATCTACGTTAGGTATTTCTCCTAATGCTATCCTTCCCCTTGCCCCCCACCCTTCAACAGGCCCTGGTGTGTGATGTTCTCCTCCCTGTGCCCATGTGTTCTCATTGTTCAACTCCCACTTATGAGTGACAACATGTGGTGTTTGGTTTTCTGTTCCTGTGTTAGTTTGCTAATAATTGTGGTTTCCAGCTTCATTCATGTCCCTGCAAAGGACACAAGCTCATTCTTTCTTATGGTTGCATAGTATTCCATGGTGTATATGTGCCACATTTTCTTTATTGAGTCTAACATTGATGGGCATTTGGGTTGATTCCAAGGGTTTGCTATTGTGAATAGTGCCGCAATAAACATACGTGTACATGTGTCTTTATACTAGAATGATTTATAATCCTTTGGGTATATACCCAGTAATGGGATTGCTGGGTCAAATGGTATTTCTGGTTCTAGATCCTTGAGGAATCGCCACACTGTCTTCCACAGTGGTTGAACTAATTTATACTCCCACGAACAGTGTAAAAGTGTTCCTATTTCTCCACCTTATCTCCAGCATCTGTTGTTTCCTGACTTTTTAATGATTGCCATTCTAACTGGCATGAGATGGTATCCCATTGTGGTTTTGATTTGCATTTCTCTAATGACCAGTGAGGATGAGTTTTTTTTTTTTTTTCATGTTTGTTGGCCACATAAATGTCTTGTTTTGAGAAGTGTCTGTTCATATCCTTTGCCCACTTTCTGATGGGGTTGTTTTTTTTCTTGTAAATTTGTTTAAGTTTCTTGTAGATTCTGAATATTAGCCCTTTGTCAGATGGATAGATGGCGAAAATTTTCTCCCATTCTGTAGGTGGTCTGTTCATGTTGATGATAGTTTCTTATGCTGTGCAGAAGCTCTTTAGTTTACTTACATACCATTTGTCCATTTTGGCTTTTGTTGCAATTGCTTTTGGTGTTTTAGTCATGATATCTTTCCCCGTGCCTATGTCCTGAATGGTATTGCCTAGGTATTCTTTTAGGGTTTTTATGGTTTTAGGTCTTACATTTAAATCACTAATCCAGCTTCAGTTAATTTTTGTATAAGGTGTAAGGAAGGGGTCCAGTTTCAGTTTTCTGCATATGGCCAGCCAGTTTTCCCAACACCATTTATTAAATAGGGAATCCTTTACCCACTGATTCCCTTTGTCAGTTTTGTCAAAGATCAGATGGTTGTAGATGTGTGGTGTTATTTCTGAGGCTTCTTTTCTGTTCCATTGGTCTATATATCTGTTTTGGTACCAGTACCATGCTGTTTTAATTACTATAATCTTGTAGTATAGTTTGAAGTCAGGTAACATGATGCCTCCAGCTGTGTTCTTTTTGCTTAGGATTGTCTTGGCTATACAGGCTCTTTTTTGGTTCCATATGAAATTTAAAGTAGTTTTTCTAATTCTATGAAGAAGGTCAATGGTAGCTTGATGGGAATAACATTGGATCTATAAATTACTTTGGGCAGTATGGCCATTTTCACAATAGTGATTATTCCTATCCAACAGCATGGAATGTTTTTCCGTTTGTTTGTGTCCTCTCTTATTTCCTTGAGTAGTAGTTTTTAGTTCTCCTAAATTTTAAAATAATATTTTAATCTTGGAAGAGTGACAGCTTTATGTAAGGGTTCACTTTGATGAATACTATCCACAAGGGACACATTCTAAGACCCTCAGAAGATGCCTGAAACTGAACCCTGTATACACTATGTTTTTTCCTGTACATATATATCCACAATAAAGTTTAACTTATTAATTAGGTACAGTAGGATATTAGAAGCAATAACTAGTAATGCTATAGAATGACTAAAACAGTATCCTGTGTAAAATTTCATGGATAGAAGATTTGTTCTTACTGCTAATTTTAGCAACATCAGCATATGATTTTTTTCCTTATTGAGAACTTTTACCTTTTCATTTAAATGAAGTACTTGATGGCTTCTTTTTGACATATTTGAATTGCCAGAATCACTACTTTTGCACTTCAGGGTCCTTAATGAAGTAAAATAAGAGTTACTTAAACACAAACACTTCAATACCTGGGACAGTTGATCTGATAAGTGAGACAGCTACTGAGTGGCTCATGAGGAGGCAGTGTCTACAGGTGAATCCACTGGACAAAGGGATGTGTCACAATTCAAGGTGGGATGGAGCAGGTGGCACAAAATGTCATCACACTTCTCAGTACCATGTGCAATTTAAAACTTATTAATTGCTGGCCGTGTGCCATGGCTCACGCCTGTAATCCCAGTACTTTGTGAGGCCGAGGCAGGCGGATCACAAGGTCAGGAGATTGAGACCATCCTGGCTAACACGGTAAAACCCTGTCTTACTAAAAATACAAAAAAATTATCAGGGCGTGCTGGTGGGCACATGTAGTCCCAGCTTCTTGGGAGGCTGAGGCAGGAGAATGGCGTGTACCTGGGAGGCAGAGCTTGCAGCGAGCTGAGATGGCGCCACTGCACTCCAGCCTGGGCAACAGAGTGAGACTCCACATCAGAAAAAAAAAAAAACTTATTAATTGCTTATTTCTGGAATTTTCCATTTAATATTTTTGTCATCAAAATACCTGGGGTTTGGTATAGGTCCTGCCGTTTGCCGCATAGAAAGTCAATGACTGAGATGATGAGTCTGCCGAGGAAAAAGGCTTTATTCAGGTGTTGCAGCTGAGGAGATGGGAGATCAGTCTCAAGTCCATCCCCCTGACCAACTAAAATTAGGGATTTATATAGCAGGGGAGAAATAGAACTATGTATGGGAAAACAGGAATTCAGGAAGGGTAAGGAAGCAGTCCTGATGAATGAGGGGCCTGGCATCTCATTGGATGGGATAATCTGGGAAGTTTTGGTTCTTTAACACTTTTTGAGAGGCCTAGGGGTCCTTTACTGAGGAAGGAGCTCAGATAAAACAAATGGGAGTTTTAAGCTTTCAGACGAGAGTGGTCAATTTCTCTGTTTATTAAAAACAAACTGTGTATGTATGGGAGTATTGGGTCAGTTTCATTTTTAGGCTATAGTTGATTATAGGTAACTGAGGAGAGACTACAGGCATACCGAAGAGATAGTACAGGTTTGGATCCAGACCACCACAATAAAGCAGATATCACAATAAAGCAGGTTATACAAATTTGTTGGTTTCCCAGTGCATATAAAAGCTATAAGTGCATCATACTGTAGTCTATTCTATGCAATAGCATTATGTATAAAAAATACATGCTTTGGGGCATGTGACTTAAGCCTGTAATCCCAGCACTTTGGGAGGCTGAGGCAGGTGGATCACCTGAGGTCAGGAGTTCAAGACCAGCCTGACCAACGTGGTGAAAACCCGTCACTACAAAAATACAAAAATAAAATAAAATTAGCTGGACATGATGACAGGAACCTGTAATCCCAGCTACTCTGGAAGCTGAGACAGAAGAATCACTTGAACCCAAGAGGCAGGGGTTGCAGTGAACTGAGATCGTGCCATTGCACTCCAGCCTGGGCAACAGAGTGAGACTGTGTCTCAAAAAATAAATAAATAAATAAATAAATAAATAAATAAATAAATAAATAAATAAAATAAAATAAAATACATGCCTTATTTTAAAAATACTTGATTGCATTAAAACACTAACAATTATCTAAGCCTTCAGTAACTCCTATCTTTTTTCTGGTGGAGGTGTGCCTCAATGTTTATGGCTGCCAGCTGATCAGGCTGGTAGTTGCTAAAGGTTGAGGTGGCTGTGAAAATTTCTTAAAACAAGATAACAGTGAAATTTGCCCCATTGATTGACTCTTCTTTTTAAAACAATATTTCTCTGTAGCATGTGATGATCTTTGATAGCATTTGCCTACATTTAGAACATCTTCAAAAATTAGAATCAATTCTCTTAAACTCTGCTGCTTTATCAACTAAATTTATGTGCTATTCTAAATCCTTATTATTTATCATTTCAACAATGTTTACATCTTCACCAGAAGTAGAATCCATCTCAAGAATCCACTTTCTTTGCTCATCTAGAAGAAACAACTTCTCATCCATTTAAGTTTTATCATGAGATTGCAGTAGTTCAGTCACACCTTCAGGCTCCGTTTCTAATTCTGGTTCCTTTGCTATTTCTACCACATCTGCAATTACTTCCTCCACTGAAGTGTTAAGCCCCTCAAAGTCATCCTTCAGGTATGGAATCCATTTCTTCCAAATTCCTGTTGATGTTGATATTTTGACATCTTCCCCTGAACCATGAGTGTTCTTAACAGCATTGAGAATAGTGAATCCTTTCCAGAAGGTTTTCAATTTACTTTGCCCAGATTCATCAATGTAATCACTATCTATGACAGCTATATCCTTATGAAATGTGTTTCTTAAATAATAAAACTTGAAATTTGAAATTACTCCTTAAGCCATGGGCTATTGAATGAATATTGTGTTAGCAGGCAAGAAAACAACAGTAATCTTTTGTATATCTCCACAAGAGCTTTGGGTAACCAGGTGCATTGTTAATGAGTAGCAATATTTTGAGTGGAATATTTTTTCTGAGCAGTAAGTCTCAACAGTGGGTTTAAAATATTCAGTAAAACATGCTGTCATCCAGACTTTGTTATTCTATTTATAGAGCACAGGCAGGGTAGATTTAGCATAATTCTTCAAGGCCCTAGGATTTTCAGAAGGTAAATAAGCATTATCTTCAACTTAAATTCACCAGTTGCATTAATCCTTAGAAAGAAAGTCAGCGCCTGTCCTTTGAAAATTTGCAGGCATCGACTCCTCTTTAGCTACAAGAGTCCTAGATTAGATGGCATTTTCTTCCAATAGAAGGCTGTTTTAGCTACATGGAAAATCAGGTGTTTCATGTAGCCACCTTCATCAATGTCTTAGCTAGATCTTATAGGTCACCTGCTGTAGATTCTACATCAGCACCTGCTGCTTCACCTTGCACTTTGATGTTACAGGGATGGCTTCTTTCCTTAAACCTTATGAACCAAACTCTGCTAGCTTCAAACTTTTCTTAGGCACCTTTCTCTTCTCTCTCAGCCTTAATAGAAGTGAAGAGAGTTAGAAACTTGCTCTGAATTAGGCTGTGGCTTAGGGGAATGTTGTGGCTGCTCTGATCTTTTATCCAGATGATTCAAACTTTCTTTGTATCAGCAATAAAACTGTTTTGCTTTCTTATCATTTATGTGTTCACTGGAGTAGCACTTCTAATTGTCTTCAAGATCATTTCCTTTGCATCTACAACTTGGCTAATGGTTTGGCACAAGAGGCCTAGCTTTAAGTCTATCTTGCCTTTCAACATGCCTTCCTCTCTAAATTTAATCATTTCCAGCTTTTGATTTCAAGTGAGAGACATGTGACATGGCTTGGCTGTGGCCCCACCCAAATCTTATCTTGAATTCTAGTTCCCATAATACCGACATGTCTTAGGAGAGACCCAATGGGAGGTAACTGAATCATGAGGGGGGTTTCCCCCATGTTGTTCTCCTGATAGTGAGTGAGTTCTCATGAGATCTGATGGTTTTCTAAGCAGCTCTTCCGTTTTTGTGTGGCACTTCTTCTGGCTGCCTTGTGAAGAAGGTGCCTTGCATCTGCTTTGCCTTCTGCCATGACCATGAGTTTCCTCAGGCCTCCCCAGCCATGCTGAACTGTGAGTCAATTAAACCTCTTTCCTTTCTAAATTACCCAGTCTTGGGCTCTTCATTATAGCAGTATGAAAATGGACTAATATGGCTGGGCATGGTGGCTCGCACCTGTAATCCCAGCACTTTGGGAAGCCAAGGCGAACGGATCACGCGGTCAAGAGATGGGGACCATCGTGGCCAACATGGTGCAACCCCGTCTCTACTAAAAGTACAAAAATTATCTGGGCGTGGTGGCACACACCTGTAGTCCCAGCTACTCTGTAGGCTGAAGCAGGGGAATCACTTGAACCCGGGAAGCGGAAGTTGCAGTGAGCCAATATGGCACCACTGCACTGCAGCCTGGTGACAGAGCGAGACTCCGTCTCAAAAAAATAAAAAAAGAAAGAAAGAAAAAAAAGAAAACGGACTAATATAACATGCAAACTTTCCTTTTGTTTAATCACTTGGAGGCCACTGTAGGGTTATTAATTGACCCAATTTCAATATCGTTGTGTCTCAGAATATGAGTTCTGAGAAGGAAAGAGATGAGGGGACAGCTGGTTGGTGGAGCCCTCAGAACACGCATGATATTTATTGAATAAATTCACCATCATATGGGGAAGGTTCCTAGCTCCCCAAGACAGTTACAATGGTACAATCAAATATCACTGGTCATAGATTACCATAGAGATATAATAATAATAAAATTTGAAATATTGAAATAACTAATAAAATGTCACACAGAAACAAAAAAGAGCATATGTTATTGTAGTACCAATAGATTTGTTTAATGCTCAGTTGCCCCAAACCTTCAATTTATAAAATTATAATATCTGCAAAGTACAATATAGTGAAGCACAATAAAACAAGCTATGCCTCTTCTGTACTTCACACGTTATTTTTACTTTTATCTCTCTTAGTAAAATATTACATTTTCTATTATATATCTAATGCCTATTTCTGCTAGTTTTTTTATTTTTGCATGCTTTTGATAGCATTTAAGACTTTTACACTTTTTTAAACAAATCACCTCACAAACTTGATTTACTTTATTTTTCCTTCTTTCCTTTCATTCTTTCCTTTCTTCTTCCCTTCATTGCTTTCTACCTTCTTGTTTCTTTTCCTTCTTATACAATTTTCCATGGATAGTCTTAAAGGCAATGATTATTATTTACAGTGATATAACGTGTTTCTTTTTCTTGCCATATTACATTTCTTGAAGCTTTGTACTACATATATTGATCATGGGGCCACCCTTTCCCATCTTTCCACAGCAAGGGAAAATTTGCCAACTTGACTCATAACCCTCCCTGTTGGAAAATTACATAATCTTTCTTAAGGAGTAACATGTAATTTTCACAATTCAGTGCAACCAATCTTTGGGCTTTCTGAAATCCTATCTTGCTTATATTTGTAACAATAAAAAATCATATTCTTTCCCTTTTGAGTTTTAATGGGGGGTAGCAGGTAGTAAACAGTCAAAAGGAAAGAACAGTCCAATAGATTGGCAAATATATAGAAAATTATACTTATAATATTAGTAAAATACCAGTTGGTGGAAAATTCAAAACAGTTTAATTTCTAAAACTACCTTGGTTCTGAGTGCTGGTCAAATATTAAATATTCATATTGATATCAAGCATTTCTATATTCCTTGTATATTTATTACAAATTATTCTATAATTCAGTTCATTATTTTTTGATACTAACTTTGCATTTGAAAAGGATATGCTTTATTATGTTAGAGCTTTATTTTTGCTAGCTGCACACTGAGGATTTATTGGGTCCTACTATGATAACTAAAAGGATTTTCTTCTTTGACCTCTGTACATGATGTTAAGCTTCCAGAACATTGTATCATTATGGAAACCCTGAAACAAATTTTGTTTGGTTCTAGGGCATTATTCTTTAATGTGTTGCAGGAATCAATTTGACACTAATTTATTTAAGATCATTGACCTCCTATTCATAAGTAAAATTGAGCTCTGATTTATTCTTATGCTCTGCTTTTTGGCTTTGGCAGTGTTATGCTATCCTTGTAAAATAAATTGGAGAGATTTTCACTTCTGGCCTTGATGAGGTAGCTGGCACTATATTTGTCTTCCCACTATAGGCAAGTAGAAAACAAATAAAACAAAACAACAAATATAAACAAACATTTTCTCACACCAGATCATGGGCAATGAAGGATTGTAACTCTTGAGAGGAGAGGAAATGCCTGATATTCTGTCTGGAGAAATTTTCTGAACCTTTACACATGAAAAGCAAACACAAAGCACAATGGTTTCACTGAGCTGAGAAAAAAAAAATTAGGGTTTAGGAATGCTGTGACAGCTGGAATTTGTAAGCCAGTGTCTCAATAAGAAGCTATATAGATAAAAAGCTCTTTAAATCTGCATTTAAGTCTTCTTGACTCTTTTGCCAAATATCGAAGCTCCTCTTGCACAGTAAGACTATCCCAAAAAGAGCAAGAAATAACTACTAGAGATCTGTAAGCTAAAGCATTATTAGAGATAATACATAGCTGGGAGATATTGGAGATAGCAACAAAGTGGAGAGAGCTTGTGGAACACACAGGACATCCAACAAATGACCCAGAAGGGAAGAAAAAAAGAAGTTACAGGACTAAACTAGTCCCATAGTAATGGCTACTTTAGACTCATGACAACAAAAATTAGAAACAAGCCTCTAAAGGACCAAGCTTATTAAAGTAACTGAATGACCTGACTAAATATATCTTGGCCAGGCACAGCGGCTCATGCCTGTAATCTCAGCACTCTGGGAGGCCAAGGCGGGTGCATCACCTGAGGTCAAGAGTTCCAGACCAACCTGACCAACATGGTAAAACCCCATCTCTACTAAAAATACAAAATTAGACAGGCGTGGTGAGGGTGCATGCCTGTAATTCCAGCTACTAGGGAGGCTGAGGCAAGATAATCACTTGAACCTGGGAGATGGAGGTTGCCGTGAACCAAGATCACTCCACTGCACTCCAGCCTGGGCAACAAGAATGAAACTTTGTCTCATAAATAAATAAATAAACCAACCAACAAACCTCAATATTCATGAAGTTAGGGAACTAAATCCAGATACTGAACAATGTAAAAATCAGTAAGTTCAGTATCCAAACAAAAAACTAGACATGAAATAAAGCAGAAAAATGTGAGCAATAACTAGGAGGAAATAAATCTCAGAAATGGAAGAGACAGTGGGATTAGCAGATAAAAACGTTAAAATGAATAATTTGGAAAAGATATACAAAGCTGGAGAAATTCCAGCCCATTATTTCAAGATTTATTATCAAGTTACAGTAGTCAATACAATGATTTTGAAATGAGGATAGATAAATGTATCAATGCATCAGAATAGAGAATTCAGTAATATGCCCACATACGATGGTCAACTGATTTTCCAAAATTTTATTTTATTGTAGTAAGAATACTTAACATAAGATGTAACAAATGTTACCCTCTTAACAAATGTTTAAGTTTACAGTGTCTTGTTGACTGTACACGCAACATTGTACAGCAGATCTGTGGAGCTTATTCATCTTGCCTAACTGAAGCATTATACCTATTGATAATAACTCCCCACTTCCCCCTTAACACAACCCCTGAAAATTACCATTCCATTCTTTGATTCTATGAACTTGACTATTTTAGACACTTTATGTAAGTGGAATCATGCAGTATTTGTCTTTATGTGACTGACTTATGTCACTTAGCATAATGTCCTCCAGGTTTATCCATGTTGTTGCCTATTGCAGAATCTCCTTTTTCACATCTAAGTAGTATTTCCTTTTATGTATATACCACATTTTCTTTATCCCTTCATCTGCTGGTGGACATTTATGTTGTTTCTACATTTTGACTATAATGAACATGAGAGTGATAATGAACCTTTATACTGTTTTCCATAGTAGCTGCACCATTTTTGCATTTCCACTAACAGTGTGCAAGAGTTCCAATATTTTTACATCCTCAATGACACTTGTTTTTTGTATTTTTGATAATGAACATCCTGACAGGTGTGAAATGTTATCTACAGAGTGAAAAGACCACCTATACAATAAAATATAGAATAAAAGAATATATTTGCAAACCATAAATCTTATAAGGGACTAATCTCCAAAATATATAAAGAACTTCTACAATTCAATAGAAAAAACTAATAACACAATTAAAAAATGAGGTAGGGACTTGAACAGACATTTCCCCAAAGAAGATGTACAAATGCCCAACAGGTATATGAAAAAATGCTTAACATCAGTGTCACTTGTCATCAGGAAAATGCAGATCAAACCCAGAATGGTTGATTGATGTTTAAAAGCAGGTGCTGAAATAACTGAATAAAGAGAAGTCAGTCTTTTCAACTAATGATAGTAGGAGATATATATGTCTATATGGTGAAATAATGAACCTTGATGCTTAAAGGATCATATACCCCCATATTAACTCAAAGTGGAGATGCACACACACACACACACACACACAGACACACGCACGCACACACACACACACACACACACTCTAAAACTCTAGATGAAACAGAAAAAAATCTTTATGACCTTGGGGTACCTTTCTTAAACAGGGCAGTGAGAGGAAAAATTATAAAAGAAAAAAATTGATAAATGATATTTCACTAAAATACTTATCTTATTGGAAAGACATCACTAATTAAATGAAAAGGCAGAGACTGAGACTAACATAAGGAAAGCAGCTGGCTCAAGTGTCTATTTGATTTCATAGACATATGACACAAACACATTCCTCTTATACAGCTTATTTAGTTAAGCATTCAGGAAAAGGAGATCAGTGATTAAAAGATATATTAAAGTCAGAATGAGAGGAAAAATAGAAGAAAAGAACAGGTTTAAAAGGAATACAGAGAGAAGAGATATGGACTATCCCACACTTAGGGGTGACATATTCATTCTCTCCTGTGACACGGGTTTCCTTATATTCCTATGAGTCACATCTGTTGCAGATGACTTTTAGATGCCAAAATAAAGAACAATGAAATTTTAAGACTGACCCATAGTTGAATATTGACATTTCAACATAAAGGTTGTGTAGGACATCTGCCTAAGAGAATCTTGGTGGAGATAATTTTAACTCAATTATGGTTATTCTTCATTCTCCGTTTTACTTCATTGCTTTCAAAATGAGGAAGTGAGATATTATCTTCCTCCTCATCAAACATATCAAGCATCTACAAAGTATAAAAGATGTTTCATATATGAGATCTAGTGTAACTGCTAATTACAACTCTGATGATTTAAAAAGACAATGAAAAATGTCTAGTCTTTCTTAAGATTCCGTTTCTCCTCTTACTGCTTTTTCTACTTTGAACTTCCGAGAGACAGACTATAAAATTATTTCAGTAATTATACTTCACAATGAAAACTATACCTTGAGATTCTGACCTCTCATTCTTGGGAAAATAGTATTGAAGTGTAATGAATAGATTATAATATCAAGAAACCTTTTCTATATGAACTAAAAATACTTCAGTGATAGACTTATTTAGGTCATGTTAAACTTATTTCTTTTGTTATAAAGGATTAAAAATTGGAAAGTGTTTCCCAGGGACTCTTTTCTTAGATGTGATTTAAAATGTTATATATTTCCATATTTGTGAAATAGTTTAATAACTCTGCTTAGGGGCGAAACAATGAGCTAAATGACTCTATGACAATATCCAAATTTTCTCACTCTTCTTAATTACTTTTGTAATGTCAAATTTGCATATGTGAAAGATAAATTCTTGCCATCATTCATTTAATGTTGAGATCAGTAAATGCTAATTATGGCATATATATATATCTGAAATATATATAAATATATATATATGCCTGATATATAAATATAATTATTTATATATAAATATAATTATATTTATATATAAATAATTATATTTATATATAAATTATTATATTTATATATAAATTATTATATCTATATATAATAATTTATATATATAATAGTTATTATATATAATATATTATAAATATATAAATATATAAATTTATATATAATAAATATATATTTATATATACATATAATATGTAACATATATTTATATATCAATATAAAATATAAATATAATTTATATATCAATATAAAATATAAATATAATTTATATAAATTATATATCAATATAAAATATAAATATAATTTATATAAATTATATATCAATATAAAATATAAATATAATTTATATAAATAAAATTATATGAATATAATTTATATAAATAAAATTATATGAATATAATTTATATAAATAAAATTATATGAATATAATTTATATAAATAAAATTATGAATATAATTTATATGAATACAATTTATATGAATATAATTTATATGAATAGAATTTATATGAATATAATTATATGAATAGAATTTATATGAATATAATTATATGAATAGAATTTATATAATTTATAATTATATATTTATATAATTTATAATTTTATATAATTTTTAATTATATAAATAAAATTTATATACATATAAATTATATATTTATGTATAAATATATATTTATATTTTTATATGTATATATATGCCTGATATATATTTATATATATTTCACATATATACATATATTTATATAGATTTCACATATATACATATATTTATATAGATTTCATATATATACATATATTTATATAGATTTCATATATATACATATATTTATATAGATTTCATATATACATATATTTATATAGATTTCATATATACATATATTTATATAGATTTCATACATATATTTATATAGATTTCATACATATATTTATATAGATTTCATATATTCATATATATTTATATATTTCAGATATATATTATATATATTTCAGATATATATTATATATTTCAGATATATGTATATTTATATATCTTTCAGATATATGTATATATATTTCAGTTATATGTATATTTATATATATATTTCAGATATATGTATATTTATATATATATTTCAGATATATGTATATATATTTCAGATATATGTATGTTTATATATATTTGAGATATATGTATGTTTATATATGTTTGAGATATATGTATTTGTATACATTTCTGATATATGTATTTATATATACATTTCAGATATATGTATTTATATATACATTTCAGATATATATTCATATATACATTTCAGATATATATATTCATATATACATTTCAGATATATATTTATATATATTTCAGATATATATATTTATATATATTTCAGATATATATATATCTGAAAGGCTTCAAACTAGAATTAGTCTGCTAAAATCTGTAAGACTTAGAAAGGTGAAATAATCACAAAATAATCTTGGTTTATATGTTAGACAGTTTTTTTTCTTTCTGTACATCTTGTTTTAAAACGTTTAGGTTTGAGTGTACATATGTAGGTTTGTTATATAGATAAAGTCATGTCCCAGGGGTTCATTGTACAGATTGTTTTATCACTCAGGTACTATGCCTAGTACCCACTAGATGTTAGCTATTTTGTTAAGTCAAAATCTCTTGTTTAAAGGCTTGTTTTAATTTGTGGGACTAAGTCCAGTACCCAATAGATGCTAACTATTTTGTTAAGTCAAAATCTCTTGTTTAAAGGCTTGTTTCAATTTGTGGTACTAAGCCTAGTACCAAATAGATGTTAGCTATTTTGTTAAGTCAAAATCTCTTGTTTAAAGGCTTGTTTCAATTTGTTGATTTTCACAAATGCAATTTAAAGCTGTTTTCTTTTAACTTATAGTGACTATTCTAATATAACAAGAGAAGTCTGTTTAATCAACATTTAAAATAATATTTTAATGACTTATTTAATATTTAAGAAAATGAATAATTCTTTTAAATATCATTAATTTGGGCTAATTTATCCACTACTCTTCCCAAAGCAATGTCTATATTGCAAATGAAACCAATAATTAAGTTTTACCTTATATTCAATGAGTATGGGTAATTAATAAAAATGTTTTAAAGAAGAATGACACTTTTTATATAACTTTAGTTATATTAACATTCTTTTTATCATTTCTGGTTCTCTTTGTTCATTCTGTGTATTCCAGTTACTATCTGGGGTCATATTCTTAATTTAAAACTTCCTTTTACTCGTCACCTTTTTGCTATTATTGGCAAATGTGTCTCATTTCTGTATGATACAGGCACAAAGACATATTATATCCTATTGTTTTATTTAATTGCTTTTTAAATAAATTAAGAGAATAAAGAATAAACATACAAGTGTATACTGTCTTTTATAATTACATAATTACCTTTTCTGGTGCTATTTATTTGTACAAGCATTCAAAATACAAGAGCATTTCAAAAAATTGCTGGAAAGACAGAAGTAAAAGATAAGAATATAAAACTTTATTTCTCAACATAAATGTCATCAAATGAAAGACAATTTTGTAAGTGATGATGCTAGCCATTTAGTACATCCCTAAAGAACTGAGGGTCCTGGGAATTTAACCATGTCAATGTCATCTTTTTTATGTTATGTTACTGAAGAAAACTACATACCCTTTACAGATTTTTTTTTAAGACTAGGAAATAAAAGGAAATCAGAAGAAATCAAATCAGAAATGTATGGTGCATTCCTAATGATTTCCCATTGAAACTTTCACAAAATTGACTTTTTTGATGAGAGAAAGGAGCTGGACCATTTGTAGTTGTGAAGAATTCTCTAGTGAAGATTTCCCGCACATTGTTTGCTAAAGTTTTGTCTAACTTTCTCAGAACATTCTCAAAATAAGCAGACGTTATCATTCTTTGTCCATACAGGAATTCAACAAGCAAATCGTCTTGAGCATCCCTAAAAACTCTTGCCATGATCTTTTCTCTTGACTGGTATGCTTTTGCTTTGACTGCATGACTTCCATTTGTTGTTTTTTTTGTTTGCTTGTTTTTTCGAATACTTTGTGTTTTGTCTTCAGAATTATACTGGTAAAGCCACGTTTCACTTTCTGTTGCAATTCTTTGAAGACGTGCTTCATAATTTGATGTCACTTTTTTATAATTTCTGTTGATGCCCTACTCTTGTCTGAAGCTGATCTGGGTGGTTTTGGTAATCATCAAGTGGAAAATTTGCTCAACTCTATTTTTTTAATGAAAATTGTGTAATGTGAACCAATTGAGATGTTTAAGGTGTTGGCTATTTCTGCTGTTAATCATTGATTCTTTTCAATTAGGGCAAGAACAAGACGTAGTTTTTTCTCCCAAGTAAAGGTGGATGTCTGTCTATGTGGGCTTTTTCTTCAATGTCATCTTGTTGTTTCTTAAAATAAGTTATCCATTTGTAAACTGTTGATTTCTTTGAGACATTGTCTTCATAAACTTTTTGTAAAATATCAAGGATTTCATTATTCTTCCACTCAAGCTTCATATTAATTTGATGTTTTTTTCTTGCTTCAATTTTGACAGAAAATATATTGCTCTGATAGGTGCTTTTTTTCAAACTAATATCTTATTTTTCTTAGTTCCTCGAACTTGATCCTGTTCAGATATGTTATAAAAAGTTAGTACGAGTTTATTTTGTGGAAAAAAATGAAATCTATGCACTGTTTCTTTCATAATATGCATTTTCACGAACATTTTGAAGTCCTCTCATACTTAATTTTGGCCTGAAGTATTTTCTTTAATATTTAAGATGGGTCAGCTAGTATCAAATTCTCTGTTTTTATCTATCTGGGAAAGTGTTTCTTTTTTGTTTGTTTGTTTGTTTTTGAGACAGACTCTCGCTCTGTCCCCCAGGCTGGAGTGCAGTGGCACCATCTCGGCTTGCTTCAAGCTCCACCTCCTGGGTTCACGCCATTCTCCTGCCTCAGCCTCCCCAGTAGCTGGGACTACAGAGGCCTGCCACCACGCCCGGCTAATTTTTTGTATTTTGGGTAGAGATGGGGTTTCATTGTGTTAGCCAGGATGGTCTCAATCTCCTGACCTCATGATCCACCCGCTTTGGCCTCCCAAAGTGCTGGGATTACAGGCGTGAGCCACTGCACCTGGCCGAAAGTGTTTCTTTTACCTTCATTTTTGAAATATAGTTTTGCTGCATATAGTATTTTGGGTTGTTTTTAAAAAAATTTTTTTTAACTTTTGGGCACTTTGCGTGTTAACCCATTGCTTTCTAGTCTTCATAGTTTCTGATAAGTAAACTCTAAATAATTTTATTGTGGTTCCCTTGTGAGAGGTCAGTTTTCATTTATTGCTTTCAAAATTTTGTCCTTGTCTTTGGCTTTCAGTAGTTTTATTTTGATGTTTTTATTTGTGAATTTGTTTGTATTTATCTTATGTAGAGTTTATTGAGATTCTTGGATGTGCAGATCATTGTTTTGTAATAAATTTCTGGAGTTTTCAGCTATCACCACTTTGAATATTTTGATCTCTTCTTTTCTCTCCTCTAGTTCTGTTAGTCCTATTATGCATATTTTGTTGTGTTACTAGTATCTCCCATTTTTTCTGAATCTTTGTTGAGTTTTCTTCATATTTTCCTTCTTCAAATTGCATGATTCTTATTTTCTTGTTTTCAAGTTCACTAATTCTTATTCCTGCCAGTTCAATTCTGTAGTTAAGCCCTATTGTGAATTTTTTATTTCAGTTATTACAGTTTTTAACTGCAGAATATCCATTTTGTTCTTTTTAAGATAATTTATATGTCTTTATATTCTTTGCTTGAGGAATAATTGTCATCATACTTTACTTATTTAATCACATTTTTCTTTATTTATTGAATATGTTTATAATGCCTGCTTGAAGTCTTTTTATGATAAATACTACATCTAGTCATTCACAGGCAGTTTCGGTTGTGTTTACATTTTTCAGTTTATGGGTCATACTTTATTTCTTTGGCTATCTCATAAATTTTGTTGGAAAGTGGACATTTTAGATGATATAGCAACTGTAAGTACTACCTCTTCATGTTCCCCCACCTGCCACTTGTTATTTGTATTTGCTTGTTTGTTTAGGAACTCATTAGATTATTTTAGTGAAGTCTGTTCTACTCTCTCAATAATAGGCCTTTGATGTTACTGTCATTGGGCACCCAGAGCCACTTTGGGATGATAATTGTTTTTTCAGGGTTTTCTTTTCTTTAACTGTCTCTTTCTCTGGCCACATCCTACTAACTGCTGGCTCAGTGTTCCAGGGACATAGACTCCTCTGTATTCTAATACAATCAAATGAAGTTTCTATAAAGAAACTTTCAAAAAATAGTTATGGTGATTAGTATTTGAGATTTAGTCTGATCCCAAGAAGGTTCTCTGGCAAATGAGGCAGCCAATAATTTAGCCTTTATTTTTAGTGAATTCATAAATCACTTTCCAATCTTCTTTCACCACAACTTCCATTGCTTTAGAAGGCACACTTAGGCTTTGATTTCTCCACATACTATTGCAAGTGGAGTTTGTTACTTTTGGAAGAGATCAGAAGCTGTTTGTTTTATGACTTTCTTCTCCCTTCCCACCTCTTACACTCACCACCCACTCTACCAGGCACCAGGCTTTAGTAAAATTATTGGTTCATATCTCTGGAGCTGGGGTTAGGGACAATGGTGCATATCTCTCTGAGTGACATCCCTGCTCTAGGAACTAAGTGCTAGATGTAGCAGGGGAGAGAGGCAGTAGCATCAGGTCTTCTCAGCTTGCATCTGGGGAATGGAGCCACTGCCTTATGAGCCTGGGAAATGGTCATTAGAGACTGAGAATTCTCAGTAGTGCAAAGTTCAAGATAGAGCTTCCTTCCACCCGTGGGATCTGGACAGAAAAAGGGAGCCAGAGCAACCTCTTACCCAGAACTAGGACTCAGCTACATGTAGGGCAGGATAAGAAATGTTGACAGCCTGACTGTCCTAGGAAGGTAGTCCTCCTACTGGGAGGTGGGAGAGAGGGGCCCCTGAGTTCTTTGCTGCATCAGTCTGTGGTGGAATTTCTGGCTGACTGAGCTGGGATGGGATAGGGAGGAAGCAATCTAAGTTCAAATACCATAGACTTGACTGTTAGTGAATGTTAGTAGATGTCCTTGAATAGATACTTCTTCATTGGCTATGTGCCCTGAACACCATTCCTAGACATTTTAATTGGTGCTTTTATTAAATAATAATTTTCACTAACTTCACTAGGAGGTGAGTCCAAAAGGCTTCTTATGCAGTCATACCAAAGACTGTTCTTCAAGAAATGTAGTTTCTTCTCTTTCTTTTACATTTTTGAATAATTTTACTTTTTTGAGTAATTGCCTCTAATGTCTCATTAACTTGGTCTTTTTAAAAAATATGGCATGAGTCATTTGTCACCACTCATATGGTCTATATCATTAACTCCATCTTCCTTATTTATTTGGAACAGTACATTAAAAGATTATATTAATTAAGAAAATCAAATAGCTTTATAAGCATCAAAAATTAATGTCAGCATCATTACTAAGAAATAAATGGTTAAAATGCAGTAATATCCTTGTTTTAGAGGTTCATAGAGGCAAGTATGTTTCCAATAAATGTTTAACAGTCTCCATTAAGCTCTCTTAGCACAATAAAATCATTTAATATTGCTACAATAATTAGTCTTCTAAACAACAGAGTGAGCCCAAGTAGGATTGATCACTTGCCCAGATTTAGCAATACAGCCCCAACATTTTGATGATTCTTACTAGAAACAGAAGTCACCATCATACACCCTGTTGCATAGAGAATAATAATGTCAAGAGATTATCAATTTTTGGATACTCACATTATTTGAGACAATACCATATCAAGCATTAGATGAACTATTTCAGCCCAAGTACCCATAGAGAATCAACACACTACCAAAAAAAATATTTTTCTGCAGCTAACCTAGCATGAAAAGCACAGAAATAAAATAACAATCCAAGCTGGCATTGTTACTGCTGCAGTCACTTGGATGATTATGGGCTTTTGAAAGATGGACATATTTTGACCATTTCAATCATAGAAGATATGGTCAATTGACTTGTAGAAGGGATAGAAATGAAGTTTCAGATTCACTGTTCTATTTTTACCAAACTATAGGACAAAAAAGCCATTTATGACTAATCAGAGTTTTGAGATTATTTTATGTACATTTGAGTTGCAAATAGTCTATTATTATGGAACTTAACTGAAGCTACTTTTGCAAAACAAGGTTTTGAATTTTATGTAGAAAAATAGATAAAGTTACAATAAAAGCAAATTCCCTAATAGTGGCCACCTCTTTCCTAAAGCAAAATGGATTTTAAAATCTCTCTTTGCTTAAACCGAACCAATGCCAATTAGACCCAGAAGTAATAATGTAAGTTCATATTAGTTTTGAAGCTGAGGTAATTTAGAGGAAAACATCAAAAGTCCAATGGATGTTAATAATATTCTTTCACTAATGACTTAGACGTGCACTGATGACTCTCAGGGAAATGATGCAGAGCAGTTTTCTGAATCTACAATATATCACACAGAATACTCTTCAATATTTCACCCAACCTTATTTTCTGTTGTTTTTTTTTTGAGTCTTAGTATTTTTTTGCATATTATATTTTTATTTATCTGAAAAACTTTGCATCTTTTCTAAGAGATGTTTGCACCTCTTCTGGAAATGTTTTGTTATTTATAGCACCTTACAACCTTTAAAAGTTGGAATAATTAACTTGAGAAATTCTTCTCTTTAGTGGCTAACGGCCTGGATTTTTACCCCCCATCATGAACAAATTAACCATCTCTTTGAAAACCAGGTAATGATTTTTTAAATGTGCAATTTAAAATTTCAAACCATATTACCATTTTCCTCCCAGAAGCTTCACTGTCAGTGACTTAGTAAAACCATCATTAATCACAAGATAAGCTACAGTCATGTGGTGATTGTAATTTGGTCCCACGGAACCAAAGACAAATGATATGGAATACTATTAGCAATGATAGCTTTAATGTAGACATTCATCATGGACTCAGGTTCATTTGATGTGACTTTGGGATAAAAATAGGAAAATTGCCTCACTATTGAAAATTCTATTATTATTAAATCATAATTTTGGCAAAATTATACAAAATAAAAGTACTAGAGTTTGTGTTTTTTTGTTTTTCACTATCAAAAGACAAAATTGCAGGGAGCTTTGAAGAACCCAAATGCAGTGCAATTAGAATAGTGAATGCTGATCAGTTGTTATCTATCTAATTGCTAATAATATAATCAAAAGTTTTGGCAAGCTGTCTATTTATAGGAGTCGCAAGACTGCTCCAGCTCATCAGAACAGGTAGACTGCTAACAGAGATTAAGAGACACACACATGCACACATACACACACACAGACACAGATTCATCAGTGACATATTTTATTGGTCATAAATGTCTTTAATATATTGTATTATAATCTCTTAAAGCAACAGAATGGATTTTTTAGGAAAAGATCCTTGTTACCTAATTAAGTTCTATTCAGTTGTCATATTAAAGAAGTTATTTAGATTTGCAAGGACCTACACAATTACCATTAAATACTTTCCCTGTAGGAAATCCCTGAGACGAAATGAATGCAGAACTGAAAGTGTGATTGCAGTTCACAACTGAGAATAAATATTGACTATGACCTGCAGCCTTCTCCTACGGAATATTTGAGTTAAGCTTTAGTTCTTCATGTGGAAAAAAAGTCAAATCTACTACAGATGCTTCTTGACTGACAATGGGCTACCTCCTGATACACTCTTTTTACATTGAAAATATCATAAATGGAAAGAAATGCATTTAGGTCAGGTGCAGTGGCTCATGCCTGTAACCTCAGCACTTTGGGAGGTAGAGGCAGGAGAATTGCTTGAGCCCAGGTGTTTGAGACCAACCTGGGCAATACAGAGGGATCCCTTCTCTACAAAAAATTTTAAAAAATAGATGGACATGATGGCACGCACCTGAGGGCCCTGCTACTTGGGAGGATGAGGTGGGAGGATCGCTTGAGCAGGGAAGGTTGAGGCTGCTATGAGCCATGATCCTGCCACTGGACTTCAGCCTGGGTGACAAAGTGAGACCCTGTCTCAAAGAAAAGATAAAGAAAATGCATTTAATGCTGGCAACACAGCAGGTAGACCCTGAGTTAGAAGGGTTCTACTTATAACTTTTTGACTTTAAAATGGCCCAAAAGCAATAAGCATTCAGTAGAAAGTGTAACCCCATTTTCAGGCATAAGGAGCTCCTTGATTTATGGTGGGATCACATTCACAATAAACGTAAACTTGAAAATTTTTAAATTGAGCCATCCTAAATAGAGGACCATCTGTAGTTTAGGAATAAATTCAGACAATGCCATTGCATTCTTTCTTATGGTATTTTATTTCATGTATTCTGAATATGTCCGTCATCTGGGCCTACCTGTGTAGCTTCTTCAACTACACCTGCCTCTGCCTCTATAAACTTAGTTATTTTCTTCCCAGTGTTCTTTAGTTGAATTATTCTACTGTACTCATACTCTCAACAATTAAAGGTAATTCTGTGGCCCACATCAAGTAAATCTGCTAATAAACCATAAAATATATCTGCAAAGTCCAAAATGATATCTGGCTCACCAAATCTTCTGGTCTTTGACATTTGGATTCAATCGGAGAAATAAAAATGATGCTAATACTTTATTTTCTTAAATATTTAAAAATATGTAAATTCCGTTATTCAGAAAGTGTCTCAACATTTCAGTTGTATTGGTGCTGTATATCTGCATACAATGTTTCTGTTTAATTTTCTATGGACCTATTTATATTGGATTTGGTTTAATTTTATCTTTATTTTGCCTGCTGATTTCTTTGGTTGGATGGAATATTCTTTTTTTCTTTTTTACAGTCAGGGTCTCACTCTGTTACCTAGGCTGGAGTGCAGTGGTGCGATCATACCTTACTGTAACCTCAAATTCCGGGGCTCAAGCAATCCTCCCACCTCAGTCTCCTGAGTAGTTACGACCTTGTCTCTACAAAATATTCAAAAATTAGCTCGGACTATGTTGCCCAGGCTGTTCTTGAACTCCTGGCCTCAAGAGATCCTCCTACCTCAGCCTCCCAAAGTGTTGGGATTACAGGTGTGAGCCACTATGTCTAACCTGGAGAGAATATTCTTTAGTTCTTGGGTGCTCTGAAGGATAAATGCTACATTTTCTTCAATATGTATCTTGAAATAGGCTCCATGATCAATTCTCAACATCATGAAAAGATTGTTTCAAACACCTACACTACAGAAAAATTCATCTTTTATAAATTGAAAATGGAAACATTTCCATGGCAAAAGAACCTTGAACTGAAGGTATCTAATTTGGAATTTGCTTATAGAATCTGGCTGTCACAGGAGTATAAAAGATTAGCTCCTACAAGCCACAAGTTTCTCGTTATGATTGCAACAAATTGACTGCAGACTGACTGCAGACATGCTAGACTTCAGATTTTATGATCTTTAACACAATATTTACTTTTTACAAAATATATTGTGGGCACTGTATTAGCTCGTTTTGCTAGGGCTGCCTTAAAGAAGTACCACCAATTGGGTGGCTTAAAAAAGAGAAATTTATTTTTCACAGTTCTCAAGGCCAGAAGTTCGAGATTAAGATACCAGCAAGGTTGGTTTCTACTGAGAGCCGCTCTCCTTGGCTGCCATCTCTCTATGCCCTCACATAGTCTTTGGTCTGTGTGTGCACATCCTGTTGTCTCTCTGTGCGCACACACACACGTGTGTGTCTTTCTGTGTGTCCAAATTTTCTCTTCTTTTAAGAACATCATCAAATTGGGTTAAGGCCCACCCTAATGGCCTCATTCTATCCTAATCACCCCTTTAAAGACCCTATCTCCCAATACAGATTGAAATGCTTGGGACTAGAAGTGTTGCAGATTTCTGATTTCAGATTTTGGAATATTTTTATACACAAAATGAGATATCTTAAGGGATGAGACCATACTAAATATGAAATTCATGTATGTTTCATAAACACCATATAAACATAACCTAAAGGTAATTTTATACAATATTTTACATAATTTAGCATAGAAAACACAGTTTTGACTGCATTTTACTGAAACCCATCACATGAGGTGAGGTGTAGAGTTTTCCACTTGTGGCATCATGTCAGCCTTCAAAAAGTTTTGGATTTTGGAGCATTTTGGGTTTCAGAGCTTCAGATTAGAGATGCTCAACCTGTACAGTGGCATTCTGAGGTGCTGAGGGAAAGGGCTTCAACATATGAATTTTGCAGGGATGCAATTAAGCCCATGACAGGCACCTACAAAGTAGCAATGGGAATTTAGCCCCGAATAAAGTAGACAAAAGCTCTGCTATCTTGGAGTTTATATCGTTGTACTTAATGTGTCTAAATTTTCAATTTCCTCATCTGCACAACAACTCAGATTGTTGCTGTGATTATGTTAGATAATGGCAGAGAGCAATTAAGATAGTTCCTGGTCCATAGCAAGTCTCAATAAATCATCATGAGAATTGTAACAATAAAACATGGTGATAAGCATGGGCAGGTTAGATGGAGGAAATCTTCACACTCCTGCTCCCTGGATTTGAAATGAGGTAGTTGCCTTCAGGCAATGACACCGTTGCTGCCCAAGTGCTTTATTCATAGGGCATGAAACATTACTTCACAAAGTCTTACAAATTATTTGACTTCATCACTACAATTACAAGAGTCATTCTGTTTCTGTAAATGATATGAAGATATGTTATCTCTTAAATTCTTTTTGGTTTGCTCTTAAAGAGGGACGTAAGTTTCTAGTTCTTTATATCTAATTCATTGTGCTTGGGTCCAAAGTAAATTGGAACAACCGCCTCTGATTAACTCTGTTGCAAATTCCTGAGAAATATATTTTCAATATTGTAATATCATCTCAGTTGAAAGAATTGCTTCAAAATTGATTCCTTTGGTGACAAACATGTTCTTTCTTAAAAGACTTTTCTTCTTTGTGTACATTCGTTTATTCAACAAATATATATTTTGTGCCTGTTATGTATACAGGCAACGGTCTTGGGCTAGGGATACAAAAGTAAACAAAACAGACAAAATTCTCCGACTTCAAGTAGCTTACACTTAAGTGTTGATTGGTAGAAGTTTTTCTGTGGAAAATACACTATTCATTCACAACTCTCTACTTCTAAGGAACATCATCCATCACTGTAATTTAGAAAGCATGGTGACCTCAACTGCAAAGTATAATGGCATATTTACACTTTTAGTACAAACTTTTATCCTCAAATCCTAACTTAAAATAAGCACTATTGCAAATATAATTTTTTGTCTAGACTCATCCTGCTTTAGATATTTGAACATGACAAAATTCCTTGAATTTACTTTTAGGCAATTATCAAGTCACTTCATGCTAAATCAGGGCAAGTGTACATCTTAAATATCACTGAATTCCTATTTCCAGTTAAGCGGCTCCCTTTCATTATCTTAGCTCAGTTAATTGTCATTTTACTCATGAATTAATCTATTATACACACTGCAAAAAAGATGCTTTTCTGTTTCAAAATTGTCAGTTGGCTTTCACCTTTAACAACCCCCTGCATGCTACATGCTACTATAGGTTCAACAAGATACAGCTTCTTTCAGTTCCTCAAGCAAGACGATGTGCAATCCCAATACTCAACCTTGTTTCAAACAAAAAATTCCACTAGAATTCATTGGTAGATTCTTTTCTCTTTTCAACTTTTTTGTAGTACTGGTTTCTGCATGTCTGTTTCACACACTAGACTTACTACATTGCAAGCTAATAAAGGCAGAGATTATGTATGCCATATTCATCTTTGTATTCTCAGTTGACAGAATAGTTTCTTCCTCCTCCCAATTGTTTTATTTAAATAACTTTACCCAGTCATATTTTGCATATCATATAATTCACTCTTTTCAAGTGTACAAATCAATACATTTTAGTAAGTATATGAAGTTGTGAAACTGATAGCGACAGGAGACAGACAAATTACTAAGCAGACAGGGACGGGTCCCTGGTGAAACTCAACTTTCAAACTGAGCACAGTTTAAAGCCAGAAAACCAAACTGCCAGTTCCAGAGTCTGCCACTGCGGTGAAAAGTTCCATCCCTTTCCCCGTTTACTCACTCTCTGTCTCGATTGGTTCCTTCTGAATGATGCCTTTTAACCAGTCAAATGGTGCTTTATCGAAGACCCACCCATGAAACACACCTTCACAAATTTAAAACATTGAAATCCTACAAAGTATGTTCTCAGGCCATAAAGCAAGTAGAAATTAATAACCTAAAGAGAGATGGAAAATTCCTAAATATTTGAAAGCAAAAAATACACGTGTAAATAGCACATAGATCAAAATGAAGTTTCAAGAGAAATAAAAATAATTTGAACTAAACAAAAATACATATTAGTAAATATTGCAGGATGCAGCAAAATCAATGCTTAGAGGAAAATGCATAGCATTAAATGCACATATTAAACAAAAGAAAGACTTAAAATCAATAGCCTAAGCTTCTACCTTAGGAATGTAGAGGAAGAATAGCAGACTAACTGTACAACAAGTAAAAGCCATTAAATAATAAGTATTGGAGCTGAAATCAACCAATTCACAAGAAGAAAACAAAAGAGAAAATCAATAAAGTCAAAAGCTGTTTTTTTGAAGATATCAATAAAATTGGTAAGCGTCTAGCCAGATTAACCAAGAAAAAAAACAAAGAAGACACAAATTACCAGTATCAGAAATGAAACCAGAAATGGGGTATTCCAACTGATCTCATACAAATGGAATTTATTCTGTGAATTATTACACAACCAAGTGAGATTTATTTCATGTATGCACAGCTGACTCAATTAAAAAATTTAAAAATACAAACAATTAATACATAAAATCTACTATATCTACAGGCTGTTGAAGGAATAACATATGACCACTTCAATTGACTCACAAAAAGCAACACCCATTGACAAAATCTAACACCCATTTAGGATAAAAATTTTTGGCCAATTAGTAATAGAGTGGAACTTCTTTGAATTAATAATGAACATCTACAAAATACTAGAGCTAACAATATAGTTAATGGTGATGTTACCAAAACAACAGGGGTTTGGTCAAGGTCCTGCCAGTTGTTGCACAGAAAGCCAATCACTAATACAATGAGTAATGCCAAGGAAGAAGGCCTTAATTGGTTGTTGCAGCTGAGGATATAGGGCCTCAGTTTCAAATCCGTTTCTCCGACCTACTAAAACTATGGTTTTTTGTAGCAGGGAAAAAATATAATGATATGTAAGAAAGCAGAAACTAGGGAGGTCAAGGAAGCAATCATGATGAATAGGGGTCCAGCATTTCATTGTCTGAATGTGGTGATCTGGTGAGTTTCAGTTCTTTAATACTTTTTGTGAGAGGCCTGAACATCATTTCCTGAGGAAGGAATTAATATAAAACAAATGCAAGGTTCAAGCTTTAAGACCACAGTGGTCAATTTCTATGTTTATCCATATCTATGGGACTATTGGGCCAGTTTCAGTGACAGATTAGATACTTTCCTTCTAAGATCAGGAATAAGTCAAGAGCATCCTCCCTTATAATTCCAATTTAACATCATTCTAGAAGTTCTTGCTAGTGCAATAACAAAATGAAATTAAATATATACAGTTTGGTGATATGACCTGAATGTTTGTGTCTCCTCATATCTCCAAATTCTAATGCTGAAGTCATCACTCCCAAGGTGATAGTATTAACCTTGAGAGGTAAATCCTTTGGGAGGTGATTAAGTCATGGGTATGGAGCCCTCATAATTGAGATCTTCATGCCTTTATAAAAAAGGTGCAAGAGAGATCCCTTTTCTTTCACCATGTAATGTTAGAGTGAGAAGAAGGCTATCTATGAGAATGTGAACCCTCACCAGACACTGAGCCTAATGGGTCTTTGATCTTGGACTTCCCAGAACTGATGAAAAATAAATTTCCTTTATTCATAAGTCACCCAGACTGTGGTATTTTCTTATAACAGCCAAAGTAGACCTAGACAGTTGGAAAGGAAGAAATGAAACTGCCTTATATACAGTTGAAATAATTGTCTATGTAGACAACACCAAATACTCTACAAAAGCCTCCCAGGATTAATAAGCAAGTTTGTGGAATATAAGTCCATATTCAAAAATTTCCCTATATATTATCAATAAGGTATTAAACTATTGACATTTTTAACTAAAAAAAAAACTATTTACAATAACTTCCAAAAAGGGAGTATCTAGGCATAAATTTAACAAAATATTGTCTAAGTTCCCTATTCATAAAACTAAAAAAACAAATAAAAGATGTAAATAAGTGGAGTGATGCTCTGTGTTCATAATTATTACCATATGATGAAAATGTCAATTCTTCTCTAACTGATGCACAAATTTAACACAATACCTGCCAAAATCCCAGAAAGTGACTTTGTCAATATTGACAAGTTACTTTTCAATGTTATATAGAAAGGCACAGTACTTAGCATAGCCAACATAATACTTCAGAAGAACAAAGTTGGAGGACTCACATTGTCCTATTTCAACCATTTACTGCAAATCTATGGTAATCAAGAGAGTATCATATTGATGCAAAAATAGACACTTAGGTCAATGGAACAAAACAGAGAGCTCAGAGATAGATTCACAGATAGGGAGCTCAGAGATAGATTCACAGAAATATAGTCAACTGATTTTTTTGATGAAGGCATGGAAGCAATTCAAAGGTAAAAGGAAAGTCTTTTCACTAAATGATGCTGGAACAATTGAATTTCCATATGCAAAGATATCAACCTAGGCCTATATCTTACATGTTACACAAATTTTATGTCAAAATGGATTATAGAACTAAATGAAATGTGAAAATATAAAAGTTCTAGAATGAAAAATTAAGAAAAATACCTATGTGGTTGGGTTTGGTAAATAACTTTTAGATACACCGTCAAGATCCTTGAAAAAAAATAGTCAATTTGAGTTGCACTTTTCTGTATTAGTCTATTTTTGCATTGCTATAAAGAAATACCTGAAACTGGAAAATTTTTAAAGAAAAAAGATTTCTGCAGTCTGTACAGGAAGAAGCATAGTGGCTCCTGCTTGGCTTTCTGGAAAGGCCTCAACAAACTCACAATCATGGTAAAAGGCAAAGAGGAAGCAGGCATGTCTTACATGGCCAGAGCATGAGGAAGAAAGAGGGGGGAAGGTGCTGCACACTTTTAAATAACCAGATCTCATGAGAAATCATTCTTTATACAGTACTAATGGGGATGGTACTAAACTATTCAAGAGAACTCTGCCCCCATGATCCAATCATCTCCTACCAGGCCCCACCTCCAATACTGAGGATTAATTACAATTTGACATGAGCTTTAAACTGGGTGACAGATCCAAATCATATCATTTACTAAAATTAAAAAGCTACTGTTAAGAAAAAAAAATCCTACCTTGTGAAGATACAAAGAAATTGTAAGACTCTACAATGATAAATTAGATAACTTGTGCTAGTTTTTTTGTTTCTGTTGTAACAAATTATCAAAAACTTAGTCACTGCTATAGTTTGGATGTTTGTCTGCCAAACTCCATGTTGAAATTTGATCTTCAAAGTTGGAGGTAGGGTGTAATGGCAGGTGTTTGGGTTTTGAGGGCAAATCCCTCTGAATGGCTTGGTGCCATTCTAGTAGTTAATAGCTTCCTCTCTTATCATGTGATCTCTTCACACACAGGCTCCCCTTTACCTTTCACCATGAGTAGAAGCAACCCGAGGCCCTTACCGGAAGCAGATGACGCCAGCCTCATGCCCCTTATAGGCCCCTCAAGCCTGCAGAACCATGAGCCAAATAAACCTATTTCCTTTATAAGTTACCCTGCCTCCAGTATTTCTTTATAGCAACACAAATGAACTAAGACAGTGACTTAAAACAATAAAAATTTATCTTACATTTTGAGAGATCACAAGTTCAAAAATGGCCAGCAGGTATGCATTCCTTCTGGAAGCTCTAGGGGAGAAGCTATTTCCTTCCCTTTTTGAGCTTCTAGAGGCTACTTATAGTCCTGCATGACTCCACCCTTTACTTTCAACATCACATCTACTCTGATTCTGATTTTCCTCCCTTCCTTTATTACGATCCCTTATGATTACATTGGGCCCACTCAGATAAGCCAGGTTAATCTTCCCATCTCAAAAGCCTTAACTTAATCATATTTGCAAGGTCATTTAATGTTCCAGTGATTCAGGTGTCAACATATTTAAGGGCCTTATTCTGTTTAAATAACCCAAGTAAGAGTGACCAATATATTTAAATAAACAGCTTACTTTAAAAAAGATGTAGAAAAATCATATAAACATATGGTAAAATGCTCAACAACATTTGTCATTAGAAAAGTACAAATAAAAACAATGAGATGGCATTACATACCTGTTAGAATATATGAAATTTAAAAAGGCAATACCAACTGCTAGTAAGGATGTGTAGCAACAGGATGTGGGCATGTGTAGCATTCATTGCTGGTGGGGTACAAAACAATGTAGGTATTTTGAAGAGAATTTGGTAATTTCTTACAAAATTTCTTACAAAAGGCACATGAGCATAGCCTTACCACATGTGCACACAAAAATTGCACATATGCATAGGTGTTTATAGCAGCATTATTCATAATTGCCAAACCTGGAAGGACCCAAGATATCTTTTAACAGATGAATTAAAACAAACTGTAGCAACCCATACTATAGAGTGCTATCCAGCAATAAAAAGGAGAATCATCAAGATACACAAAAGCATGGATGGATCTTAAATGCATATCAATGAGTAAAAGAAGTCAATCTGAAAAGGCTACCGAGTGCACAATTTCATTCATATGACATTCTGGAAAAGACAACACTGTAGAGAAGATAAACAACTTGGTGGTTTCTATTACATTTTTGGTCAGGCTTTTGTCTACCTCAACTGCACTCACTGTCTTGGGCTATTGTGATGTCACCAACAAATTACTATTGTTTTCAGTAATGTCCTGGGGAAAGGCTTTTTATTCATTGGCTTTTGGCTGTTTGTTTTGCAGAGCTGAACCCCAAACTAAATAATTATGAGGCCATGGGAATAAAGATTTTTTTCAGAAACGCTTTTGTCTTGTCATACTCTAGGCTGTGCTCTGATAATGGGGTTTTCAACAAAGCTCCAAATGGGAGCTTGGCTGTAAGTGGGCTAGCTTTTATGCCTACCATGCCTCTGATGTGGGGAGTAAGGCAGGATGGGTCTATCCCCAAGTTAAAATGTCACAGACCATGCTATTCTGACTGAGGTTTAGTAGTAGTTCTTGAATGGGTGCTTTCCATTCATTCTGTGAACTGGATTGATTTCCACAGTTCTGAAATGCTTGCTTTTTATTATTTTGCCTAATTTTGTTGCCTTTAGGGGTGCAGCAGGTTCACTCAGGTCTTAATTTCCCCATTCCAGAAGGCAATGTCTAACAAGCATAGATCTTACCCTCAATGCATTAATATCCCAGCTAGAGTAGAATGATGAACACAGCTGGGGAGCAGTGGTACAGTAAATTGAAGTAAGAACCTGTGGAAGTGGGAGTTAAATGCCAGTATTAAATATTCAGATTTTACCCCATAAGTAAGAGAAAATCCTCAATATTTAGAATTGAAGGAGTAACCTGGACAGTAAGATTCGTCAATAAGTATTCTGGAAATTGTAGATGAATTATTGAAGAATATTTTGATAAAGGCAGGCAAGTTGGGAGACTTCTAAAATATGTAGAAGTAAGCTAAAAATGTCATGAGTTATTTGGGTCAATAGAAATCTAAGAAATTGCAATAAACTTATTTTTTTAAGGAACATGATGGAATTTTAAGATTTGCTAATATGTGAGGCAGATAAAAGGCTAAAATCAGAAATGCTTTAAGTTTTTAAATTTGAATGACTGGAGAAATTAATCCATTGATAGAAATAAGAGATTAGTGTTAGGAGGAGGAAAATTTGTTACATTGTTTGAATTTAAACATCGATGGAACATGCAAAAGAGATTTATTTTTTTTAAATTGGAGACAGGTAAATAGAATTCAGTTTAGAGGTTAAAGTCTGCTAACATAGCTTTGTAAATAAATTTCAGATGAGTACATTTTTTAAAAAGAGATGATTTTTACAGAGAAGTACGTTATAACATACAAAAAATACAGTTTTGAAGGCGGAAATAGAGTGCGAGACACGGATTGTGGACGATTTGCTGAGTGCTATCAAAGGTGTGACAATTTATCGGAAGGATGCTATTTAGAACTTGTTTAATATAGTTTAAAACAGAAATAACAAGTGGATAACCAAAATGGGAGAAAAGGCTAGAAAAGATGCAACACAATTTTTAAAACTTAAGCAGTTTTCAAAGCACTGTTGTGTTATCTTTGACTGGATCCTGGACAGAAAGGACATTAATGGCAAAACTTGTGAAATCCAAATAATGTTTTAAGTTTAGTTAATCATTGTAGTAAGAAAAATAATCTTATTGTTATCTCTTGCTAGTACGTAATCACCTATCTGCTACAGATAATTAGAGTACAAGTAGAACCTCACAGATGAGTCAATGAAGAATTTAGTGTTAACAAATTTTAGGAAAACAGTTTCATTTGAGTTCTCCTGTTGTTTTCTTTTCTTGTAGGTAGCGATGTGACATATAGGGAAGGAAGAATTGAAGTTATTTCAGCTCTGAAGAATCAGAGCTAAAATGTTTATTTCATCAGGCATGGTAAATGTTTTGATAGGCCTCTGGAGAATGAAGCAGTCACTTTTTAAGTATGTTATTTTTTATGGCAGTAGCACTGCATGTACACGGAACACAAGTTACTACTTTTACTAGGAAAGGAAGTAGTGTTTTTGATGTTGTCATTAGATCTATAACTAGAATAAAAACATAATCATAAATATACTTGGTTCGAATCTATTTTTATTCAGAATAATAAATATGAAATATTTTTATTCAGAATAATAAATATGAAATATTTTTTATTCGCATTCAACTTGCTGCCAGTTGACTGTGTTCATAATTTTTTATTAAAATATCTGTGTTTTCTCCAGTTTATCATCTTATTGTAGATAAGACATTTTTACATGCAATGAAACAAGCTACTGAACAAACAAGTTCTGACTAATGTAATTCAATATAGACTCTCAGTTCTATTACATCATTGCTGTATTAGTCTATTCTCACACTGCTAATAAAGACATACCCAAGACTGGGTAATTTATAAAAGAAAGAGATTTAACGGACTCACAGTTCCACATGGCTGGGGAGGCCTCAACAATCATGGCAGAAGGCAAATGAGAAGCAAAAAGCCTGTCTTACATAGCAGCAGGCAAGAGTGTGATCTTTATAAAACCATCAGATCTTGTGAGACTTATTCACTATCATGAGAACAGCATGAGAAAACCTGCCCCCATGATTCAATTACCTGCCACTAGATCCCTCCCACAACACATGGGGATTATGGGAGCTTCAACTCAAGATGAGATTTGGGTGGGAACACAGCCAAATCATATCAGTCACCAATGGTATTTTATATTTTAGGTGATAATATTATTAATAATATTGATATCAACTTAAAAAATATCAAATATTATCTTCCTCTATTACATTATCTGAAGATCTACCTCATATAGGTCATAATGTTCCTTAAGCATGGTCTTCATTTTTCCCAAATAAGCAAATAGTGAACAATGTTGGTCTCATTTCATTTGATTGTATTTGTAGTTGACTGTCCTCTCAACTTCCCCTTAAAATACATATTCACAAATTATTGGCTTTAAAAGTAATTATAATAATGCCATCGCTGAAATTTTTTGCTACTTAAAAGCAATATAATGAACAAAACATAGGTTCTTAAATACATGCTTTTTTGTTTTTAAATTCTTGAGATGCAATTTCTAGAATTTGTATTTTTACAATTTGCTAAGTGTACAGTACAAAAATAGTCTGCTTCTGTGAAGAAAACCTCTGCCAAGAACGTTTTGTTTTATCTTTATGATGAATGTAGATCCCCATTAAAAAGCACATTTTTCATTTCAAATGTTGAATAAGATGATACTTAAAATAATTCAGTTGGTTAAAATTAGATGCTAAGGAAGAAAAAAGCACACACACAAGAGAGTATTTTCTGGTTCTATAATACATTCATTTGATTATAAAATATAACTGTTAATCACTTAATATATAAAAAGCCAACTGAGTCTTGACATTCATGTTGTTTTGAGTAATGCTTCTTTCTTCATAAATACAAAATAATATTAAACACATTTTTTCAATAACATTGTTACATATTAAATTAACCCACCTTTACTTTTAGTGAATGAAAAAAATACTTAGTAGTATGACTTAATTTTCTTACTGCTACTAGTATGTGATTTTCTTATTTCAGTCCACATACTGCTTGTCTTAAAAGATAACTCACGATATAATTCCATCAAAGAGGATAGTATAAATTCTCTAAATGTTTGTTTTAGATTTAACCATAGCTTTCTCTTTACATTATCTATCCAGCTCTTTTACTGAGGGATTTTGATCTTCTACTCATTGGAGGAAACTTTTCCATAAAACCAAAAGCATAACTCCTATCTGAAATTGTTTATTTCTTCAAAAACATTTATTGTATACCTAAAGCATTCAATTCATTAATAAGGAATCTAGTGATAGGGTTGTTTAATGGGTGAAAAATGCACTTTCACTTTCAAACCAATTGAATATTGTTGTGGTATGAATGTATCCCCCAAAATTCCTACATTGAAATCCTAATTCCCATGATGGTATTAGAGAGTGGGCTTTGGGGAGGTTATTAGGTCATGGGGACATAGCCTTCATAAATGGGATTAATGTCTTTATAAAAGAAGCCCTAGAGAGACTCCCTGTTCTTTCCACATGTGAGGATATAGATAGAAGGTGCCCTTTATTATCTGAAAAGTGGGCCCATATCAGACACAAAGGCTGTCTTAATCTTGGACTTCCCAACCTTCAGAATATTAAGAAATAAATTTTGTTTGTTTATAAGGCACCCAGTTTACGGTACTTTGTTATGGGAGCCCAGATGGATGGAGACAGACCTATAATACCTAGATCAGTATTTTTTAAAGCATGATGCATGGATGAGCTTCATTTAGGACTACCTACAGGTGTTTGTTAATAGTGATTGCTATGGCCTTACACTGGGCTTAATAAACCAGAATACTTAAATTCAAAACCACTGCTGAGCATGCCACTGCATGTAGAAAGGTGTGAGAGCCACTGAGTTAGAAAGAAAAATGATAGATAGTAGATAATCTATATTTAAGTCATTTTCTAATCACAAGCATTTATAATAGATTTGATAATAGTCTGTAAAGAAACGTCTTAGGAAACTAGTCCTGCTATATTCAGGCACCTCTGCAAATTTTCCACACATCTAATACTTAGTTCCTTGTGCTAATCCTGTTTCATTAAAATATTCTTAAAGAAATTTGTTTGCATATTATTATTGAAATGGTTCCCAAAATATCTCTATTGAATTACTTCCTTTTCAAAGTATTTTAAAAGAGCAATGATGTATTTTTCTCAGCACACTAACCATCAAGACCTGTTTTATATAACCAAGAGTGTTTTAAAGAAATAAATTATGTTTGCCTAGCATCACCCAACTCCATCAGCCAAGACCAGGCACTTAATTTGCAAGTTCTAGTGCAAAATAGATATGTGCAACTACTTGTTCATTATTTATTATTCATTTCAAAGTGATGGTATCAGAGCATTAGCAGAACCACAGGGCCCTGTAAGACTGCACAGGTTTTTAATCCATGAAGTTGTCCTTGCCAATAGAATACTCATGTGACTTCTACTAGTGAATGACCAAAACATGGTTTAGAAAAAAAAAAAAATTCAAGACTTCATTAAAAAAATAAGATATTTGGCCCGGCGCGGTGGCTCACGCCTGTAATCCCAGCACTTTGGGAGGCTGAGGCCGGTGGATCACGAGGTCAAGAGTTTGAGAACCTCCTGGCCAACGTGGTGAAACCCCGTCCCTACTAAAAATACAAAAATTAGCTGGGTGTGGTGGCGGGCGCCTGTAGTCCCAGCTACTCTGGAGGCTGAGGCAGGAGAATGGCTTGAACCCAGGAGGTGGAGGCTGCAATGAGCCGAGATTGTACCACTGCACTCCAGCCTGGTGACAGAGTGAGACTCTGTCTCAAAAAAAAAAAAAGATATTTATATAATATTTATGTTGTTTAACACCTAAAATTTTTAAACAAAAGTAAGTCCTTTTTTTGTTTTGTTTTGTTTTGTTTTTTTGAGACAGAGTCTTGCTCTGTCGGCCCAGGCTGGAGTGCAGTGGCGTGATCTCGGCTCACTGCAACCTCTGCCTCCTGGGTTCAAGCGATTCCCCTGCCTCAGCCTCCTGAGTAGCTGGGACTACAGGCCCGCGCCACCACGCCTGGCTAATTTTTGTATTTTTAGTAGAGACAGGGTTTCACCATGTTGGCCAGGATAGTCTCCATCTCCTGATCTCGTGATCCACCTGCCTCACCCTCACAAAGTGCTGGGATTACAGGCGTGAGCCACCGCGACTGGCCAAAAGTAAATCTTAAGTTATATAATGCTACCTTTAGATTGTATTAATTTTATTTATTTATTTATTTTTCTGGTGAAAAATATGTATATTTAGAATTATCCAGCTAGACTCAGTGTAAATGATCCCAGTTTTATAGGACAATTTCTTGAAGAAAATCACTTATGACAATTGATTACTTTGGTCAATTACTTATTTTAAAATGAATTTTCTATCTTTTAACCCCTTTTTACTCAACTCCAAACTTGTTCTAACCAAATGAATCTAGACTTGTAGAATACTGTTCCCATATAATAAATACTTAATTTGGCAGAAAATAGAGACAGGTGATACCGAGGTAGATCTTTGACTTCCAGGTAATATGGAGCTTAATATCTCAGATCCAATGTTCAATCTCTTAATAAACACAGACCAAAAATGTGTAAAACAGGAATACTAATGCAATACAGCCAAATTAAGTGGTATTTAACACAGTTTCCTCCTATTTTTCTTCTTTTGCCATCATAAACACATTTTTAAAATTCCACTGTTTCTAAATACATACTCCTCTCACATGTTCCACATGGAGACATTTAAATAACTATGTAGTATGGGTAAAATAGAATAACCCTTAAGATCTCTGCCAGCTGGCACTGAAATGAACCTTCAAAATCATTGTTTTCCCTTCTCTGAAGGACTCCCTGAGGATTACATTGAAAACAATTCTGTCTTGCTGTCTAACATAGTTCATGCATCAACTCTAACCTACAGTGACACAGAAGAATTCCTGCAGTGTATTACCCTGAATAATCCACAATGAACATTCAGAAGACAATTTTAACATTCATGTTCTACATATATAACATGTATGTTGGGATCAAGATTTATCAATGTTTATCAATATATGCTATAGTGGATAATAGCTTAGGAAAAATATGTCTGGTAGACCCGACTAAATATATGACTGCATGTAATCAAATTATATGCAGTCATATAGCAGTTCAAACAGTTACATCAATAACTTACACTAGCACTTACTTTACCATATTAAGTATTATGGTTTAGAGAGAAAATGGAAAGCATGCTGTGATGTTTAAAGTATTCTACTGGAAATATTTGTTATCTTTTGCCTTGTATTCTCAAATTGATGTTTTCCTTGTCATTATGTCTTTACAGCAATATTTTATCTGATACTGTGTCATAGATTAGCCCTCATTCTTCAGATAAGTGACATTAAAATACTTTATGTTATCTATGATTTTTGAAACAATGGACTTTGAGTAATTATTATAAAAAATTAAAATTTTTCTTTATAAATTTAAACAGCTATAAAGATACTATTTCTGGCATATTAAAAACTTTTTCATCTCCAAACAAAACTATCAATTAATTTTTAAAATGTAGCCAATTAAATCTAAATACCAAAGTGTTTTGTTAGCTACTATCATCTATTTATAAAATCCTGAATGACTGCCTCCCTACCAGGCAGAATATTTACATTTTATCTTTTCTTTTTATTTTTGCACTTAAATTAACTCACAATGACTTCATCCAAAATAATATATATCATTTTAAAAGATCATTGACTACCCAAGCATGGAGAAGTTTAAGAATAATCTTCAAAGATCAATTTCCTGTGACCATAAGCTTCAAAGGGTTAAATTTCTTTCAAATTTTTTTATTTCAATGGTTTTTTGTTACATGGATGTATTATATAGTGGTAAATTGTGAGATTTTAGTCCACCCCATCACCCCAAGAGTGTATGTTGTACTCAATATGTACTTTTTTATCCCTCATCTTGCCTCTCACCCTCTCCTTTCTGAGTCTCCAAAGTCCATTATATCACTTGGCATGCCTTTATGAATTCATAGCTTAGCTCCTACTGATAAGTGAGAACATAGAGCATTTGGTTTTCCATTCCTGAGTTACTTCACTTAGAATAATAGCCTTTAGTACCATCAGAGTTGCTGTGAAATACATTATTTTGTTTATTTTTATGGCTGAATAGTATTCCATGGTGCATATATACCAGATTTTCTTTATCAGCTTATTGGTCGATGGACACTTAGGTTGGTTCTATATCTTTGCAATTGTGAATTGGGCTGCAATAAACATATGTGAGCACATGTCTTCTTCATATAATAATTTATTTTCCTTTGGGTAGATACTAAGTAGTGGGATTGCTGGATTGAATGGTAGACCTATGTATTTGTTTGTTTTCATGCTACTGATGAAGACATACCCAAGACTGGGCAATTTACAAAAGAAAGAAGTTTAATAGACTCACAGTTCCACGTGGCTGGGGAGGCCTCACAATCACAGCAGAAGGTAAAAGGCATGTCTCACATGGCAACAGGCAAGAGAAGAGAATGAGCGCCAAGAAAAAGAGGTATTCCCTTATAAATCCATCAGATCTCATGAGACTTACTACGGAAGAAGAGTGTGGGGGAAACCACCCCCATAATTCAATTATCTCCCACTGGGTCCCTCCCACAATATGAGGGAATTATAGGAGGTAAAATTCAAGATGAAATTTGGGTGGGGACACAGCCAAACCATATCAATCTACTTTTAGTTCTTTAAGGAATTTCCATACTATTTTCTGTAGAGGTTGTACTAATTTACATTCCAACCAGCAGTGTATAAGTGTTCCCCTTTCACCATATTCATGCCAAAATCTGTTGTTTTTTGACTTTTTGATAATGGCCATCTTTGCAGGAGTAAAGTGGTATCTCATTGTGGTTTTAATTTGCATTTTCCTGGTGATTAGTGATGTTCAGCATTTTTGTCATGTTTGTTGGACAGTTGTGTATCTTCTTTTGACAAATGTCTATTCATGTTATTTGCCCACTTTTTGATGTGATTATTTGTTTTTTTCTTGTTGATTTGTTTGAGTTCCTAGTAGATTCTGGATACTAGTCCTTTGTCAGATGCATAGTTTACAAATCTTTTCTCCCGTTCTGTGGGTTGTCTGTTTAATTGACTGATTATTTACTTTGCTATGAAGATTTTTAATTTATTCAGGTCTGATTTATTTATTTTTATTTCTGTTGCATTTGCTTTTGGGGTCTTAGCCATGAATTCTTTGCCTAGGCCAATGTCCAAAAGAGATTTTGCAAGCTTATCTTCTAGAAATTTCATGGTTTTGGGTCTTAGATTTAAGTCTTTGATCAACTTTGAGTTGATTTTTCCATAAGGTGAGAGACAGAGATCCAGTCTCATTCTTTTACATGAAGCTAGCCAGTTTTTGTAGTAACATTTATTTAGGTGTCATTTCCCTAATTTATGTTTTTGTATGCTTTGTCGAAGACCAGTTGGTTTTAAGTATTTGGCTTTATTTCTGTGTTCTCTATTTTGTTCCATTGGTCTATGTGCCTACTTTTATATCAGTACCATGCTGTTTTGGTGATTATACTGTTACAGTATAACTTGAATTCAAGTAATGTGATGCACCCAGATTTATTCTTTTGACTGAAAATGGCTTGGGTTATTTGGGCTCTTTTTTGGTTCCATATGAATTTTATGATAGTACTTCTAATTCTGTGAAAAATAATGTTGCCATTTTCACGGGAATTACATTGAATCTGTAGATGGCTTTGGGCAGTACAGTCCTTTTCACAATATTGATTCCTCCAGTTCATAAGCATGAGACATGTTGAAATTTGTTTGTGTCATCTATGATTTCTTTCAGCTGTATTTTGTAATTCTCATTGAAGAGATCTTTCACTTCCTTGGTCAAATATTCCTAGGTATTTTATTTTTTTTTTGTCACTGTTATAAAAGGGATTGAGTTCTTGATCGAATTCTCGGCTTGGTTTTTATTGGTGAAAATTAATTTTGCAATCCGAGACTTTACTGACCTCATTTATTAAACATAGGAATCTTTAGAAGAGTCTTTAGTGTTTTCTAGGTATACAATCATATCATGGGTGAATAATGATAGTCTGACTTCTTTTCCAATTTGGATAAAGGGTTAAAATATCTGCTGATTATCATGACACTTAGAATTAGTGTAAATTGATTAAAGCATCATTAGTATATTATAATTGCTTATAATAATATGTTTTTACACTATTATTAAAATAGTTACTGTAATGTTTTTGTTATAATGCATCCATGTATTCGTTGATGAAATTTACTTATTTTTCAGGTAATGTTCAACATTATTTCTCTTACTATTTTTTACATTTTCTGAGCATAAGCACTGAGAAATCATATATATATATATATATATATACACATACACATGTTGCATATTTAAATAATTGTTACATCAGTTATACCAATGTCACTGCTGTAACCTCCTTCTGGATTATGTAAGAAAAATGATATAGTGTAGACTTAGCAAAAAATATTTTTAATCATCTATCAGCTAACAAACTCAAGTTTTCAAATTAAGACACCATCAGACTTGAAAAAGAATACTTTTTGTTGTCCAATGTCAACATAAATATTACATCTACCTTGACATTCTCTGACCTCTCAGACTTGGTTATTTTATCTACACTTCTACACCACTGCAATGCTCTATCTTTCTCAACACATATATGTCATCTAATAAATGATCTGTCCTCCTGTTTAAATATTAAACTTCTTAAATACAAGGACCATGTCTTATTTATGTATGTTAAATGAATAAAATAATGAATTAATGCAAGCCTGTTTTACTACACACATTTATAAAAGCTCAAAAGTGACACAGGAAATATTTTAATGCCATAACACTCTTTATGTTGTTGATTTCTTTCTAAAATGAAGTTATTTATTCAGCATTAAAATATACCATATCTATTCTTGATTACATGCTGCTAAATTGAGATATATAGCTTTGAATTTCAGAGGTCATTTATTTGTAGTGGCTTCTGATTTTAATTGAAAAGCAACATTACACAAATTTATTAGATAACAGCATGTTGTTGTGATTAAGATAATAGATCCTGAGGTCAGACAGATTTCCTGCCATGGACTATCTGTGTAAGCTTGGGCAAATTACTTAATCTATGTTTCAGTTTCTTCATCTATAAACAGGCAATAATAGCCACCACATCAAGTTGTTTTAAATATTAAAGGAGATAATAAAAAATTAAGTCATTAACTTGTGTTTGCCTGGCAGATTGTAAGTCTTTAGTAAATGTCTTTGTCACGTTGGGCTGCCATAACTAAATATCACAGATGGTGGCGTGAACAACAGACATTTATTTCTTATAGTTCTGGAGGTGGGAAAATCCAAGATGAAGGGGCTAGAAGATTCATTTACTGGTAAGGTCCCTCTTCCTGGCTTGCAGACCTTGTCTGCTTGTTTCTGTATCTTCACATGGTGGAAAAAGAGAGAGAAAGCTCTTCCTCTTATAAGGACATTAATCCTATTAGGAGAGTTCGGCCCTCAAGACTTCCCAAAGGGCCCACCCCCAAACACAATCACATTAGGGCTCCAACGTGTGATTTTTAGGGGAACACAAACATTTGGTCTACAGCAGCAAATAATACTTATTCTACTGTTATTACATTTACTATTACCACCACTATTACCATCATAACTAATGTGAATAGTGCTTCATTTTACCTCATGTGTATGGCCAATCCTGTAAGCACAAACAAACCCAGCAGAAGATAATGTAATTGTGGCTAGAAAGGTAAAAAGAAACATAATAAAATTCCCCATATAGCATATACGGTAAATTATAGCACCAAATAGCAATATAATTCATGAGAACATCTACAGTAAAAAGCAGGTTCAGTGACTGAAAAATTGAGCAAGCCAATGAGATGAGGCATAAGGTGAATCTTGAAATAAAACCTTGCACTTAATACCTGGCCTATTCTCTGTGCAATTATGGCCTTTGAAATCTTAGTGTAATTTTGCATCAATGTTGTAATAACAATATTTTCTTTGTAGGGCTACTGGTCTCTAGGGAAAGTGCTAAAGATAAACTTCTCTTTCCTTTTATTTACCCTTCTTTCTCTTTTTTTTTTCCTGTCTTTAAAGTAAATGTGACTTACAAAGGCAGGTTTGTGGGGCTGAACCTGAGGCTTATGCAAATGCACATGTGTGACAGGGGCTAATAGAGCATTATATCAGAACCTAAGGGCTCAGTTCCATTTTCTCTCTTCTCATTTGAGATTCATCACTTTTTTATTACAGAAAAATGAGCTCAAAAAAGTTGAAAGACATATAAGTTCCATGAAATCTCCATTAGAGCAGAGAATTTATTTTGTTCCTGGCTGTAACCTTAAAACCTGGAAGAGTAGCTGGCACATATGAAGCATTCAAAAAATTTCTGTTGCTTTAATAATGACATAACGTTTTATTTGTGGGTTTTACATGTATCTTGTCAGGCTTTTTAATGATCTACTTTATGAGACGAAGAGCTATATCCAGAACTGAGTATGAAAATGTCTCTAAATAATCAATCAATTCATTCATTGATTTACTCATTCTTATCCATTTATTATTAATCACTTACAATGATAATGCCATAGCTTTTGTGCATAATTACCATATTTTTCAGTTATTCACAAAAAATAACCTATTTTTATTATAGGAATAAATGGTCTATAACTCAAACTTAATTATGTTTGATGAATTGCAACAGGTAAAGAAAGAGCATTTAATTTTGAATATTCAATCTTTCTCCATTATTCTTAAAAGGGATTCATTACAGTCTGAATTAAATTGGTTGGCAATAACATTATTATCACTGCATATGCATTTTTTTTTCAAAGAGCATCCTCTAGATTCACTTGATGCATGGAAAGAACCTATGATATCTATTTTCCTGGTTTTAGAAAGGCCTAAGTCTTTCCAGGAAAGATAGAAATTTAATTACAAGTAGTTAAATTTGCCTCTACTTCAGGGTTCTAGGTCAAATCATTTTTCAAAATACAGTTTTAATTCACTTTATTTTTTAATTGATAAATAAATAATTTTATGTATGCATAGGGTACATAGTGATGTTTTCATATGTATAACACATGGTAATCAAATCAGGATAATGAGCATATCCTTCATCTCAGAAATTTATCATTTCTTTGAGTTGGGAACATTAACTATCCTCCTAGCTATTTGAAGCTATATAATATATTATTGTTAACTATTGTTAGTTAACTACAGACATCTCTTTTAAATAATTATTTGTGTAGTTTGAACATATATTAGAACATTAGCTGTACATTGTTTTAAGAATCAAGAAATTCACCCATTAGAGAAATAATCATTACTTGATTTTTAAAATTTTATGACGAGTAACTTAAATATAGTAAAGTAAACATTCGATTGACACCTAGACTAACTTTTACAAGATAAAAAACATTTTGCAAAATTACAGAATACGCCCTTTCAATCAGTAATCTTCCAAAGTAAATGCTGTTTTATCTACTACCATATATTGGTTTTGCCTGCTTTTGAACTTCATGCAAATGGAATCACACACTGTATTATTTTATGTTTAGCTTCTTTCATTCAACACTGTGTGTTAGATTGATCCATGCTATTATGCATAGACTTGCTTTGTTATTTTTGTTTTGCTGTTTATAATTCCATTGTATAAATATACCTCCATGTATATATCCATTTTACTATTGGTAGATATTTACATTATTGTAGTCCAGGCTATTATGATATAGCTACTATAAACATTTTGTGCATAGTTTTGTTTTTGTTTTGTTGTTGTTGTTGTACACATGCACTGATTTCTCTATATATGTACCCAGGCTTCTAATTTCAGGGTTCATAAGGTAGGCATGTGTTTCATCATAGAAACTTCTGCCCAACGGGTTTTCAAAGTGATGTGCTGATCAGTGTATGCTCTCACCATCAATGTACAAGATTTCCACGTTGCTTTACATCTCCATCAACACTTGAAATAGCTAGGTACTAAATGTTTGTGTACCCCCAAAATTCATATGTTGAATCTCTAATCCTCAATATTGGAAGTAGAGCAAGATGGCAGATTAGAAAAGCTCCACCGATCATGCCCCCTACAAGTCCACCAAATTAACAACTATCTACACAGAAAAAAACACTTTCGTAAGAACCAAAACTCAGGTGCCCAGTCAGTCCCATGTTTTAACTTCATATCACTGAAAGAGGCACTGAAGAGATAAAAAAACAGTCTTGAATTATCAACAGCACCCCCCACCCTGCAAATCCCAGCAGCTGCAGCATGGTGTACAGAGTGTCTCTGGGTGCTGGGGAGGGAGAACACAGCAATCGTGAGGCATTGAACTCAGTGCTGTCCTGTTAGAGCAGAAAGGAAATCTGGACCAAACTCAGCTGATGCTCATCCATGGAGGGAGCATTTGAACCAGCCCTAGACAGAAGGGAATCACTGATCCCAGTGGTCCAAACTTGAGTGCTTGCAAACCTCACCACCAAGGGCTACCACACTCTGAGTCTCCAAGTAAACTTTAAAGGCAGTCTAGGTCATAATTGTAACTTTTAGGCAAGTTTTAGTGCAGAACTAGAACCAGAAACAGTGGATGAGGGGGCATGCGACATACTGAGATGCCAGCTTGGGCAGCCAAGGCTGTGCTGACATCACCTCTCCTCTAACCCCAGGCTGCAAAGCCCAAGGCTCTAAAAGATTTCCCTTCATTCTGCTTGAGCAGAGGAGAGGGAAGGGTGAGGACTTGTCTTGCATCTGGGATACCAGCTTAGCCACAGCAAGATAGGGCACTGGTCAGAGTAGTTCCAGATGACATTTCTAAAGCACCCTAGGCCAGAAGGAAACCCACTGCCTTGAAGGAAAGAACCTAGTCCTGGCAGCATTTATCACCTACTAACTGAAGAACCCTTAGATCCTGAAAAACCAGGTACTACATCAAGGACTGTATTAGTCAGGGTTCTCTAGAGGTACATAACTAATAGGATATATGTACATACAAAAGGGAGTTTATTAAGGAGAATTGACTCATACATTCATAAAATAAAGTCCCACAAAAGGCCATCTGCAAGATGAGGAGCAAGGAAGCCAGTGGAGGATCAGTCCGAGTCCTAAAACCTCAAAAGTAGAGAAGCTGACAGTGCAGCCTTCAGTCTGTGGCCAAAGGACTGAGAGGCCCTGGCAAACCACTGATGTAAGTCCAAAAGTCCAGCTGAAGAATCTGAAGTCTGATGTTCAAGGGCAGGAACCATCCAGTATGGGAGAAAGGTGAAGGCTGAAAGACTCAGCACTTTTGCTCTTACATCATCTGCCAGCTTTATTCTAGCCACACTGGCAGCTGATTAGATGGTGCCCACCCTGATCAAGGGTGGGTCTGCCTTGCCCAGTCCACTGACTCAAATATTGATATCTTTTGGCAACACCCTCACACACAGACCCAGGAACAATACTTTGCATTCTTTAATCAAGTTGACTCTCAATATTAGTCATCACAAGGGCCTTGGCGAGCTTCTGTGACTTGCTGGCCTCAGCAAGTCTGACTCAGCACATTTTGAGCCACACTGCAGCTGCAGTGGCTATGGCACAAAACTCCTTCTGCTTAAGCAAAGCAGAGGGGAAAGTAAAGGGGACTTTGTCTTGCACCTTAAGTACCAGTACAGCCACAGGGAATAGGATACCAAGTGGGCTGTTGGGGCCCCTGATTCCAGGACTTGACTCTTGGACAACATTTCTGGACCTGCCCTGGGCCAGAGAGGAGCCTACTGCCCTGAAGGGTAAATACTGGGCCAGAATGCATTCACAACCTGACTTAAGAGACCTTGGGCCTTAAGAGACCATCAGCAGTAGTCTGGCAGTACTCCCCATGGCTGTACTTATCAGTGGTGGTGGCTATGGGATGAGGCTCCTCTGCCTTTGAAAACGGGAGGGAAGAGGGAGAAGGACTGTATCTTTTGGGTTGAGTCACAGATCAGCCGCAATAAATTAATACCAAGTAGATTTTTAACATGGTTTGACTGTGTCCCCACCCAAATCTCATCTTGAATTGTAGCTCCCATAATCCCCATGTGTCATGGACGGGACCCAGTGGGAGGTAACTGAATCATGGGGGCAGGGTTTTCCTTTGCTTTTTATGTGATAGTGAATAAATCTCATGAGATCTGATGGTTTTATAAAGAGCAGTTCCCCTGCACATGCTCTCTTGTCTGCCACCATATAAGACATGACTTTGTTCCTCTTGCACCTTCTGCCATGAGTGTGGGACCTCCCCAGCCATGAGGAGCTGTGACTCCATGAAACCTCTTTATCTTTATAAATTACCCAGTCTTTGGTATGTCTTTATTAACAATGTGAGAAAGCAGGGACTAATACAGTAAATTGGCACTGCTGTAAACATACCCCAAAATGTGGAAGCGACTTTGCCACTGGGTAATAGGCAAAGGTTGGAACAGTTTGGAGGGGTCAAAAGAAGGTAGGAAAATGTGGGAAGGTTTGGAACTTCCTAGAGACCTGGAGGGCTCAGAAAACAGGAAGATATTGGAAAGTTTGGAGCTTCCTAGAGACTTGTTGAATGGTTTTGACCAAAATGCTGATAGTGATATGGACAATAAAGTCCAGGCTAAGGCAGTCTCAGATAGAGATGAGGAACTTATTGGAAACTGAAGCAAAGGTGATTCTTGCTATGCTTTAGCAAAGAGACTGGCAGCATTTTGCCCCTGCGCTAAACTTCTATGGAACTTTGAACTTGAAAGGGATGATTTAGGGTATCCGGTGGCAGATATTTGTAAGCAGTAAAGCATTCAAGAGGTAACTTGTGTGTTCTTAAAAGTATTCAGTTTCATTCGTTCACAAATATATGGTTTGAAATTGGAAGTTATGTTTAAAAGGGAAGCAGAGCATAAAAGTCCAAAAAATTTGCAGCCTGATAATGCAATAAAAAAGAAAAACTGGGCCAGGCACGAAGGCTGACACCTGTAATCCCAGCACTTTGGGAGGCTGAGGCAGGCAGATCACAAGGTCAGGAGTTTGAGACCAGCCTGGCCAATATGGTGAAACCCCATCTCTCCTAAAAATACAAAAATTATCTGGGCCTGGTGGCAGGCACCTGCAGTCCCAGCTACTGGGGAGGCTGAGGGAGGAGAATAGCTTGAATCCAGCCTGGGCGACAGAGTGAGACTCTGTCTCAAAAAAAAAAAAAAAAAAAAAAAAAAAAAGGCTGGGTGCAGTGGCTCATGCCTGTAATCCAAGCACTTTGGAAGGCCAAGACAGATGGATCACGAGGTCAGGAGTTCAAGACCAGCCTGGTCAAGATGGTGAAACCCCATCTCTACTAAAAATACAAAAAAAATTACCCGGGAGTGTTGTCATGTGCCTATAATCTCAGCTACTCGGGAAGCTGAGGCAGAGAATTGCTTGAACCTGGGAGACGGAGGTGGCAGTGAGCCGAGATCGCACCACTGCACTCCAGCCTGGGTGACAGGGTGAGACTCTGTAAAAACAAACAAACAAACAAACTGATTTTCTTAGGAGAAATTCAAGCCTGTGGCAGGAATTCGCATAAGTAATGAGGAACCAAATGTTAATCACCAAGACAATGGGGAAAATGTTTCCAGGACATGTCCGAGGTCTTCACAGCAGCCCCTCCCATCACAGGCCTGGAAGCCTAGGAGGAACAAATGGTTCCCTGGGCCAGGCTTATGGCCTTGCTCTTTTGTGCAGTTTTGGGACTTGGTGCCCTGCATTCCAGCTATGGCTAAAAGGGGCTAACATTCAGTTCAGATTGCTGCTTCAGGAGTTGAAAGCCTCAAGCCTTGTTGGCTTACATATGGTGTTGGTCCCATGGGTGCATAGCAGTCAAGAATTGAGGTTTGAGAAGCTCTGCCTAGATTTCAGAGGATGTATAGAAATGCCCAGATATCAGGCAGATGTGTGCTGCAGGGGCAGAGCCCTCATGGAGAACCTCTGCTAGAGCAGTGCAGAAAAAAAATGTGAGGTGCAAGAATCTGCACGGAGTCCCCACTGGGGCACTGCCTAGTGGAGCTATGAGAAGACAGCCACCATCCTTCAGACCCTAGAATGGTACATCCACCAACAGCTTGCACTATGCACCTGGGAAAGCTGCAAACACTGAAAGTCAGTCCAGAAAGCAGCCATGAGGGGGGGCTGTACCCTAAAAAGACACAGGGGTGGATCTGATGAAGACCATAGGAACCCACCTCTTGCATCAGCATGACCTGAATGTGAAACATGGAGTCAAAGGAGATCATTTCATGGCTTTAAGATTTGACTGCCCCACTGGATTTCAGACTTGTATGGGGCCTGTAGTCCCATTGTTTTGGCCAGTTTCTAACATGTGAAGCATGTTTATTTACCCAATGCCTGTATCTAGGAAGTAACTAACTTGCTTTTGATTTTATAGGCTCAAGGGCAGAAGGGTCTTGCCTTGTCTCAGATAAGACTTTGTACTGCAGACTTTTGAGTTAATGCTGAAATGAGTTAAGACTTTGGGGACTGTTGGGAAGGCATGATGGTTTTGAAATGTGAGAACATGAGATTTGGGAGGGGCTAGGAGTGGAATGATATGGTTTGGCTGTGTCCCTACCCAAATCTCATCTCAAATTGTAGCTCCCATAATCCCCACATGTCATGATAGGGACCCAGTGGGAGGTAATTGAATCATGGAGGCAGGTGTTTCCCTTGCTGTTCTTGTGATAGTGAATAAGTCTCATGAGGTCTGATGGTTTTGAAAAGGGTAGTTCCCCTGCACAGGCTCTGTTGCCTGCCACCATGTAATATGTGCCTTTGCTCCTCGTGCACCTTCTGCCATGATTGGGAGGCCTCCCCAGCCATGTGGAATTGTGAGTCCATTAAACCTCTTAAGTTACTCAGTTTTGGATATGTTTTTATCAGCAGCGTGAGGACAAACTAATACAAATTCTAAGTTTTTTTTACTTCAGTCCCTGTCTCTTGGCTGGCACTTCTGGACCCATTTGGGGCTTGAGGGATCTTGCCATTCTGAATGGAAGGACACAAGCCTGTCCTTTGTCTCCTGCTGATTGGAGAGCCACAGGGACTGGGTGAACATAGGCAGTAGCCAGGGAGTGGTTACAGCAGGCCTTGGTGAGACCCAGCACTGTGTTGGATTCAGGTCATAGTAAGTGGTGATTACAGGGGTGATTGTGTTACTCCACTCCTAGTTTTAGGTGGCTCAGAACAGTGAGGGAAACGCTGTATGTATGGGATAAAGTAAGAAAGAGAACAAGAGTTTCTGCCTGGTAATCCAGAGAATTCTCCCCGATCTGGTTCAAGACCATCAAGGCAGTATTTCTAAGAGTCTGCAAGAACCACAGGATGACTGGGTTGTGGTGCCTCCTAAAGAAGACACAGCTTAGATCAGAACATCCAAGTCTTTTCAAATATCTGGAAAGCCTCCCCAAGAAAGATGGCTACAAATAAGCTCAGACCACAAAAACTACAATAAGTACCTAACTCCTTTATGTCCAGAAACTGAAGAACATCTATTAGCATCAACCCAATTCAAGAAAACATTACCTCACCAATGGACAAAATAAGGAACCAGAGACCAATCTTGGAGAACAGAGATGTGTGTCCTTTCAGACGGAATTTAAAATAGCAATGTTGAGGGAACTCAAATAATTCAAGGTAACATAGAAGGAATTCAGGATTCTATCAGATAATTTTAACAAAGATCTTGAAATAATTAAAAAGAATCAAGCAAAATTCTGGAGCTGAAAATGCAATTGGCATACTAAATAATGCATCAAAGTCCTTTAATAGCAGACTTGATCAAGCAGAAGAAATAATTAGTGAGCTTCAAGACAGGCTATTTGAAAATACACAGTCAGAAGAGACAAAAGAATAGAAAACAATGAAGCACACATATGAGATTCAGAAAATAGCCTTAAAAGGGCTAAGAGTTAATGCTCTTAAAGAGGAAGTAGAGAACGAGATAGGAGTAGTAAGTTTACTCAAAGGGATTAATAACAGAGAACGTCTCAAACCTAGAGAAATATGTCAATATGCGAGTACAAGAAGGCTGTAGAACATCAAGCAGATTTAACCCTAAAAAAGACCACCTTGAGGCATTTAATAATCAAACTCCCAGAGGTCAAGGATAAAGAAAGGATTGGAAAAACAGCAAGAGAAAAGAAACAAATACATATAATGGAGCTTCAGTATGTTTGGAAGTAGAATTTTCAGTGGAAATCTTACAGGCCAGGAGAGAGTGGTATGATATATTTAAAGTGCTGAAGAAAAATAACTTTTACCCTAGAATATTATATATGGAGACAATATTATTCCAACATTCAGGACAAATAATAACTTCCCTAGACAAACAAAAGCTGAGGAATTTCATCAATGCCAAGCTTATCCTACAAGGAATGCTAAAAATATTCTTTCAATAAGAAAGAAAATAACATTGATGAGCAGTAAATATTCACCTGTGAAAGTACAAAACTCACTGTTAATACTAGGTACACAGAAAAACACATAATATTATATGTAATTGTAGTGTTGTTTTTTTTTTTTTGAGACAGAGTCTCGCTTTGTCTCCCAGGCTGGAGTGCAGTGGCCTGGTCTCGGCTCACTGCAACCTCCCGCTCCGGGGTTCAAGCGATTCTCCTGCCTCAACTTCCCAAGTAGCTGGGACTACAGGCGTCCACCAATACGCCTGACTAATTTTTGCATTTTTAGTAGAGATGGGATTTCACCATATTGGCCAGGCTGGTCTTGAACTCCTGACCTTGTGATCCGTCTGCCTCAGCCTCCCAAAGTGCTGGGATTACAGGCGTGAGCCACCGTGCCTGGCCTAATTTATTAGTATTCTTATAAGAAGAAATTGAAGAGAGCTTGCTCTCTCTCTCTCTCTCGCCACCCCCCTCACCCCCACTATGTGAGGAGACAAGAAGATGGTCATCAGCAAACCAAGAAGAGGGCCCTCACCAGAACTCAACCATGACACCACCTGGATCTTGGACTTCCCAGACTGCAGAACTGTGAGAAATAAATTTCTGTTATATAAACCACCCGGTCTGTGGTATTTTTGTTGTAGCAGCCCAATGGACTGAAACAGAAATTGGTACTGGGAGTGGAGTTGGAAAAGGGGGTGGCACCACTCACAGTTATCCCTAGTGACACACTTGCACAATTTTTGCTTCCTATTATCTCAAGTTTATGCTCTGTTGGCCTCACAATCTTACTCTCAAAGAGAGGAATACTTCCACCAAGAAACACAACAAGAAGTCCTTTGGAATGGAAGTTAAGACTGATATTTGGCTTCTTTGGGCTCCTCATGATTCTGAATCAACAGGCAATAAGGGGAATTATTGTCCTGGCTAAGGTGATCTGTCCAGACTACAAAGGGGAAATTATACGACTGCTCCACCATGAAGGTAAGGAAGAGTAGGTCTGAAATATAAGAGATCCCTTCAGGCATCTCTTAGTATTATCATGCCCTGTGATTAAGGTAAATAGAAAACTACAAGAATTCAATACTAATGGCTTAGATGCTTCAGGAATAAATGTTTGGTGGTGGTCAATAAAGTGGTTCATGCCACCAGGTAATGAACCACTACCAGCTGAGGTGCTAGCTGGAGGCAAAGAGAACACAGAATGGGTAGTAGAAGAAGGTATTTGTAATACCAATTATGACCCATGACTCAGTTACTGTAACCAGGTTTGTGTGTGTGTGTGTAACTCTTAAGTATCTTTTTCTTTTCTCTCTTCTTCCCTTATCACATAAGATGTGTTGACTTTTTATCATAGTATTTGATAATTTTGTATTAGTATTTAAATTATATGATGCCAAAGAAAAGAGTAAACATCACTCAAGGATTTTGCCTCCACTTCTGGGGAATGGGTGGCATGTTTTGGATTGTATTGTGGATAGTTGTATCATGTTAAGTGAAATTTTGACCTTGTTATTATTTTCATTAGAGACTAAGTATGGTTTAATGGCATGTGTATGAGTGCCAAGTTTACAAGAGGTGGACTGTTGTGATTAATTTTATGTGTCAATTTGAGTAGGCCACAAGTTGTACAAATATCTGGTTAGATATTATTTCTGGATTTGTCTTCAGAATTTTTCTGGAAGTGATTAGCATTTAGGTTGGTGAACTAACTAAAGCAGATGGCGCCAGTGTGGGTGTTATCCCATTCATTGACAGTCTAAGTAGAAGAAAAATTGGAAGAAGGTCTCTGCCTGACTGCTTGAGCTGAGACATCTATCCGACTTGCCACTGATGCTCTTGGTTCTCAGGCCTTCGGACTTGAACTGGAATCTATACCATCAGCTCTGTGGCTCTAAGGTCTTCGAACTATACCACTGGGTTTGCTGAATCTCCAAGTTGGACATGGAAGATCATGGGAATTCTCAGTTTCCATAATCACAAAGCCAATATACTGTTATAAATCTCTTTGTGGATATATGATTCTAGGATATTTCTTTGTGGGATATATGTGATATATCCTATATTACATCTAGTTTGCTACCTAACCATACTACTGGTTTTATTTCTCTGGATAATCCTGAGTAGTACAGAATTATGCATTCTTTTAAGATTAGCCATTGTTGTGGTTACCTATTGATACCACATTATGGCTTTAATTTGCATTTCTCAGACGAGTAATCATGTTGAACACCTTTATACATATTTATCAATCATATGTATATTTTCATTGTCTAATAAGTGCCTTTTCATGTCCCTTGCTAATTTTAAGATATGGTTTCCTATTGTTATATTACTGATTTCTAGATACATGATTTTTTGATATGATATTGCAAATATTTTCTGCAAGTCAGCAGCTTGTCTTTTCATTCTTTTAATGGTCAGTTTTGCTCAACAGAAGTGTTAAGTTTAATTATGCAATCCAATTTATCAGTCTTTTTTTTAAAAAAAGAGACAAAGTTAGTGCTTTTGTGCCCTAGTTATTAATCTTGGCCTACCCCAAGATTATGAAGATATTTTTCTATGTTTTATTCTAGAAACTTTATTGTTTTACTTTCATCATAGGTCTGTGTTCCACCTTTAATTAATTTTTGTAAATGGCATAAAATAAATGGTCAAGTTTTAATTTTTTCCCGTGTGGCTATCTAATTGACCCAGCACCATTTATTGAAAAGCCCACCACCCTTGCTGTCACCGAATTCTACAGTACTCTTGGAATGGATTATATAATCATACATTAGTGAGTCTTTTTCTGGATTACCTATTCTTTTCAATTGATCAAATAATTTATCAGTGTGCCAATAGCATAAAGACTGAAATTTTATAGTAATTATTGATATCTAGGTAATTTAATTTCTTCAGCTTTGTTCTCCTTCAAGATTGTCTTAAATAATGTAGGTACACTGCATCTGTATATGAATTTTGGAAGAAATTTGTGAATTTATATACATGCACATGCACGCATACAAACACATGCCTCTTTGGAATAAATACAATTATAGACATAAAATGAAGCTTTTAAAGCTGATGCAGAAAATTTAATGCTATCCTCTTTAAAAAAAAGCGTTCACCAACATTTTGGTGTATATTCCTTTTTATGATCAGTTATGATCAGTAGAGAACCAGACACATTCTTACTGTGTTTCCTTTTATCTATAAAAGTCCTTTAACAATATCCGCCTTATTCCTCAAAATCTATTTCAAGATAATGAATCTTCTTATCTTTAAACATGTTTAATTAATTTGTCAAATTATTCTGTATTACATACATAATAAATATCAAGTATAAATGGTGTGGAATTAATATTTTTAAAGATAGATATATTAATGATTTTTTGATGGCCAGGGTAACTTTAAACACAATAGAGAAAGGAAATTAACTCTACTGAATTTTTCCATGTGTTTAAATACATTGACTTGCATGTGAAATAGTTTAAATGATACAAGTTAAATCTATTGTTGCCCATCTATAAAATGGGATACCGAGGAAATTATAGAAAAGTTTGTATAATGTGATTCAGCATATTTAAGACAAAAGGTTACATGCAGGTAAACATTACCCATACTTATCTATAAGATGTCAAAAGGGAAGATTACAGGTAGTTGGATTATTTCACTCTCTGATTTCACTTCAGTGTTGTTTGAGATTTCATTATATTGTTTTGGTTTTATTAATAGTAATATAACACATATTTGTAAGGATGTCTTTACAAAGATGTAGTTAATATCTCTCAGTATAAAAAGAATGTGTTGGTACTGAAATGGTTTCTTATAAGGGTGACTGTGAAATCTTTCAGGGAAAATATATATTTTGTTTTTGTTTCCTAAGGCCTAGCCCAGTATGTGAACAAAATTAGGTATTAATTAAAAAATAGATGACCTCAATTCAGAGAGCTTGTATATTATTTTTGGACAGTCTATTATGTTAATTGTAGAGTAACAGAATTTCTGTGAGTTTATACCCAACTTTAGATATTATGTTCTTACATTATTTAGCATCAACTAATAGTTAAAATTAAATATGATGTCCTAACAAATAGCTCTTAGGGAAAATATGGAACAAAAATTTGTTGAAATATTATGGTATGTTTTTTCAAATACTGTCCATTCTTTCATTTATATAATCAACTCATCAGTTAACTGACTACATTATATCGTATATCCTAAAGTTAACTGAATGACTTTGGCTTCAAAAGGGAGCAGAGCAAAGTAAAATTTGAGGGATAATCTTTACTGGGTTTAGACAAATTAGTGAAGATGTAGGAACAAGATTAAGGATGTAAATGGTATCTGAAATAAGCACAGGTCATTGGGAGACTGGTTCACTGTTGACAGACCCTTGAAGTTATTTTTCTGTTATCATGGAAAAGCCTGGAAGTGATATTGGCACAAGTATCATTGGGGGATCTAGTGATTCCCATCAAGACATAAGGCATAAAATGTGTTCATTACTCCACTGGTCTAGTTTGGGTAGTGACATCTTAACCCAGCTTCCAGAGATCGTGTTTCCTTGTGGAAGCTCCTTATTGAAGTATTGGGCTAGTTGTTTACCAGAAGTTGGTGCTTTGATACCAATGAGAAATAAGGAAGAAAAGTCATACTATAATAATTTCTATATTACTAAGGCCTTAGTGATATTTGAAAATATTGTTGGTGCATATTTTTTCTCTTGCAACTTTGACATGGTTCACAGCCTCAAAGTTAATGCTTTTATTGTTGGTGATCAATACAGATTTTACTACATTTTCTTAAGATCTACGTTACTGTCTTACATGGGAGTAAAGCATTATTGTAGTTTATGCAAAAACTCTGTTTTCTTGTTTCTGGGAATCTTATTGAGGAAATTATATAGTCCCCTGGGCAGATAATTTTCCTTATATTGAAAAGAATTAACTTTTTTTTTCATTTACTTTAATGTAGCTGGGTTGTTAATTTGTAGCACATTGGTGGAAAAAGCCACAGCAGGAAGCTTTTGGCTCTTACTGAGATATGTAAATTACAGTAATAATCTTTGCATTAAAAGTGATAAAATAAATTTAATGGGTCCAGTCCCACAGTTCTTATTCTGAACCACCTCACCAAAAAAAGAGAAAGAATTTTATGAATAAAACTGGAAATATTCAACTAAATTTAGTAAGACTGTTTCCATAGCTTGTATTCCTTCAATTATTCTTAGAAGTTTCCTTTGAAAACACAATGGAAAGATTCAAAATATGCTGACCTTTTCCTGACCTGAGGTTTTGTCTCACTATTAATAGGAGTTTTAAATGAATAAATATCATATGCTTATAAAATATAATAAGCTAGAAGTCTATTTCTCTTTAACAAAAATTAAGAGACATACATGGCCTTATATACTGTGGGGGTGAATGGATGTTCAAATAGCAATATTTCTTTCTCTTACTGATTGCCACCCTCTCTGAAATTCTCAATAGCCATGGGGGTTTTTAAAATAATATACTCACTATGTCTCCATAAGATCCATGTTAAAATATAAGCATGTTGAAGAACATGGACACAAAAATACATTATTGTCCATGTTAAAATTTTTGAATGACTTTCTTCTCAAGGATTGTGAGCAGAGCCTTGCAAGAAGTATGAATACATGTCATTGGTACATGGAAAAGAGAAGAAAGGGAGACATCAGGTGTATGAACTATTGTCCAGATGTAGGCGGCAATGAGGGAAAGTGTGTCAAAGTGCACAGGCCAGTGAAGGGAGCCTGATTTATGTCATGAAATACCATTCCTCTGCTGCACAATTTCATCTTGAGTTTGCCCTATTCATGACTTTTCAGTGTCAATAACAAAAACACGAAGACCAATAATATAATAGAAGTAGTGGGATATTTAGAGTAGTTACTATGTATTTTTTGAAATTCTTTGAAAATGTTCACAGAAATTATCTTGATTTACAGGAACAAATGAAGATATATGAGGGAAATTACAGAATTAGTAGCATGAAGCTAAAGTTTCCCAAAGAAGGCATTATTTTACTCTAACTGAAATTTACTAGCCAAATGATCATATTCTATGGAAACCTAGTACTATTAAAAAAAACCTACATTTTTACATGCACTGTTAAAATTTTACCTGCTTAAAATATAGCATGCCTAGCAATTTTTCCAGTCCCAGTTTAATTTCTGTCACAATAACGGCTCTTAACAGATTATTGTGCTTAAAGAAAAAAAATAAGGGAAGAAAGTCCAAGACGAATTTTCTTCTCTTGATGTTTAGAGAGGTATATTTTGAAGCCCTGCCCTAGTGCATGAAAGGTAAATGGCTTCTGTTTTTAATGAGAATTCCAGCAAAGTAAGAAATGGCTCAAGCCAAGTTGCTGCACTGGTTGTTTATGGCTGTTGTCTGCTCTGAATGGATGGGTGTGTGCTCTGATTGGTTGGCACTTATTGTACCAGTTGTTATATACAATATTTTGAATAACACCCTGGAGAATAACTGACAGAAAACTTGGAAGTAATTGTCACCTCATCCAAAAATCCAATTATGTAGAAACTTGTATCATAGTTGTGGGAAAGCTGTTATATGGATCCAGTATGAGTAGCAGCTGCCCACTTTACTGTTGCTCTCTAGAGAAATACTAGCTCAAGGATGCCCAAACGCTTAGGAGAATAAATCAAAATATGTATCAAGCTTTCCACACTTGCTACTTGCTTATAGTAATCAATATCTTGACATATTAGGGCATATGAGGATATTTTTTCAATTATTTTGTAATTTTTACATTTTCTAACAAAGTAACAGTTACTATCCATTTTAATAGATGAGAATCTAAGTCTCTAAGTTTTGTTTATATCAGTCTAGTGAAACAAAGTGATACTTCACCCATAATCACTATTCAAAAGTTTATTGAACATCTATTAAGATGCAAATTTCTATGATAGACACTATGAATGGTTTAAAAAAAGACAATATATTATTGCTCTACAACATCTTTTAGTATATGAAGAAATGTGTGCAATGTCTTTTGATTTAATTCTACATTTCCTTAAGGGGTGGCTTGCCAGAAAAGCATTTGAATTCTTAAAAGAAAGTCTTAGGCAAGTCATTAGGAAACACCTCATGACTAAGAATAATAAGAAAACTGAAATGCATTTATTGAATAAATGTTTATTGAATGTAATAAAGAGAAACATTGTCTGCTTTGAAACAGAAATAAGTCTGATGAAACCTCAGTCACACCAAGTAAATTCAGCTCAGAGTACCATACTTTGAGATTCTCAGAGGAAAAAGCTCCTAGCAAGGGGCACAGGTGAGGGTAGGGTTGGGGAGCCTTGAAAAATGAGGCTGGAGAAGAAGGCAAGGTCCAGGTGAGCAAGAAGCTTGTATGGATGCTATGAAGGTTGAGCTTTAGCTTGTATGTGCAAACACCAACAGATTTTGAATGTGGAGGGAGGTGGCCTAGTTATATTTTATTTTTAGATAATAATGGACTATGGAACTGAGTGTAGCAGCCCTGATGATGGGCATACACTAATTAAGGGGTCATTCCTGTAGTCTAGTTATAGGTGGTGCAAATTTAATGTAGGCTAGTTTCAGTCAGAAATATTTTATCAATATACCTTTTTTTGGGTGGGAGTAATCAACTTGGCCATGCAAATAGGGTGAAACTAGTTTTAGTAAATCTAATTCCAATGACGCTTTTCAATAGAGACCTATATAACACGTTTTCTCTCAGAGGCTCACCCATTTTTAACTGGGAGGCAGCTGGTATACAACATCAACTAATAACTAATGCTCTTCACAGAACCTCTGGGACACTCATTGAGTCTGCTTTCTTTGCAGGTCTTGCCTCATCACTGCCATGACAGGGGGGTCCAATGTGAGGATTCTGGTGTCTATGCCAAGCATCTCTTTTCCAACGTAGATCTGATTTCTTAACATAGCCAACAGCAAGTCAACATCAGCTTTGCAGAGAAAAGCAGGTATTAAACGAACATAAAATATTATTTGGTGGTTATAAACAAAATATGTAATTATAAGTATAAAGCTTTTTCTAATGTTTAAGTCAAGAAGTTATCCATAATTGTAATGGTTGTTCCATTGTTTGAATAAGCATATAAATTACAAGTTTGTGACTGTATTAGTTAACATTTACTGAGCATTGACCACGTGCTACACATTGTCTTATCCACTTTAGGCATATGTTGTCTCATTTAATTCTCCAACAACTCCTTGGGTTAGGTGATATTTTTGTGCCCATTTTATAGAAAGTAGAGCTAAAGTTTAGAGACCTGCCTAAGTCAAGTATTGCATCATGCATACTTCCTCTCCTTGTGGGGCGTTTGTTTGAATATGAGACTCCTTAGTAACTTTGGAGTCTAATGTCAAGGGTCAAATTTCTGTCATGAAATCATTTATGCATTGCAAGATTGAACAAGAAGTAAAAGCTGAAGTAGGGTGTTTGAAACCTATGCAATGAAACGGTAAACTAAAAAATAGTGAGAATTAATTAATTAATCACAGAAAGACAGTCACAGCTGCTTTGGATCATGCTGGATTTATTTAGCAGAAGTAGCATAATTCTTTAGAACAGAAAGCAAAAGCAGAGACATTGATTGAAACTGCAGGGGGAATTTTGGTAAGCAGAATATAATTGCTCATTATTTTTATTTGTATCTTCCCATTTCCTTGTTTCCCTTTCCCTTTGTTCTTTAATAATACTCAAGACTTTGCATGAAAACACATTCTTTTCATTACTTGTATATTTAGCCTGGTCCTCCAGCTTGTCTCATTCAGAAGTCATAATCAGTTTCTAATGTCATTATAATTTCTAGTTGGGGCATCATAATCATGAGAATATGACATTTGTAGAAGCAGATGAACCAAGAAATAAAACACTTATTTTTATGCAAATATTCCAAGCAATACACTAAAAGAACAATAAATTTAAAAAGATAACTCTGTCACTATGGTGGGCTTCTAAACTAAAATCTTCTATGACAATTCAACTGCTTTATACAGGTCTGACTGAAACTTGATTTTAATAGTGCACACAACAGTACCCTTTTTAAGCCAATATTTGTCCTCATACATTTATTCACACTGTAAACAAATTATAAAAATATAGGGTTTTAAAAATATTAATATTTTTATTTATACTTGGAGGATGAAATGAACATTAAAGGATTTTTTCTTTCCAATCACCTCAAAAATGAAACAAAAGATAATTATATAAAACTATTTTGTCACCTAATATATGTCTGAAATATATTACTTAAATGGCAACAGGCTGTTGATGTAGTTTCTCAATGTTGCATGTTTAATGACAACTCTGCTCTTTACCAGAAACAGTAGAAACATAAGATTGTTTTACAAAATATCATTTGACAAACATATGGAGTATTCATCTGCTCTATTGTATTTCATTTTAAATAAATATGTGAATGCATATATTTTAAGTTTTCCAAAATCATTGAATTCAGTATCAGATATTATTTAGATTGATGTCAACATACTTTTTTTCCACAAAGCATCAGATTGTAGTTATGTTTTACTTTTCTAGACACATGGTCTCTGCAGCAAATAGTTGACTGTGCTGTTGTAGCATGAACCTGCCATAAACAACACATTAATGAATTTGTGATGTATTCCAATACAACTTCTTTACAAAAATACATGGGGGCTGGATTTGGCCTGACGGTACTTATTTGCTACTCTGGTTTAAGAATGTTTTTCAACAAGTAAACCTTTGCAAAATAAACCTTTGTTAATATTTACTTTATTTACTGTAAGATTGTTCTTCTTACACATTAAATGAGAGTTATGATAAATTACAAAAGGGAAACTATTACTTAAAACTTATGACATTTTTGCATGCAGAAAGATCAGGCTAAAATGCAAATATGTTTTCTAGTAGAAATTGTAGTCTGACTCCCAGTACATTATGTTGCTTGATGATTTCAAAGGTAAAAAGAAGCAATGTACTCCCAAATTCTTACTAACTTAGAAACATTGTGTCTCTTCCAGACAGAAAACTGGGCTTATCATACTTTTTCTGTTGGTAAAACATTCTTTTCTCACCTCTTGTTTAAAAAAAAAAAAAAAAACTTTGAAAAACTAAAATTCCACTGACCTATCAAAATGATCTTAGATCTCATGGTAGTACAACCCAGTGTCAGAAATAAAACATGGTACAACCAAAGCTAGAGGCAGGAAGAATCCTGGTATCAATAGGAAGGTCATGCTTAGAGAGGTCATGCTTCTTACTATATTCTATTGTTTAAAATAGTTTTGAAAAAGTGATGAGGTGATTAACTAAAAGATCTAACCTGCAGAGATGGCTCTGAGCTGGGAAGAGGGCAGGAATGAAGCATGTATTCCAAATTAGCATCTAGAATGAGATTTTATAAGCTGTAGTGTTTTTTTCTTTCTTTTTTTTTTTTTTTTTCTTTTGAGACAGAGTCACGCTCTGTCGCCCAGGCTGGAGTGCAGTGGCACGATCTCCGCTCACCGCAAGCTCCGCCTCCTGGGTTCACGCCATTCTCCTGCCTCAGCCTCCCGAGTAGCTGGTACTACAGGCGCCCACCACCCCTCCTGGCTAATTTTTTTTTTTTTTTTTTGTATTTTTAGTAGAGACAGGGTTTCACTGTGGTCTCGATCTGACCTCGTGATCCGCCCGCCTCGGTCTTCCAAGGTGCTGGGATTACAGGCATGAGCCACCATGCCCAGCCTGTAGTGTCTTTAATATCTTAGTTTGCTTGGACTGCTATAGCAAAGTACCACAGACTGTGTGGCTTAAACAAGAGAAATATATTCTCACAGTTCTGGAGGCTGTGAAGTCCAATAACCAGATGCCTGTAGATGTTGTCTCTGGTGAGAGCGTGCTTCCAGACTTCAGCTGCCTTCTTGCTGTGCCCTCACACAGGCTTTCCTCAGTGTATGTGTGAGGATAGAGAGATCTTGTGTTTCTTCCTCTTTTAAGGGCATTGATTTTTATAAGGGCAACACCCTCATGACCTCATCTAAACATAATTACCCTCCAAAGATCCAACCTCACAATACCATCACATGGGAAGTTAGGGCTTAAACATATGAATTGTGGGGTGACACATTCAGCGCGTAACATGTAATTTATCCAGTCTTAATTAGAAGGCTTAATATTGGAGCTTTCTAGCCAAAAACAGGTAGTCATCATGTGGGAGAATACCTTGACTTGACTTATACTCTTCAATACAGTAAGAATATAACAAATGGAGTTTATTTTATAATTTTCCATTAAAACTCTCTCATTATGTCTTGATAACGCTCTGTTACTTCTGTCAAGAATACAGCTAAATGTTAAGAAACTTATTCTTGAGTAGCCAGAGTGTCTCCACAGGCTAATTATTAGGACTGAATTAACCTATGAATTTAATGGATTAATTAAATCTTATAATAAACATTTTGAAAAAATTATGACATGAGGAGTGGCAGCACAGTGGTTGCAACAACAAATGCCTTACAAATGGTGGCAAAAGGGAGCCAAGAAGAAACAGCTTGATCCATTTTCTAAGAAAGACTGGTATGGCATGAAAGCACTAGCTACGTTCAATATAAGAAATATTAGAAAAACGCTTGCCACCAGGACTCGAGGAACCTACATTTTATCTAATGATCTCAAGGGTACTATCTTTGAAGTGAGCCTTTCTGATCTGAAGAATGATGTTGTATTTAGAAAGTTCAAGCTAATTACTGAGGATGTTCAGGATAAAAACTGCTTAACGTCCATGGCATGAATCTTACTTGTGACAAAATGTGTTTCACGGTCAAAAAATGGCAGACCATACCTGAAGTTCACGTCAATGTCAAGACTACCAATGGCTATTTGATTTGTCTATTCTGTGTTAGTTTTACAAAAAAAAAAAAAAAATACAACAATCAGATACAGAAGACCTCTTATTCTCAGCACCAACAGGTCTGCCAAATCCAGAAGAAGATGATGAAGCTTCCCACCCAAGAGGTGCAGAGAGATTTCCTGAAAGAAGCAGTTAATAAATGGATCCCACGCAGCTTTGAAAAACTCATTAAAAGGTCATAAAAAGATTTGCCAATTTATTTATACTCTCAATGATGTCTTCACTAGAAAATTCAAAGTTTGAACTGGGAAAACTTGAAGGTAGTAGTTCTTGAAAAGCTTATGGATATGAACTGCCAGTCCAAGAATCTGTTTAAAATTCAGATGTTTAATAGTGACAAACAAAAATCCTGTATGTGAAGAAAAAAAAACATCATGATATTGCTTTCTATATAATTTTTTTCTGTTGTATTGTAAGAAAGATACATCCCTTTTCCTATAGATAAGACTTCTGAGTGTTTTTCTGTTTGGCAATATTAGCAATCTATTTTCTGCCTCAGAAAACCTATTTATAGACCTCCTATTATCAGGCATTGTACTGAATTATTCTTTGTGTCCAAAGTTTTTCAATTTATTTCCTTGGTATTTTAGTGCATATACACATTGTATAAAATAATGGCCTTTTAGTCTTCTTCCACTGTAGCTCTCTTATTTCTGTTTTATTCTAAATTCATGAAACATAACTTTCAAAAGGAATCTTACAAATAGTGATAATAACAGACATCTTCCTCAAGTTGATAATTTTAATACATATTGATATTCCATCATTCATTATAATGTATTTTGTTTAAAGTGTATTTACTTTGAAAATAAAACATCTTTTGTTAATTTTCCTTATAACATTTTTGAATACCAATTTGTGTTCTAGCATATCCAATCAAGTTGGTCACACTGTATGAGAATGAAATGTATTTATTTAACTTACTTATATTATAAATTGTTTAAGTAGTCTGCTTATATTGATTGTCTTTATACTTCTTTTTGAAAATTAGTATACTGATCATTGTTAACTCATGCTTCTATTTCCATGCTAATTATTTATAGGATTCATATCTATTTTTTCATATTATGATTTATGTAGCTTCTTATCTCTTATGACCTGAACAGTTTATAAAATGCCAATTAATTCATTTCTGTGAGAAAATAAAATAATTCCGTAAAAATTAATAAACATTTTTATAAGTTTCTCAATGTTATTGTCAGTTATTGATTCACTGACTTCTCTGTGTAGTATATAAAATCACATATTTATTTAGAAAATCATCCATTTCATTGATGTTTTCAACTTTAGCAAATTAATCATGAAAGCAATTTTGCGCAATGTATTATATTTATGATTGTTTTTATTTTCTTTATTTACATTAATAGGTTTCCCTAGTTTGTTTATTTTGTTAATTTTTTTACAGGGGTAAACCTTGGATGTGCGAATGCTGTTACTTTTATTAGAGTGTTATAATGGAAATAAAGTAGTTACATAATGAATATAATGCCACAAAGAAGGCATAACTTAGAATTTGCACTCTTGACTCACTGCTGTTTTATTTGAAGTATTAGTTTTCTGTTGCTACTGGAACAAGTTACTACAAAGTTAGTGCCTTATTATTCTACAAGTCTCTAGATCAGGAGTTTGACATAGGTTTCACTGGGCTAAAACTAAGGTGTCAGCAACGTTCCACTTCCTTCTGGAGTTTCCAGGGGACACTCTGTGTCCTTGCCTTTTCCAGGTTCTAGAAGCTTCCCATATTCCTTGACCTACATCCCCCTTTAAGGTCAGCAATGATGAGTCAAGTTCATCTCACCTGGCATCAATATGACTGTCTTCTCCTGCCCCATCTTCCACTTCTAAAGGACTCATAGTGATCAGATTGGGTCCACCAGATACTCCAGGTTAGTTAAGGTCATTACCCTAATCACGTCAGCAAAGTCTCTTTGCCACGACATAACATTTAGCAGGATTCAGGTGGGAGGATTAGGATTGGACAACTTTGGTGGGCTATTATTTTGCTTCCCACATCTGTTTTCCTTGTCAGTCATGTTTTCAGATTCAAATCAAGTTGCACATCTTTCGTAAAAGAAATTAATGTACACGAATCGGATTCTTATCCATGATTGACTTTCTTTCCTCTTTGTCAAATTTATCTTTTAATTGGTTTCTAAGCATATTCCGAAAAGTTGTTTAGCTTTCCATGGTTGGCCAGGGATCTATCTACATAAATTATTGCATTTGGACACAATTTGCATTAATTTATGAATATTCCCTAAGTTAATAAACAGATTGTGTTGACAGAATTTGTTTGCCTGAGTTGGTCATCAGTTTAATCAAACTAATTACCCTATTATTTCAGTAAATAGCCATATTTGGAAAACATTTTTTACTGCCACCTAAGTTAAAGGAAAAAATGAACAGGACATAAGATTATGAGTAAGGAAGAAAGAAATTTTGTTATCAGCTTGTGTATACTCTACAAAAAATATGCTCGTCACTGTTTCATTGAAGTTTCACAGTGTAAGTGAGACTATGAATATAAAGTAGTTTACTAAAATTATTTTTTAAGTAACTACTGGTTGGTACTTTTAAAAAATCTCCTGTCTGAACTAAACAAAGATATTTTTATAGATGCAGCATAAATCTAAATTTCTTAAAATGCTTAGAAAAATTATATGGAGTGTTTCTATGAAATTGGGGTTTTTCAAGAATCAATGATTGTTTTCAGATTCAAAGAGCATTTTCTACCAGTTGTCGTCAGAGGATTTGACAAAAATTTATCAGCCTCTTAATATACCTTTTAGTCAAGTTCTAGGAATTTTCTCAGTAGTATTATGTTGTGATACAGGTTTTTATTAATGTTTATTTTGTTTTATGTAGTAAAGCAAATTTCTTATTATTTCACCTCTAATAAATAGTGCTTGTAGACAGATCAATAAATGGATGATGAGTGATAGATACATAGATGACAAATTAATAGATGACAGATGAAGAGATACAGATTGACAGATACTTGTGTCAGTGTTAAAAATGTTCAACTTACGTCCATATTCTATGAGTCATATTTGAGATAATTATGATCATCAACTTTATCTATTTGGTTTTCAGTGTGATGGATATAGTAATTTGATCATTATAATATGTATACCTGCATTAAAACATCACATTGTACTCCATAAATATGTGCAATTAGTATGCATCAGTTCTGAATAGAAAAATAAATTAAACATAATATTCTCAAGGTCTTTAGAAATAGCTGCTTAATAAGAAAGATCTAGTAGAAATGCAAAATAATTCAGCCACTGTGGAAAAGAGTTTTGTGGTTCTTCAAAAAGTTAAACATAGAGTTATGATGACATGATTCCTCAATTTCTCTCTAGTGTATATCCACAAAATAATTGAAAACAGGTACTAACACAAGTACATGTACACCCATTTTCATAGCAGCATTTTTCACAATACTCAGAAGGTAGAACAGCCCAAATGTCCACCAATGGAAGAATTGATCATCTAATTTCGATATACCTATACAATGGAATATTATTCAGCCATGAAATGTAATGAAGTACTGATATATATGGTACAAACTGTAACATGAATGAACCTCCAAAATTGGTTAAGTGAAAAAAGCATGACACAAAAAGTTACACATTTTATGATTTCATGTATATGAAATATCCAGAACTGATGAATCCATAGAGACAGAACACAGATTGGTGGTTTCCAGGGGCTGAGTGCAGGAAGGAATGGAGAGAAACTGATTGATGGGTAATGGTTTTAATTTCCAGTGATGGAAATGATGGTTTTGGAACTAGATACCATACTTTAAATGCCACTGAATTGTTCATGTTTAATTTTGCGGTATATGAATTTCACCTTGATAAATTATTGTTAAAATTAGTAAAAAGGTCTATGGTTCAAGCTATAAAACTTCTCATTGAGGACTATGAGGACTAGGATATTTATGCTCCTAGGTTCAAAGCTCTGGTAGGGGCTTCTGCTCCCTAGTCTTCACCTGCTTAAGCTACATCTGCAAGAATCTGTCCTTTCCTCTTTGAGCAATCAGCTTCAATGGCTGAAGGTAGGTGTTTTGTTGTCCCTCAATAACAGCTGCAGAGCCTCTATAAGTCCTTTAATCTTCCCTGATGAAGTCTATGCCCCAGCTGGGTGTAATCCTCATCCGAAGCATACTGAAACTCGGAAGAGGTGCCCTTGGCCCATTTGCCTACATACTGAACATTAAAATTTATTCTGCTACCCACATACAGGGCATAGAGATGCTCTGGTACATTGTCTATTCTCCAGACTTCATCAGTGGATATTATGTCACAGATGTCCTCTGTTTTCAGATTCCAAGTATAGATGAAAACTCTACTGAAACCTTCCAGAACTTGGAGACCCATTTCTAATCCAAGGGGAAGACAAAAATCTGTTCTGACTGATCACATATTTCTGTATCCTCTGAGTACTAACCACAAGAAACATTTTTAAAGTAAAACATCAAGATGTAACTCTTTTCTTTCATTCCAGAATTTGAATCTCTTCTGAGGCAATATGTAACACTTACTTATTATGAAAGGAATAAAGAATAAAAAGAAAAATGTGGCAATATAAACCACATATGTTAAGACTTAGAAATCTTATTCTTGAATGAGTAGAGCTTTGTATACAGGTGTTGGTTTCCTAGGGTTAGGTTCCCAACACTTTAATATTATCACAAAGATGATCTCAAAACCATTATATTATCAGTCTACTTTCTGTACCTATTATACTGGTAATAGGAAGTAGGAGGCCAGAGAGTGGATAGACAAATAGTGTTTTTCTTTGAGAAGCCCTCAGAAAATACACCTAAAGCAACAACACATTGTTCTGTGTATGTTTACCTATCTATCCCAAATAACTACAGAACATAATTCCATTGATGTAAGTTCTATGATCTTAGCACTCCATGGTTTGATCAGACATCCTGATTGATGATCAGAAGCATTCTGTTAAAGACTATTGATCAGGGATTCTGTGATAGTTTATTTAAAATGCCACAGATTCTTTCTCTTTCAGTCATCACATATTTACATTGGGATATTGCAGATTTTTCCATCACATGGCTTCTATTTCTTCACCCCTTGAATCTGGGTTGTTTGTGAGACTTGTGAGACTTGCTTTGACCAAAAGAACATTAACAAATGTTAAACAAGCAGTGACTTGAAAAGAACGTGCACATGGAGCTTGTTCTCTTGTGGTTCTTGGAACTCTTTCACATCCATGTGGACAAGCCTGGACTCATGTGCTGAAAGATGAGAGACCACATGGAGAGAGACCCCACAGATCCCAGCCATTCCAGACAAGGCTATGATAAGCCTCCCAGCCCCAGTCAATCCATCAGCTCACTGCATATGCCTGAACAAGCCTAGCTGAGATCAACCAAGCCTGGCCGAGACTTGATGAATTACACAGCTGAGTCCAGCTCAAATAGCAAACCATAAAATTATGAGCTAAATAAATAGTTGTTTCTGGCCACTAGGTATTGGGTTGTTTTCTTATGCACCAAGAGCTAACTGATAAACCTACTAATCTATTTTACAACTTACCATTTCATTATAATTCCTCAAGAAAAAAATATAAATCATGCCAGCTTATTTGTTGAGGCGTCTTGCTAAAAGAAGTATAAACTTCTGAAAAAAAAATCTTTCAAGGTTTGTGTGATGGACTAAATTGTGTCCCCTCAAAATTCATATGTTGTAGCCCTAACCATTCATGTGACTGAAACTGGAGATTAAGGAGGTAATTAAGGTTAAATGAGGTCATAAAGGTGGGATGCTAATCCAAATTTACCTGTGTTCTTACATCAGGGATGCGTGTGCACAAAGAAAAGGCCATGTGAGGACATAGCAAGAGGGAAGCTGTCCGCAAGCCAAGGAAAAAGGCCTCAGGAGAAACCAAATCTGCCAATACATTGATCTTGGACTTCCAGCATTCAGAAATGTGAGAAAATAAATATCTGCTGTTTAAGCCACCAGTATATTATATTTGTTATGGTAGCCTTAGCAAAGTAAGATAGTTTGTGTTACTGCCTTCTTTTTGCAGATAAAGCAATTATATCTGATAGGTATTATGTAACCATATTAGTCCCATAGACAGTTGTTTTTGGATAAACATAGAAATTGACCCTTCTGTTGTTAAAGCTTCAAACTTGTATTTGCTTTATCTGAGTTCCTTCCTCAGGAAAGGATATTCAGTTCTCTCAAAAAAGTATCGAAGAACTGAAATTCACTAGATCACCATACCAGATAACTCCTTGCCCCTCCCTAGTTCCTGATTTCTTAAACATTGTTACATTTCTTCCCTGCTGTATAAAACCCTAGTTTTAATCAGTCAGAGAGATGAATTTGAGACTGAACTCCCATCTCCTTGCTGCGGCACCCGATTAAAGCCTTCTCCCTTGGCAATATTTGTCTTCTCAGTGATTGGCTTTCTGTGCAGCAAGCAGCAGGACCTAGACCAAACCCCTGGTATTGTGGTAACAAACAACACACATGCACACACATATACATGCAAATGACTGATAAAAGAGATAAAAGAAAGGAAAAGGAAAGCAGAAGGAGGAAGATCATCCATGAATCCATTGAGAATAGACACTGATGATCTATTTGGTTTCTTTCTTTACCTAATTCTTTATCATTATAGCTTTTGTATATAATGCTAGCTTTCTACCACATCATGTTAGGTTATTTACCCATTATGTGATCTTTCTTTTAAATGTTTCTATTTCTTTTCATTAAATGAAATAATTGTTAAAGGGGTGACTTCAATTAACTTCTAGGCCTTCTATATAGTGTTGCAAAGGCCCATATTCTACATCTAGGTTAAATTTTCCTGTCTTTTGTTATTTAATTATCTAGCATATGAGCAACAAATAGGGATCTGAAAGTGACTATCTGTGTTGGGTTATCCTTGGAAAAATAACATGACAAACAAAGGTAGATTAGCCCACTGGTAACAAAATTCAAATGAGACAACTATCCTGTTCCCCAAATCAAATATTTCTCAAAAGCAATCAATGATTAATTAAAAGTAGTGAAAACACATTTAATAATCTTTACTAATGAGTTTGAACAAACACTTGGATTGATTAAAAACTAAATAATGAGCATGCTAAAACTCTTGCATTCATCAATAACTAAACTGTTTTTAAAGTTAAGTGCCAAATTTGTTTATTTTTAATGTTGCATCATTAAGTAAAATTTGTGTTTAAAGATTTTATACAACTAGATGTTTTTATTTTTAACTTAGACATAGCTATTTTCCTAACAGTTCTTTTTAACAAGTCCATCAAGATTTAAATAGCAAAATTCTATTAAAAACTGGGATGTTCACATGTAAACCCAGCACACCTTTATAGGTACATTAGTTTTAAGGCTCAAAATACTCATATGGAATAATTAAGTATTGTATTTTCAATATTAGCATTTAGTTTAAATATGCTGTGCATAATGTTTTACTATATGGCCCATCCTGTCATCGTTTTTATATTCTTCAATTTTTTTTATGGTACACAGATGTTTTGCCTGCCCTATTTATGCTATGCCAAGGTGAGTATTTTTGAAATGCCTTATATTTAGAATACCACTATAGGAGAATATGATTTATCAACTGTTTTGCAACATGTATGAAGTACTTGACTTATTTTTAAGGATTTTGAGCAATGAAAACTTTTATTTTTAAAAAAGTTATAGAATGATACATAAAACTTAACATTTTGATCATCCAATAAAATCTGCTTTCAAGAACATTATTGATGATATTGGGGGAGTGTCTTGAATTGTTTTCAGGAGACCATGGCTCATTTTCAGATCTACTATTTGCAGCACTTTTTAAAAAATTCAGATGGGGATCTTTGATTTTACTAATCTTCTGGATAATAACTGACAGATGTATAGGTCTGGAGCATTTGAGTCCTCTCCCAAATTTGAGAAAGAACTTTGAACGTGTTATATTTGAATTCTCGTGGAAGACAATAAAGGAAAGCCTTAGATAACCAATTAGATATGAAGTGGTAAAATGAGTTTCACCACCCTTAGAAATATTTAGTGACAGCTGAGGCGGGTGGATCACCTGAGGTCAGAGGTTTGAGACCAGCCTGGCCAACATGGTGAAACCCCATCTCCACTAAAAACACCAAAAATTAGCTTGGGGTATTGGTGGGCACCTGTATTCCCAGCTACTCAGGAGGCTTAGACAGGAGAATTGCTTGAACCCGGGAGGCAGAGGTTGCAGTGAGCCAAGATTGCGCTATTGCACTCCAGCCTAGGCAAAAGAGCAAAACTCCGTCTCAAAAAAAAAAAAAAAGAAAAAGAAAAAAGAAAAGAAAGGAAAGAAAGAAAGAAAGAAAGAAAGAAACATTTAGTGACAATAGGAGACAATTGAGTAGAATGGAAAGACTAAAAATAGTACAAATTTGGGGAAAAAAATTCAGGGTTTGTTCATAGGCCCAGCTCCTATGTGTGTGACTTTATGAAAAAAATATTGGTGAGTTTTAAGTTCTTCAATCATAAAATGGGGATAAAACAATTCTTCTTTTACAGGTATAAAATAGCTAATGCCTGCAACTTAATAAGCAATTGCAAACTTTCATAACATCTTGGTAATATAGAGATTAAATTTTCATGTTGAAAAATTTAAGAATCACAAGAAGTGACAAAAGCAGTACAGAGAGTCCCTGGACCCTACACCCATGTTTTTACAATGATGATGTTGTACTTACCCAGGGGTCATTTCAAAACCAGGACATCAACATTGGTACAAAATGATTAACTAAATTACAGATTTTTTCAGAATTCATAGGTTGTTACATACACTTTGTGTGTGTGTGTGTGTGTGTGTGTGTGTGTGTGTGTGTGTGTGTGTGTGAGAGAGAGAGAGAGTATGTGTGTGGTCCAGGAATGTAGTACTATGGAATTTTATTGTATGGGTAAATTCATGTAATCACCACTGTCAGACTGCTTGATCACTACAAAGAAACTCCCATTTGCTACCTTTTTATGTCACATCCTTATCCCATTCCTAACTCTTGGCAACTTCTATCTGATCATTTTCCATCATTGTATTTCCGTCATTTGAAGAATATGGTATAAGTGGAGTCATGCAACACTATGCAATTTTTGAGATTTTTTTCACTGAGCATAATGTCCTTGAGTTGATCCAAGTTTTTATCTCAATAATTTATTTGTTTCTTATATTGCTGAGTAGTTTTCCATTGTATGACTGTACCATGCCTCTTTAAATCCATCCATATCCACTCACTGAAGGACACATGGGTGGTTTCTAGTTTGGGATTTGCAAAGAAAGCTGCTGAGTACATTGTATAAAGATTTTCCTATCCACAAGATTTTATCTTTCTAGGATAAACACTCAGGAGTGTGATTACTGGGCTGTATTATTAGTATGTCATATGGTTTGGCTGTGTCCCCACCCAAATCTCATCTTGAATTGTAACTCTCACAATTCCCATATGTTGTGGGAGGAACCCAGTGGGAGGTGATTGAATCATGGGGGCGGGTCTATCCTGCACTGTTCTCGTGATAGTGAATGAGTCTCATGAGATGTGATGGTTTTAAAAATGAGAGTTTCCCTGCACAAGCTCTCTCTTTGCCTGCTGCCATTCATGTAAGAGGTGACTTACTCCTCCTTGCCTTCCACCATGATTGTGTGGCCTCCCCAGCCATGTGGAAGTGTAAATCCCATTAAATGTTTTTCTTTTATAGATTGCCAGTCTCAGGTATGTCCTTATCAGCAGCACGAAAACAGACTAATACAGCTTGTTTAACATTTTATGAAACTGGTTGTTTAACATTTGAACTTGCAAAAATTAACAAGTTGTTTAACATGTTTAACATTTAAAGAAACAGACTGTTATGAAACTGTCAGTGGGACTGTCCATTTTACATTGCTGGCAGAAATGTTTGAGTGATCCAGTTGTAGATTGGTAGTGTATTAGTCCGTTCTTATACTGCTATAAGGTAGTACCTGAGACTGAGTAATTTATAAAGAAAAGAGGATTAACTGGGTCACATGTCTGCAGGCTGTACAGGAAGCATGGCTGGGAGGTCTCAAAAAACTTACAATCATGGCAGAAGGTGAAGGGGAAGCAGGCACGTCTTACATGGATGGAGCAGGAAGAAGAGAGAGGGAAGGAAAGTGCTACATACTTTTACATGACCAGATCTCACAGTAACTCACTCTCTCCAGGACAACACCAAGGGGGGTAGTGTTAAACCATGAGAAACCACTGCCATGATCTAATCACCTTCCACCAGACCCCACATCCAACATTGGGGATTACAATTTGACATGAGATTTGGGTGGGGACATAGATCTAAACCATATCAGGTAGTATTTTAAGTAATGCAAAATATAAAATTATTTTTTATCTCAGACTTTTTGGACAAAGACAACTTGGTCATAAAATACATTATAGAAAAATTGCATATCTGAATGATAATACTAAGAATTGAGAAAATACTTGATTCACTCTTATGAAAAAGTTTGTTTCCTTAATGAGTGGATGGCTAAATTGATACAGAATTCAGCTGCTCAGAAATTTACACATTCGTTTCTATATTAAGCAGACCACATTCTTATTTTTGTTTAAAATAGACAAGAGACTTTATTGTATAAAATCCCCCCTATACAAACCAAGATTCATAGGCTCTTCAGAGACTCCTGCAGTATGTTCGTTCATTAACAATATAAGGACAGGAGGACTCTATCTGATGAGAAAGCATTAGCAAGATTTGATTTGGAATGTAATACAATCCCAGCAGCTGAATATGAGTTACTTTAAAATAGTTCCTATTAAAGAAACTACGTGTTCTTTAGAACCAAGATAACATCTTGTGTTATCTTTACAGTGAAAAAATGACAATTCCCAGGGACATCTTTATTGCAGCAGTAGGCTGCTACATTCATTCTTCAAGAAAGCCATTTTAACATATGCAACTAACTTATTCCAAAATCAACAGCAAAAAAAAGTTAACGTAATTGTTATTTTTTCAACTTCATAAATTACAAAACCATAGGCAAAAAAAAGAATTGAACAAGGGTAAGATAACCAATCAAATAATGTTAACCTAGTCAGAGTTGTTCTCCACATTTTAGTGTCATTTATGATAGTCAACAGAATCAACTATTGTAATTATTAACTTCTTTGGTGTACTTAAAATCCTTTAGGCAATGGAGATCACCCTTTTATGGAAATAATTTATTTTAAAACTTCCTCTTTATAGTTCCATGTATTTTTTCCAAATTTACTTTGTTTTGTCAGCTAAAATCCAAATGAACAGAAATAGAAGTACTTTTCATCAAAATAAACAATTATATATATCTGGGAAATCTTTATCCTATAAAGTTAGAATAAAGACTCTTGAGAGTCATTGTAAAATATAGTACATTTTTAGCCAATAAAGAGATTAAAAAAGAGGAAAATAGTACTGCTCTCACTGATCCTAGAGGGTAGGCATGGGTGGAAATGAGTCAGAGCCACTGAGGTGCAGTCAGTAATTGTTTGCTCTCCACTCTACTGATGTGAACTAATTCATTATTTTTTTATTCTGAACTTATATGTTTCCTTTGTAGTCATGCTGTGCCTATAATTTATTAGTTCTTTCCCTTTAAATTTTATTTGTACCCTGGGAAAATTGGAAGTAGAAAGTCTGAACAAAAAGTACCAATCTTCTTTGACATGCTCTTAATAGCAATAATCACCACAACAACCTCAAACAAGGAAGGTTTTTCCCCCATAAAGGCAAAGATACCAACAATATGTTTTCTTTTATATTGTGCACCTTCAAGGTAATCAACAGAAATAAAACAAATGCATTCATTTTCCTGGTTATATTTCCCAAGGCAAGTTTATTATTACATCTCAATAGCTATAAATTATCCATGTAAAACCAAATATAGATATTATTATGCACCAGGGTGCCTTTATATGAGTATTATAAGTGATTTGATTATAGGATCTTACACCTAAATATTTCTGAAGCAACCATAGTAAAAGAGTTCCTTTCAATACCATGATACTCAACAGAAATTAGACAGTTAAAGGAACATTGTAAAACATGGATTTTGGTGCAAGCTGTTTATCAGGCACACTTTGAGGACGATGAAAGCCCCAGTTAAGTGTATTTGTCTGCATACTGTAAAACACTTAAGATCAAATTCAGGATTGGGTGAGCTATCCACAATTACTGGCGTCAGCAGTTTAAATATAGTTCTTGCTGAGAACACCTTCATGATAACTGTTCCAAACCCATGCATTTTGCCAGGTAGAGGCAATAATTGGTAACTGTCAATGCTACCTACAAACACCATGTTCCTCCAAAAATAACCCGGAATGATTAGCTCTCAGCAATTGGCTGCACTTTTGCTGACTTCTTCTGAGTGGTTTTTCACACACAGTCATAGATAAACCCACTGTAACCTAACACAGCTGATGACTCATTTCATGGCTTTCTGCTTGTCTCTTTCAAAGCTGTATGTTGTTTCTGTTTTAGAAAGAACAAGCATCTATTTTTAAAGGAAGGGTGGGTTTGCTTTATTATTATTCAGAAAAGGACCAATCTGGCATCCTATCATCTTATCCTGTGACATGTAGAACATTCCTGGGTTTTGTTCCATAAATATAGAAAAGTTTTATTTAAAGGAACAATGTCAAAATGACCTTCAAGCCTATCTATAGACTTTTGTGTGCTGCTAGAGTAAATGCAGAATTCAAATTGAGTTTTCCTGCAAAATGCATTTTGGAAGGAGACATTTCTAGAGATTACAGATGGTTCAAAAGCAATTTAATGCTGGGTACACTTGGGGTGCTATCTGATTCATGAATAATGAGGACACTCACTTGTTCACTGGATATATGGTATTCAAACAGAATTCAATGAATATTTCTTATGAAGAAGGTGTCAGCTGGAGTAGTTATGTATGGGGGATTTGCCATAAAAAGGTTCAAAGTTTGAGTTAATGTGAAATAAGGTTAATTTTCATTTATTTTAAAAAAGGATATATTATTTTGCTCAAGAATGTGGTAAGAAATGAACACTTGCCAATGTCAAAAAGTGAGTATTCATAAAATATGTTAAGTAAAATATTAGTCTTTACTGTAGTCCTGTAGAAATAATTTTTTTCTGCTCCATATTTTACCAAAACAACACAAGCTTTCATTTTTTAATTCAATGGCCACATATACAATTGCCCACAAATAGAAAAGTTGAACAAGATTATGTCAGTTAATCATCAGGCAAGTTAGTGACCAAACCATTCCCGCCCTTTGCTCTCAAGCCTATAATCTAAATCAGAGGTTTTCCTGACTGCATGTTAATGTCATAAAACCAGTTGTAGTCTTCTTACTCCACACACGTGTGTGCACAAATCTGAATGCATTCATTTTTGTTGTTTGTTTTTGTGTCCTGTTTGATCCACATTGAAGACATGTCATTTTGTTTTAGTGTCTCTTTGTTTAATTTGTTCGTTTTATATTTGATTGTGTCTTTGATATGCCTGTAAAGTAAATGGTTATTTGCAAATAATAAATAACCATATTATAAATATTTTATATTGTGTCTCTTGCTGCTATTATTAAGTACTTATTCCTTAATGTAAAAACTTCAAAGGAAATCTGGACCACTGAAGTTACAGGCATAGGTCCAGTTTCCATCAAAATAGAATGCCTCTAACATATATTCTACCAATCTGATTTCTTAGCTATTATAATTTTATAGTAGAAATAAATCCTTCCCTTCAAAAATATTACTTTTTCAATGAGGACTTACCACTTACAATTTTACGTAAATTGCAATTCTTCTGCCAGTTCCCTTCATTCTCTTTATCTTGCTTTATTTTTGTAGCACTTATTTCTTTCATAAATATTATGTAATTTGCATATAATTATGTTTATGATCTATCTCCTCTAATTAGAATATAAGTTTCATGAAGGCAGTGTCTTTTGTCTGCTAACAGAATAGTTTCTGAAAAACAGAAGGTGATTTTAAATACTTGCTGAATGAATGAAAGAGTACTCACTAGGGTTCTGAGATGAAATGTTTTATCTGTAAGTCTTGCCATATAAGTTTATATGACATCTATCTTTTGCCCTTTTATTAAAAAAAGAAAATCTTAAATAAGATTTCTTTTTAGAGATACTGGATCTTTTTGGAATTTTATGAAATACTATTACAGATTTATAAAACTATAGTGTTTTGGTTTAGATATTAAGAATAGTTTTCTGGCCAGAGGACTCATTTTTTAGATACTACTTGTAAAGCATATGTAATACAAATTTGTTGTATTTTTAAAACATAGATTTCCTCTTAGACACTTTGAAAACCTTAAAGACTTCATACATGCCACATCAATCTTGCCAATACTGTGAATCTCTGGTAAATAACTGTGACACACAATATAAAATGTTTATAATCTGGTCATTTATTATTTGCAAGTAACCAATTACTTAATAGGAATATTAAAGAAACAAATATAAAACCAACAAATTAAACAAATAGACATAGAAACAAAAGAAAATATCTTCAATGTGGATCAAACAGGACACAAAAACAAATTTGATTTTGAGACGGAGTCTTGCTCTGTCCCTCAGGCTGGATTGCAGTGGTGCAATCTCGGCTCACTGCAAGATTGCAGTGAGCTTGCAGTGAGCCGAGATCGTGCCACTGTACTCCGCCTCCCAGGTTTCACGCCATTCTCCTGCCTCAGCCTCCTGAGTAGCTGGGACTACAGGCGCCCGCCACCACGCCTGGCTAATTTTTTGTATTTTCAGTAGAGATGGGGTTTCACCGTGTTAGCCAGGATGGTCTTGATCTCCTGACCTCGTGATCCACCTGCCTCAGACTCCCAAAGTGCTGGGATTACAGGCGTGAGCCACCGCGCCCGGCCAAGATGATATTATACATTAATAAAAATTCCAAAATAACTTTCCCCTTAAAGAAAAATAAATTTTATATTAAAAAGGACGTGATTGCTGAGTAGATGCATTATATAAGAGGGAGAAGAAGGATCTGGAGCCAGATAAATAAAAAACACAAAGCTATAATTTGTGTAACATGAAAACTAGCCTAATATGGCATGAAGAATTCCAATCAGTGGTAGCTTAGGCCCAGGGACACAGAGAGAAACAAGGAGCTATGAGGAATCTTTTTGGGGTGATGTAAAAGTTCTATTACCTTATTTTTTAGTGCTATTTTTGTGAGTTCCTATACCTGTCAAAATTCAAAAAGTTGTACACTGTAAAGAGATGTAATTATTGTACATAAATTATTCCTAAGCAACTTGATGAGCAAAACCAAAAGTATCTAAAGATTTGTTAGACAAATAAAAGTTATAAGAACTAATCCCTAAAGAGCCATACTAAAGGGCATACTAAAAAATATTCAAGCATAAAGAAAATTATCTCTGTTGGAAAATCAGAGGAATAAAGAGCAAATCTAAATCAATATTGACTGTATAAGCAATGATTATGGCTTGTTTCTTTTAAAGTATATACCAAATTAAATATAGGAGTTCAAAGGCATACGATTTGTGAGAAAGTGACTTGATTTAAATTGTTCTAAGTTGCTTACATTGCCCAGGAATAAGCCAGAAGTACACATGAATAGTATACATAGGTCATTTTAAAATGTATGTTGTAATCTCTCGGCTAAGCACTAACACTATAATGAAAGAGTAAAAAATTCTGAAAATAATAGAGGAGGAAATATAGTTAAATACATACACATACAAACACATATGCACACATGACTGTCCCAAAGAATAAATTAAATACACACACATGCACACATAATTGTCCTAAAGATAAAGGAACGAGGGGGAAAAAAAAAAAACAGAGCAGGGGGACAAATAAAGAGCAAATAGCAAGATGGTAGATTTAAACTCAAACGTGTACATAATTACATTCATTTCAACTCAGCTATTGTGCAAATTAAAAGACAATGGCTATTAGAGTGTGTGCACAAGTATACACTCACACAAACACAAATACGCTGACATATATATAAAAAGAAACATGATAATGATAAAATATTAATTTCACCAAGAACATGTAAACATCCCAAGGTCTATAAGCCTATAACATATTCTCCAATAGAAATAAAACAAATATTTACAAAACTGAAGGGCAAATATACGGTGATAGTGAGAGATTTTAATAAACTTCTCCCTGTGACTGATAGACAAAAAAATCAACAAAAATATAGAAAATTTCATATAATTAGCAAATTTGACTTACTTGATAAACGTGAAACATTGTAAATATACACAAAGCAAGTTGCTCAATAGTTTCAATTGCACGTGTAACTTTTTAAAAAATTGACTGTATCCTTCACCACAAAGCAAGCCTCAATTAATTATAAAAAGTAAAATTATTACAATATGTTTTATGAGTACAATAACTCAAACTATAAATCAAAAAAGATAACTAAAAAAATCATAATTTGGAAATTAAGAAATGTACTTCTACATAAGCCATAGATCAAAATGAAATCAAAATGGGAATAATAATAGTTTAGATTAATCATGATAAATTATTACACATCAGAAGTTATGAGATATAGAGAAGCTATACTTACAGGAAAATTTATGGCTTTAATGCTTATTTAAGAAAACAAGAAAAGCTAACTCAATGACTTAACTTCTTAAATTAGAAAAACATCGCAAAATTAAATGCCAAAATATACAAGAAGGGAAAGATAAAATTAAGCGTATAAATTAGTAAATAGAAAATGGTTGTAAAATAGAGTCAATAGAGTAAAAATGTGGTTCTTTAATGATTTTGTCTGATGAAAGTGATCAAGAAATGAGAGAAGGTACAAAAAATCAGTGTCAGTAATACAAAAAGAGGATGTTACCACAGATCTTGAAGATACTAAATATTCTAAAATGTTAATACATAAGGGATGTTCACATAAAATTGAAAGATTCAAAATTTTAAAGCTGTCAAATATCCCCAAATTTAAATGAGCTAAATGCAATTCCACTCAAAATTTCATTTTTTTAAGAATTTCACAATGTTATTAAGAAACTATAAATAATCAAGAAGAATCAACTCATTCTTGAAGGAGAAGATCATGGTGGAAAATGTTGCTTTCCTGGATATGAAAGCTCATCATAAAGCTATATTAAATAAAATAGCATGGCATTGACTCAGGATATATAGGATATATATAAAAAGACCAATGGACCAGGATAGATCAGAAATAGACTTGAGAATATTCTGATTAGTTTATTTACTAAACATATGGCAATGTATTGAAGTGGCATAAGGATAAAGATAAAGGATAATATTTTCAATAAATAATATTGTATCAATTGTTTAACCGTGGAAGAAAATAACGTAAATTTACTTTTTCTTATCACATAAACAAAAACTTTTCTAAATGGATTTTTACATAAATATAAAAGAGAAAACGACACATCTTTTAGACAATAATATAAGAAAAAATCATTATACTCAAGGTAAAAATGTATTAAACATAGTATGACTATGCAATTCAACGTTCTATCTGGAACAAGTTTTGACAGAGAAAGGGAGGAGCTATTAACAAATATGCTGAGGCATGAACCAAGAATGTGTCATGCAAACAGGATAAGTGCATTGCCACATAAACAGGACAAAGAAAGAATTAGTAATAAAGAAAAAATTAAAACATTGATTTCTCTTTTAACTAATAATACATAAATTAAGAATCTCAAAATGCAAAACAAGGTACATAATGGGAAAATATATTCATATCCTGCTTTTACAATAAATTTCAACTAAGACAAAATTATCCAAGCAAATGGAAAAATGTCAAGGGAGTTGAACAGAAACATTGTTGGTGGGGATATCCAATGGTCAATAAACAAGTTAAAAGCTCTACTTTATTAGTGGAGCAAGACGGCAGAATAGAAGGCTCCACCAGTCGTTCCCCACAACAACCCCCTGGGCAAGGACAACAACGTAACAACTATCTACACACACATACACACATGCGCGCGCACACACACACACAAAGCACCTTCATAAAAACCAAAATCAGGTGAGCACTCAATCAGGTGAGCTGGTTTTAACTTCATATCGCTGAAAGAAGCACTGAAGAGGCAGAAAAAAGTCTTGAATTATGATCATCCCCCCATTCCCCATCCCCTGTCAGCCACAGTATGGTGCAAGGGGCGCGTTTCTGTGCACTAGGGAGAGACAGAGCACAGCAATCAGTGCTGTCCTGTTAGAGCAGAAAGGAAACCCAGAGCAAACTCAGCTGACACTCACCCACAGAGGTAGCATTTTAGCCAGCCCTAGCCAGAGGGGAGTCTTCCATCCCAGTAGTCTGAACTCCAGTTTCCACAAGCCTCGCCACTGCAGGCTAAAGTGCTCCGGGGTTCTAAATAATCTTGAAAGGCAGCCTAAGCCACACAGACTGCAATTCCTAGGTGAGTCCTAGTGCTGAACTGGGCTCAGAGCCAGGGGACTGGGTGAGTAGGGCCAACTACCTACTGAGACATCAGTTGAGCCAGCTAAGGGAGTGCTGGCTTGACCCCTCCCCTAACCCCAGGTTGCACAGCTCCTGGCTCCAAAAGGGACCCCTTTGTTTAACTTGAGGAGAGGAGAGGGAAGAGTGGGAAGGACTCTGTCTTGCGTCGTGGATACCAGCTCAGCCACAGCAGGATATAACACAAGTCAAAGTCATGAGGCCCCCATTCCAGTCCCTAGCTCCCAATGAACATTTCTAGACACACCCTGAGCCAGAAGGGAGCCCACTGCCTTCAAGGGAAGGATGCAGTTCTGGCAGGATTCAGCATCTGCTAACTGAAGAGCCCAGCAGTGACACCCAGGTACTACATTGAGGGCCTTGTTTGAGACTCTGAGACTTGCTGGTTTCAAGTGAGACTCAGCATATTCCCAGCTATGAAAGCTATGGGGCAAGACTTCTTCTGCTTATGAAAAGCAAAGGGAAAAGTAAAGGGGACTTTGCCTTTCTGCTTAGGTACTAGCTCAGCCACAGAGAGGTAGAGTACCAAGTAGGCCCCTGGAGTCCCTGCCTCTAGGACTTGGCTCTTGGACGGCATTTCTGGACCTGCCTTGGGCCAGAGCAGAGCTCACAGCCCTGAAGGGTGAATCCCAAGCCAGGCAGCATTCACTCCAAGCCAACTGAAAAGCCCTTGGGCCTTAAGGGAACATGGGCAGTAGTCTGGCAGTTGTCCCCATGGGCCTGTGGTGGTGGAGGCCACAAGGTGAGGCTCCTCTGTCTTTGGAAAGGGAAGGGAAGAGTGGGAAAAACTCAAAACAAAATGCTTTTAACTTGCTCATATGTCATTACTATTTTCTATCAATATTTCAAGTAAATAGGACTCTGGGATCTATGTATTTATAGAGTGTTGATTTTAACCACTAATTAAATATGTTTATTAAAACCTACTTGAATATTAACCTAGGCACTATTATTTTGAATGGGGATTCAAATGGCATTATTTTATAGCAACTCATTAAATATTTTAATATTATATAAAATTTTAAATACTTTTTAAAAACAGCATTAAGGCCTGAGATGATAAAAGCTATTTAACAATTTGATATGATTCTACAATAAATATTGAAAGCCTTGTTGATTAGAGAGTAGTACATGAACAAAAAAGAAATGAACTACCTATGCATGACTAGTAATTTATTATACTTTGACCTACCTAGTCATCTCACATTTGTTTGTTAATAGTTATTGAATCCAAGATAAGATTATAATTGGCTTAGGACAAACCTGAGACAGGTGTCCTTTGTAAAGATTTTTGGCTCCCAAGAAAAAAAGTCCCAGGCAAGTCAAATCAGCAAATTATAATTCTACAGTTTAAGAATAATGGGGATATTTCCAAAAGAACTGAGAGTTTTTAAATAAGTCAAAGTCATTCTGACCATAATTATATGACATCTCAAGGTCATCAAATATGACCTATAATGGAGATAATCAACCTATTTAGAATCTATGACATAGGTCCCCATGTGCAAATTCAGTGATTAAAAAACTTGCCATGTATCTACACTCATGTAAGCTAAATGGCAGACTTCTTCACATGGAAAGGTTAAAATGTAAGATTAATGCTACACAGTAGCTGATCTTGAGGCACCTTAGGGACATGTGACGTGGAGAAGAAATTCAAGAATAGATAGAAAACTGTCAGTAGCATTAGTGCTGAGTTGAATCTCTAGATCCAGGGTTCAGGCTGCCTTATTTCTTTAAGTTATCCTTTCTCATTAGGTGATTGAGTTTGATGTTTCATATTCTAGACCAGAAAATATCTGCATATCTAGAAATTAGTCTATGCTTATCAATAGTTTTAGAATAGCTTTGGATATTTTGTCCAAATTTCTTTTCTTTTCTTTCCTTTCTTAGAGACAGAGTCTCATTCTGTTGCCCAGGTTGAAGTGCAGTCGCATGATAATACTTCACTGCAGCCTTGAACTCCTGGACTCAAGTGATCCTCCCACCTCAATCTCCTGAGTAGCTAGGAATACAATTGGCATAAGTGCCACCATGCTTGGTTATTTTTATTTATATATTTTTTATTTTTGTAGAGATAGTCTCTCACTATGTTGCCCAGACTGGTCTGGAACTCCTGGCCTCAAGCAATCCTCCTACCTCGGCTTCCCAAAGTGCTAGGATTACACATATGAGCCACCTTGCTCAGTCCAAATTTCTTCAGTTTCAAGGATGTACAAGGATAACCCTCCAATACATTAGTCTCTTTTATTTTAAAAAGTAGTATTTAGAGTATATTTATTTAATGTAGAATCAAAGGGAGAGTATAGAAACATAACTTGGATGTCTATGAACAAAGATGATTCTTTTTAGGGACAAAATTGTATGGTGTATAATGAGTTGAATTTTTCATGGAAGTTTTATGCGCTAACTCACATATTGGGATTATGGTAACTATACACACACTTAGTCAAGCCAATATTAGTCTTTTAAAAGGCATTTTAAGGACATTGAATTATCTCATTTTTTGAAAAAAGTATTTTATTATAGCAAGAACACAACATGAGATATGCTCTCTTAAACTTTTAAGTGTACAAAGCAACACTGTTAACTACAGGGGCAGTGTTATACAGCATATCTCTAGAACTTACTCATCTCTCATTACTGTAACTTTGCCTGTTGATTAGCAGCTCCAAATCCTTCCTGCTTCTGCCCCTGGCAGTCACCATTCTGCTCTTTGATTGTATACTTTGGCTATTTTAGGTATGTGAAAATTAAGGACAGATCCTATGCTGACCTGATAAACAAAGATAGCTCTTTCGAGCTCAATGTACATTGAGTGTAACAAGAGGGAAGGAGGGAGGAAACCACTGCCCATTTGGGATTCCTTCAAATTCACATCTCTCCAAAATGGTAAATTCTGTCTTTATTTAAATGACCAAACTTTCTGATTGTCAGCTCTGTATTTTCATTTTGTAATATTACTATGGCAGAGGCATTAAAAATATGGAAATGTTCTCCATTGAGTAGAATTAGTTACCAAAAATGATGACTAATAATTATCAGCCTCCCAAAAGACATGAACAGATACTTCTCAAAAGAAGACATTTATGCAACCAACAAACATATCGAAAAAAACTCAACATCACTGATCATTAGAGAAATGCAAATCAAAACCACAATGAGATACCATCTCACACCAGTCACAATGGCATTTGTTACAAAGTTGAGAAACAACAGATGATGGCAAGGCTGCAGAGAAATAGGAATGTTTTTACACTGTTGGTGGGAATGTAAATTAGTTCAACCCTTTTGGGAGACAGTATGGTGATTCTTCAAATACCTAGAACTAGAAATACCATTCGATCCAGCAATTCCATTACTGGATATATACCCAAAGGAACATAAATCATTCTATTATGAGGATACATGCACATGTGTGCTCATTGCAGCACTATTCACAATAGGAAAGACATGGAATCAACCCAAATGCCCATCAATGACAGATTGGGTAAAGAAAATGTGATACATATACTCCATGAAATACTATGCAACCATAAAAAGGAACGAGACCATGTCCTTTGCAGGGACATGTACGGAACTGGAAGCCATTATCCTTAGCAAACTAATGCAAGAACAGAAAATCAAACACGACATGTTCTCACTTATAAGTGGGAGCTGAACAATGAGACCACATGGACACAGGAAGGGGAACAACACACACTGGGGCTTGTCAGGGGGTGGAGAAGGAGCATGGGAGAGCATCAGGAATAATAGCTAATGCCTGATGGTTTTACTATCTAGGTGATGGGTTGACAGGTGCAGTAAACCACCCTGGCACACGTTTATCTATGTAACAAACCTATACATCCTGCACATGTATCCTGGAGCTAAAATAAAATAAAATAAAATATTATCAGCACCCAACAAAATTATGACTGATTCCTTCTATATTCTGTGGCCTTGTCCCAAATGAAAAGTAGGGGAAATTAACCTTTGACCTCTCTGGCCTCTTCTCTGTGCTCTTATTTCCTTCTCTAGTGATACTTCCCTATTCCTTAGGCACCCAGTGATTTTATAATCCTTTCCTTCCCCTCTTTATCTATTAACCTCTGTTCTCAAGAAAAGACCCAAATTGAATTTATACTACATTCCGAGAGACTAATTTAAACATTTTGTGTTATCTTTCCCAGGGAGACTTGTATTTTCTGACATTCAACTTAATCGAAGAATAAAGCTTTAACAGTGGCATCAGTGACATGATGAATGATGCATCATTTTGAAGTAATAATGGTTTTCCCAGTGACTCAGAAATAGCAGTATGTTCAGATTCAGTGTGCCTGTTCATGAGGTGAGCACTCCATAAGCCATGCAAAACTGTTGTATGGGAAAAGACAAGGGGGAAGGCAGGAAGTAAAGGTCAAAGAATGCACACAGATTGTGACAGAAACATGTATATTAAGAGACTTGTAACACAATGGGAAACAGGTTTAATTCAATCTTGGAATGTTTCCCTTCTACATGAATATTAAGAATAGTATATCATAAATCAAACTCCAATATTTATAATTGTCAAGTCATAACTCAATCACCTCTCTCTTTCACAATATATCTCCTTTTAAAAAATAAAGTTTTGTTTTCAATTTCTTAAAATACTACTGGAATGGAATTTCCCAAAGGATTACTATTTAAAATCTAAACTTCCTGGTTGGTGTGTTCTCATGATTTTAGAGCAAGTCTAAAAAAATCTAACCTTCCCTGTTTTCACACAATTTGCAGAGCTCTGCAGAAATTGCACATCTGGCTCTTTGCCTGTGCACCTGAAGTTATCTCAGGAGAAATTATACAAATTAAATACAGACACAGAGAAGGTCTTTTTTAATTCAAAGGAAAAGAATATATATTCAAGAAAAGCAAAAAAGGTAAGAGAAAAGGTAAGGGACTGTAGTGATATTAAGCTAGGAAACTAACAAAATGATGACAATATAAAATAAATGATGTGAAAAGAACAACAAAAACAATATAAAGTAGAAATGAAAATATATTGTGTTGGCTCAGGAAAATATTTAAATTACTTTCTTTCTTCTATTCCATAGGTGGAAGTTGGGCCTTTGGTCATTAATTCTCTCTCTCTCTCTTGCTAATTTTTGCAAATAGGGAGAACTTGGAACATCTGCCAAAATTTTTATTTTGTGCTTTATTTTGGCTACCTGTTTATTCCATAGAACTATGACTTGTCCTGGTGATTCAGGCTTACTCCTTAATTTCTGAACTGATTGCCAGAGAGTCAGGGATATACACATACATTATATATACACACACACACACACACACACACACACACACACACACACACATATATATATACACACACATACATATATATATATACACACACATACATATACATATATGGGAGATTATATCTATATCTATATCTATGTCTATCCCTCCCATGTTATTTCCTGCTTTTCTACTACTTGTTCCACTTTCCCCAGGTCTTTTGAAACTAAAAATAAAATTATCACCTCACTGTAAGTATCATGTCTTCTGCTTCAGGGGTTGCACACTGCTTCAAGGTAGTAATTGTTAATTATTCAAGACTGACTTCTTGTAAAGTAATCTTCTAGAAAGACAGCTGGACTTTTAAGACTTCATGAACTCTAAAGATATGGCAGGCCAGGATCCAAGGCCAAAGGTATAATACCTCCAAAAGCTACGGTTATGAGTCTTGGAAGTCAGCCCTTGGTTGTATCAGAGGAAATACAGTTCTCTCTAACCATGAATGCTGAAGAGGAAGAATCAAGCTGGAGGCTAGGATTATGCCATATCATACTGCTTTTGGATCTCAGCACACAGGATGCCAGGGGAGGGTAATGTTCTTACCATGAAGCTTGTCATCAGAGGTCCAAAAGAAGAGAGCCACAAAATGTGTACTGTTCAATGTTGTGTGCACATCTAGCATGAAACATCTTTTGCATCAGTGACCAATCTGAGTACTTACATCTTAACTCTAAGGCACACACTAAAATACATAATGCCTGGTTGTTCCTAGATACTTACTTGGTATAAAATTTAATTTTTTCTAAAAATGATCTTATATGGTAGCTTTTTTTTTTGAGACGGAGTTTCGCTCTTGTTGCCCAGGCTGGAGGGCAATGGCATGACCTCAGCTCACTGCAACCTCCATCTCCCGGGTTCAAGCAATTCTCCTGCTTCAGCCTCCAGAGTAGCTGGGATCACAGGCGCCCATCACCATGCCCAGCTAATTTTTTGTATTTTTAGTAGAGACAGGGTTTCCCCATGTTGGCCAGGCTGGTCTTGAACTCCTGACCTCAGGTGATCCACCTGCCTCTGCCTCCCAAAGTTCTGGGATTACAGGCGTGAGCCACCACGCCCGGTCATATGTAGCTCTTTACTGTCTTTACAGCATGATAGCTGCTTAATACATATTCAATATTCATTGAATTATAACATTCACTGAATTGCAATATTTTTTCTCATTGTTCACTCTGTTTTCCGATTTTTCACATACCCATCCACATCCCCAATGCTCACAACTAGCCGCAACATGAATACTTTAAATCAATGAAGTCCCTGAAATAAAAAATTATGAATAATCATTATTTTTGTCGTTTTTGTCATTGTTTACATCTAGTGAGACAGAATTCTTTATTACCAAATTCTGTTCACGTTATAGCCACTTCCTTCTCTGAAACTTCATTATCACCATTATAGCTTCTGGTATGATCAGCTAATCTCACCATTACAAAAGTCACTTACCTGATCCTCCTGAAAAGTGTCTTGACCTAACCCTAATACAAAGCATTAATTTTTTAAGTTTTCTTTTATGGGAAATTATTTACATTTAATTATAACACACATATAGTAAAATGTACATATCATCAATACACACTTCCACGAAGTTTAACAAAATGAATTAATACATATAACCACCATAGATCAAATAAAATATTTAAACTTTCAGATAGCCATACTAATGGCCTAAATGCAAATCTCTCTGCATAGTATTTCAAAAACTGTAGAGATGAACCGCAAGAACAAAATGAACACACATTCTACATCTTCAGCATAGCTAAAAGATAGAAAACACTGAGAATTTAAGAATTAATTTAAATAGAAAAAATAAACAGTTTCCAGTAGAGCTTTTCCTTGCACTCTTACCACAAGCATTTGATCAGTGTTCAGAGTAATATTTATATCCATGTTTATATCAGTAAAAATATAAAAGAATGATAATAAATGAACCACAAGTCTAACTCAAAAAGCAAGACAAAGAAAATGATATAAGTATAAAGAAATCATAAATAAGGAAACAAGAAAAACACAAATGATTATACCAATCGATAAACCCAAATTTTAAAAAGCCAATTTAATCAAGAATAAAAGATAGAAACACACAATATAAAAGAAGAAAAGAAAGGATGGGAGAAATATAATAATATAGATTCTTTACTTTTAAATATGCTTAAACAACTAAATACAGTCAATTATTTCTTTGGAAAATGCAGTTTATCAAACTTGATTTTATGAAAGAAAGAAAACTTGCACATGCCAATTTTGGCTAAAGAAATAAATCACTGTGCAGAAACTATAGTACATCTCCTCAGTGGGGAACCACACAGATGTAGAAACCATGAGGAAGATCTTCATGAACTGAAGTAGAGTGAGTTCATAAAAAGCAAAAAGTATATCTAGTTTTCTAACTTTTAGGTAAGAATAAAGCAGAAATATAAAAATACAAACGTAACTATTATGCAAAGAGAAACATAGGAAGCATAGATTAGAAATCAGTAGATCAATGGATGGGAATGAGGTTGAAGGAATCAAGAGAGTAACTACAGAGTTTGGTTTTTTTTTCAGTGTGGCTTTAAATTTTTGAACCATGTTAATGTTTTACAAAAAATAAAAATCAAATGAAAAGAAAAATTTCTATCATAGAATATGAACGGGGCTAAACAAATATGTTTATCCTTGATTCTGTTAATGTCATGTATCGTGTTTATTGATTTGCATATGTTGAATCCTCCTTGCATCACTGGGATGAATTTCACTTGATCCTGATGAATGACCTTTTTAATGTATTGTTGAATTAGGTTTGCCAGTATTTTGTTGAGGATTTCTGCATCTATGTTTATCAGTAATACTGGTCTGTAATTTACTTTTTTTTTCGTCTTTGACTCTGATGAAGATCTGTTTGTGTTTTTAAATATTATAATAGCATAACTTTGTCTCTTCATTCAAATACTTACGCTTTATGTTTATTTTTCTTATCTTCTTTAACTGTTTGAAATTTTTAGTACAGTTTCGAATAGAAGTGTGAATTGAAGGCATCCTTGTCTTTCTCAGTTACAAAGGGAATTCTCTCGACATTTCACAATTAAATATACAGATGTTCGTCATCTTATGATGGGGTTATATCCTGATAAACTTATCATAAGTTGAAAATACTGTAAGTCAAAAATGCATTTGTTACACATGACCTGATAAATATCATAACTTAGCTTAGCCTACCTTCAGTGTGCCCAGAACACTTATATTAACTCACACTTGGGCAAAATCATCTAAAGAAAAGCCTATTTTATAATAAAGTGTTAAATGTTTTATGTATTTACCGAATAATGTACTAAAAATTGAAAAATAGAATTGTTGTATGGGTGCCCAAAGTATAGTTTCCACTAAATGCATAATGCATGTGCACCATTGTATGTGCCAAAAGTCATAAATAGCAACATTGTAGGTCAGGGACCACCTATATTGGATTTGCTATTGGTTATTTTTATACAATGTATTTTAAAGTTAAGGAAGTACTCTCATTCCTAGTTTTTTGATATTTTTAAAGTGCACATATTAAGTTTTTAATACTCCGTTTATCTATTATTAGATGTTTTGTAGAATTTGTTTATGGAATAATGACATTAATTAATTTTACTCATCAATTTAAAGTTACTTCGTTGGATACCTAATTTGGTCCTGATGTGTTTACATTTTATACATATATCTTTGTATGTTTGGTTTGATAATATTTTCAAATATTTTATTTATTCTGAGAAAATTGGGCTATAATTTTACTCATCTATGGACTTTATCTTTTATTATTTTCTGGAAGTTTTCTCTATGGTTGAAATGTTCTTTTACTTGCATGTTGCTAGAACACACATCTGTCTTCTTTGATGCAATAGTTGGTGTGGTGTTTCAATTTCTTTTATGGTTATAGGCATGACTCGTATTAGCTGGTACACACTACTGTGACTATATTGGTTTTTGATAGCCAGTGTTCTTTGTGATTATCTAAGTGCCCATGTGGCTAACCTTCTAATTGGTTGATAGCTGTGCTATATCAGTTGTTAAAATATTTTTTAATATTTCTGTGGGTTATAAGACTATAACTGCATAGGGCTGATTTAATAGCCCTTCTCTGGTCATGGCAGATTAACATTATTGGCCTCTTCAAAATCCCTTTCCTGTATCACACATTTATTTTCATTTACTCCTATTCCCCTCCCTTTAGAGGAAACATTCTAATGCATTTAATGTGTACTTATTTGGTTTTCTTTATTGCTATAACAAATTTTGAATTGTTTTATATGCATTTTTAATTTACATAAATTCTATTGTCTTACATGTCTTATTAAGTATATCTCTTACTTACTCCATTCATCACCATACCTTTAAGACCCATCATTCTTCATGCGCTTTTGGGCACGTTAACCTTGTTGCTTGTAACTGTGTTGCTTCGAGGTCCTGAACAATACTCTAGGTGTGGATTTATTGCATTTTACCTACTACAGTTCAAGCAATAGTCCCCCAGTTTGCCTGTAACATTCTACTACCACAAATAATGATGCAATAATCAAGCATCTTCCTACCTGTCCCTCGATACAGCTCTGTAAGACTTTCTTTGGGATATATACTCTAAAGAAGAACTGCAATGTCATAACAAATGGGTACAAATTTGATCACCCGATGCCAGATTGCTCCAGTGAATGCACAAGCCTGCCTTCCTACAAGGAATGCAAAAAGTTTACTATATCCCCATGATATTACTACCATGGAGTATTATTCAACTTTCTAGTCTTTAACATTCTAAGAGATGTAAAATAATATCATATTGAGTTTGCTTTTGCTATTTTGTGCATGACAAATAGTTTTTTATATTCAAGCAACTACTGGTAAATTAAATATAAGATTGAATAAATACTTGAATTCTATCATCTAATAAGATTTACTATGTGAACTTAAAGACAGTAAAGTCAAAAAGAACTATACCAATAACATTGTTTTAACTCTTATATGGGAGGAAATATTTTAAGTATGGTTGTTGATTCACATAGTGTACAAATAACATTTTAGTAATTTTTGATAAAAAAGTCTCTCACCTTAAGAAAGCATTAGCAAAATGTAACATTCAACTATATATTTATATATGTATATATGAATACGTGTGTATATGCTTAATATGTGTGTATGACCTAGTTGAGGAGTACTTTTATATACAATTCTGTTTTAGCTACAAAGAAAACAGACAGCTTGTACCCAACAAATTTATCATCAGTATGATATAAGTAGTTAAGAAGAATAAATTTTTGGACGAACTTTAAATGTATACAGAGAAACTGGGTTCTTTAGTCTCCAAAAAGTGTGCCACTGCTATGCCTCATACAGTCAATTACATACCCATGCTCTGTCCCAAAGTGTCAGAGTCTCCCACAAGAGCAATAGTAACTGAGAAATTCCAAAATCAGGCTGTAATAGTCAAGGTTCAGTTAGGAAGACTGAACCACGGTAAGTCTTATGGAACAAAGGAATGATTATAGAAATAGAGAAAAAATGGAAACCAAGGTTTAATATAGGGAGTTCAAGGATCAAAGTCACTGACCAGTCCTCCTGAGGCCACACATGTTTAGCCATGAGAGTGGTGCTGTAAAGGAAAATCTGGGCAGAGTGTAAGGAAACCTAATGCCTCTCTTTCTAGCTCAGGGCCTGCAATCATTGTTGGGCGGCTGTGGCAGAAATTAGGATGAATACTGAGTGAGTTCTTGCTCTCTTGGTTCCTTCGAATGCTGTTTTATAAAAAGAGCCTGACACCTCCCTCTCTGTTATTTCCTCTCTCAACGTAGGATCTCTCACACATCAGTTCCCCTTCACTTTTCACCATGAGTGGAAGCTGCTTGAGGGCCTCACCAGAAACTCAGCAGATGCCAGCAGCATGATTCTTGTACATTCTGCAGAACCATCAGCCAAATATACACCTTTTCTTTGTAAATTACCCAGCCTCATGTATTCCTTCATAGCAACACTAAATGGGCTAAGACAGCTGCCACATCCACTTCTTGTCAATTCGGCATTCCATACCACTCCTTGTCCAACTGAAGACAATAGCAAAATCATACACACCTATTACAGTTATCCTTCATAATATAAAAGCCACAATAGCCCTCTATCCATCCTCAATTGGGGACTGACTGTGTGCACGTGGCACACACACACACACACATAAATATAAAATTGAAAAATAAATATGATTCATTTCAGTAATGAGTCATAGAGCGGTATTTGATATTTGTAATTTCCAGTTTATACCTACTCCATTATTTCTTTTTCCATATAAATCATTTGAACTGTTCATGATTACTTGCCTAATGGAATAATGCAAAACTTTTATTCCTTAAGGATCTATGACATTAGTAGTTCCTTGCCTGTAAGAAATGTTGTCATTTTCTATTAACTTTTCTCATAGAATATAATAATTTTAAGACATTGCTATGCATATTCCTTGTGCTACAAACTGCTCTAGTCTCCCAATTCTGTAAAAGTAATACAATTTTCACTTGACAGTCACAATCAATTATACAGTCATCAGATTAACCATCTTCTTTACCTATTGATTCACTGGTATAATAATTTTAAACTGGTTAAGTGAAGTCTTAAATTTTAGTTTAATGGAATCATTGCTGTGGCCCTGGTGCAAGCATTGCCCTTTTGGGAATAAGTTCTATGAACCGGCAAGGCCCAAATTTGAAGGGACAAAAGCCAAAGTTTTGCTCATGGATTATTAGAGTTAATAATGACTGAAAATATTCTCTTTTTGTCTTTTGAGTTTCAGACTTGTACATCTTTTCTAGGAAAAAATAGTAAAATATATTAATTTCTAATATTTAGCATATATCTTGGATCATACTACCCAGCCTTTCAATGTGTTGTCATCTAGATGTTGTAATAACTAAGTCTTCAAAATACTTTCCAACCATTCTATCAGGCAACCTGCTTCAGAGTTAGGGGAAATGTGGAAGGACCAGTAAATAAAATGCACATTACTGAGCCCGTGTGTGACCTTCATTTCAACTGCCATGCCATTTTGTCATGAGACCTTTAAGAACAGAGGTGTCTGAGCAAAGAGTCTCGCCAATGTCCACAGAACAGATTATTTTCTCTGATTGAAAATTAAGATTCTACTTTTAGATATTGTAGTTTGTTGACCATTTAAAAAGGACACAGATATTTCCCCTCTTTGACTATTTAAAAATACCTGTGCACATAGCTCCTCTCTAGCCTCCCCTTGTCACTCATTTTCTGCTGTTTCTTCTAAATCTCAGGCTATTCAGTCAAACCATTAGATACTTTCTCTGAATAGCATAGAGCCGTAACTCTAACCATCTCTACTTTCAGGCAAAATGGACTATCAAGTTCATGGCATATTTCTGTCGATTATGTTACTTTCCTATAACCACTGTCTTTTACGATTAATTCTCATAAGAACCGTTGTGTTTTTCTATTCACATCTGAATGGAGACTGCAGGTTGTGCAGAACCATATATAAATCAGGCCCAGTGTTCCAGATCCTCAGTCAACAGGTCACAAAGAACTCTCCTTGAGGTTTTAGGCGTTGGTTGCAAGAAAGGAGGCAACGTAACTGGAGTAAGGTGTATGAGAATATGAGTCACCTGCTCATGTGATGTCCTTGTGCCTTTGGGAATTGCTGGTGCCCAGACTAGTATCTAACACTTCATGTGTTGGTGGGGTTTTGCTGTGCATAGCCAACTTTAATGCTTGGTAGCTCTTATTATATCTAGTTTGTGACAAGCATACTGGGTTCCATGGTAACTTGGAGATGTGTGTCTTCTTTTTTATTTTTGTTAGTCTTACTATAGGTTTATTAATTTGTTAATACCAAAGTTATCAAAGGGAAAAGATTAAAAATATAGGTTTAGTAAATTTGTTGATGTTTTTAAATAATCAACTCTTGATTTCATTAAACTTTTTCTATTCTTTTCCTGTTTTCGTTTTGTTTCTGCTCTTTGTTGTTTTCTTCCTTCTGTTTGATTTGGATTTATTTCGCTCTTCTTTTGCTATTATCCTGAGGAAAAAAACTTAAATTACTTAAGATTTTTCTTTGTTTCAAATGTAAATATTTAGTGCTATAAATGTCCCTCTCAGCATTGCTTTGGCTATGATCCACAAACTTCGATATATAATATTTTCATTCATTTCTATGTATTTGTAAAAAATTTCTTTTGTGACCTCCTCTTTGACCCATGGATTGCTTAAGAGTGTGTTATTAAATTTCCAACTGTTTGAGGATCTTCTTGTTTTATTTCTGTAGTTAATTTCTAGTTTGACTCTATAATGGTCAGGAAACATTTCATATGATTTCAATTTTTTTTAGTTTGTTAAGGTGGCTTTATGGCTCAGAATATGGTGTATTTTAGTACATTTTCCATAGGTGCTTGGAAAGAAGGTATAGTTTCCTGCCATTGCCTAAAGTGTTCGATTTACATTCTGTTGTTTCATTGCATTATTCATTTCTTCCATATATTTACTAATTTTCTGGCTAGTTTTTTTTAATCAAATGCTGAGAATGGGATGTTAAATTCTTCAGTATAATTACAGATTTGCCTATTTCTTCTTTAATATATATTGGTTTATATTTCGTGTATTTTGTTTCATGAATTCTGTTGTTTGTTACATACACATTTAGGATCATTATTTCTCCTTGAGGACTTATCTTTTTATCATGTAATGTCCCTTTTTGTCTCTAGTAATTTTATTTGCGCTGATGTCTATTTTATCTGAGATTAATAAGCTACTGGTACATTTTAAAGTTTACATTATCTGTCTTTTTTGCTTTTATAATTTATGTCTACCTATGTTATTAAATTTGCAGTATATTCTTATATATAGCATATAGTTGGGGTTTTAAATAAATCCACTCTGTTAATCTCTCTTTCAATTGTTGTATTTAGACTATTAAAATTTTAAGTAATGATTAATATGTTAGACATTACATCATCTATTTTTGTTTTCTGTTTTTTCTTTATTATTATTATTTTCTATTGATATACATATTAGTCAGTTCTCACACTGCTATAAGGACATACCTGAGACTGGGTAATTTAGAAAGGAAAGAGGTTTAATTGACTCACACTTCTGCATAGCTGGGCAGGCCTCAGGTAACTTACAATCATGGCAGAAGGGGAAGCAAACACATCTTTCTTCACATGGCAGCAGCAAGAAGAAGTGCCAAACAAAGGAGGAAAAGCCCCTTAGAAAATCATCAGATCTTGTGAGAACTCACCCACTATCATGAGAACAGCATGGAGGAACTGCCCCATGATCTAATCATCTCCCAAGAAGTCCTGTCCCCAACACGTGGGGATTACAACTCAAGAGATTTTGGGTGGGGACACAGTAAAACCATATCAATATATAATACATGTACATATTTTGGAGATACATATGATAATTTTATATAGTCATATACTGTATGAAGTTCAAATCAGGGTAATTAGGATATCCATCACCTTAAATATTAATCGTTTCTTTATGCTAGGAATATTTGAATTATTTTCTTCTAGTTATTTTGAAATGTACAGTAACGTTAACTATAATCTCCTTACTAATCTATAGAACACTAGGTCTTATTTGTTCTATCTAACTATATATTTTTACCCATTAATCAACAGCCTCTCTTCAACTCCTCCCCTCCCCCTACCATTCTTTGGCTTCTGGTAACTATTAATTTTCTGTCTTTCTTCATGAGATCCACTTTTTAAGATATCACATATGAGTGAAAACATGTAATATGTATATTTTTGTGCTTGGCTTATTTCATTTAACATAATTACTTCCATTTCCATTCATATTGATGCAAATGACAGTATCTCATTCTTTTATAATGCTAAATAATATTCCATTGTGTGTATATACTCCATTTTCTTTATTCATTCATCCACTGATAGGCACTTTAGTTCATTCCATATTTTGGTTATTATGAAGTTTTTCAGTAAACATGGAAATGCAGATATATCTTTGATATGTTGATTTTCTTTATTTTAGATATATACCCAGGAGTGGAGTTGCAAAATCATATGGTAGTTCTACTTTTAGTTTTTGGAAGTACCTCTATACTGTTTTCCATAGTGACTCTACCAGTTTACATTTCCATCAACAATGTACAAGGATTCCCTTTTGTCTGCATTCTTGCCAGCATCTGTTATTCTGTGTTTTGTTGGTTTGTTTGTTTTGAGATGGAGTCTCGCCTCGCTCTGTCACCAGGCTGGAGTGCAGTGGCACCATCTTGGCTCACTGCAACTTCTGCCTCCTGGGTTCAAGCGATTCTCCTGCCTCAGCCTACCGGGTAGCTGGGACTACAGGCGTGTGCCACCATACTCGGCTAATTTTTGTATTTTTAGTAGAGATAGGGTTTCACCATGTTGGCCAGGATGGTCTTGATCTCTTGACCTCATGATCCATCCACCTAGGCCTCCCAAAGTGCTGGGATTGCAGGCAAGAGCCACTGCACCCAGCCTGTTTGTTGTTGGTTTTTTGTTTTTGAGACAGTGTCTGGCTCTGTTGCTCAGGCTTGATATTCCATTTTAAATAAAAGCCATTTTAACTGGGTAAGATGTGGTTTTTATTTGCATTGGTAATATTGAACATTTTTAACATATCTGTTGGCCATTTTTATGTCTTCTTTTGAGAAATGTCTATTCAGATACTTTGCCAATTTTTTGATCCGTTTTTTTGCTATTGTTTGGGTTCCTTATATATTCTAGTTAGTAGTCGTCAGATAGTTGCCAAATATTGTCTCTTCATTCTGTGTCTTCACTTTGTTGGCTGTGTCTTTTGCTGGGTGGATGCTTCTTCACTTGATATAATCCCATTGGTCTATTTATGCTTTGGTTGCCTGTGCTTTTGAGGTCTTACATACAAACCCTTCCAGACCATTGTCCTGAAGAGTTTCCCCAAAGTTTTATTTTAGTTGTTTCATAGTTTGGGGTCTTATATTTAAGTCTTTAATCCATTTGAGTATGATTTTCATATGTGGTGAAAGATAGAAATCTAGTTTCATTCTTCTAGATGTGAATATCAGTTTTCACAACACCACTTATTGAAGAGACTCTTTTTCACCAATGTATGCTCTTGGCAACTTTGTTGAAAAGTATTTGACTGTAAATGCATGGATTTATTTGTGGTTCTCTAGTCTGTTCCATTGGTCCATTTGTCTATTTTTATGCCAGTACCATGTTGTTTAGGTTGCTATAGCTTTGCAGTACATTTTGAAGTCAGGCATTGTGATGCCTCCAGCTTTGTTCTTTTTGCTCAGGATTGCTTTGGCTATCCAGGGTCTTTTGTGTTCCATATAAATTTGAAGATTTTTTTTTATTTCTATGAAGAATATCACTGGTATTTGGACAGAAATTCATAGAATCTATAAATTGCTTTGGATAGTATTCCCATCTTGACAATATTATTTTAATTCGTGAGCATGGAATATGTTTTCTCTGGGTTGTTTCAAATTTTTTTCATCAGTGTTTATTATGGTTTTCTTGTATAGATTTTTCACTTCTGTGGTTAAATTTATTTCTAGATATTTGATATTCTTTGTAGGTATGGGATATACTTCTTGATTTCTTTTATAGATTCTTCATTGTTAGCATGTATAAATGCTACTGATTTTTGTATATTGATTTTAGTATCCTGCACCTTTGCTGAATTTATTTCAGTTCTAACAGTTTTCTGGTGGAGTCTTTAGGTTTTTCTAAATATAAGATTATGTCATCTGTAGACAATGTGAATTTGACTTCTTCCTTTCCAATTTAAATGCCTTTTATTTCTTTCTCTTGCCTAATTTCCCTGGCCAGGACTTCCAGTATTATGTTGAATAAAAGTGATGAAAGTGGCCATATTTCTTAGAGAGTTGTCTTTCAATTTTTTCTCTTTCAGTGTGATGTTGGTTGTGTGTTTGTTATATATGACCTTTATTATTTTGATGTATGTTTTTTCTATATCCAGTTGAGAATTTTTTTTCTCAAGGAAATGCTGAATTTTATCAAGGGCTTTTTCAGCATCTACTGAAATAATCGCAGGATATTTTTTGTGGTTCTGATAATGTGATGTATCATGTTTATTGATTTGCATATGTTGAACCATACTTGCATCCCTGAAATGAATAATGCTTGATTGTGGTGAATAATCTTTTGAAGTGTTGTTGAATTAGGTTTGCTATTATTTTGTTGAGAATTTTTGCATGTATGTCTATCAGTGATACTGGCCTGTAGTTTTCTTTTTTTGTTGTTTCTTTGTCTGGTTTGGGTGTCAGGGTAATGCTGATCTTGTAGAATGGTTTGGAAGTATTCCCCCCTTTCCAATTTTTTGATGCAGTTAAGTAGAATTTGTACTAGCTCTTTAAAAGTTTGGGAGAATTCAGTAGTGGATTCATCAGATCTGGGGTTTTCTTGAATGAAAGACTTTTATTACAGCTTTGACCTCATTTCAGGTTAGTGGTTTGTTGAGGTTTTCAATTTCTTAATGGTTCCATCTTGGTTGGTTGTATGTGTCCAGACATTTATCCATTTCTGCTAGGTTTTCTTATTTGTTGGCATACAGTGATTCATAACATTCTCTATTCTTTGTATTTCTATGGTCTCAGTTGCTTTGTCAACTTTTCTGTTTCTAATTTTTTTTTTTTTTTTTTTTGAGATGGAGTCTAGCTCTGTCGCCAGGCTGGAGTGCAGTGGCGTGATCTCGGCTCACTGCCACCTTTGCCTCCTGGGTTAAAGTGATTCTCCTGCCTCAGCCTCCCAAGTAGCTGGAACTACAAGCGAATGCAGCTAATTTTTTTTGTATTTTTAGTAGAGACAGGGTTTCACTGTGTTGGCCAGGATGGTCTCGATCTTCTGACCTTGTGATCTGCCTGTCTCGGCCTCCCAAAGTGTTGAGATTACAGGCATGAGCCACCGCGCCTGGCCCTGTTTCTGGTTTCATGTGTTTGAGTCTTCTCTCCTGTTTTCTTATTTAGTTTAGCCAAAAGTTTGTTGATTTTGTTTAACTTTTCAAAAAAATCAACTTTTTGTTTATCTTTTGTAATTGTTCTTTAGTTTTAATTTATTTCTGATTTGATCTGTATTATTTCTTGCCTTCTAGTAATTTTGGGTTTGCTTTATTCTTGCTTTTCTAGTTCTTGAGGTATATCTTTAGTTTACTTAAGGTATCACATAATTTAAAGTATTTCTACTTTGTTGATATAGGCATTGATTGCTGTAAACTTCCCTCTTAGTACTGCTTTATCTGTATCTCATTGATTTTGGTATGCTGTTTTTTCATTTTCATTTGTTTCAGAAATTTTAAATTTTTCTTCATAATTTCTTTACTAACTCATTGGTCATTTTAGAGCATGTTGTTTAATTTCCATGTGTCTGTAGTTTCTGAGGTTCCTCTTGTTATTAATTTAATGTTTTATTCTATTGTATTCAGAAAAGTTACTTGATATGATTTCTAATTTTTTTTACGTGTTGAGAACTGTTTCGTGGGCCAAGATGTGGTCTATTCAGGAGAATTATTTATGTGCTGCTGAAAATAATGTGTATTCTGCCACCACTGGGGGAAAATTTCTGTTAATGTCAATTAGCCCTATTTGGTCCAGTGTATAGATATTTATTTGTTGATTTATGTCTGGATGATCTGTTTATTACTGAGAGTGGGGTGTTGAAGTCCTCTGCTGTTATGCTATGGCAGTATTTATTTCCCTTTAGATTTGTTAATGTTTGCTTTATAGATTTGAGTGATACAGGGTTGGGTGCAGAGATATTTATAACTATATCTTCTTTCTGAACTGACCACTTTATCATTATATAGTGACCTTTCTAGCTAATTTTTTATATCTTGTACATATTTGCTCCATTTCATTCTTTTTCTTTTTTCCTCTGACTGTGTATTTTCAAATAGCCGATCTTGGAGCTCACTGAGTCTTTCCTCTGCTTCATCAAGTCTACTGTTACGAGTTGTTAATGAATTTTTCAGTTCAGCAAATATGTTTCTCAGTTCCAATATATGCCTTTTTTTATATTTCAATCTTTTTGTTAAATGTCTCTGATAAATATCTGACTTGCTTTTCTGTGTTATCTTGGAGATTACTGAGTGTTCTTAAAACTGCTATTTTGAATTTTTGGTTAGAGAGCTCACATATTGCTATGTTGTTGGTATCCATCACTCATTCCTTGCATTGTCTGTTTGGGGAGTGATGATTCCCGGTTTGGTGTTGTTTCTTGTAGATGTATGTCTATGTATGTCTATGTCTTTCCATTGAAAGTTTAGTTATTTATTCCAGTTTTCTCTGGTTTTTTTTGTTTGTTTTTGTTTTTGTTTTGTTTTGTTTTTTGACGTGATTGCTTAGAGGTTCATTGTAATTTTAAAATTTCTTTCCAGCTTAGTTTCTGCCCCCTTTTAAGCACTAGATGACTTCATAAGCCCAGGTTTGCCTCAGCTGTAGTAATGGACGACAGCTCTGCCCATCCCAAATAAACAGATCTCAGAGGGGATATCCCTGCAATGTGGGACAGCTGCCTAGGAATTTGTGCCCAGAAGACCCTAGTGTGGAGTTGCTGAACAGCCACTCTGATTTGGCATCTCCTTTGGCTGAGTTACAGAGCAGTTTCCAGGACTGTGAATCGTAGTCCTTCCCTTCCCCTTTATTTTTGGCTTTCTCAGAAATTTTTCTCCTTTAGGGACTCTTAATGTTTCCTGTGGGTGGAGGCAGGGACAGGTCTCCCGTCAGAGAACCCAAGATGGTAGAGAAACTTATTTTCACTTTGATCTCACTTTTTCTAGTATAGAAACTGAGTTGGGGAGAATTTTTCCACACACTTAGTGCAGGGCTGATTGTGGGGAAAGGGGTGTATAATGGATATGGAAGTCAGATTCTTCTACCATCTGTTTGGAGTTTTTTTTACTTGTCTGTGGCCCCATGAACTGTTGCATCTTCCTGTTTGAGTTCTGGGATATTGCTGGCAATAACCTCTGTGCTGTATATTTGTTTTTGGTTTTTTGTGAAGGGGAAGTGAAGCCAGATTGCTACTATGTTGCCATTTTGGAACCAGGAGTCTGCTGTTCTTTCTGGATTATCATTATTCTGTTTCTCTTTCTTTGCTTTTCCGTTGGATTCTTTCTTATTTTATTTATACTGCTTTAAACTAGATCTCTTTTTATAGCTTTCTTAGTGGTTGTTCTGGATATTACAATATACGTATGTAATTTATTACAACGTACTCATATTGAAGTATGACTATTTGATTAAGTATTTAAATTTTATTTATATTTAGGTTTCTTTCTCTTTGCACTTATGTAATTGTCTGAAGTATTTCCTCTATGTTTATTGAGATCCACATTAGATGGTGTTATGCTTTTTACTTCAGTCATCAAATATGACTTAAGAAGTTCATGAGAAATAAGATAATCTAGAATATATATCCTTATTGTTACATATTTAATAGTCCTTCTATTTTTTTAAATCCTCGGCTTCACTCTTTTATATTTTTCTATTTGCTGAGAGTTTTTGTAGCCCTTTTTAAAGAGTAGGCATTATTTTACCCTTGTCTGAGAATGCCTTGATTTCTCTTTCATTTCTTAAGGATATTTTTGTTAGATATAGAATTCGTGGGTGACAGATCTCTTTCTTCACACCTAAAAAATACCAATTATTCCTGGCCTCCATGCTTTAAGAGAAGTTTATTATCATACAAATCAGAATTCCCAGATAGGTGATGTGCTCTGTGGTTACTTATATGATATTATCTTTCTCTTTAGTTTTTAGCAGTTTAATTATGCTGTGTGAGTAAATTTTGGGGGGTATAATGTATTTGGAGTTTGCTCAGCTTCTTGAATCTGTAGGTACATGTCTTTTGCCAAATATGGGGGTTTTTCAGCTATTTTTTAACACATTTTTCAGCCATGTATTCTTTCTCTTCTTTTTTAGAACTTTGATATTATGAATGTAAGATATTTTATTATTATTCCCAATGTCCATAAGACTTTGTTCATTTTTTTCTTTAAAGTATACTTTCTCTCTGTTGTTTGAATTGAGTGAAATCTTTTGATCAGTTCTCAAGTTCAGTGATTCTGTCACCAACACTCTATTATGGAGCTCAGCCAGCAAAGGTTTTTTCTCCTCTTTATTTCTGTTATTATATTCTTTCAGTTCTATAATTTCTGTCTGTTCATTTTCTTATAACTTTTATTTCTTTGCTGAGATTTTTTAAACTTTTTATTTGTTTCAAACAAATGCAGAATTATTATTGAAGCAATATTATGGTGGCTGCTTTGAAATATTTGTGAGATATATGCTGAAACATTTATGGATTAAATAACATTATATATGGAATTGGCTCCAAAATAATTTGAGGGAGTGTGGGAGGGATATAAATAAAATAAAATTAGCCCAAATTTGGCAATTGTTAATGCTAAGTTATCAGTACATGGCCATGTTTTATCATATTATTCTCTCCACGTTTGTAAGCATTTAAAATTTTTCATGGTAGGAAATGATGGGGAAGACTCTGAAATGCACATTGTCCTAGTAGAAAATATTATTTTTTATTCTTACAAATATTATATATAATTGTTGTAAAGATTTGTGGATACCGTAAAAGAAGTTGGTCTTACTTGTATCTATTTCTCCTTTTTTATTAGAGAGAGAAATCAAATGCAAATAAACAATGAACTCTACATTTTAAAATATAGCTTATGACCTAGTGCTAATTGGAAGGGGAATTCATCTAGCCCCAAAAAGTAATTTTTATAATAAATATCTCCTGTATTTTGCTCATCTGGGATTCGGTGTCCCTAGGGAATCAAGATCTTAAATTCGCATGAACACCTCTTAGAAATAAAATAATGTCATCCTTATACATTACATATATAAATCTTTCTGTGTGTGTATATATATGTAAAAATGCATGTATAGTTTAAATAAAAATATCTTTGTAACCCAGCACTAGATTTTATATGGAAATTTTGTCTTTATATTCTCCCAGTTTCGTCTTTCTTTTTTCTTTTATTAATTGGTACATTCAATGTTATTTTGATACATGTAGACAGTTGGCATACATGAACCATCATTTTCAATACAAGCTGGGGATACTCTGTCTTTGTAACTTAAGTATAATCTGTCAACTTCTATGTATTTCTTTTGTGTTTGTGACAAGACATCAGAAATCAGAAAAATCGTAGTATAATACTTCCCTTATAAAAGATGTTTTTACTGTTTTACATATTTATATACATTTTTAATCTTCATCTTACATACTTTCTATAAATATTTAATTGTTGATTATAGAAAACTGTATTCTAATATTAGTATTGATGGGAGAGAAAGATATCTTTTCACATTACTATTCTGCAAGTGAGTGATGAAGCAATTGTTAGATCACAGGCTTTAGTTATTCTGCCATATGTACAATGGTTAGGTGAAGTATTGCATCCTCATCCCTGAAACAAGGTATTTCTCCAGAGAGTAAGACTTCAGACTAGGTCTTGGAGGAGAGGATGCTCTTCCTCCTGGTGTTTACCAGCCCAGCTGCAGGGACAGAAAGATATTGTGCACAAGCAAAACAGAGGTCATACAGCAGTGAGTGAAGTTCATGCAAAGGTCAGTAAAGAAAACTTGCTCTGGGATAAATTAATCAAAGGATCTTCAGGGAAGGTTATTTTTAAACTCAACCTGACTATCTGCATCCCAGCACTATAAGCAAGTAGTGGTTTCCCACTTAAAACATTGAGTGCTTGTATTTATACATGTTCAAAATAACCTAGCCTAAGTGAAGTGTTCTTGAAAATAAATTTAAACTTCCTCATTAAAATACTAAATTTGCACATCTATCTTGCTCAAGAGGGAATTTTAGCTGCCTTGTGGTAGAAATTATAGATGAGAGATTATATTAGTGAGCACATTTCTAAAAATGCCTTTTGAGTACAAATACAGCTTATTAAGAAGTGAATGGAATGAAATTAAGTACCATGCTGCAACTATTATATTTTTATACTATGTGTGAAAAAACAAACAATAGCAAATTTATATGTAAACCTCTAAGAAAATGAGATAACAAATAATAACTTACACTTACAGAGTTCTCCAAAAGTAATCATTATCAGAAAATTCTTAAAAAATAGTGCACAAAACAACTTATTAGAAACACAGTAAGACACAGTGCCAAGTGATAAATCTTAGTACCATTTCTGACACGATAATTTTGCAAAAATCTTATAGCAGTTCTACATGGTTTTTAAAATATTCTTATAAATCAAATAGTTAATAAGACTTTCTCATATCACTGAAATATTTAGAAAATTGTTATACTTGATGTAGGTTATGTCAATAACAACAAATCAATAATAACACAACTCCTATCTTAAAACATTATCTATGAATAAATCAAGCTGTATTCAGTCAAAGAGGAGTGCTTTCAGTTTTCTAAGCAATCATTTCATTCACCAATACCTTGTTTTGTGCTCAGTGTAGGAATTGGATAGGCAGTTCCTGTTCAGTCTCCTTTTGGTGATTGTTGATAGAGCAGACAGAGGGGGTTTCAGAAAGCTGAATATATACTTGAATTCTTGCTCCATTTTTGATCTCTAAATGCATTACTATGCCCTCATTCATTGGATTTGTTAATGACCTTTGAGAGGAAAAGCAGCATTTCATTGCACAACAACAAAAAATCAAGGCACAGAATACAAGTGTGTGCACAGCAAAGAGACTCAGATCACTATGATACCACACCCATTCATTTTCATTTCCTACAAGACTAGACTCTGCATCTATTTTTGATCAAAGAAATAAAAACAATAATGCAAAATTATGCATATAATCATTTATACAGCTGGGTTTGTTTTAAGGCTTTTTAACCTCCAGCTTGTTATCTATGTCTGCAAACTGACTGGCAAGGGATAAAGCAAGTATGGCAACATAAATTCAAACACTCTGCTCCTTCCTGGAGATCTTTGTAAACAAAATCAATATCTGTAGAAAAAGATTGAATTCTTGCATACCTAAATTCGGAACTTCAGAGATACTCAATAAGGTATTCTGAACTCAATAAGAAAAACTGCTAATGCTATTAGAATAGATAAAATTTACATTTTCTCTGAAAAATATCCCTAGGCTTTCTATGAAACCTGGAAAATAGTATCATTTATTTTCAACATATCTGATTTGGTGACTCTGTAAGATATATATATATATATATATATATATATATATATATATATATATATATATATATATATTTTAAAACTAAAATGCTGTTTTAAATGCACATGAGTATTTGTTTGTACCGTCTACCTAGATACCTATTTGTTTCTGTATTCAAGATACTGTATTTTTGAAATAAGGATAATGATTTTTCTATCAGGACACATTGCCATAACACATTCTTAAATAATGAGTACTGGCAAGACAGGTATTTAGTTGCCAGTCCTTCAATGGAGGGTCTATTAGAGATAGATACGGATAGGTAAGTAGATACAGAGATATGTAATAATTATAATAGCTATTATACATTGTAATGCATGTGTGCATGTGTGTGTCTGTGCTATTAAGCATCCATCTTCTAAGATTACCTAGAATTTAGTAACTCAGCTAGTGAACCTGAAATTAAAATGTCTAATATTTGCAGGAAATTAGAAATTCTGCAGTTTTCTTCTTGTGGAGTTTTGTTATTGACAGGTTTCTTATTGAATGACATCTATTAATTATGATTTAGTTATTTTTAACTTTACAACATCTTCAGGTAGCAAAAGGGAATTAATATTGTGTTTGCTTTAATTTTATGCTTGCATTTATTAGCATCTTGGATGTCACATGCTTTTACCATTACTAAAACTAAAACTATTCTCCTTAAAGTGCTTCTGCTGTCCACTTTTCTTGGGTACCATCTTGTTTTTAAATTACTAATTGATCTCTTGCTTTTGTGTACTCAGAACATTCAGAATGTATTACCTAATAAATTTACGTAAGATTCTCACATATGATAAACTATATCTTATATATCAACATAGAAGCATATAAATAATAATTCTTACCTTTTAAAGTCTGGCGATTTGGATATATTTCAGAATATATCTTGTCTAAGAATTCGAAAGCTAATTATTCTGTAAAATTGAATAGTGTTTCATAACCAATCTTAGGTTATCATAAATCACTTAAAGAGATTTCTTTAAGTTCATGAAGAGAGAAAGTCAAATGTATCATGAGATGATTTTAAAAATAGGCTTAAAAAGAAGCAGCACAACAGCGTGATATGTTATAAATTAGAATACTAATTATTCAACATCCTTTTTAATCTCACACACACACACAAATTCCTCTATTGCCTCTGCGTTGGCTGACAGATGCCACATGGAATGTTGGTATATTTTTTTGTGATATAAATCATACCTGTATCTTCAGTGTAGATTAAAATATCATGTAAATAATTATTGTACACACACTGAAAGCTTTGAACTGTCTGCATGCCTTTGAATGCTCTATTGTGTGCTTTTGGCCCTTTAGTCTTGGTAGATCTTAATCTTCTTATCACTAAAATTTAAAAAACTATATACATCATAAAATAATTGACACCTGATATCTATCACATATAGTGCTTAGTATAGTATATATCAATACCTATTAATTATAATTAAAACAAATCATAATAATATTAATATTTATTATAAATTATTTTATGTCATTATCTAGACCTTATATTTTCAAAAGCCATTCTCTTTTCTTGGTATCAAAAATAGTAGTCTAAAATCTCTTTTCCTGAAAAATCTTCCTTAAGCCAATGTCAAAGATTTCAAACATAGTTGGAATGCCATTGTATTCAATTATTGTGGAATGAGTCACACTCACAGATGTGGTAGGAGCCAAAAATCAACTATATTGACAGAAGTCATTAACACTAATTTGCTTTCTGCCACTGATTTGCTTGCTGCCCCTTGCCTAGTACTTTCCAATTAATTCTAGGCCTTATCTGTGATGCTATTTTGCACTTTATTTTCTACTTTGTCTTCCAGCCTAAAACGATGCACCTCAAAATTAACAATTACTATTGTTTTCAGGAGCAATTAAAATGATAAGAATAACTGAGCTTAAATTTCACATGACAATATAGATGTTTTATCCTTTGAGTATAAATAAATGTTCCTGGTTTACTAGGTTTTAGAAAAACACAATTAACATTTTCAAACTTTTTTTTTTTTTTTTTTATGAGACGGAGTCTCACTCTGTCGCCCAGGCTGGAGTCCAGAGGCGCTATCTCAGCTCACTGCAAGCTCCGCCTCCCGGGTTCACGCCATTCTCCTGCCTCAGCCTCCGAAGTAGCTGGGACTATAGGCGCCCGCCACCACGCCGGGCTAATTTTTTTTGCATTTTTAGTAGAGACGGGGTTTCACCGTGTTAGCCAGGATGGTCTCGATCTCCTGACCTTGTGATCCGCCCGCCTCGGCCTCCCAAAGTGCTAGGATTACAGGCGTGAGCCACCGCGCCCGGCCGATTTTCAAACTTTTAAGTAATAATTTTCATAAAACAAATTCAATGATTCATTTCTTAAAACCAGTAGAGCACTAAACCTAAAATAAAAAAAAAAAAAAGATATAGCTCCCATTCTTCTAATTTACTGCATATTAGATTAAACATTGAGTTCTCCAACCCCAAATTTGGCAAAACTATTAGCCTTTTTCCAATTAAATTATTTTTACAAGGAAATAATGTGTTATCTTTGGTTTTCTTTACTTTTTCCAAGTAAACAAACAAATATATAAAACAACAAGACAATCCATACTTTATTGTATCGTAAATGGGCCACTTAATTATTCAAAACTTAATTTTTTTGTATCAAATAGATTACATTACAATTTGGAAATGGGAAGCTAAAAGGTCAATTTTAGAGCTTTAAATCACCAGGCATAGGTTACTGTGCATTAAGACAGACTGGGCTTACCTTGAAAGAAAATCTCAGGAAAAAGTCCAGAGCAGTTGCCAGACTTTAAGGTTATATTTTCTTTCCAGGGTAGCATTTTCCTTGAGAACTGCTGACTTTAAATCTTTAAAAGATGAAGCACAAGCCCATGGTGTCTTATATTAATCTTTATTATTAGTTTTTTCACACACTCAAAAATATTAAAAGGCATTTACAGCATGACAGAATGAGGAGCTCCAGCAACCCACACTCCAGCAGAAATGGTGAAAATTACTTAAAAACAATCATTTAAAGTCTCAGGAAGTGATATGAGGGACATATAGACAAGATATTTATGGAAGAAAATCTACTAGCATTTTGTAAGAACAGTGAGAATTGAGGTATTTGAACTGAGACTTTCTTCCTACTCATCCTTGTATATTAAGCAAAATAGAAACATCACTCTGAAACAGGAGAGTTCCCTGACTCCCCTCCGAGGACATGCAACAGGATTGTGACTTGTCTGTTAGGTCGCTGCTGCTGCTCAAACCCCTTATAGGAGGTGGAGCATACAGACGGGCAGGTGTAGGAGCTGGAGTGAGCACCCCTAGGCTTCAGCCCCATGGCAGCATCCAGGTGTGACAGCCTGTGACTCCCGAAGCCCAAATGGGCATGTGTTAAAGTTCACCCTTTTAGCCTTGCCATCCACGGATGGCTTAAGTATTAACCAGCTCAGTGGACCATTTTTTGAAAGGGCAGAGGGCCGGTGTGACAGCTTTCTGTATCCTGAGCTCTTGTCCAGTGTCCCAGAAGAATCGTGTCACACGGACTTGAAGGATGAATACGGGGGTTTTATTGAGTGGTGGAGGAGACTCTCAGCAGGTTAGATGGGAAGCTGGAAGGGGGATGGAGTGGGAAGATGATCTTCCGCTGGAGTTTGGCTGCTCAACAGCCAATCTCCTCTCTGACCATCCCCAGCCAAAGTCCACTCGGTGTTCAGATGTCCCTTCTCTTCTCTCTGCCACACCATTCTTCTGTTGATATGCTCATCTCCTTCTCTACTTCTGGAGCCTGGAGTCAGGGGTTTATATGGGTAGAGGATAGGGGGAATGGCAGGCCAGAGGCAGCTTTTGGGCTTGAAAACAGGAATGCCTATCCTCATTTTAGGGCTACAGGTATCCAGGCTTGAGAGTGGGGCCTGTGCTGGGGAACCACCCTCTTCTACCCAGTAATTCTCTGTCTCCTATCTGTATCAACTGCAAATGGGTGCAACCAAAAATAAAGGTCTACCTCTTCCCCTAGCTTCCTGTTAGAGTATTATTTTCCTAGGAAAGGCAAGACATGAACACTTTGCATCCTGAACCCAGCTATACGTTACTGAGACTATGAGTTTAGCCAAATGATGGTGGTTTCTTCCATTCATTCTAAAACATGAGATGTAACCTCTACCTTGGGCATGGCACTACTGAGATCCTGGGGCCCTTGCTTTTGTTCCTAAGATAGTGATTCCATATCAGAAGACTTAGCAGGAAGATCTAAGGCTACTTTCCCTACTCTCCACCATGGGACACTCAGTTACTAAAGCAAGGTGTCACTCAGAGTGAAGAACACCACTGTCTCCATATCAAACTCCAGAGATGTGGCTCAGAGATTTTGCCTGGAGGCTGGGGAGAAGCATGTCATAGAACACATAGCTCTTAATCTTCTCTCAAAGTAATTCTCTTTACATGCAATAGAATGTGGAGAAATTCAAGTCTAAGAGTGCTCTCAAAAGCAAGAGAGGTTGTAGTGAAAGGAAATTGGGAAGAGATGACTGGATTCATTTGACATAGACAAAACTTTATGCCAGATACTTTGAGAGAACCAGAAAAAGAAATAAGTGGGAGGAGCCCACTTGGGATGAGAAAAAATAAAATCTCAAACAGTGTTCTCACAAATTATCCTTTCCAAGGAGCCTGAACTTGATTGGCTTTGTCTATGGATCAATTTATGATTCAGAATATTGCTGAAAACTATAGAGCAATCAACTGGCAATTACTGGAACAGAACAGCTGAATGAGGTCAAGGAAAGAGTTCAAAGAGAGCTGTCAAAACCACTGTCATACCAGAATGACTATGAGATAACCAAGGCTATGCCCTATATTACTTTGCTAGAGCTGCCATAACAACGTAACACAAACTGTAACAACAGAAATTTATAGCCTTGCAGTTCTGGAGGCTAGAAAGTTCAAGATCAAGTTGTTAGCAATGTTGTCTCCTTTGAGGTTTGTGAATGAGAATGTATTCTATGCTTCTCATCTAGTTTCTGGTGGTTTGCTGGCCATTTTTACCTTCCTTGTCATGTAGAACCATCACCACAATCGCTGTCTTTATCTTCCTGTGGTTTTGTCCCGGTGTGTGGGTCTGTCTCCAGATTTCCTTTTTTTTTTTTTTTTGAGGCAGAATCTTGCTCTGTCACCCAGGCTCCAGTGCAATGGCGTGATCTCAGCTCACTGAAACCTCCACCTCCTGGGTTCAAGAGATTCTCCTGCCTCAGCCTCCCGAGTAGCTAGAATTACTGGTGCCCACCACCAGGTCTGGCTAATTTTTTTGTATTTTTTAGTAGAGACGGGGTTTCATTATGTTGGTCAGGCTGGTCTCGAGCTCCTGACCTCAGGTGATCCACCTGCCTCGGCCTTCCAAAATGCTGGGATTACAGGTGTGAGCCAACATGCTCGGCCAATTTTCTCTTTTTATAAGGATATTGGGCACACTGGATTAGGAGCCCATTCTACTCCATTATTACCTCATTCTAATTTAAAAATTACATCAGCAATGACTCTGTTTCCAAATAAAGTCACATTCTGAGGCACTGGAGGTCAGTGCATGAGCATATACATTTTGAGTGGACACAATTCAATCCGTAACTGCCCTGATCAGGCATAACAAGCATAACATCAGAGGGTTAAGTGGGGAGAGGAGTAGGTGCCACTAAAAAAACCCAGCTAGTAATAAATAAATAAGCAATGAGCAAATACAAATAAACCTGGGAGAAGGTTACTCAGAGTTGCTATAATGTATTCTGTAAAATGTTCACTTTCCAAAGATCACAAGAAATATATAATGAGATGTGCAAAAAAAAAAAAAAAAAAATGGCAGGCAACAAAAACTGCCTATGAGCGTAAACAGATGTCAGATTTAACAGTAATAGACTTCAAAACATCATTATAAATGTGTTCAAAGAATGAAAGAAAAGCACAGTTAAAGAATTCAAGGAAGATATGATGACAATATGTAACCAAATAGAAAGTATCAATAGAGCAATAGAAATTATGAAACAGAAGTAAAAATTCTGCACTAGAAAAGTATAATAATGGAGTGAAAAAATGTAGAAAGACAGCTCAGCAGTAGAGTTGAACTGGCAGAAGAAATAATTAGCAAATTTGGAGTTAGACTGATAGAGATTATTCAATCTGAATAACGAAGAGAAAAATGAAGAAAGAAATGAACAGAGGGCGTCTGGGAAATGTGGACATTATTCATCACATTAGCATAAGCATAGTGGGAGTACTAGAAGGAGAAGAGAAAGAAAAGAACACATAAAATATTTTAAAACTCAGTTAAAAACTTCCCAAAGTTATTGAAAAACAATAATTTACAGATCCTTGGAGCTCAACGAACTCCGAGTAGAGTAAATGCAAAGTGATCCACAAACACATCACAGTAAAAATGCTGAAAGACAAAAAAAAATTTGTTTTTTTTTTTTTTTTTTTTTTGAGACAGAGTTTCCCACTCGTTGCCCAGGCTGGAGTGCAATAGTGTGATCTTGGCTCACCACAACCTCCATCTCCCAGGTTCAAGCAGTTCTCCTGCTTCAGCCTCCCGAGTATCTGGCATTATAGGAATGTGCCACCACACCTGGCTAATTTTGTAATTTTAGAAGAGACAGGGTTTCTCCATGTTTGTCAGGCTGGTCTTGAACTCCTAACCTCAGGTGATCCACCCACCTAGGCCTCCGAAAGTGCTGGGATTACAAGCATGAGTCACCGCACCTGGCCAAGCTCTTGAAAGTACCAAGAGAAGAAAAGAAAAGCCCAAAATCAAAACTCATCCCTTACAAGAGAACTCCAATAAAATTATCAACTGACTTCTCATTAGAAACAAGGGAAGCCTAAGGCAGTGCAATAGCATATCATATACAAAGTGGTCATAGACACGGTCAACCAAAAGTCTGAAGCTGTATTTCAAAAATGAAAGTGAAATAGAAATATTACCCGATAATCACAAACTGAGAAAATTTGTTTTTAAAATAGACACCTTACAAAAATCACTAAAAAAACTTTTCTCAGGCTGTTAGCCCAGACAGGAATTTAGATCCATATACTCACACAAAAAAACAAAGAACCCTAGTAAAGGCAATTACATAATTATAAAAGACAGTATGAATGCATATTTCTTCTGTCTTTGCTAAATTGATTTTAAAATAAATTGCTTAAAACACTCAAGAAGAAATAGATAATCTGAATTAACCTACATTAAGTGAAGGCTTTTAATTAATAATCAAAACGCTACCCACAAAGAAAGCTCAGGCCTAGTTGACTACACTGCTGAATTACACCACACATTTAAAAAAGAATTAATACCAAATCTTCGCAGGCTCTTCTAAAAAGTTGAATAGAAGGGAATACTTCCCAGCTCATTCGATGAGTTCACTATTACCCTGACACCAAAATTAGATAAAGAGCTCACAAGAAAAGAAAAATCACATGCCCATTTTAAAATTACTTATTTTCTTGCTATGGAGTTATGTGACTTCCTAATATATTTTGGATATTAATTCCTTATCAGATATATGTTAACAAAAGAAGAACAGCTATACTCTGAAAATTATAAAGCATTATTCAAAAAATTAAATACTTAAATGAATTTAAAAAATCCAATGTTTATGGACCAGAAAACTTAATATTGTTAAGATATCAATATTCCTCAATTTGATCTGCAACTTTAACTCAATCTCTGTCGGAATTCCAACTGATTGATTGGTAGAAATGGACAAACTGATTCTAAAATTTGTATGAAATTGCAAGGGACCCAAAATAAACAAATTTTTAAAAGAACATAATAGGATGACTTATGCTTCCTGATTTCAAAACTTACTATGCAGCAACAGTAATCAAGACAGTGTGGTAATGTCATGAGGACAGACATATAGTTCAAAGGAATAGAATTTAAACTCTAGAAATAAACCCATGTGTCTATGGTCAACTGATTTTCTGAAAGAGTGCCAAATTCCATCATTGGAGAAAAAGTCTTTCAACAAGTGATACGAACCACTAATTTGTCTCTAATAAAAACAAACAAGCAAACAAAACAAACAAAAGACAAGTTGTACTAAGAAAACTGAATAGTCACATGCAAAATAATAAAATTAAACTCTTACCTCCTACTGTATACAAAAATTAACTGAAAATAAATCTGTGACCTAAATGTTAAGAGTTAAAGCAATGGAACTCTTAGAAGAAAAGCAGAGGAAAATTTTCCTGACCTTAGATTTAGCAGTGCATTCTTAGAAATGAAACAAAACCATGAGAAACCAATAAAATTGATAAATTTTATTTAACTTGATATTGAAATTTTATTTAACTTGATAAATTGATAAATTGAACTTTATCAAAATAAAAAAAAACTTGTGTTTCGACAGACATTATTTTCCTTTAGCTTTTATTTTAAGTTCAGGGATACTTGTGCAGGTTTGTTATATAGGTAAACTTGTGTCATGCAGGTTTGTTATACAAATTATTTCATCACCCAGGTATTAAGCCTCGTACCCATTACTTATTTTTCCTGATCCTCACCCACCTCCCAACCTCTACCCTCTGAGGGTCCCCAGTGTGCGTTGTTCCCCTCTATGTGTCTGTGTGTTCTCATAATTTAGCTCCCATTTATAAGCAAGAACATGCAGTATTTCGTTTTCTGTTGCTGTGTTAATTCGTTAAGGATAATGGCCTCTAGCGCCATCCATGTCCTTGAAAAGGACATGATCTCATTCTTTTTGTGGCTGCATAGTATTCCATTCAACAGACATTATTAAGAAAGGGAGAAGGCAACCCGCAGAATGGGAAAATATTTGCAAATCATATATCTGATCTGAAAGTTTTATCTATATTAAATACTATTACAACTCAATAAAGTAAATAAAAAAGTCAAAAATCTCATGAAAAATGGGTAAAAGATCAAAATAGAAATTTCCCCGTGGAAGATATATGAAAGCCAATAAGCACTTGCAAGTATTTCATGTCATTAATCATAAGGGAACTGCAAATCCAAACCACAGTGGAATAGCTCTTTCCGCCCATTAGAATGACATGTACATTGGAGACGTGAAAACATATGTCCAAGCAAAAACTTGTACTTGGATGTTTATAGCACATTATTCACAATAGTGAAAAGATGGGAACAACCCAAATAAATATTTATCAGTTGAACAATGGATGTAAAAAATATGTATATCCTTGCAATGGAATAACAATATATGTTATAGCATGAATGGCACTTGAAAAGATTATACCGAGTGGAAGAAGCTAGTCACAAAATAATACATATTATATGATGCCATTTATATTCAATGTCCAGAGTAGGCAAATTTATGAGACAGAATCCATATTAGTGTTTGCTTAGGTTTGAGGACCTAGGGTAATGTTGAATAAAGAGTGTGGGGTTTCTTTTTGAGGTGAAGTAATTATTCAATAACTGACTGAAGATAGTTGTGCATATTTGTGAAAACACTAAAAAAATTGAATTGCACACATTAAATGGATGAATAGCATGGCATGGGATCTGCATCTAAATATAAATGTTTGTAAAAAGAAACTGAAAAAATAACTTTTTGATAGACTCATTTATAGGCCTATAACCATAGTTAACCACTTATATTTATCTACATTGGATGCTAATATTTTTCTTATAACAGAGACCCTGTTTATGATATATTTTCAATTCCCATCACTTCCACTCTGTCAAGCACAATCTCTTCATAAATTACATCTTCAAAAATATATGGCACTAGTATTATTGTGTATTTGTTAGGAATGTAGTTAGGAAATGGGACTTACATATCTAATATCCTGCAAAACATTTGGTTGGTGCAAAAGTAATTGCTTTTTTTGCATCACTTTTAATAAGATCAACTGTGGTTCCAGTTGTGTCTTTGCTATTTACCATTTGTTAACTTTGGAATGTCATTTATCATTTCTAAGACGTAATTTCATATTTATAAACTTGATACCATGTATGTATCTTACCAACTTGTTTTATCTTAGAGATGAATGGGACAGTGTATATTTAAGGATTCACCTTGGGTTTGATGGATAATAAACGTTAACTGTCTACCCACATTATCCTTTAAATGTTAAAGATATCATAGCCATCTTTTTGCACAGATTGAATAGATAGGGATCCATAAAAAGGATGATTTTGTATTTCATAACCTGCTTTTATTAGTGTAAATATAAGATGATCTTTTTAAAAAGTTATTTATCTCCCAGCTACTCAGGAGGCTAAGGCAGGAGAATCCCTTGATCCCAGAGGTGGAGGTTTCAGTGAACAGAGATCATGCCACTGCACTCCAGCCTGGACGACAGAGTGAGACTCTGTCTCAAAAAAAAAAATTATTTATCCAGGAGATGTTATAACTCAAATAACTATGAATTACAACAGAAACTTTTTTTGTTTTTGCAAAATTAGAATAAGTAACTTGATTTAATTCTCACATTTATGATTAATCTGTTGTGTGAATGTCATAATGATCAGTCATTAAATTTCAGTTTTCTGAATAGTAAACTCTGAGCAACTGAATATAGTTGAAGATGAAAAATAGAAATTTATGACTAAGTGATCATTTTTTAAAAGTTATATCCTCATCTAAAGTTTAAACATTATTTTATAAATATTAGATTTTTGCCTCTGTTGTGATAAGTGTTTCCTTAATCTAGTAACTAGATAATGATACTCAAGTAATTTTTCTCCCACTTCAGAAAATAAATGCATGTGTATTTGCTATTTCCCTGACAATAATGCAAAATCTTTGTAAAATCTCAGTAATTTGTAGGCATTGAGGATCAAGTCAGTCTGAATTACTGGGAGAAAACATCAATTATTTCTAAGCTTAGTTGGACCTGCAGTGATGAATAAACATGGGTCTGGAGTACTTAAAAATGAGTATATTATATTTTAAAAGTTAACTATTTTTGATCTTGTAACTTGATATTGATTGGCTTAGAAAGCTTTGTTCTTCTTATATTGTAGGACAGTGAACTTTATTCTAGCGCATGTTAAATAATCACAATCAAACATATGCTATATTTTTCATGTTTATTTGGCTAGCATTGAATTAGGATTCCTTTAGTTTCAAATTTTAACACATACAGCTATAAACCGCTTCAATACAGTAGGAGGGCAATTGTGTTTTATTACATACCTCTTGACTTCTTGTCTCAGTTGCCTCTCCTCCTCTCAGTAAATGTTAGTTGAAGGTAATTCCACCATTAGAGCCCTCTCAATGGCAACATTCTTTATCCTGTAATATTAATGGGGCCCATAACTATGACACATAACTCAGACTTTTTATTTCAGCAATTTTCTATCCTATTTACTTTAACTGGCACCCCTAGAGTTACAGGGCTTTATTGGCTTAGTTTAAATGTGCTATTGTTACTTATGGGTTAAGCAGGTAGGCTGATTGCATTAATAAAAATTGATAAGTAGGCAGGTTATCCTTCCTAATTTATTTCCATGGCAACAGACAAGCAAACCTGCCTTGTTTCTCAGGAGCAGAATGCTAATAATCAAATGTGCCTTACTCAGATGAATATAGAACACAGTTTACTAATATAAATGTCTTGACATTGTGTGTTTTACTGAAGAAAAATACATATTAATTCTGCATCTAAGTTACATGATAGATATGCTCAGGAGAGCGAAAAAATGAGAATGTTCCCTCGAAACATCAGAATTGTTCATTAAAGTAATGTATTTTAAATAGTGTGTACACTGAACAATTTAATTCTCTGACATTCACATTGTTTATTTCAGGAGGTGCTTTTATTACAGAAAAATGTCTTAATGCATAGTTATTTTGACATCTCAGAAAATAATGGATCCCACACAAGAGTTGAATTAAGCAATAATCCCTGGGAAAGTGGTCATTACTAGCAGTTAATGATTGGTTTGTTAGTTAATGGCCCAAGGCAAAGCTGAGGGCGGTTAAGACTCTAACAAACGAGTTGTGAATTGTAGCAATGGCTTGTGAATTGTAGTAGTGAAGGATTTTAAAGGATTTTTCCCCTGGTTATAAACCACCTTTAATGGTTTATGATAGCAATAACGTGCTTTTTAAGACTAATTTTAACATTGGACAGTCTGAATTACCTGATATTTCTAGTAAACTGACAGCTGATTTTCTACTGATATTTCCTAGTGCTATAAATTTGTAGGTGTGATATATTTTTAGAATGTAGGTACTTATACCCATATATTGTTCATTTGTTCAAAATGAATGCAATGTTAAGCTCAATACAAATAGCATTCTTCTTTAGTGGTTTTCTAGGTTACAAATATTACGTGCATTCCTGGTAGTGATAATTGTATATTTTCTTTAGGTTTCTTGGCTGGCAAGTTTTGACCTGTGATATTAGTTTAACTTTATCTTGAAATGAGATCACCCACAGAGTTTTTACTTGAAAGGCTTTAAGATTACAGAATGGGCTCTTGAATTTCCCACACCCCCACAGCTCTCAAAGGAAGAAAATACTAGTGGCCCTCCCGTTAGCTTGCAACCACGTTTTCATGTGTTCATGAGTAATTTAACAGAATAAATGTGCTATATTCAGAATTTCTTTACCTAACATCAGTGATATCTTATCACTTCTCTTTTTTAATCTGCAGGAAATTAGACTTCATTAGTCTGGGTACTTGCCTCACAAAACTACATGTAATGAAACTATAATAGCTTCTGGGATCCAGGATGGCTTCCTCCGCTTTCAGAAAAACACTATATTCAGCTTCAATTAAGTCTAGGCCTGCATAACTGACAACCACAACCAGTCAACTGGTGAATTGATGGGAGGATCAAACTGATAATTTGGCTCTCTAGATATATTTTTGAAAAAAAATTAATTGATTTCTTTTAAAATGAGTTTTTTCAAATCCATTGAGTTACATTTTGTAGGTATCAGCTAGAATTTGGAATTGACTTCAATCAGAGGGGTCATGTGGAGGAGGGATTAGTCTAATTCTATATACGTGCAATAGGCACATATTATCAAATTAAATTATTTGATTAAAATTCTCCCATAAAACCACAGTATCTTATTCAAGTGTTCTACCATTTACATATAGGGATTTGCCTTTGTGCAAAGAACATCCTGTGGGAGAAATATTTTGATCCAAAACAAAATAACAATCTCTCCCTTTCTTTTCTCTCTCCCCCCACCTCTGTGCACATGCATGTGTGTGCACACACACACATCTATGCATTTATTCAGCAACTAACATTTGGTGAAAGAAATGGTATATTCTTAAATTTACACATGAATAAAATGAGAATCATGCAAGCTAAACTGACGTATACACTGTCACACAAAAACAAGTAGCAAATCTGAGATTTAAAGTATTGATGTTGTTAATTCAAGTCATATGTTTGTTCATATTACATAAAAACATCAAACGAAAATTAGAATTAAATTGGAAAACGATATTAAACACAATAAAAACAATCTTTTAAAAATAGTGTAATAGTTTGAAGCTAATATTTTATGATTAAGAGCCAATGATTATTATTACTAAAAGAATACTTACCATTCTAATGTGTCATTATTAAAGCATTTTTCCCTCTGAGAATAATTTAGTTTTATGAATATTCTAAACACTGTAAGAATCTCCACATGCTCCATGATACATTTTAACTTCAGTATCAAATGGAAATCAATTAAGGCTCAATATATTTAGCTTTTATCTGAGGTCAGAATGGGCTCCAGGGAGTCATCCAAATCCTACATAGTGTTGACATCTAATTTTTATGTGCAGACAGAAGTAAAGATTTGGGTACTTGAGGATTCGTCAATTTATGCTGCATTTTCCAATCTTATTCTTATTCACTAAATTTATTATTCATTGGTATTGTTTTTTCTTAATAATGCTTATTTGTGTTCTGAAGAAACAAAATACTTGACATTAGATAAAGAATTGATGATACGTAAATAATGACTATTAGCCCAATAAAGACATGCTGTCAGCAGAATATCTTCCATCTCTTTCTAACTTAATTGGGAATGCAATGCAGTGTGTACGTTATGTTGCTGCAATTAATTCAAATCATTCCTAATTGGGATCTCTTAAATAACTCCCTCCTGGGTCTAGAGAGGAAATTGAATCAAGCATTAAATCAGGAAGTCATCTTTATCTTTAAATATATTGTTATTCATAATCAAATATGCTGATATTGATGTTGCCAAAGATTAAGAAAAAGATCTTTTTTAGTACTTTGTAATTAAGGAAGTACTAGTTGGTAAAATCATGGTTAACTGATAGTGGTAAAAACCAATGAAATATTAAATGCATATTGATTACTGTGGGCAAATGGAATTGCTTACTTGAAGTATTTAGGATACAGAACTAATGATGAAAATACAAACCTATAGACAACAGGAGCTGATTTAATAACCAGATGAGTAACAATAGATCTCATTACTGTGAATGATGTTGTAGAAATAGGGATACGGAGGAGACAGTATTCAGGGCCAAACATATAATGAGAAAGGAAGTTCAGTGTTGAAATAGTAATAATAATTCTATGATGAAAAAAAGCAATGCCTTCCCAGAGGAACCACAGTGGGAGAAAAAGAAATAAAGAAGAATGCATAGTCCATAATGGAGAGCATTCCTAATCTAATGCTCAGAGCACACCTGGGAAATTAAATTACCTTCTAGGTACCATATTTTCAAAAGGTATTGAGGAAGATAAAGGCTGCAGAACTGATGCCATAAAATAGACAGGTAAAGGACCTGTAATTATTTCATGTAAAACAGAAAACTGGGGTGAGATGGTCACTTCTAAATATTTAAAAATTTGTAACTTGGAAGAATTACACTTACATTATTCTTCCCTGCAATTCAGTTAGGAAACAATCCATAGGAATTACATGGAGGCAAATTTAGCTCAATGTAAAGATATTATTTTTACCATTAGTAAAACTATCCCAAACAAATTCATGTAAAAGTTTAATGATGCAATATGCTATAAACATTTAAGATGAAACTAAATAATTTCTTCTATCCCTACTAATTTCTTGCCATACTATCTTACGTCTTGAGAGCTTTACCTGCTGAAAGAGAGGTTTTTGGGAGTCCTGAGCCAGCTTGGAGAAATTTAACCAGAGATGACACAGAACAGCGATTATTTCAGCATAGCCCTTAAACTCCAGGGATATGCTAAGGTTACTCCAGCATGTTTGGATAAGGAAGAAGGGAGGTAAGCTGAGGCAGAGTACATACTTCAACCAAATATGTTTATGAGCACAGCTTCTACCATGGCTTCTGTCAGTTCCATTTTGACTGTTGCAAGTCACTTCACCTCTCTGAGCTCAATTTCCTAAGTACCAGATAATGATGGCATTAACTGATGTCGTGACTATTTGAGTTGGCTTGGGTGGTATCAGATGAGATATTGGTTGATAGGTAAGAAAGTTACTACGTGTGACTCTGAGTTCACACATCTGAGGGTGTGCACAGGCATGCTGGCTCCTCACTAGAACTATGTTATTTTCTACCTGTGCACACAGATGTCTCTATTTCCCAGCATCCATGTGGCCTGAAACTGAGTTCTATACAAGAGAAAGATGGTATGTGCTATCCTCAGGTCTGGTCCATAGATCCTTCCCACACGATCCTCTTTGCTTTTTTTTTTTTTTTTTTCCATTCTGGCTAGATAGGATGGATCCCTGGGGAAATTTGGAAATCAGGTGTCAAAGATTGAGCCTCAGGATGCAAAGAGTCATTTGGAGGAGAATAGCAACATTTGTGGATTTATGTGAGCCAGAAATAAAGTGCAAATTTATTAATTCACTGATGTCTTGGAGTTGCTGTAGATGTTGTTATCCTAACTAATATGGAAATGAGTTAGAATGTGATATTGCCGGCCAAAACCTAAAAATGATAATATTGACCTAGGCACTGGGGTGCAGATTACAAGGAAATTGATGTTGGAGGATGGGAAGATGGAGACCTATGTTATGTGACAAAATATTTAGTAAGTAGGTTGCCTTTGATGACTTTTAAATTGGACCGTGTTCATGCTAAGGTCTCAGCACTGAATACAGAGTTAGGAAGAGATGTGCATATCACGCCATTTCATAAAATTTCTATTATACAAATACAATAGAAGTTAATAACCACTACAGCAGAGATATTAGTAGCATTATTAGGATGTGATGGATTTTGATTATTAATTAGATTTGTTTTTAATATAATTTAATTATGTGTTTATTTTAAAATAATGACTATGACTAACAATTGGCTCACACAATTACTGAAAATTAACTAGTCAGTTTTTGTGATCTGATGTGAATCAGCTCAAGCACATAACTATATTTTCAACTTCGTAAGAATAAGAAATGAATTTTATCTGTTTTAAAACACTGGTATTGTGGGGTTTATCTGTGACCACAAGTACCACTGAGCTAACAAATGCATGGGCTACATTCTTCATTCAGAAAGGGCGTGTAATTTCAACTTGTTCATGCTCCACTGGGTGATAGGGAGTCCCTGCTTTACAACATCTTTAATCTCTGAAATCTAAGGATCTTGTCTGTAGGTGGTATTTCTCCGGGCTCTAATAGAAACTTTCTTGCCCAAGTGTGTATAAGGTGGAAGTGTGATTGTCAAAATCCAAGTTTTGTAGCAAAATTGACATCTAGTAATGTAGAGTTAGATGCTTTTTCATTATCACAAGGCAACAGGACCATAATGCTTAAATTCTGTGGATATTGTCCACATAGATAAATCAGGGGCTGCTGTAGTAACCTCAGAGCAACTAGCAAACAGAGAAAGAATGTTAGTTTACACACCAGACATATGTCCCTGAAAGAATCCTATCTAGTAGTAGGTGTACTATGACACTGAGCAATGTACCTTGATACAATCTTTGAGAATTTCTGTAACATTAAATTCTGAGGTTAAATCAAATAATTTTCATGTTAAAAGTCTTCACCCTGGCCCTGGCCCTGTAAGTCCTGACCATGAACCCACTTATTAATATATGGGAATCACAACCAGCCAGGTCATAAAACCAAGCTATACATAAGAGTAAACATTCTAGGTAATTCTCTTTGCCTTATTTTCTACTTGCCTCTGTCTCCCTTCAGTTTTGAAAATCATTATCTGATTATCCTTCACCTCCCAAAGTAGGATAATATTTCCCATTGCATTTTTTACCCCACCCAACTCCCATCCTTGTGTAACCATCCATTGGAACAGGAGAAGAGGATGGCCTAAAGATTTGCTCCTATCTTCTGCGTGCTCTCCACAGGAGCTGTGCCTGGTCCTGTTGTCATTGGAAGCTCACACTTTTCTCACTATATTAAGTAAAAGACAGCTCCTGTTGGCATTTTCTCTGATGAATTCTGATATGATGTTCCCAGTGATAGTCCCCTTCTCTCTTCAACTTGCTATTTCAGCGTTTCCAGAATCAATATGCATATCTTGGATGCTTCTCCTGCTTTCCGGTAGGTGTCCAGTAATTTAATATGCAAATCCTCACTACCAAAGGCTTCTAAGCAAGTGACTGTTCACTGAGACATTGATACATGCCTTGGATAACCTTGCAGGGCAATGTTTTCAATGTTCCTCTTAACCCTTCTCATAGAGATGTCCATTCTTAAAATAATCCTGAATTTTTTTCAAACCTACTTTAAAATGCTTTTTAGATAGACATCTAAACTTCTCAAAAAATCTGTAGTTTTGGCACTACATCATATTTAGCCTAAGCTTTAAAAATTATACAGTTGCCTCTCCCAAAGAATTTACTTTCTTTAGGGTGTTTGTGCAGAGAGCTGGGCACATGGATAAACTTTTAAATTATCTAATCAAATCTGGCTTGGTTATCTCTTCAAGTTTGAGAAAGACCACCCCACTCAAAGGATTTTTTTTTAAATTCTGGTTTCTATAAATAGGTGCTGATTTTCTCTTCAACATTTGCCAAAATCACTTCCCAAGGAAATTCCAACTTATGTAATTGTAGGCATACCATACTGGGTAAATCTTAATTCTGTGTTCTATATAGAGTATGTCTTCTCTACAGAGCTTCTGTGCCAGTAGGGATTTTTTTTTTGACAAAGTCTCTCTGACTTTACTCAAATTTCTCAATTTGACTAGCAATTTGTCCATCATACTGAGGGTGCTCTTTTGCAGCAGAAAGTACTGGGCCATGGGAAGACCATTCCAACAAGCATGAATGTTTACAATTACTGATTACTGAGGACCCTCTCCCTCTTCCCTCTATTAATATATGGGCAGCATATAAAACCATGGGTGTAGACAAGGTAAATTTCTTACTTCCTGGAGACAACTGGGCATATATTCATAGATTATTTGCCTTCTGGATTGCAATGGTGTTATGCCACCTGCCTCTGGGAGTATTCAAACAAAATTGATAAAAAGACCCATGGGTCTTCCTGAAGCCAATTTGGGGCCTTTCTGCTTTCTCAAGAATGATTGCTTCCTTGTTACAAGACTGTTCTTTGGGTGGCCTTGGACCAACCCAGTTCCCCGTTTTGCTTGTAGGTTTCAAGAATAACTAGGATGTTCTGGGAATGTAAAATCCTGAGGTAAGGAGGAAGTGGCTGGAATACTATAGGCTCTTTTGCAGCTCCCTCATCTTCCCAGAACAGGGTATTCTTCAACAATTTAGTCCAGTGGTTAATGTGACCCTGAGGTGTATGACTTGGGGCAGGCTGCCATTGAGGGTCCCTCCACTGTGGTGTAATTGGGCATGCACAGCAGAGACTTGATCCACCCTGGGTAGCTTTCCTGAGCCATGGGAGACTGGCTTGTGGTGCATCCTAGGCTTCTGTTGTCCCTCATTGCCTATCTGTAAGTGATAAATCTGCTTCCTATAACTTGTGCTGTATGTGAGTGTTCTGTTTCACTGGACTCAGACAAATTGGTAATCAGCGCACCGGGAACCTGCTTCACATTTGTCAGCATCAGCGTTTCGAAAGCGTTTCTCTACTAACTTGTTTCTCAAAAACTTTTATCTCCCAAAGAGCAATCATTCTCCCCATCTCTTATCATTTTTCCGGTCAGCCAGATCATTCGGATTCTCCAAATCAGATTCAACTCAAGTCTTGTGTTCCCTATTAAAACTTTCAGAATACGAAGCATTGAAATGGTAGTGGGTCAAGCTGAAGAGTTTACTCCTATTTAATTGAATTCTGGTGTTTATTTGAAATAGGTTTAGCTCAGTGATTGAAAATCAAGCTTTATTTCAAATATGCCTTTTGCTTAATGCTGCAGAATTGCATTTTCAATGTTGGAGAGAAGTTTATAGAGAAGAAGAACCATGTCTAATGGGTATTAAAATGCAATTTCACAGACATTCTTGAAACCGTTCCTCTAATAATATTACTTCGCACTTAACTAATTTATTTGTTTAATGTGAAGTTAGCAAGAAAACTAAAATCAGAAAAATAAAAATAAATCTGGGCCATTTCCACAAAACAAATATATACAGGCACACAAAATTGGCTTGCATTTTTTGATACAAGTAGATTTTTATCAACATATTATTGCCACACAATCAGGGCTGTTTTTTAATACATTATTTTGAAAGGTAGGTCAGCATCACATTTCCTGCAAGGATTTGTTTTATTAAGTCAGTGATTGTAAGAGGGATTAAACCATAAGGGACTACTTCCTATATATAGGTCACATATTCATTTACATAACCTTTTCTGACAGTGGGGAACTTAAACAAATAATTTGGATATTTTTACACAAGGAAAGTAGTCAAGCAGAAACACAGGGAGATAAATATCCTCTAGAATTCCAATTCCAAAATGGAAATAAACAAAACAAAATATTTCCATGAGTTGTAAGTAAAATCATCTCAATACTAGCCAGTAGGTAATTGAAATTGCTACATTACTTTGAGTCAGGGAAATACTAGGATGATGACTAGAATTGGAAAATAACAGAACCTTTTCTTCTTCTCTAATGATATTAATTTCCTACACCAGAACATGAACAGAATGATACTCTTGACAAATGAATAAGAGAACTGTACTCATTCTCACTTCAGCTAATATGTTCTATGGTGCGAAAAGTGGGGAGGTGATAAATCAGGCCACTTATACTGAGTACAGTGAAAGTATTGTTTTCTAACTTCAGCCATGTTCCCAAGTGGCCAGGATCATGGATAAGAAATGGATGTTTTATAGTACACAAGGCTCATACAGGGGGCAATTTTACTTTCATTATCCAGATTCTGTACACATTCATCTTTAGCCTCCACTTCTACAGATCATATTTTGAAGAATTTCATTGGCCCTCTAATTCACCTTTTTGTTTATATGAGAACTTTTTTTTCTCAGCATTACTAACAGAGTGTTACTGTATCTCTTATTGAAGATTATTATTAATTACACAAGGTAATATATTTAATTACAAGAAAATATTAAAAAATTAAAACTTTGGTATGACATTGAGCTAAAATTCATCAACATGTCTACATTTCTCATAACATTGACTACCCACTATTCCAGTTTTTCTAAGTTCCTTTATAGCTCTGACACCCTAAAATAAACATTTTTAGAAGTGATCTCATTAGCAGAGAGAATACAGGCTCTATTGTTTTCATAAACCAAGATATTGTATTTTCACAATTGTACCCAAGATCTTTGTTTGCTCTTTTAAACACATCACATCATTTGTAGGTATTGGTCTTGTGGTCTTCTAAAATCTCTAGGCCTTTTTAAGGCAGTTTTTCTTTTCTAGGTCTTCCTTTACTATACGTATTAGTCCATTCTCAAACTGCTGTAAAGAACTATCTGAGACTGGGTAATTTATAAAGAAAGAGGTTTAATTGGCTCACGGTTCCACAGGATATACAGGAAGGATGGCTGGGGAGGCCTCAGGAAATTCACAATCATGTCACAAGGCAAAGGAGAAGCCTGCACATCCTACATGGCTGGAGCAGGAGGAAGAGAGAGTAAAGAGGGAAGTCCTACACACTTCTAAACACCAGATCTTGTGAGAACTCACTCACTGTCTTGAGAACAGCCAGGGGGATGTCTGCTGCCATGATCTAATCACCTCCCAGTAGGCCTCCTCCTCCAATATTGAGGATTACAATTCGACATGAGATTTGGGTGAAGACACATAGCCAAACCATATCACCATACTTAGAAATTTATCATTGATTATGCATGTTATACTTTTCAATTATAGTTTCAATGAAGAGGTCACATAGACTTCCATTTTTCATATGTACTATGTTTACTGTCTGTTAAAGTTGTGTGTCTCTTGACTTTTTGATGATTATTCTTTGTATGTCTTCCTCCAAAAGACACAACAATATCCAATTTATTTAATCTGGAAGTTTTGATCCACTGATTAAGAATCAACCTAATTGTCCTATAATCTAAACTGAATTTCAGTCTAAACAGAGACTGTAACAGATTATTAAAGGGGAAAGAAATTTAGAGAACATTTAATCAAATACCATCTTTGAAGGCTAGAAAAAATTAGTGTCAGATAAATGAAATGGCTTTCTTAATATAGTTAAGCATTTGTGGAAAGTGAGCTATAACATATTTATTTGTAGTACTCTCTATATCAGGGAATATTTTCCCATATTTATAAACCATATTGGTGAACTACAGTAATTAATTGTGGTTATTAAATTCAACTAACTTTTCTAGATTATAGGCTGCAGCTAATCAAGTTTCTATTACTATCACAGTCTCTTTAAAAGAAGAAATGATGCAAATACTTTATTTTCACCTGCTAATTATTACATTTGTTAATGAAATAAATGCATTATTTCCTGATGTTAGGAGGGAGTTCAAGAATACCAGTTATAATTTTTTTTTTTAGTATTTAGAAATAAATAAGTGTACTCTGGGGTCTGTATCAATCTCAGAACATTCTGAACTTAGAAACAGCTTTATCACAATATTGGCTACTGGCTTAGTGGTTGGAAAAATTGTTTTGTTAAAGTTGAAAGAAGCAGCAAAGAAAGTTCATGATTTATTGATCTGTTTTTCTTGCTAGCTTGAAATAAGAGAATTGGTACCAATTCTCTATGCATATATTGATTATTATATAAAAGGACCTGTAAAAGGAGCAGTTGAATACTGTTGAAAATGGCTAAAAATGTTTCCGGACAAACCTTATGAGATTTTCATGGGGTCAATTTTATTTGAACACTACACTCTTATTTTTGTTACTTTTCAAAGAAAAGGGAAAGCTAATTTAAGTCAGATACTGCTCTTTTTACTGTGAATACAAAAGGATCAATGATCTTAATGGGTTGATGGTAAAGCCTCCAAATTGAAAACTACGACAGCTGATTCACATTTCATAACTAGTATCTAATTCTCATAAAGTCTTAAAGTTAATGAAATTAAAATACTTAATGAATGAAGTTCCACTCAAAAAAATGTAGAACCACCATGCCCACACTGCCTTCATTTGAATCTTTCTTTGCATTGCTTTAAATCTAAGTCTTACAGACATTATTAAGTCAATATGTACAGGGGGTATATAAAATGATCATTATCTTATTTTATAAATGATTAACGCCATAGTAGTTATTTTTAGGAACTATTATGAGAAAACATTCCCAACAAGGAGAATAGAAATAAAATGCAGGTTTCCATCTGCATTTTCAGTTTTTAAAATCTCTTGATACGTTTACAGATTTAAAAAGCATAAAAGTATATGAGGTACAGTTGAGTGGTCAGAAGATCACAGTGATACATAAAATAAATACAAACCTAGTAACTACAAATACAGAAAAGTACAGTTTGGAATTATTCCCTCAAACACTAAAGTGACATTCTTATTGATGATGCAATTTTATTTTGGTGAAATTTCAAACAACAAAGTATGCTCTTTTTTAAATTTACCTTATAGTTGTTTTCTGGAAAATTTAAATTAAAACAGTACAAATTATTTTGTTTATAAGTAAAAGATAATTTGGTTCTTGGTCCAAATAATACAGAGTCTCCTCACTCGACTTTGCATGAATAACTGACAGGAGTTCAAAAGAGGTCAAAAGGTCTTGCAGGGGCTGAAAAGTTTTTCTTCATGTTATATGATGAACTTATGCACTGCAGGACATCTGGTACCCCAGCCATCCCCCAGTGAAATGTGTGCGGTTACTCCCAATACACTTTTACAACCAAAAAATCCATATACATTTCTAAAGCATCACTTGATGTGGCTCCACTCCTCATAATAACATCAGTTATATGGTATGCTATAGATTAGATACAATATGGTATATGAGTAAACATACAGAGGTAGTCACTACCATCTTATTAGGAATAGAACTGAGACCTTAAAGTAGAATCAAAAGAGAGGAAACTTTCAGTATAAGAAAAACTGAATACCCCAGAATGTAGTATGTTCCTGGTATGCAGGCAAGTGAAGCAAAAATGAATCACTTAGTAATAATTTGCAAAAAGCAATTCTTCCAGTGCTTAATTAATTGAATGGCCACATTTCCAAGAACCAAGTATTATAGTAGAATTTTTCCAATTGAGAATTTTTGAGTTATCAATCCACAAATATTTCTATATCAATTTATCTTTTTCTGACATCACCCAGTTGTCATTTTATTGGATAATAAAAATTTCTTGTATATTTTGTATTGTGGGTGTTGTTCGTGTCACAAGATCAAATATTTTATCAATGGTAGGATATCTTTCATATCCACAATGTTTTATCCCCCCTTCTCTTAATGTTTAGATTTAGAAATATCTTTACAAATTTATGATTTGCAAATATGCACACACTTGAGGATTACTGACGTAGTTTAAGAGGAATTCTTGAATTTAGCTGTAAATTGATTATAAGATCACTAACATTTCAACTAAATTTCTCTTCTATTATAATTTCTTCCTTGCAGTGTTCTTGATAATTATTTATGTGCAGTTGTCTTATATCCTCCTTTGGAATGATGATTGAGGAGTGTGGCTATGTCTAATTTATTGAATAATCATATTTCCTAAAATCTGTAGCTCCTTGTCATAGCACTTATGAATGCTCAATGAATAGTCTTGCTTGACTCACTAAACTTGATCGTGAAGCAGATTTGGCAGAGACTATGTCTATGTCTTTCTGTTACGAAAATAACCAGTCAGGTCTGGCAAACTGTGAAGGGAAGAACAAATGAGACTTCAAGTTGAATGATTGTCATCATATATAAAAACTAGCCAGCCGACCGCTCTTTTTCTTTCATTTTCCCACTAGCTGTGTGATTGTCACGTCACCGGACTGCTCAATGAACCGTTTAAATAAATTGACTGGTTAATTTCAGCAGGTATCTGATTGATTCAAATCTTTTTATTTACTTTTTATTCCACAAAACTTAAAGGATGCTGGAACTGATCACGTCATCAGATAAATTTAGCCAGACCTACGTCTAGCCTGGGTCTTTGATGTCAGATCACTGAGAAACAAAAAGGAAAATTAAAGGAACCAGGGGCCCTAAAAGAATCGTCGGTGGTACCTTTCTCTTTTTCTTTCTGCTGATTCCTCCTTCTTTTTCCTATATTCCATTAACACTCTCCTTTTTTTTTCAACTCCTGCTGCTTCAGCATGTTGAAAGATAGTAAGCTATGCATAAAATCAGATGCGCTATTGTGAGCCCCGCCAACGATGCTAGATGAGACACACAGCAAGGCCGGGCGCGGTGGCTCACGCCTGTAATCCCAGCACTTTGGGAGGCCGAGGCGGGCGGATCACGAGGTCAGGAGATCGAGACCATCCTGGCTAACACGGTGACAACCTGTCTCTACTAAAAATACAAAAAATTAGCCAGGCGTGGTGGCGGGCGCCTTTAGTCCCACCTACTCAGGAGGCTGAGGCAGGAGAATGGCGTGAACCCAAGAGGCGGAGCTTGCAGTGAGCCGAGATCGAGCCACTGCACTCCAGTCTGGGTGACAGAGCGAGACTCCGTCTCAAAAAAAAAAGAAAGAAACAAAGAAGAGACACAACACACAGCAAGGGAGAATAATGAAAAGCTTATGTCAGAAGAAAGCTGTGGCATTGTGTGTGTAACTGACCATTTGCCAGCCCATAAAGCACCGCAGAAACACTTAAGTAGTATTCGGTTATTTTATTCCTAAGCATTGTCAAAATCACTTTTTCTCCTAAGAGTCTAGCAACTGAGGAAGTAAACAAGTATTTACTGAACTATTAAGATTATAATGATTCTTCTCCTCAAAAACATTAAAGAAGAAAAAAATGTATTGTGCCGAAACAGAAAGGAGTCCAGGGATGACAATGAAAAAAAGTTGTTTCCCTGTTTGCTTTTTTGTCTGTTTACATGCCCAAATGAAGCAATTTCAATGTCTTTCTTAATGTGGAAAGGGTGATCAAATCCATCTTATTTTAGTCACTTATCTCTCTTACCTGCCATTCCTGAAATTTTGCACATTGTAAATGTAAGTAAAAAAACTGAAGTACCGAGTGAAAAAAAATAGTCTTCAAAATATAGTTCTTAAACACATTTATGTCAAGAAACTGAAAGGTGAATGGTCTGACAGACATTTTTATAATCTCATTTTTTAATGAAGAAGCAAAAAAGCAATCTTTGAAAAACAGAACAATATAATTTTAATTCATTTTGCGTTAATGGCTGAAGACCAGAGGCAAAATAAACCAAACAGGAAGAGAAAATAGTACATATGGGTAATATGACTCGGATAATGCTACTAAGGAACCATAAGTTTTGACTTTAATAACTTTAATATGATTCAATTTTCAATTTTAACATTATAATGACTCACAATCCTAATTACTACTTCTTTTCTGCATTTCACATTCTTTCTTCTTGGGATTGTTGCTAACACTACTTCCTGGTTAGCACATTTACTTTATTTTTGTCTCTTTTAAAAACATGCAATCAACATTTCAGCATAATAATTTTCCAGCTGTATTTTGCATTCTTTGCTCAGAAATGTTTTTAGAAAGAATGCTAAAACTCTCAACATTTCATGCGCTAAAAATGTTTCAGGAATTGTATTTCCTCAAATTTTTCATATGCATGTATAATTTATTTTAAATGGACAACATTATCAACATACTAAGCATATTAAAGAGCATATCTTGTTCTCTATGTCTCAGTTTTCCTAAAACTTACAGATTCTTTGTAAAGAAAGATAAGCTTTTATTGCCTGTGTCATAAGAAATAATCATATGCATTTTTTGAAACCAGAAATAATCATCAAATATCTTTAAAAATTTATCTGTGGAGTCTATTAACTATTGATTCTCCATCAGATTTTCCTTCAAAAAATTATTAAGGCAAACGTGTTAAATGTGTTTTTATTTAAATAGCAGAAATGTCTGTTACACCAAAATCTTACACAGGACCTCATTTATGAAAAAGATCCAAATAGACTTGAACTGAATGGGTCAGAGGGCTGTGTTCTGCTACGTAATTTTCTACTTGCCTCTGCAGCAACTTGTGGAGATCCAAAATTAACCCAAGTTTCCACAAAACACTGTTGGAAAATCAGAGTCAGTTGCCAAACTTAAAAGCATTTTGCATTTCCTTGGCTTATGAACCAAGAAAAGGAGCTTTGCTTTCCACTCCTGTGCTTCAAACCACTCACCAACCCACCCAATCCATTCTAGGCTTCTACAACACTCTGTATTTATCTCTCACAGCTCTCGACATATTTCAGACTTTACTCTTTATATGCTTCTTTCCAGCTAGTTTGGCCTCTCCGTTAATTCACAGACTATAATTCTCAAGATTTTTATATCCTTATTTGCTAACATTATCTTGGGCAAATACTAAGTACTCAGGAAACATTTGCTAAATAATGACTTGAAGAACCAACAAATGATCAAATAAATAAATATATAATTTAAGAATAAATTAAATATACACTGATCAGTAGAATAAAAAGTATAAAATAATGTTTAATAATACCAATTTGCCATTAATAATCTATCTGCATACTATCTAACCTTCTTGCACATCTGTAGACTCAATAAAGAAGCTTCCCTCCTTATACCTAAACAAATCCCTTTACCTATTGCATTGTGGTATCTTTCTGTGTTCTCAGGAACTTTTTTGCTATAGATTGTTCTTCCCTTCTCTATTTTCAACCTTCCCTCCACTGATTATTTCCCTTCAGAAAGTAAAAATTCTCAAGTTTATCCAAAAAAAAAGAAATATCTTATTTTAACTCCATCACCACTTCATGTCTTACCATTCCCAGTCAAATATGTTAATAGTTCATGAAAAATACAGTCTACTCTGTTTCCACTAATGCTTTATGTATTCCTCAATCTGCTGCCCATTATCACTACAATGTGTCACTTTTGCCAAAATAAAATGAATAGTAACAAAAGTGATGATGATAATAACAACATGTTATGGTTTCCCATGTACCAGGCATTGTTCTAATTAGTTACATGTTTTAATTTAATACTCCATAAGAACTGACACTGAAATACACACAGCTTAACTAGATAACACAATTATTAGTGGTAGAGTCAGTATTTGTGTCCAATCAGTAGGCTTCAAAACCCACACTTTATAACTGCTAGACTCCAGAGACTGTCACCAAAAGTTATTGAACAATTCTGGGACTTCTTTCCCAGTCTAACATTATTGATTGAATATTTCTTCCTTCAAAAAATATTCTACTTCCTAACTTTTGGTGAGATGTTCTTCTGATTACTTTTTTCTTCCTTTGGTTATTCTCTTAATGTCTTTTCTCCCTGAACATTAAATATGGGTATTTCTCAAAATTATATCCTATGTTCTCTTTTCTTATTCCACCTACTTTTTCTTGGAGAGCTAATTCCTTCCAGTGGCCTCAATTACTGTCTCTGCATTAATATTAATAACTCAATAATCTTTATCTCCTATTCATTTCTATTTACAAAACTAAAGATATATATATATATATATATATATATATATATATATAAAATAACCTTTAAACATTTGTACTTTGATAATCCATGGTCCTCAAATTCTAAATGTCCAAAGCTGAGTAATAGACACCAAAATTTATATGATCATGTTTAAAATGTTTAAAAATACAGAAAACTAGCTGAAACATTTCGAGAAAGAATGAGAACGTATGGAAAAATAAATGAAAATTATAGCGATGTAAAGTGGAGAAAGAGCATCATGTTTGCTACTGGCTCTTAGAAGAGACTGAGGTCCTAACCATGGTAGTATCAGATGACCCTTCAGCCTGAGATACCTATCACTAACTGGTATTATCTGACCCACAGCCAAAAAGTTGTTCATGCACAGTAGGAATATATTATCAACTAAAAATATTTACATATAAGAGACTAGGCTCAGGCATGTCTGAAAGGTACAAGTAAATTGAGCAAGTAGATCACACTTTCTTGATACTGACTCCTGCTACACTAACTTCTCCTTTCACCATTGCCTAAGCCTTCATGTTCTTTACAATTAGTTGAATGAGAAATTAAAACTTGAGCCTAGTTAAAAGATGGATCTACATGATATGATCCCATCCAGAAGTAGATGGCTGAGAAATTACAACCCTCCCCAGGGGTGATTCTGAAGCAGAGTCATAAAGGAAAATCCTTCCAGTGTGCAGAATCTTGAACGGTACAATTTTATTTTACTTTCATTGGCCACTCTATTTGGCCAGGAAAAAAATGTGCTCTGATTCACAGGCAGTTGTTAAGAGTTTGGCTGAAAGGTCAGAGACTTGGAAAGAATAATATTGGAAAATTGGAAATCTAGGGAAGAGGATAGAGCTTTCAGAATGAGCCCAGATTTGAAGATATTTATATCTCATATGAATAAACACTAAGGAACATCCATTGTTGAGAAGGCTCTCAGTAATCAAGTGGACACAATGACACTGTGAATATCAGTAAACTTCTTTCTCAGGCAACCACAGTATTTGCTCAATGGGACTATAAACAAAGTGTCTATACTGTCAGGAGTAAGACTACTAATGAGTTTAAAAATATGTTTTTCCTCTTACCAAAGCTGACCTTGCTACTACTAATGCTAAGTACCTAAAATGTCTCTAGTAGTAACCAGTGCTGAGACCCAGTTATGACACCATACCCCAGGAGTACCATCAGGCACCTGATGGCAGGTTGATTACATTGAACTTCTTCTTCACAAAGGGAGCAGAGATTCTGCCTCTCTGGGGTATGCACTTATTCTGCATACAGACGCAGATTTGCTTTATCTCCCAGTAATGCTTCTGCCAGCTCTGCCATCCAGTTGACTTATGGACTACCTATCTACCATCATTATATACTGCATAAAATTGCTTCTTATCAAGAAATTTATTTTATAGAAAAAGAAGTGAAGCAATTGGCTTATGCTCATATAGTTTACTTGTATTTGCACATACCTGAGAAGTCACTGGCTTAATAGAAAGATAGAATTGGCTTCCTGAGGACTCAGTTACAGTGACAGTTGGAAGACAATGCTAAACTCAATCAGAAACCATTTTATGTTCCTGTCTCCTTTATTGCCGGAATACATGGGTCTGAGAATTAAGGAGAGGAAGTGGGAAAGACTCCTCACTAGCATACCTAATAGTCTATTTGTGAAAATTTTGGTTCTTGTATCAAGAACTTTGAGTTCTGCTAGTGTGGAATTCTTTTTTTTCCTAAAGGAAGACTGCTACTACTCAGATACACATTGTTTCCATTGAATTGACACATGAGAATGCCTCCTGGACATTTTGTGCTCCTTATGTCATCGACTTAACAAATACAGAAAGTGGTTATTCTTCTGATTTATTATATTCATAATTATATGAATATGATTATATATCATAGTCATAATGATAATGATTATGAAGCTGAAATAGATTTGCAGTTTTACAATGGAGGCGAAGAGGAATCCATGTGGAACTCCTGGGAGTCTCTAGGGATACCTCTTAGTACTTTCACATCCAAAAGTTAAGATTAATGATAGTATAAACAAACAAAAAAAGTAGGACTTTTGAAAATAGCCCTTTCAGAATAACAGTTTGGGTTACCCCACCTAACAAAATCTTGGCCAGCTGCAGTATTTTTCTGAGAGCAAGGGAATATGGCAAAGCTTGTAGAAGAAAAGTCATAAATATTAATAATAGTCATGACCAGTTATTAAAATGTGAACTATAGTTAATTTTACTGTTTCTCCTTGTTACATGTATATGTATTAGATTATATTAATTATATTCTCTTCTTTCCCATTTTTCTTTTTATTTTATATACAACATATTGGTGGATAATTTTATAATGTAGTCTTTAGATAACAATATTCAGTGGGATTGTGACTGAATTTGATTAGTGAATAATATAGCAAATGATGGGCTATTAGGACCATGGGCCTCATCATTTTTGTGAGAGAAAAAGGACTTTGCACTTACAAAAAGGATAACAACTTTTTATTCGATGGAATTATAGAGTTGTTTGCCTGCTGTATGGAAACTCACACTACATGAAGGATGTGTCTGGAAGATGAAGAGGTGAAGGGGTAGATTATGCCCATTCTGAAAAATGCCTCTCATCTCATCATTCACTCTTCTTTACCTTTCTTTGTGATACTAGAACTGAACCTAACAGACATTCTTCCTTTGCTAGCTGGTTTAAGACATTCCTGGAAGGACACTGTGAAAGGAGACAAGTAGAAAAGAGCTTTCTTCTTCTATCTGCTGTGCTGCTTTTCAACGTGACAGCCAATCCAGAAGCATGTGGCAAGCCTGGTGGCACTCACACCAGTGGTTCATATGGACAAGCTGCGGTCAACATTCAGGATGTTTTCTCATCACCTAGCAGGCTACTCCTGTACAACACCTATGACCATGGTCTCTGGAAAGATCTTCACTATCACGTGCACTTACTTCAGCATGTTTCTTTACCACTAGCAGTCTGCATGTTCTTGCCCTTGCCAGAAATACCTGAATCTCTATTAGCAGGGGACCTCGTCTAAGTTCTTAGTTCCTTCCTGATTCACACTCTCTTAGCTCTAGAAGTGGTAGTTGTTTCCTGCATTTGTGACTTTAAAACCATTCAGTATTCTTTTTTACCCCTTTCCATAGTTAACAAATATGTATACTGAATTTTTCCTTCTTTAAATACTAATATATTTTCTATTCCCTAACTGCATCCTGACTAATACAAATACTAAAGGATTTTCTCAGGCAGAAATAAAAAGATTCCATAATGGAACACAGGAATCAAGAAATAAATGAGAAGCAAAGGTAAAAGTAAATATAAATATGAAAACTTATTGACTGCATCATCATGTCTTCTGAAGTTTATAATATGTAATGAAATAAAATGCATGGCAACAATATCACAAAGGGTAGGAGAATTAATTCAGTCAAATGATTCTTACATTCTTGCATTTTCCAGGAAAAAGTTAAAGTACTAATTGCATTAGATTTTAATGTCAAGATGAATAATGTAATAGTGAAGATAATCCCTGAAACTATAGTATATCTAAGTATAATTAAAACACTAATGGAGAAGAAATACTGAATAATAATGGTACTAATAATAACAATACTGGTCATTACAGAAATAGCTGATAAAGTAGCGGAAAACAGGCAAATATATGAAACAAAAATCAAACATTGACAGGATGTTAAATATAAGCTAGATACAATAATTATTATATTAATGGTAAATGAATTTTGAAACTCCAAATAAAATACACATATCATCATATTGGTTTAAAGTAAAATCAAACCCAATTTCATACTAATTACTGCACAAACTAAGATACAGAATTTTACAGAAATTAAAGAAAGTAAAAAAAAAGAACAAACAAATATTATCCAAAATAAAGCTGACAGTTTCAATTTTTTTAAAAGGGATATTTCAAAAGGATAAAAAATTTTAATTCTCAATTTTCATGGACTTATTAACATTCTCCTAGGATATATAAAGCCAAACTTGATAGAATTTTTAACTAGGAGAACTAGATAAATCAATTACCATAATGGGAGAATTTAAAATGCCACTGTCGCTATCTGATAGAAAAAAAAAGATCTATAAAAATGGTGCTTCCTATAGATATTTTATAGAAACCCTTTATCAACTTAAAGACATTCTTCATGCCTTAGTTATCCAAGCACTTTAAAAAATCATTATACATAGTGACTTCCGCTGAATAAATTTTCTGTATATTGTGATGATAATATTATTTCCTACTTTAATGATTTTATGTAATAAATTAATGTTTTTTCACTGATGTTAAACCAACCTGGAATTCCTTTTATGAACTCAATTTGATCGAAATGCATTGTTTTTAATGCATTGATGAATTAGCTTGTTAATTTGTTTATGGTATTGCATCTATACTCATAAAAGTGATTGATCAATATTTTTCCTTTACTGTCTTTGTCTAATATTACCATTCTGTTTGTCCAATAAAATGAATTGAAAGGTGTCCCTTCTCTTCTCTTTCCTGGGAGAATTTGTGTAAAATTATAATTTTTATTTCCTTCCAGGTTTGAAAGAAGTTCTCTAAGAAACTTTCTGGGACTGACACTTATATCTAGAAATATTTTCAATAACCAATCGCACTGTTTAAATGATTATAGAACTATTCAGTTTTGTATTTCTTTTTGATTAGATTTTGGTAAATTTGTTCTATTATGATTAATATGTTATAGTTTTATATTATGATTAATGTAGTTTTCTATTATGTTATTTGCTCTTATCTTAATCACATTCTACTTTGAGTTATTCTAAATTCTTTTTCTTTCTTTTTTTTTTTTTTTGAGATGGCATCTAGCTCTGTTGCCCAGGCTGGAGTGCAGTGGCACAATCTCAGCTCACTGCAACCTCCACCTCCAGGGTTCAAGTGATTCTCCTGCCTCAGTCTCCCGAGTAGCTGGGATTACAGGCGCCTACCACCACGCCCAGCTAATTTTTGTATTTTTAGTAGAGATGGACTTTCACTGTGTTGGCCAGGCTGGTTGCGAACTCCTGACCTCATGATCCACCCACCTCGGCCTCCCAATGTGCTGGGATTACAAGAGTGAGCCACCTTGCCTGGCCTCTAAACTCTTCATGTTGTTGCTTAGCTCACTAATTCTGAGCTTTTCTGCATTCTATACATTTTTACCTAGTATTTTTATTTGATTCAATTCTCAATATTTTCTAAATTTTATTATGATTTCTTCTTTAGTTAATGAGTTTATTTGTAATACAGTATAATATTCCTAAGGTGCTCAACTGGATGGACACAAATTTAAATGTATCTACATACCACTATTTTAATCCATGTAACTACCACTCAGACCAATAGATAAATGATTTACAGTGTCCCGTAAGTTTCCTTAAAGCCTCTTTCCAGTTGATCTCATGCCTCAATCTCTCCCCACACCAGTATACACTCTTTGGTATCTAACTTTTTTCATTTATTATCTCACTGGTGAGATTCATCCATGTTGTTTCACGTACCAGTAGTTCAATCTTGTAGCTGTACAGTATCACATTGTATGAATGTAGCACAATTTATTGATCAATGTTATTGTTGATGAATATTAGATTATTTCCAGCTCTTTGGCTCTGAGGTATTTATCTTCTATGAACATCATTGTTTACGTATTTGGTAAATATGCACTCTTTTCTCTTGGAAATGAAATGGAACTGTGGAATTCCACCTGAACTGGGAATTGAATTATAGATCTTTTGGAATATAGAATGGGAGTAAATATATATTGTGATCAGATAATTTATTCTATATGTCATAAAAATTCCTTGTCATTTGTTGCTGCTAGCTTTATGAACCATTACATTATCAGTTTTCAGAATGTTTTTTGAATAGTCTTCAATCGTGTGTATTTCCTACTCAGTGAGTGACATTAGTTCTGTCCTGTTAATTATGCTGGTAATGTCTGTTGTATTCGTTCTGATTATTTTTGTCAATTTCATCCATTTCTATAATGTGTTTTTAAAAGCATCCACTCAATTTTTAGATTTGGCCACACTTTCTTAAAATTTTGGCAAATTTTTCATTAAATTAAGTTATATGAACAGCTGTATTCAATTTTAGAACTGTTCAACTTAGATATGCATTAAATCTTCATGTAGTGATCCTTTTTAACTTTATCATAATTTTGTTTGTGTGGTTTTTAATCTGATATTAATTTAACTACAACAGCATCATCTACTTAGTTTATGCTTTACACATACATTTCTAACTTTTGAAATTTAATTTTCCGTTCCTTTACATTTTAGGCTTGACTCTTGAAAACAGTATATCCATATATTTCATACTTACAACAGTCTGAACTTCATTTTTGAAAGAAGGTTATTTCATTTATTTTGCTTTCATTTAATGTGATATGCTTACATTTACATATATTACAGCACTCATTCTCAATCACTTTTTACCTTGGAGAAAACCTTGAAAATATTTACATGTCTCAGGGAACCTCTGCAAAAAAAAATTGTTATATCTACATTGCATAATATATTAGCATGAATAATAAATTTTAGATATATTAGTCCAATAATAGTTGCCTCTTATTTTTTGAATAGAGAATAATCTATTTTCTGCAGATCTGCTTATGTTGGACAACTTATATCATTTTTTGTATATTTTTCTCTACCATCTACTAAGGTAATAGTATATATATATAAAACAACTCAAATTTTTCTTCCTTTAAAAAAAATTTCACCTCCTACTTATTTTTTCAACTCAATTCAAGTTTTTCTGAAAGACTTAACATAGAGTTTTACTATACAGAGTTCTAATAAGGATATTACCATAAAGTATGTGAAAAAGTTTTCTTTTTTCTTTTCCCCTTCTTAAAACCAGAATTGACCTGTCAGCCAAACTTTCTTGAGTAAAATCTGGTATTAAGCTTAATTTACCTTTCTGCCCATTAATTTCTTTCCTTCCTTTTCAAGATGTATAACTCATAAAGAAAATATATAAATGGTGATTCTAATTGGATATTATTTGATGTTATTACAACATGAAATGGGTTGATATGGTTGAATGATAAAACTACTAAAACTGTAAACCAAAGACATATGATTAAAATTATGGCCTAAAATATAATTTAACATATCTTTGGAAAAAATATTTTCTGAGTGGTATGTTTAGATTCAATATATCAGTTATCAAACTGTTATGCACATGTGTTGGTTACATAAACTTTTTCATAACTCTATATATGCCTAAAAGTTATTTTGGAATCAAATATAAATAATTAAATTTATATGAAAACTGTGCCTATGTTTCTTTGCTAAATAGTCGCTCAATGCTGGTTCAAACTTGCAATAAACACACATTAGTTTCATTTTAAACTGAATGAGACAATTTCTGTAGTTGCTCCCAATGCCTTTTTAAACAAGTAGAAGGTTGCATACACATGTTAGAAGTTAAAAACTGCATCAAAGTATTCAGTGCCTTCTGACTGGAGGGAGATTCTTTTTCTTCTATAGAAATGTAGAAGGTGTCTAGAGACAGAATAGTAACTCTAATCTTGATTGTGTGGTCACACTGCAGCTCATTAAGTTATTCCTCTTTTTTTTTTTTTTTTTTGAGATAGGATTTCACTTTGTCATCCAGGCTGGAGTACAGGAGTGCAGTGAAACGGTCTTGGCTCACTATAGCCTCAACTTCTCAGGCTCAAGTGATCCTCTCACCTCAGCCTCCAGAGTAGCTAGGACTACAGGCGCACACCATCATACCTGGCTAATTTTTGTATTTTGTATAGAGACAGGGTTTCGCCATGTTGCCCAGGCTGGTCTCCAACTCCTGAGCTCAAGCAATCTGCCTGTCTTGGCCTCCCAAATTGCTGGGATTACAGGCATGAACTATGGCTCCCGGCCTCTTCCTCTTCTTTCAAAGCTAAGGTCTCAGGCTGAAAAGAAATTACAGAGAAAGTGTTTATTATTCTGTTATATACTTTGAGTTGAGAGGGAAGAAAAATACTGTTCAGTATTACTCTGGAGTTCTCTAGATGATTTTCAAAAAAGTTTGGGCTTTGCTCGTGTCGTTTCTCAGTCTAAGCCCAAGTAGTGGTAAAAATATTTCAAGATTCTCTTTTGTAACATGATTTTTTAAATGCAACTGATATTTCTAAATATGTGATTTTTCTTATTTAACTACAGAAATCTTGCATTTAAAGTAAAAATATATATATATCCAGATCCTTGCAAAGACTTGTTAAACTGGATCATGTGATGAAAATGTCTGCCAATTAAGTTGGTTTCTGCAGCGATTTTTCATCTTTAAAGTGCTCAGCAAAATTCGGCCTACATTTTTTTTTGACAGTGCTTCTCTAATTCTTGTTCGGCTGAAACATCCTATCGGGAACTTTCTCCCTCCATTAAGCCACTGAATTCCTTTTTGCAGCAGGAGGTGTGTGTGTGTGTCTGTGTGTGTGTGTGTGATGTTTGCCCAGGTTTTTATACATTTTTTAAAAGATTCTTAAGCAAGCTGGTTTGGGTTTAATAAAATTGACCATTTTTTGTGGTATTTCTGAACTTTTATTCTTTCCTTTCCATGACTTTCTTTACACTAGCACCAGTTTGTGAACAAAGTATTGTTTGATGACAGTATTTGGACTTTGGCTTAATACAAGAGGTAAAATCTTCAAGGAGCCAACTATTGATGGAGTACCTAGTGCAAATGCTAATACAACCCATCGAAGATAGAACTTCTGTTTCAGATATAAAGATAATACATTAAATATATCTAGTCCTTTGCTTGTTTCAGACCACTCTTTGCACAGGGAATGTTACTGTGAATTTTATTATCATTTACAAATATTACAAATACTACAGAATGCCATTTATTGGTGAAATCTATTCATCAACTTGGATATTAGGGTTCTGGTTTTTCAGTTTATTACACAAAACCTCTTCAATATATTGTAACATATCATCAATGCCTTGATGATACTCCTTAAAAGTAGAATCTTTTCAAATTTTTCTTCAGCATCTTTTCTCAGCAATTATCTCAGTGTATTTTTACATGCTGGCATTATTAGGTTTTGACCATTTGTGTGACTTTTCTGGACAATATTTTCTGCTGATACATAACTTATATCCTTTTCACAGGATGTACTTTTCAACAAACATTATATTGTAGATTCTAATAGTTGTATAGAACAATCAGTACCATCATTTATCCAATGACTGTGATTTGAAATTAGTGTCTTTAATTTTCCTGGAAATAATGTTGCATTTTGAGTTTGTCAGAGAAGACAGAAAGACATATGCCAGGTTGGACTATCAGCTCAAGTAAAATTCACTGAGAGATTTTGTTGGAAAAGGAGATTTTATGTGTCCCTTTCCACACCACTACATGGCTCGGCAGAATGTAAGCCTTCATCACTAACCTTATCAGAATTATCCATCGGTACCAGCCTAACATACTCCTCTTCCATTTCATACCTTATCTTAACAAATCATCACATTGAATCATCAGACACATTCATAAATCCAAGGGCTAATAAGATACAAAATAGAAGGGTATAATATAAAATGAAATGAGAAATACTGAAAAAAATCACAATATAATTTACCTGTAGCCTATAATCCAAGTTTTGTAATGTTTTTCAGGAGAGAACTTGCATTTGATTACCTGAGACCACCTGAACTTAATTTCTCACCTTAAAACTTTTCTTAACACATAAGCAGTGTTCCAGTTAACTCTGTTACATGTGGCAGATTGTACTTTTTAAAGATAGTCACATATTCAGAATGCAATCTTCTGTAATAACTAGCTAATGCTTATCTATCATCACATCATTTTGTTCCTTGTACCCAATGCCAAAAATGAGAAAGCCAAATTTCTTTGCTGTCACTTCTGAGGAGTAGGGGCTTAATATATATTTAATCACTGTTTTTGAGGACTAATCTTATGAAGAAGTCTCTTATTTGATGCTTCCCCACAGTGTGTCATATGCTATATTGTATGCAGTCTGCAAAGAGGAAGAGTTGAACTTCCATTTTTCCACAGAAATTGTTGGGGCTTGCATTAGGTTGTTCTTGCATTGCTATAAAGAAATATCTGAGACTGTGTATTACATAAAGAAAAGAGGTTTAATTGGCTCACGGTTCTGCAGGCTTTACAGGAAACATGGTGCTGGGATCTTCTTGGCTTCTGGGGAGGCCAAAGGAAGCCTACAATCATAGTGGAAGGTGAAGGAGGAGCCAGCAAGTTCACAAGGCCAGACAGGAGCAAGAGAGAGACAGAATGGGGGGAGATGCCACACATATTTAAATGACCAGATCTCATGTGAACTCAAAATGAGAGCTCCCTTATAACCAAGGGGATGTTCAGAGCCATTCATGAGGGATCGGCTCCCATAATCCAAACACCTCCTACCAGGTCCCACCTCCAATGTTGGGGATTACACTTCGGTATGAGAATTGGGCAGGGACAAATATCCAAACCATATCAAAGCTAAAAAGGTTCTTTTCATCTTTTTTTAATTAAAATATTTTTTTTGGCATTGGTGAATTTCTTATCATCCCAGTGATGCTTTAAAAACTTGTATATGTTTGTGTCTTTGTCCATCTGTGCTGCTACAACAAAATACCATAGCCTGGTTACTTTATAAATAATCGAAATGTATTTCTCACAGTTCATGAGGCTGGGAAGTCCAAGATCAATGCACTGGCAAGTTTCGTGTGTGGTGCAGGCCGTTCTCGCTTTCAATAATGACACTTTGTTGCTGTACCCTCCTAAGTGGACAAATACTTGTCCTCACATGGCTGAATGGTCAGAAGGGCAAAAGAGACTTCCTTCAGCCTCTTTTATGAGGTCTCTAATTTCATTCATGAGGACTCTGCCCTTCTGACTTAATCACCTCCTAAAGGCACTACCTTTAATACTATCACAATGCAATGAAGTTACAACATACGAAGTTTGGAGGACACATTTAGAACACAGCAGTTTGTTTTGGTTTCAGCATATCTGTTATTTCAATCCATAGGAATTTCCATCATATTTTTAGGAATCAAAAATTCAAAAAGATCTTTCTATAAAGCAAATATTTTAGTGTCATTTCCACTTGAGTTCCATAGCTTGAAACTATTCTTGATGATATTACTCTTAAAGTCTAAACTCCTTTACATGCATTACCAGATCAGCTGTGATTTGGCCTCTGCTTGCCTCTCGTCTATTTTCTCCTTCCCCTTCAACGTACTCATACTATTCCTGCTTTCTAGGCTTCTTAAAACATGGGTTCCATTCCTTTGTTCTTCTTTTGTTTTTATTTTTTAGTGTACTCCTACCTAACCTCCATCTGTTTCTGCGGCACATTTTTTTTTTTTTTTTAGCAGAAACCCTTATCTAGAAGCTCTGCTTCCTCATTCCTCAACCCCTTCTGTCTACTTGCGGTCCTAAAACTTCACCTCTTAGAGGATACAGCCAAACTGCATCATGTCTGCCTTGTTAGTTAACTGTCTCCAAAGTAGGAAATATACCCCTGGAGAGTGAGTTCATTGCATATTTGTATAGCATTTTTCCCTAGATCCCAGCAACAGGCCATAAATATAGAAGGAGTTGAGTGTATGTGCAACAAATAAATGAAAGCATCATAATATTATACTACTTATGATGGCCCAAAGAATGAGAGGGTGCACGTATGTGGTAATGTAAATGTGCATGTGTTTGAGATGCTTAAAATTATTGTTCTTGTAAAAATGATTTAAAGGAAGATTTCCTGTTATAATTATTGACACTGAAACCTTTTTAGCCATCTTTTCTGGCATGTAATTTAAGCAATTTGTTCTGTTTCTTGATTTAAAGTTATAATTATCATTATTTGAATTACTTGCTTTGTATCAGTTTTTACAGTATTCCTATTGTCATAAATTGAGACAATATAAATAAGTATTTATGTATCTTATTCCATGTTTTATGCCCATTGTTATTAATCTTTGGGGCCAACAACTGTAGTGTGTTCATGCCCATATTATACCACTCTAACTGCTACATTGAACGAACATAACTCATTAGGACGCAACTATTCAAAAAAACTATTCTTTTTCACTGTGGCCTGGAAATCCACCATGATATGTTCTTCCTCTTTTCTCTGGGAGAAATCTTAGATAGTCTTCATAACATTATTATTATGCCATTATTCTGGCACAATAAGTCTAACAGTCACTCTTATCTGAGGAAAATTCCCATCTTGTTAATTAAATTGCATTTTGTAGTTGAGCCTTCATTTTCACCTCCCCAAGCAAAGGCCTTCCTCAAGCTACAACAATAGTGAGAAGAAGGAATGTTGTCAGTTTCCTCTCTCTTTCCCCAATACTGTGCTAATGCTATTGCTACACTTCTTCGCTCTCAGTCCCCAATTCCCATCCCACTAGGTTGCCTGGAGCTCCCCATATGAAACAGGGGTAGGGAAGAGATGAGTAAGAAATAGTATATCAAATGCACTTTGAGTATCAAGAACATTAAATATCTCTATTAGTAAATGTGATGATAAAGAGTAAGAAAGATATAGAAAGGTGGGAAAGAAATTTCCTTGTGGAAATTTATATTTATGTATGTCATATTTTTGCCTAGTTTTGGCAGGTAGGAGTTTTCATTAAAGTCACCTCAAGTCTCTTCTTCTCTTACTTTTGCTTCCCTCTGACAACTGGCTTTATTATCAGTAAAAGATTTTCACTCAGCAGCTCCCATATCTCACAGCAGAAGTATTTGCCATCAAAGATAGGATCAGACATGCTACACTTGGTCCCATGTCCCAAAATCACAGTAGTCTTATACACATTGGAAAGGGTATAAATCTTAGAACCAATAAGTTGTGAGGAGGAAAATATAATTTTAAAAAATGTAACTTCCATTGAACCACATATTTGGAGAGAAGAAAAGTGTTACTGCACAAAAGAGCTATGTGAGGTGTGTTAGGAATTTTAAGTGCAGAAGTCATTAACCAATGTATGGTGATGGAAGTAAAAAGGAAATGCATTCTTTTAGGAAACAGTACCACATTTGGGGGTAGAGGTTTGTTGATTTTGTTTGGTTTTGATTAAACTTGTAGAAAAAAAAACAATTCACACTGGCTTTCAGAAGACTAAATCTTTATGAAACATGATTATGTTGAAATACATAACAGATCTCAGTCATTGAAATCATTATTTTGATTTAAAAAAAAAGTATTTGGAGGCTGGGTGTGGCAGCTCATGCCTGTAATCCGAGCACTTTGGGAGGCCAAAGCAGGTGGATCTCTTGAGGTCAGGAGTTCGAGCCAGCCTGACCAACATTAGCCAGGCATGGTGGCGGGTGCCTGTAATCCCAGCTACTCGGGACGCTGATGCTGATCTAGGAGAACTGCTTGAACCCAGGAGGCGGAGGTTGCACTGAGCCGAGATCATGCCACTGGATTCCAGCCTGAGCAACACAATGAGACTCTGTCTCAAAAACAAACAAACAAACAAACAAACAAAAACTATTGGAATGATTTTGATTAAACTTACAAACACTTACCTAAATACCTAGACAATAAGAATCTTGCATATATAATAGCACAACTTCTAGCCTTTGAGCAGTCTTCAGCATGGGTGGAGTCAATGGCTCAGCATTGTCATTAACAGCAGGTCCCCTTCTCTCCTGCTCCAGCCTTGACATTGGCTTTTCTTAAAAGATGGTGGCAATTTGGCTACAGCCATTTCAGCTAGTCCATAAAATGCAAAACTGATTCAGAGGATGTGAAGAGCTTAATTTTGCTATGGTTCTTATTTAGATATGAAGAGATGATTTTAGAGAAACCCTCTCACTTCCGTTAATGCGTTTGGCCAGAATTTGTTTATGTGTCTGTTTCTGATCATGCAGTAGCAAATGGTTTACAATTATTATGCTGTCCACATTCTTCTTGTCTGAGGTTACATGGACATTGATGAGTCAAATAAAATATATGATATTAAAATCAGAAATCTTTGAACTTCTTTAGGCTAGGAATTTATTTTTTGAGTTCTTGTTTGAAAGAGAAAAAGTTATTAATTGATAAAACACACATTAGAATAAAAATATAAATATCAACCCTGACTACCATTGTTTCTATTGACTTCATTATTGGATTTTACTTCTATTATGAAATAAAAAGAGAATTGGCTTTAATGCTGGTGTAAAAATAATAAGTTGTCATTTCCCAGTTTTAGAATCTTAACTGTGCTTTGTGGTGTTGAGTCATTCCTAATGACCTTTCATATTACAAATGCAGCAAATATTCCAATAAATAAACTGGGCATCTGCACTTTGACTCATAAAATCATAAAAGCCAAAGTAAATTCTGAGATTAAAATGTAAGTTATCTAAAATTCTGATAGAAATTTAACCTACGAGTCATTTAACAATAGCCAAAACCATTTAATGCCTCCTTTTTACTATTAAATATATTTCATTTTATAGTTCACAAAAAAGTTTACGTTTAAATAAAATAAAAATATCAATTTTTAATTTAATTGATTTAATCGACTTGCTATCTAAACTGCTTTGCTTCTTTTAGGAAGTTTGTAAGAAAAAAAGGAAGTTGGCATTAGTAGATTCATCATCAAACACAGTATATGAAAGCTTGGTTATTGTCTAAAGCTGAATGATTAACAGACATGAGTTTTTCCTGTACTCTAGCAATAAAAATAAATGGTAGAAATAGTGTTTCATGATTTTGACAGTTGCTTCTGTTAATTAACAATTCATAATTTCACATGAGTAAATATTTTGGCTATTTAAGTTGTGCTGTTCACCTCTGTATCCATCTCTTGAAAATCTTTCCTAATGCTTTAAATGAATACATCTGAATAAAATAAATAAGCCAGAAAAAAAATTCCAAGGATCAAACTGTAAAATACATTTGTATATTAATAGTTAATAAGAAAAAAGCATTCCAAAAGCATGTAATTTGTATAGAACACTGTAGTATAGTGTGCTTTATACCATTTTATGTAATCTAATGGAGATAAACAGCCATAGGTCCAAAGGTGTTAACATGGCCAGAAGATGGGGAGCGGCCTGCATCTAAAACACAGGACAGTGAAAAGTTTTCTTATGCTTGAGTCAATTCATGAAATCTACTTTCCCACCATTCTATTTCCTTAACATTTTCAGTTTCTAAATTTCCAGTTTAGTGAAAGGCATGTTTTAACAGAGTATATTAACTTTGTTCCATGTACCTCAGTGATGAGAATTAGAACATGTTCCTCTTTATCAAATAGTAGAAACATATTTGGATGCTGCTGAAGTCAAATATTTAGTGAACTTAAAATCTGTCATGATTTACAACTACACTATAGAAAAACAGGATTTCAACAAGCCATTACAAATTGTCCTAGAAGGGTTTGGAAGTCAGACATTAACTCAATCTTAAAATGAGTTGGGAAGTGCAAGATTAGGTCAATGTAAAAAAATACTATAGCACTAGTTGGAGTTGTTATATTGGCAAGTTGGCAGAGAATTGAGAAATATAAATTATATACAACTGATTTTTATTATTAGTGGCTGATACATTCTATAAATTTGCTGCAAACACAGAATCAGTCAATATTGAACCATTGTTCCTATGGGAAATACAGGTTATGGTCCCTCAAGCCTCTGGTTACAATATTTTTATCAACTGATTAATGCAATACATGACCTTATTTTTTTGTATGTCTCTGTCTAAAGACAACTTATTTAATATATATTGTTGATTTATAAACATTGACCTTATGTCTACAGCCCTGTAGCTCATTCTAGAAAGAAGTTAAGCTAACACATGTATTTTCTCCATAAGGCACATTCTTTTGTCTTCCTGTGTTTAGAAAAAAGGGCCACAGTTTAGCAATATCCTTGGGGGACATTTTAAGCAGTGAAATCACCAAGAAGAAGCAAAAAAAAAAATGCCTAAAGTATGGCACTAAATAGATCACAAAAGGACACTTGTTTATTGTTTGTGAGCTGAAAAAAGAAGGCAAGACATCACTTTGAACTCAGCTGGAAATGTGCTTGTTGGACAATTCACATTTTTTACTACACCGGACTTATCTGTTTATATCCACAAAATTGATTTTTGTATTACAAAAAGTTTTACCAAGTAGACAACTTCACAAGTAGGGAATTTGTAAGTAATGAGGATTAACCTGTACATACAAGAGAGGCAGAAAAAAAAAAGATCATAATTTTTAACCTCCAAATTTTTAAATTCAAACTCATTACTACTAACAAAGATTTACAAATAGATTATTTACGGTTCAGCAACAATGCAGAAAAACAAAAATCACTCTACGTATTGCTCTACTTGCATAGACTTAAACCCCTATGTAGAGCTTAGCCAAGGTGATTTGAAAACTCAGGTTTTTAAACTTTAGCATGCATCAGATTTCATCCGAAGGCCTTATTAAAACACAGACTGTGACGCCCTCTTCGCAGGTCTAGCCTAGGGCTTGAAAATTTGTACTAGCCGGGTGACAGTGATACTCAGGAACTATATTTTGAGAACCACTGGATTAGATCAAGTATAGATCAGGAAGACCTTGTAAATCTACAGGACTTTGGCTCAAAAGAGACTGCATGGGCCTCTTTGGCCCTGTTCCTTTAGTTTCACACCTCTCATGAGATTGTGTTGCTCTCATGTCAAATATAGGAAAGTTAAGTAAAAATAAAGGAAAGGTCTGCAAAATAAAGAGCTATTCTATCTCAGTCTTGGAGCAGAATCCACCATCCCTACGTTTCCCCAGTGCATGGGGCTTGTGTCACTTGGATGGTAGCCCAATTTTACTATATTAGACTCATGGTGGTGCTGAGAAATGTCCAAAAAGGAAATGAAATTTCAAAGTTACTAAATAGTGGGAATTCAAAGCTGAAGAAAAGCCAAAATTAATATGCCATATGAACTCAAGAGGCTTTAATCTCTCTTGGTTGCATTAACATTTCTATTTCTAAATATCCTAACACTATGGACTTTATAACAGTTCTCAGTTTAAGGGGTTGAAACACAGAATGCAGTTCTCATAATCAGGTATACAAGAGGGTACATAATTAATTGCCCTCTTATATTATTGTAATTAAATTATATTATGATTTTACCTTGGAAACATCAACAATTCAATTAAAAAGATTCCTACAAATAAATCATTAGTGCATATAATGTCAATACTGGAATTCCAAGCGAATGACAAGAAAATAGCTTATTTCTTACTAGAGCAAAAAATGTGACGTGCAACCCCTTTTGGAATGTCTATTTGTCTTTAATAAAACTGATGTATGGTTAGCAATATAGTATTACATATGATTTTTAAAAAATATTATCTTTTATAGGTCAAAGCCAGAAGTGTACAAAGTGTTACATGATTTTATTAGTATGGTCAGTTTTATAAAAATAGATTTTCAATATATAAAGAAATCATTAAAATCTTTTACGATGAATGGAAAGGGACCAGAAGAATCTCTGTAAGAGGTTCTCTGCTTATTAAGTGTCAAAATGCTTACAAGAATGGTCAAATCTGAAGATACTGTCAGGATTTTTTAAGTATTTCAAATATGTTCAAATTTTTAGAATGCACAATTGGCAAATGTCTTTTGTAGCTTACATCAGTGGCGTTTGTTCACTACTTTTACTGTAGAAGTGTCTAGCATGTACTTCTAAAGACAAACTATGGAGCTTGAGGAATAGACAAAACATATTTCTGATGGGACATGGGAATCTCAAGCTCTGGGTTTGAGCTGCTTATTCTGGTTATTTTACTTGGGCTGTTTTTTCTATCTGACCAGGATGACAAATTTCCTAAGAGACTTCTATCAGATTAATAGCAGAGAACCTGAGTCAGACTGCATGCATTTAAAAACCACTCCTGACTTTTACTTTATGGTTATCTCAGACCAGTTTATTTACATGTTTCTATCTCATTCTCTTCATCTGCAAATTGTGGGTGATAGATCCTACTTTGCAGGGATTAGAAAATTACCTAGTGTATAAATACTACTCAATATCTATTAGTATATTTCTATTTTATTTTGTCATAAATTGGTTAATATTTCTTTTTTCCTTGTTTTTTTTTCCAAATATCCAGTTTCAGATAACTATCAGTCTTGATTCCCAAAATAATGGATTAAATGATTTCTCTTGAAGAGAGAGGAAAAAAATCTGCTCAGGCCATGTATCTTTCCCCCAAGTGAACTTGCTAATTTTCTCTGTAAGTTTGGGTATGTTGATTTTTCACAGCACTGTTATAGGCACCATTTATTGCACTGCAGAGTATTCAGGGAGCAGTTCAGCTTCTAGTGCTATTAGGGTCCCCAAATTACAAATCACTGTAACTGTGACCGTGCACCTGCAAAACACTTGGCCTGCTAAATTACCTAAATCCTCTTCCTCTAATAGAATATAAATAATTTCATAATAGTTTGAAGAAAATAAAGGCCTTTTTTTGTCACCAGAGTCAATCTGACAAGGTAATTTTGTCTATTACAGGGTTTTGCCTTCAATGTGAACTGATCATATAGCTATGTCATTGGAAGTTAATATCATGCCAACAAAGTCAATTTAAAGAGGTAGTTGTGTAGCAAACTCACCTGAGAACTTATAAGTACCAATAGTTGGCATGAAAAATACTATAGAATAAAAATATATAAAAATATCCTAATGACTCAGAAGAAGATAAGTAGTTCTGTGCGTTATTTTATTAAAAAATCAAAAAAATTGATGGACTAGCATCATAAATAAAATACAAATATACCCAGACTGTGAAATAAAAGAAGAGACCCCTAAAGAGAAATAAGAATTAGGTGAAAAGACAACTGGTTAAGTTTAAATGAGAAATGTAGAATAAGAGAAAAATTGTAAAGAATTTAAAATATAATATTTTGTTCAAATTGTATGTGGGGAGCAGAAAATTAAAACATAGACATGGCCAAAAATCCTGTCAGTAATGCAAGGTAGAGAAAATAGATAAATATTAAAATAATGAAAATATTAGAATGTAATTATGAGTGACAGAAAATGAAGACCTACGCTAAGCATTGTAGGTGCTCTGAGAAATAAAAATATTTGAAAGAAAAGCATCTTAAAATCTTTAATCAGTGAGCAATTATAAAGATGTTTTTCAAATTATTTTGTAATAATCTCTAGTTGAATGGTAGCAACAATATGAATTAGGTAATTACATGTTATGGAAATATCAAGGTTCATTTGCTGGGCTAGTATACGGGCAACTTACAGAAATACTAGAGGTGTGGTGAAAAGAAGGGGTAATAATGATATTAGCCACCTTTGTGCAGGATCTGCCTGTGCCAGACATTGTTCTGAGTACTTCACACACACTGAAATATTCAGTTTTCAAAACAACACTGATCCTCAGAATAACTATATTAGTCAGGGTTCTCCAGAGAGCAAGAACAAACAGGAGATATACAGATATGTATATCTAGAATGAGATTTATTATAAGGAATTGGCTTATGTGATTATGGAGGCAGAAAATTCCTACAGTCCACCCTCTGCAAGCTGGAGACCCAGGAAAGGTCGTGGAATAAATTACAGCTTGGAGCTGAAGGCCTGAGAACCAGGAGTTCTGATGGTGTAAGTTCTAGCTCAAGGGCAGGAAAAGACCAATGTCTCAGCTCAAACAGTCTGGCAGAGAGAGAGAATTCATCCTTCCTTTGCCGTTTTGCTCTATTCAAACCCTCAGCAAGTTGGATGATGCCCACTCACACTGGGGATGGCCAGCTGCTTTACTCAGTCCACCAATTCAAATGCCCAGTCCTTCCAGAAACACCCTTATTGACACACTCGGAAATAATGTCTAACCAAATATGTAAGCGTCTTGAAACCAGTCAAGTTGGCATATACAATTAGCCTCACCTACATTTCAGATGAGGAAACTAAAGAATAGATACGATAAGAAATTTGAGTAAGGACTGCCTAGCTTATGAATGGAAGAAGCTTGAATTTGTACCTGGCTTCTTGGGCTCCATCATTCATCCTTCTGATCAGAACTTGAACAAAGTATTACAAGAGGGCACGCATTTTTCTATAGCATCCTCTGGCATCTGAAAGAATGTCTGACACACAGTAAGCCCTCACTAAATGTTTTCAGAATGAATAAATACATATTTTTACATCAACTTCATTATTATATTTTGAACAATTTATTTCACTTGCATAATCAATTATGAATGTTAAAACATGGAAAAATTGTACCCCTCACAAATTCTCTATACACTTGAACAGATTTTGTTTTATATATTTGGTACTTTGTTAACAAATGGCATAGAAGTTTGTGACTATGAATTGTTCCATTAGTTGTTCCTTTTATCAAAGAGATTGATGTCTCAAAATTTAATTTTACAGAAATAAATTGCCATCATTTATTTTACTTTATCTTTACCCTAATTTATCTTAGTTTGTTTTTTTCATTATTAAATCTCTTTTTAAATTAGTTGCACATTTCTTTTAAGAAACATATTGTTGGACTTTGGTTTTAACCTAATCTACAGCCTTAAGTTTAACCACACATCCTAACTAATGTGCATCTGTTGCATATTGGTATATTTCAAATAATTCATTTCTCTTTCTCTTTTTAAGGTATTATTTTTGTACATTGTTGTCTCCTTTTTAACACTATCTTTGACGTAAAATTTAGTTTTATTAATAGCTATCTTAACACTTTAGGAATACAAATGAAAACAACATTTCTATAATTATTAAAGTGTAAAACAAAAGTGTAATAGCTTGATTTTTCCCTAAAGGAAATTAGCAAAATTGAATTATCCTATTTCCCAGTGTCTACTTCTTATTTTTGTTAAAGTACTGAGTTATATCTTGAAATTAATATTTTGCATGTTTTCTGCGCAGAAATTCATCAATCTTTTCCATTAGGCATCTATTTTCCTCTGCAAGTATTCACCTACTGTAGCAGGGCTTCAAAAAAAAGTCTCTCTCTCTTTATATATATATGCTTCAAAACTGAGTTGTGACACTGAGCTTCTGACAGTCAAAAGGGTCCACCACAAAAGGAAAAAAGCAACAAGTTCATGCCTGATCAAAAATTACAAAGAAAATAGAGGGAGGAAAACAGGACCTTGCCTCTGCCCAGAGAAGGCTAGACAAGCATCAGCTACAGCAGAAGGGAGAGAAGTGTTGCCACATGACTCTGAAGAAGGACAAAGATTAAAGACCAAATGACCAAACTTTGGTGAAACAGAAAAATGATTTTTTCCAAGGAATATCCCTCTATCTTGTGATGAAATACGACTTTATTTTCCTATTCACCTATATTTTAAACTCTTTGCTAACATAATCCTTAAACTGTATAGCTATTCTCTTTCTATACAATATTCTTTCTTCTTTCCTCACTGTCTACTTCCTTTTTTCTGTGTTTTTCTATGTAAAAAAGCTTGTCCTCACACAATAAAACAACTCTAAATCTGTCATGAGAAGTCAGACATAGGAAAAAAAATAGAGGAAAAACTTCAGAAGCCAAACAAGCCATAATAAATTGAATAAAATCCAGAAGTGAAGGAAAATATTTGCAAGCTGGATTACAGTAGGGAATATCATCTATTCAGATCAAGCATTATGAAAAAGATTATAAAATAATTGGCTAAGGTTAATACTTGGAAGATGCCCATGGAATGTGGGACACTGGATTTTTGAAGTAAATGAAAGGCTCAGGATATTGTCCAACATGAATACAGCAGACAAAGCTGAAGTTGAAGAAGCAGTTCAACATGTTCCGCACTGTCTTGAGAATATTTCTGCAAGTATTTAGCATCCAGCTTCCAATTTTGAGGCAGAAATTCATCTTATTCATATGCAGTCATCATATCCATGCCTTGTCTTTTGACTTTCACTTTCCTCAATTTGATATAAATGACTATACCAAAGGAAGATATATATTAAAGTACCTAATACATAAATAGATAATATATAATAGGAAACATGAAGTATAACACACAAACACATATGTCTATTACGTATTTACCTAATAACTACATAATTATACAGAATTAATTATACTATGTTGTGTTTAGGAACAAGTTGCATAATTATTAGATAAATATGAGTGTTTAATATTTTAAACGCTTCTGACATTTTAAATGCCTCTCATTTATAAAAATATTAAGCACATTAAATTTACGGATCCAGTGTGCTTGTCAGAAATTTATAATTAAGTTTAGAGAATTTAACTTGAAATATATGAGATTTTCTATTTGAAATATATGAGAATATGATTTAGTTTAGTTCTTACTCCTTCCTTCATGCACAAGTGCACAATATTTAACAATACTTAATTTACTAAATATATATAATTTTAGTATGAGAATTGTATATACACCATGTCAAAAATTTAACTGCTTGTAACAGTCAAATACATTAAATTTGCATTTGTAGTTTACAATATTTAAGGTCATTTGTTGTTTCCTTTTTGCATACTTAGGAACATCACTAAAGCAAATCACTCTTACACTATTTGTTATCCATTTTTTCCTTTCTTCTTTTCATCCTGAAGTATTTACTTCTTCCACACTGACAAATATTCCTCACTTAACTTCCAGGTCATTATACTTAGCTGTCTTTTTTTTCTTTTAGACATCTACTCTTTAATTTTTATGTACCCTAGTACTCAGTACTCAGAATTATCCTCTTTTCTATTTATACTTATTCTCTTGATATTCTCCATATAATCCTGAGCCAGCCTGCCAACATTTTGGGCCTTGGTTTTCCATCTATAAAATGGAGGTAACTGTACCAATTTTATTTAATTGTGTGAAATAATGAAATTAACATATACTTAGAAAAATGTTTAGAATAGATTCTGGTTCACTAACTATGAGTCATACATAGGTTCTGCAGTTATTATTACTGACTCATCAGTCACCCAAGCTCAAGGCTTAAAACACCTTTTATAGATTGACCACTACCAAATTTCTATCTCTAACTCAGACCTCTCTCCAACTCCAGACTCACATATGAAACTTCAGGATCAACATTTCCATTTGAGTGTCTAGAGGGCATCTCAAACATAGTAAGTTTATAATTGAGCTCATACATTTCCCTGCTAAACCTGTTGCTATCTTAGTCTTTCTTAATTAATTGCAACTGCAACCTTTCGGTTGTTCACACCCAAAAACTTGGAGTCATTTTTTTCTCTTTCTTGTAAATGCTACAGCCAATCCATCAGTAAATCCAACCAGATTTGCCTTCAAAATATATTTAGAATCTCACCCATTCTTATTACTTTTGCTACCACTACACTGGTCCAAAACACTATCATCTACCACTTGGAATATTCTAATAGTTTCTCATTAGCAGAGATAAGGAAGAGCTTGAATTTGGCGTACCATTTTATTTCATTTTTATTGCACCTCATTGTATTTTGCAAAAATATCAATCTACGATAAACTGAAGAAAAATTAAAAAATTGGGTCCATCACTATAGACCAGTTAAAAAGCACTGATAACACGTATGGTAAAAAATGGTAGATAATTCATATGGGAAAAATTAAGTGGAAATGAGAATAAGGAATATGAGCATCAGAAGGCGGAGGCTATAATTGAATTTATTTTTCCCTTCATGTTCTTGTTTTAAAAATTATTTTAAATACAAAAAAGCTGAAAGTAGATTAGTACCCAGGTGCCTTCAACTTTTATTTAACAATTATTAAGATCTTGTTTACTTGCCTTATAATTGTCTATAAATAAACCTATGCATCATTTTTATGTAAATATAAAAATAAGTTGCAGATATCATGACACATAAAACACTCGGCATCCATTTCTAAAAAATGAGGGCAATCTTTTTCCAAAGGTACAGTGCCATCATCACACCTAAGAAAATGTCAATAATTCCGTAATGCCATCTTTTATTAACTGTCCTGGCCACTTCTAAAACTGAATGTTAGGAAAAAAAAAATATATTATTCCTGAAATCTTGGGTCAGAAGGAGATCTGAATTTGGAGGCAACCTTGCTTTAAAACAGTATGGAATTTCATTTTAAATTTATTTTTTTACATTTATAAAAAATTGTTTAATGTAATCTTAAAATAAATGTGTTCAATTGCAATGATAAAAATTTAGAAATGATTTTTCAAAGGTGTACAGACTGTTAAATCCCTATATTTTAAATCCCAAACATTACTATAAGGTTCTTCCATCCAAACCATTTTCTTCACACTTTTCTATCAGTAATGTAATATATTTCTTTGGTTCATTGATGAAAACCCACATAAATATGAGACCTCATTTCACATTATATAGATGAGGTTTTCACATATAGAGATAGTACAATTTCACTCCCTAATGTTCTTAAACCATTTCTTCAAGTTCTCTCCTAAAATGATTGTATATATATATAAAGTATATAAAGGCAAATAGTCAATAATTTATCATTTTAAAGCTAGATGACTATTTCAGAATGTTAGTTCATCTTTCTGATTTTAATCAGTTTATACTGAAAATGTGTGAAACTTTTCCAGAAAGTCAATTTTAGTCTGCAGTTGGTATTACTGTATACATTTCTTTTTACTGAAAATGACATATGCATTTTAAAAATCTGTTAAATGGTGGGGATGTACATTACTGGCAGAATCATTCACATAGTGGGGATGTTTTCTCCTCTCATAGAAAAAACCATGAAGTATCTAAAACATTTTGCCCTGTGCATACATCTACAGATCTCCTGTCTTCTCAACTACAGATTGGGTTGAGCAGAACACAGATAATACAGAAGTACATTTTTTTTCCAGATTAAACTAGGGTAAGTACAGAAAAGCATATGTCTGTATATAATATAGAACTTTATATTTATTTGAAACACGTATATGCCAAAATCATCCTGCAGATGTTCAAGAAACTTGTTTACTAATTTGGTCATTCACTTGTATTTTAAAAAAAGAATATAATCTTAAGTTTTTAGATTGCTTAACATTTAGAATTTCTTTTCATTTCTGACTGCTTTCTGAATGAGGAACTCTTAATTTGAAAGACTGTTGGCAGAACTGACTCAAGTACATCAGCTCATGCACAATATGTTGTTCCTTCTCTGGAACTGTACATATTGTTTTTCTTCCCCTTGTGGATGTTTATTTGAAGGATGAATAGGTCACTCTTAGCAGGAGAGCTAGTCATGTGACTGCCAGATACTGAAGACAGATGAGTCAGTTCCATGCAGACTACAAATTATGCATGCTGGATAAATCTATATTCATATTTGCATTTGACCTAAGCCTCAACTTTAAAAATAGATTTAACAGAAATTATACAGAAATTCAAAAATTGTTTTGCTAGGAAGCAAACAAGTTATGCAATACAATTTAAAAAAAGAATGTTCCCTCTGCAAGAAAGAGATCACATTAGTGATGAAATACTATATGTCAGTCTGAGCTTAAGCCCAAATTCAAGAACATACTGTACACAAAACTTCTGAAATCTATTTATCTGATGTGTGACTGATAGCTATTGATGCAGCTTGGAGACCTTAGGGCGATACTGACTCCCCATCATTTGTCATTATAAAGTATTCTTTGAATGGAAAGTTGTTTGCCTTTCATGGTCAGGGGAAAATAGTCCTGGTGGCTGGGTGCTAGTTAGAGGATAAGAACGTGGGCTAAGAAGGCAAGGAGCTGGTTTCAAATCCTAGTTTGGCTGCTTAGTTGATTACATATATCTACAAATTATAACTGCATTAGTTTACTCATCTGTAAAACGTGACATGACTAATAATGATACGTGCTCCACAGGACCAAGCTAAGGTGTGACTCATCTGACATAATCTTCTAAACAATTTAGCATACGGGTACGTACTTACCTAGGCCGTAATACCTGTATTTTCTTCTCTTTCGTTCTTTCTTTCTTTTCTTTGTTTTGAGACAGGCTCTCACTCTTATCATCTAGGAGTGGTGCGATCTCAGCTCACTGCAGCCTCGACATCAAGTCAAGTGATTCTCCCACCTCAGCCTCCTGAGTAGCCAGGACTACAGGCATGCACCAGCACGCTCAGCAAATTTTTGTATTTTTTGCAGAGACTGGGTTTCATTGTGGTGTCCAGGCTGGTCTCCAACTCCTCAGCTCAAGTGATCTGCCAGTCTTGGCCTCCCAAAGTGCTGGGATTACATATGCATGAGCCGCTGCACTTGCCGTCCCTCGCTCCCTCCCTCCCTCCCTCCCTTCTTTTCTTTCTTTATTTTTGAGAGTCTTGCTCTGTCACCCAGGCTAGAGTGCAGTGATGCAATCTCGGCTCACTGCAACCTCCACCTCCTGGGTTCAAGCAATTCTCCTGCCTCAGCCTCCCGAGTAGCTGGGATTACAGGCAAGTGCCACCATGCCAGACTAATTTTTGTATTTTTAGTAGAGAGGAGGTTTCACCATGTTGTCCAGGCTGGTCCTGAACTCCTGGGCTCAAGTGATCCACCCCTCAGCCTCCCAGAGTGCTAGGATTACAGGCGTGAGCCACTGCGCCTGGTCTGATTTTCTTTTTAATTAGGTCTTTGTATATGTGCTATTGCACCACAAGACTATAGTGCACACAGACTGTGATTTTTGTAAAATTTTCTATGCATTCTAAGATCTCAGAAACATTTGTCTTGCCTCTTTTCCCAACATACAAGAATTTGAAAAATAAGCCTCCTTTTAACAAAGATCTGCAACTAATTTTTTAAAAAGAACCCTGAGAAGAACAAGGATATAATGCTAAATACTGATCATAGCTAAGTAACAGCAAGTTGATGGTGTATGAGGACTAAGTTCTGATTTTTTTTTTTTAATCTTGCCCAAATTCCTTTCTAAGGAGTCTGGGGAGTCATGCCTTACAAACCATAAATTCTCATCAGATGGGTTTTATTTGACCCTATATATCATGACTTACTTTTCAATCTGACTCTGGCATAACTTTATAAGACAAGCAAAAAATATTTAACCCCCAAATATATTTCCTTGCCTTACCTTGAAATTGACCTGCAAAGTCTCTTGTGGGAAAAATCCACATTGTATAGAAAATCCCCTTTCCCCCTTGTTTTCCTTCCTCTCTTTCTAGATCCAGAAGATAATCAACTAAGAGCCAGGCACCCTTTTAGGTCTGATAAGAAACAATTTACAACCTGCTCTCTCTCTGAAGTCAGCTATCTGAGAGATTCCTCTGCACAATAAAACTTGGTCTCCACAATCCTTTATCTTAACCTGAACATTTCCTTTGATCCCAGGTCTTCAGATAAACTCAACCAATTATCAATCAGAAAATATTTAAATTGTCCCGTCTTTCTGAATGAAACCAATGTATTTTTTTTTTTTTTTTTGAGACGGAGTCTCGCTCTGTCGCCCAGGCTGGAGTGCAGTGGCGCGATCTCGGCCACCTTTTTCTCTCAGATGTGTTTTTGAGGTGTATCCATGTTGATACAGGTCACTCTAGTTAATTCACTTATCTGTTATATAATATTTGTGGATTTAAAATATATTTTTTCTTGAGTCAACATTTAAAACTTTTAAAATTTCTTGTTTTACAAACATTGCTGCTTTGAACATTTTCTACATCTCAATATACAAGAGATCTACAAGCTATCCAGCAAGAATGGCGGGGATATTACCATCCTCAAATGCACTAGAGAGTTTCTAAATTTGTCTTTCCACCTGATTGTAGCAATTAACATTCTCATGGTATAACACAGCCTTTTTGGTACAATTACATATTGTTAATTTCATGGACACAAAAATTACTTCATGGTTATTGTAATTTGGGTTTTTCTGATTATTAGTGAAATTCTATTTCTTATTTTTTGACTATTGAGGCTTTACTTCTATAAATTTTCTCCATATTACTTGTTTATCTTGCCATTTATACAGTGGACAGTTTTCTTAATGATTTTGAAGTATTCCTGATATAATCTATACCATCTGTTGAGAGTTGCATACATTGCAAATATCCTATCCCACCTTGTAACTCATATTTTAATATTTTTCTTTTTTTGCACAAGCATTTTAACTTTTAAAGTAGTCGAGAAGTTTTTAATTAAAAAAAATCTTTCTCTGCTCAAGGACAAAAAAATTCTCCTTTACCTACACCTTGTGTAAATCAAGAATGCTATTTTATTTTATTTTTTCATATACAACCAATTGTTTAGGCCTTTCATTTGAGTCCACTATTTCCTCACATTTGTCTTAAGTCATGTTTTTATATATGAAATGCCTGTTTTTTTGGCTTTATCTAATTCCACTGATCTCATTATCTATTATGTATCCCTGAACCAACTGTACAATATCCTGGTTGCATAAATTTATGATTTCTTAATATCCATACTGTTGACTTTTATACTCTTCAGAATATTCCTATTACAAGTACACAATCTTCCCATATAAATGTTAGAAATAACTGGTCAAATTAATGATTGGCAAAATTTCTAAACTTAAAGATCAACTTGAAAAATATATGACTTTAATAATATTTAAAATATTAATAATATTCAAAAATATAAATGACTTTAATATATTGCTTATCTTATCCATGAACATTATATGTCTCTTCATTTTATTTAATCTCTGAAATCCTTTAAAAAGTTTATTGAATTTTCACCATCAAGGTCATTCATGTATTTTATATAATTCATTTCTGAATACCTTGTGTATATTTTTATTGTATATTCTAAAGTTTTAGATATATTATCCATCTGTTGCTGAGTTATAGAAAAGGAATTGACATTTATACATTGACCATAAACAACAATGTTGCTGACCTCATTTATTAAGTACAATAAATTGTCTATATGTGATCCATAGTAAACTATGGAGATATATATCTTATATAAAATTTAAAAATATCGTTTACCTGTGTTTGTTTTATTTTCTTATTTTACGATTTTACAAAGGTATCTAGTACAAGGTTTAATGAGACTGGGTATCCTCGTCTGATTCTTATTTTTTAAGAGCTGGACATATTGGTTCACAACTGTGATCCTAGCACTTCGGGAGGCCAAGATGGGAAGATCACTTGAGCCCAAGAGTTTGAGACTAGCCATGTCAACATAATGAGACCCCATCCCCATTTTTTTTTAATTAGCTGAGTGTGCAGCACATGCCTGTAGTCCCAGCCACTCAGGAAGGAGGCTGAAGTGGGAGGATCATTTCCACCGAGGAGGTTGAGGCTGCAATAAGCTGTGATCATGCCACTGAACTCGAGCCAGGGTAACAGAGTAAACACCTTACACACACACACACACACACACACACCACACACACACACACAAAAGAGAGAGAGAAAAGAGAAAAAAAACTTTTTGACATTTTAACTATATTAAAATGTTCAGTGTAGGCTTTGTTTATATCATTTACCAAAGTAAGAAAATTTTTATGTATGTTACCTTGTTTTGTTTGTTTGTTTTTTTCTGAGATAGAATCTCGCTCTGTCAACCAGGCTGGAGTGCAGTGGCACGATCTTGGCTCACTGCAACCTCCACCTCCCAGGTTCAAGTAATTCTCATGCCTTGGTCTTACAGGCACACGACACCATGCCTGGTTAATTTTTGCATTTTTAGTAGAGACAGGTTTTCGGCATGTGGGCCAGACTGGTCTCGAATGCCTGACTTCAAGTGATCCACCTGCCTTGGCCTCCCAAAGTGCTGGGATTACAGGCGTGAGCCACCATGCCCGGCCTATGTATGCTATCTTGTAATGATTTTTGTTTTTTAAATTATAAAATAGGTTTTGAATTTCATTGTGTAATTATTCTGAATCTTTTGAGATAACTGTATGCTTTATTTTCTTTCATTTATCAATGTGATAAACTTATACATATTTCTAAAGGTAAGCAATCTTTGCTTTCTATGTTTGCTTATATTTTGCTGGATTTGGCTTACTTATATTTTGTTTAGAATTTTTGCACTGCATTCTATTTTAATGAGTAAGATGATTCTATAATCTTTTTCCTACTGTCTTGTCAGAAATACAATAAATCAGCACTATCTTTTTGTTAAATATTTTTGTGTGAAATTCATGTACTAAACTATCTGGAGGAAAATGTTTTTTTCTGTCTCTTTCTCTTTTTAAGTTTAGATTTGTCTACTGATTGAATTTCTTCAATATATTTTTACTATATAGATGTTTGTTAATTCTTCTTAAGTTAGGTTTGCTTAGTTATGTTTTTCTAGGAAATAGCCCATTTTATCATCTTTCTGAATAATTGTCCCAAAGTATTTAATAGTGTTCACTTTCTAATTTTTTACTATATTTATAGGTTTTTCTTAATTTTTATTTTTAATAGTTTCTGTCGTTTATACACTCTTATTTTCTTGATCTGTCTCAACAGAGTTTTATCAACTTTATGTGCCTTACCAATGATTCGAAGGCTGGATTTTTTTACCTTTGCTGTATCTTTCTTTGTCTTTATTCAATTTCTGCTCTCTTCAATACCTGTTGTAATAGTTTTGTGGCTTATTCTATAACCTTTCTTTTCAAACTTTTAAAATGAGCTATTTACTTCATTTTTCTTTCTTCTTAAATTTTAATATTCAATTCCATAAATATTATTTACCATTTATTTCCACTGGATACTACTTGTTTACTCTGTATCATTTTCATTAATATTTATTTCTAAATATTTTCTTATTTCCATGATAAGTGCTCATTTGTTCCATGACTTAAGAGCATATCTTTACATTTTCCTTAAGTATCATTTATATTTACTTCTACCTCAATTATGCTGTTGTCAGACAAAGCATTTTTTTTTTCTTGTTTTGAGACGGAGTCTCACTCTGTTGCCCAGGCTGGAGTGCAATGGCGCGATCTCCATTCACTGCAACCTCCGCCTCCCGGGTTCAAGCCATTCTCCTGCCTCAGCCTCCTAAGTAGCTGGGATTACAGGCATGCGCCACCACGCCTGGCTAATTTTTGTGTTTTTAGTAGAGACGGGGTTTCACCCTGTTGGTCAGGCAGGTCTTGAACTCCTGACCTGGTGATCCACCCGCGTGGGCCTCCCAAAGTGCTGGGATTACAGGCGTCAGCACTGCACCCGGTCAACAAAGCTTTCTTTATGACAACTATTCTTTGAAGTCTGAAACATGTCTTACGTGCAACCATGTGGTGTATTTTCTTTAAAATTCCATGTGTGCTGAGAAGAGTATGGCTTTCTAAATTAGATCTGGGATCCCATGTATGCTCTAGTCAAGCTCATTACTAATGTTATTTAAGGGATCTGTATCCACAAAAGTAACGATCAACCTGCCATTGGGAAATTCCCACAATATTGGTGAATTTGAAGCTTCAAATAATTTTTGCTTTATATATATAAAACTCTCTGTTATTTTTGTGGTGACCAATTTAGAATTGCTGTTCTTTCCCAAATAATTATATTTTTATGTATGCAATGACTTTAGTAATAGTTTTACCTTGTAATCTACTTTATCTGATCTTTTAAAATTTAATGTTATTTTCATTTATTGATTAAAATCCATTTCTTTAGCTTAAAATTTTATATCCATGTTTTTCAAGCAAAAAGCATATGGATAGATTTTTGTAATTCTATCTAAAACTTTACTGAATTAAGTTCATTTGCATTTCCTGTAACTACTAATATATTTGAATTTATGTTAATATATTGTTTTGTTCTTGCTATTTATTCTGCATTTTCCATTCTCTTTCCTTACTTCATTCTATTTCTTCCTTTTGGTATTAATCATTCTTCTCAGTCTAGTGTTTTGGACATCACACATTACATTTTAATTATTCTGATTGTTAACAACAAATCTTTTTTATTTTAATTTTTTAATTTTTATTTTTTTTTGAGACGGAGTCTTGCTCTCTCGCCCAGACTGGAGTGCAGTGGCGTGATCTCAGCTCACTGCAAGCTCTGCCTCCTGGGTTCACGCCATTCTTATGCCTCAGCCTCCCAAGTAGCTGGGACTACAGGTGCTCACCGCCACGCCCAGCTAATTTTTTGTATTTTTTGGTACAGACAGGGTTTCACCATGTTAGCCAGGATGGTCTCGATCTGCTGACCTTGTGATCCGCCTGTCTTGGCCTCCCAAAGTGGTGGGATTACAGGTGTGAGCCACCGCGCCCAGCCCAACATCAAATCTTTAGTATTTTAGCATTTTACAGTTTCCATATTTCTATGTCTTTTCTCTTGAACAATACCAAACCATTAGAAATCTTCAACTTACTCTTATGCAACCTGCATACTATTACAAGCCAGTGTTTTAGTCCTACCCTATTTTCACCTACAAAATTGAGAGTTTTGATTCTTATTTTATTTAGTCAAATTTTGTTTAGTTTTACCAATGTGTTTACTTACTCCTTTTTCAGTTAATTGACTCTGTTACATCTCAGTCTTTCTACCTTCCTTCTGGATTTAATTTCCTCCATCCAAAGTACATACTTTGGAAGTCCCTACATAAGGGTTTTTTAGTAATAAATCTCTGGTTTTGTTTTTCTGACCAGAAAAGGTCTTTGTTTTGTCTACCTTCTTAAATTATTTTCTACATTATTATAAGAATTCTATGTTGACAGATATTTCTGTGTAATCACTTTCAGGATATAATTTTACATTTCTGGATATTATTGTTGTTTTAGAAGCATGCTATCAGTCTAAAAAATTTAAGGGAAGAGTACTTTTCTGGCTGTATTTAAATGTTGTTTTTGTCTTTGTGAGTTTTGAAGTTTTACAATGATTTATCTAAATGTGGAAGTTTTAAAATTTTATTTACTGCTGGCCAGGCGCGGTGGCTCATGCCTGTAATCCCATCACTTTGGGAGGCCGAAGCAGGTGGATCACCTGAGGTCCAGAGTCGAGACCAGCCTGACCAACATGGAGAAACCCCATCTCTACTAAAACTACAAAATTAGCCAAGCGTGGTGGCACATGCCTGTAATCCTAGCTACTCGGGAGGCTGAGGCAGGAGAATCGCTTGAATCCGGGAGGCGGAGGTTGTGGTGAGCTGAGTTCGTACCATTGCACTCCAGCCTGGGCAACAAAAGCGAAACTCTGTTTCAAAAATAATAATAATAATAATAATAATAATAATTTACTGTTTTAGAAATTCCTAGGAACATATATTGTATAAATTCAAATCCCAGATTTACATGAAGATATGCTTTTTTGGCTAAAAAGATGAGATATGATCATTTTTAACCCACTCTGATTTCAGACCATAGGTAATAATACTTTGTTGTCTTACTCTTACTTTGGACTTTTTTTTTGTATTCCACCATTGAATTAAGGGAATTGCACTTTGAATACTGCTATTTTATACAAGAGTCTAAGTTACAGCTCTTTGACTTGCCTGGTTGGTCTTTTTCTATAAGCCTCTTAATACTCAAATGGTCTCTGTTTCCAAGATTAGCAATAGTGTCTGATTACCCATTATATTTTCTGCTCCCTCTTCGTTTTTCACCCCTAGGATTACCTTGTGTGTTAAAAGGTTATTTATTATATTCTACCCATGATTTCTAGGTGTTGTTTTTTGACATTTTTTCAGGGTATTTATTTTGGTACATTGCAGATAATTAAAGTCCACTGCATTTAATTTTAAGATAACTTGCAAGTGTCTTGCTTATGTCATCATGGGTAATGAATTTAGTTTTTATAATGCTTTTATATTGTTTCTTTCCCTAACACTTCTAGCTAACTTCACCTAAAAAAAAAAAAGTTATGTGAGGATGCTTGTAAAGAGTTTCAAAGGAAGTAAAATGGTAAGGAATGCTTACACAGAAAACACACTTTGAATGTTTAGCCTATGTCACTGACACAATGGGACTTATTAAATACTACTTAATAACTACAGACTAAACCAATTTGTCACTCAGTCAATTAACTTGAATTTCATACTGTGAGATGGATTTATGTGAAGATTTATGTGATGATGGAGCTATCACCTGGGAATAAAAAAAAGTTCTTACCCTGAACATAAATTCTTATTCTGATTGACTGAATTTACTTTAAGATGCCAGAATTTCTAGTATAATTTATGGCCTAAGTAGTACTTTGGTTTTAAAAAAAATAGTAATGTATTTTTAAAAAACATAAAGACAGTTTAATATATAATGAAGTTCTTCAATTTTCCCATATATACTGAGTAGCCTTATTTAATTATGTATCATAATCCCACTTGGTTATGGCAACTTTTGAATGAAAAGCAGATAATTAGAAAACATATTTTTGTCATTGAAAACATATATTTGTCATTTTTATGGCTCATTTTATAGAGAAGAAAGAAGACACTAAAGTTAGCTGACCTTAATCATAAGATGAAACTAGGCAAAACACTAACATGAAGAATATGTTTTAAATCATATTTAACCTTAAGATGTGGTCAAAATTATGTATTTTCTGTATAAAATACTTATTTTGTATATATAAAATCTTTGATGATATAATAATTATATGACATAATATATCTTATCACAGAAGATATGTTATATGATAATAAAATAATTATCATATTATAATATAATAGAATATAGAATTCTGGAGAGATAGTGATAGTTTTTAGTTTCTACAGATTCTCCCACAAAACACTAAGCAACTACAATAATAAAACCAAAATGTTCACAGACAACAACAATAGATATATATGAAGAAATAGGCAGGGAAAAAAAAGAAAACCATCACCAAGACCTTTGTGGTATCATTTTCTTTGCAAGAAAACATAAGGGGAAGTTAAAGTGGTTTCTTGTGCCTTGAAAGCTAAAACCCATAAATCACTCTAAGACAGTCAACAGATGATTTAGAAACACAATTTAAGAATCAGCTGAAATGAGATTTGCTAGATTTACATTGCATTTGTGTGCAAGAAGGAAATGTGAGTGAATGGAAGTAAACCTCATGTTACTGAGATGTCTGGGCCCTATGAATTGATATTAACCAAAATGAAATTTCCTTTCAGGAATAAACCTACACTGTGGTCAATCCCTTAGGGTAGAAGCTAAACTGACAAAACTGGAGACAACCCAAAAATCCACTAGTAGGCACTGGCTGAATAAAGTGTGGCTCATTTACATAATGGAAGAATACACAGCTCTACCATGAAATAAGGAAAAACTACGTAAACTACTATCAAATCTTCAGGATACAAAATAATCTGAAAAAACAAGCAAAGAAAATGTATACTGTTTGGTGTTATTTATCTACATAAATGGTGAGTGGTTACAAATTCATTTTTATATTCTTATTTTTTTAAATAAAAGTCTAAGTCATAAACTGATATTGCTACCTATGTAGAGGAGAGAGAGTAGATGATGAAGATCAGGAATAACAGCTAGACTTTTTTTAGGTTTTATTTTATTTTCAGGGGTACGTGCGGAGATTGGGTCTAGAGATAAATTGCATAGCACAGAAGTTTGGTTTACATACTATTTTGTCACACAGGTAACAAGCATAACTATCCTAAATATATATGCACCCAATACAGGAGCACCCAGATTCATAAAGCAAGTCCTTAGAGACTTACAAAGAGATTCAGACTCCCACACAATAATAATGGTAGACTTTAACACCCCACTGTCAACATTAGACAGATCAATGAGACAGAAGTTAACAAGGATATCCAGGAATTGAACTCAGCTCTGCACCAAGCGGTCCTAATAGACATCCACAGAACTCTCCACCCCAAATCAACAGAATATACATTCTTCTCAGCACCACGTCACACTTATTCCAAAATTGACCACATAGTTGGAAGTAAAGCACTCCTCAGCAAATGTAAAAGAGCAGAAATTGCAACAAACAGTCTCTCAGACCACAGTGCAGTCAAACTAGAACTCAGGATTAAGAAACTCACTCAAAACTGCTCAACTACATGGAAACTGAACAACCTGCTCCTGAATGACTACTGGGTACATAACGAAATAAAGGCAGAAATAAAGATGTTCTTTGAAACCAACGAGAACAAAGCCACAACATACAAGAATCTCTGGGACACATTTAAAGCCGTGTGTAGAGGGAAATTTATAGCACTAAATACCCACGAGAGAAAGCAGGAAAGATCTAAAATTGACACACTAACACCACAATTTAGAACTAGAGAAGCAAGAGCAAACACATTCAAAAGCTAGCAGAAGGCAAGAAATAACTAAGACCAGAGCAGAACTGAAGGAGATAGAGACACAAAAAACCCTTCAAAAAATCAAATGAATCCAGGAGCTGGTTTTTTGAAAAGATCAACAAAATTGATAGACCGCTAGCAAGACTAATAAAGAAGAAAAGAGAGAAGAATCAAATACACACAATAAAAAATAATAAAGGGGATATCACCACCAACCCCACAGAAATACAAACTACCATCAGAGAATACTATAAACACCTCTATGCAAATAAACTAGAAAATCTAGAAGAAATGGATAAATTCCTCAACATATACACCCTACCAAGTCTAAACCAGGAAGAAGTTGAATCCCTGAATAGACCAATAACAGGCTCTGAAATTGAGACAATAATTAATAGCCTACCAACCAAAAAAACTCCAGGACCAGACGGATTCACAGCCGAATGCTACCAGAGGTACAAGGAGGAGCTGGTACCATTCCTTCTGAAACTATTCCAATCAATAGAAAAAGAGGGAATCCTCCCTAACTCATTTGATGAGGCCAGCATCATCCTGATACCAAAGCCTGGCAGAGACACAACAAAAAAAGAGAATTTTAGACCAATATCCCTGATGAACATCGATGCAGAAATCCTCAATAAAATACTGGCAAACCGAATCCAGCAGCACATCAAAAAGCTTATCCACCATGATCAAGTGGGCTTCATCCCTGGGATGCAAGGCTGATTCAACATACGCAAATCAGTAAACGTAATCCAGCATATAAACAGAACCAAAGACAAAAACCACATGATTATCTCAATAGATGCAGAAAAGGCCTTTGACAAAATTCGGCAACTCTTCATGCTAAAAACTCAATAAATTAGGTATTATGGGATGTATCTCAAAATACTAAGAACTATTTATGACAAACCCACAGCCAATATCATACTGAATGGGAAAAAACTGGAAGCGTTCCCTTTGAAAGAAGTGGCACAAGACAGGGATGCCCTCTCTCACCACTCCTATTCAACATAGTGTTGGAAGTTCTGGCCAGGGCAATTAGGCAGGAGAAAGAAATAAAGAGTATTCAATTAGGAAAAGAGGAAGTCAAATTGTCCCTGTTTGCAGATGACATGATTGTATATTTAGAAAACCCCATCATCTCAGCCCAAAATCTCCTTAAGCGGATAAGCAACTTCAGCAAAGTCTCAGGACACAAAATCAATGTGCAAAAGTCCCGAGCATTCTTATACACCAATAACAGACAAACAGAGAGCCAAATCATGAGTGAATTCCCATTCACAATTGCTTCACAGAGAATGAAATACCTAGGAATCCAACTTAAAAGGGATGTGAAGGACCTCTTCAAGGAGAACCACAAACCACTCCTCAACGAAATAAAAGAGGATACAAACAAATGGAAGAACATTCCATGCTCATGGATAGGAAGAATCAATATTGTGAAAATGGCCATACTGCCCAAGGTAATTTATAGATTCAATGCCATCCCCATCAAGCTACCAATGACTTTCTTCACAGAATTGGAAAAACCTACTTTAAAGTTCATATGGAACCAAAAAAGGGCCCACATTGCCAAGACAATCCTAAGCCAAAAGAACAAAGCTGGAGGCATCAAGCTACCTGACTTCAAACTATAATGCAAGGCTACAGTAACCAAAACAGCATGGTACTGGTACCAAAGCAGATATATAGACCAATGGAACAGAACAGAGCCCTCAGAAATAATACTACACATCTACAACCACCTGATCTTTGACAAACCTGACAAAACAAGCAAGGGGTAAAGGATTCCCTATTTAATAAATGGTGTTGGGAAAATTGGCTAGCCATATGTAGAAAGCTGAAACAGGATCCCTTCCTTACACCTTATACAAAAATTAATTCAAGATGGATTAAAGACTTAAATGTTAGACCTAAAATCATAAAAACCCTAAAAGAAAACCTAGGCAATACCATTCAGGACATAGGAATGGGCAAGGACTTCATGCCTAAAACACCAAAAGCAATGGCAACAAAAGCCAAAATTGACAAATGGGATCTAATTAAACTCAAGAGCTTCTGCACAGCAAAAGAAACTACCATCAGAGTGAACAGGCAATCTACAGAATGGGAGAAAATTTTTGCAATCTATTCATCTGACAAAGGGCTAATATCCAGAATCTACAAAGAACTCAAACAAATTTACAAGAAAAAAGCAAACAACCCCATCAAAAATTGGGTGAAGGATATGAACAGACACTTATCAAAAGAAGACATTTATGCAGCCAACAGACACATGAAAAAATGCTCATCATTACTGGCCATTAGAGAAATGCAAATCAAAACCACAATGAGATACCATCTCATACCAGTTAGAATGGCGATCATTAAAAAGTCAGGAAACAACAGGTGCTTGAGAGGATGTGGAGAAATAAGAACACTTTTACACTGTTGGTGGGACTGTAAACTAGTTCAACCATTGTGGAAGATAGTGTGGTAATTAGTCAAGGATCTAGAACTAGAAACACCATTTGACCCAGAGATCCCATATCTGGGTATATACCCAAAGGATTATAAATCATGCTGCTATAAAGACACATGCACACGTATGTTTATCGCAGCACTATTCACAATAGCAAAGACTTGGAACCAACCCAAATGTCCAACAATGATAGACTGGATTAAGAAAATGTGGCACATATACACCATGGAATACCATGCAGCCATAAAAAAGGATGATTTCATGTCCTTTGTAGGGACATGGATGATGCTAGAAGCCACCATTCTCAGTAAACTATCGCAAGGACAAAAAACCAAACACCGCATGTTCTCACTCATATGTGGGAACCGAACAATGAGAACACCTGGACACAGGAAGGGGAACATCACACACTGAGGCCAGTCGTGGGGTGGGGGGAGGGGGGAGGGAAAGCATTAGGAGTAATACCTAATGTAAATGATGAGTTAATGGGTGCAGCACACCAACATGGCACATGTATACATATGTAACAAACCTGCACGTTGTGCACATGTACCCTAGAACTTAAAGTATAATTAAAAAAAAAGAAAAAAATATATATATACCCATTATTGGGATTGCTGGGTTGAACTGTTGTTCAAGTTTTTTGAGAAATTGCCAAACTGCTTTCCACAGTGATTGAATGAATTTATATTCCCATCAGCAGTGTATAAGTGTTCCCTTTACTCTGGAGCCTCATCAGCATGTTATTTGTTGACTTTCTAGTAATAGTCATTCTGACTAGTATGAAGTGGTATCTCATTGTGGTTTTGACTTCATTTTTCTAATGATTACTGGTGTTGAGCATTTTTTCATATGCTTGTTGGCTGCATATATGTCTTCTTTTGAAAAGTGTCTGTTCATGTCTTTTGCCCTCTTTTTAATGGGGTTGTTTTTAACAGCTAGACTTTCTTCATTTGATCTTATTTTTTAGATTTCATACTACAGACAGGTACATATTTTACACAAGTACAAAACAAATTTAAATCAGCATGAGAATATATGAAAGCAAGTGAAAAATTTGCATCAAGTTTATGGCTTAAAGAGACAGAAAGACATTATTCCAAGTGACCAAAAAACATAATAAATTGTAATACCTAGTAGGGATACATAAGGTAAGAGCAAAAATAACTGCAAAAATATTCTACAGCTATGTTCAGAAAACAAATTTTTGGTAATACTGTTTGTATTGTTATTCAGAAACTATTATGTCTACAACCAGCCTTCCATGTTCATAGGTTTGGCTTTCACAAATGCAACCAACTGTGGATCAAAACCTGCAGATGAGGAGGGCCAATTGTACCACTTGGTTTTATATGAGAGACTTGAGCATCTTGGGATTTTGGTATCCTCAGGGGTCCCAGAACCAATCCCCCATGGATGCAGGTAAATTACTGTATATAACAGATAAACCAAGTCGTTATGTAAAGCCATCAAGAACCTAGATTTTTTAACAAAAGATGAAAGAGAAATTAATATAAAATGGCTGAAGTTAGGTAGAAAATGAAAATAGCACATTTGATTCATAAATATAAGTATGAATCTATGATGTACATTCTCTTAAAGAAACATTTTCTCACTAGAAAGAAAGCCAATTACAGAGAACAAAAAAATGGAACAAATTAGTAGCCATGAAGAGCATAGAACAAGCTCTGTGTCTCTGTGTCTCTATGCACCACAAGGACTCATGCTCTTTGGAGATATGGCTAAATTCAGTTCTGGGGCAGGAAGTGGGAAAAATGTCACATCATAAGTTGAGGAAGCCACCAAGAACTATTTTAATCTCACCAAAGAGACTCAATCAACCTGAAAGGGCTCACATTTATAAAATATAGTATAGTTTGGACTTTGATAAAATTGTAGCATATTTAATGTATTTTAAATTGGATTGAAGGTTACAATTTGTAAATTCAAAAATGATACTAAGGAATAAAAACAAACAAAAACTTCTTTAGACATATTTAGAAGACACTACAGAACAAATTTATTGTCCTGAGAACTGGTAAATGCAGGGAAATAACTAAACATTTCCCTGACTTCTCTGTATGAACTGCACCTCAGGATACCAAATAATTGAGACAAGAAGATTTCTTTATATAGAAGCAATTCAACTAATAAAAAGAGAAATGGGCCGGGCGCGGTGGCTCACGCCTGTAATCCTAGCACTTTGGGAGGCCAAGTCGGGCGGGTTGCCTGAGCTCAGGAGTTCGTGACCAGCCTGGGCAGCACGGTGAAACCCCGTCTCTACGAAAATACAAAAAAAGTATTAGCTGGGCGTGGCAGCCTGTGCCTGTAGTCCCAGCTACTTGGGAGGCTGAGGCAGGAGAATTGCTTCAACCCGGGAGGCGGAGGTAACAGTCAGCCGAGATCGCGCACTCCAGCCAGGGCGACAGAGCAAGACTCCGTTGCAAAAAAAAAAAAAAAAGAAGAGAGAAATGATAAAATTAAAATATCACCATTTTATAGACATGTACTGAAAAAAAAACACTAAAATATCACCATGTTATAAACATGTACTGAAAAAAATGGATATCAGCAAGTATTCTCAATGACCAGTGTAACCTCCAAAAAATAGAAACAATTAGGCTGGTGCAACAGTAATTGCAGGTTTTATCATTACTTTCAATGGCAAAACACGCAATTAACTGTTGCACCAATCTAACAGATATCATATGGGTCTTGCTGGGTTTATACACCACCACATATAAAAAACCCTTTCTAAGACCTCTACCCTGAATCGGATCATAACCTCTAGATCTATCTACCAGTGTTAAGGAAATAGAGGGACACAGAAGCATTTTTTTTTTTTTTTGCTTTTGTTTTCCCTCAGGTTCTGGGAGGACCCAATGGCAAAAAAAAACAGAAAGTGAGACATTACAAAACCACTATAGAACCTTTGGCACAATTTCTTCAAAGCAGTATTTTGAAAGAAAAAAAATAGGAAGTTACAGAGTAAAAGAAATTTAAAGACATATTTACTAAACACAATGTTTGGATCTGAATGTAAACAACTTATATTAAAAATTAATCGGGCATGGTGGTGGGTGCCTGTAATCCCAGCTACTCGGGAAGCTGAGGCAGAGAATTGCTTGAACCCAGGAAGCAGAGGTTGCAGTGAGCCAAGATCATGCCACTGAACTCCATCCCGGGCGACAGAGCGAGACTCTGTCTCCAAAAAAAAAAAAAAAAAAAAAAAATTTAATCAGGAAAAATTGAATATTGTCTGTTGGATAACTTTAAGGTGATTATTATTGTTGAGCTTTTAGGGATGAAAAATTTATTGTGACTACCTTTTTCTAAAGGTGTACCTATCTTTTAGAGAAACTTATTGAAATATTTTTGAGTTCAATTATGTTATGTTTGGCATTTGCCTCAAAATAATAGAGAATAATGGTGAAAGTGAATAGGGGTATAGATGTATAAAACAAAAGTGGTGATGATTATTACAGCTGGGTAATTACTTCACAGGGTTTCATTTTACCGTTGTCTTCTTTGCATATGTTTGAAAGTTTCCACACACAAAAGCTTCATCTCCTTCAATATGGGCCTTAAGTCACACTTGTCTCCCTACATTTTTCTGGCCTTGGCATTTCTTTCCACTTCATTACTTCTCTAAGCATAAGAATAGTCCAAGAAAAGCCATGTAGCTGATAGGTAATTGAGCTGATCATGTTTTTTGAACCAGAATCAAAACTTAGTCTTTATTGTCTTATCCGTGGCTCCAGTTAGAATAAAAGCTTCACAAGGACAAAAGCCACATATTTATTACTATAACATCAAGGCTTATGCTAGTATATGGAACTTTTAGCTGTTCAATCAGTGTTTTCATTAAACAGAGAAAATGTGCACATCTATGCACAATTATTTTCAAAAGGACATCTTGATTAGTTTATTATACCCTTTTTGCTATTACTATATTACAGGATCGTAATTTGTCCAGTTACTCAAACTCTTGCATATTTTAAAACATTAGGATCATGTCTCAATAGAACTCATACTGTATTGGGGTTTTAAAAATAATATCATATTTGTTTTAGGTGAAAGTATGTAACAATCTTGGCAACATATATTGGTCAGTACTCAGTCCTCACTAGACAAACTGAATAGCTCTCAAATAATGTTGTATTTCCTTCTGATCAAGAAACTAATAAAATCCTTAGATAATTGACTAGGATGATAATGGGCAAGAAACTCAACAGCTTATATATAAACATTTGGCTGAGAAACTTAGGGAGCCCTCACAATGAAAAAATAACATATTTTAACCTACAAAATATATAATTTGATTTTAATTGTAACTAACAAGACTGAATAGAATGTAGAGTATTATGTTCAAAGTAAACATATGTTAAACAACCAGAGGAGGCAAGTTGTATTCAATAACGAAAAAGGAATTAAGTCCATGTGTCTACACCACTGAGCAGATGGGACAGAGCCCTAAAGAGTAAAAATGAGTAAAGGTGCCTATTTGAAAGGAATAGCACCAGAATAGACATTATGATATCCTCTCTAAATGGCAATACTCAAGATCACCAAAAAACTATGAGACAGACAGACAGAGAGAGAGAGAAAGAGAATTTGCTCATTAGCCACATAAGAATTTAGGTACCCTCCACAGTTAATTTTTGTTGAAATGACTACTTCAGTGTTGTCCTTGCATGAATATGCTTGGTGTGTTTAATGAGCGTGTAAGGGCCTGCGGAAGGAATCACTTTTGGATATACTGACAATAATCACATTTCTGGAACTGCCTTGGTATCTTCATCAAAGCACTTCTATATCGTAAAAGTTCTGCTGAAGTGTCCAGTTTACCCTTCCAAATAACCAATCATACACAGCTTTAATGCTAGTCACCGGATTTTATGGTTTTAGGTCTAATGTTTAAGTCTTTAATCCATCTTGAATTAATTTTTATATAAGGTGTAAGGAAGGGATCCAGTTTGAGCTTTCTACATATGGCTAGCCAGTTTTCCCAGCACCATTTATTAAATAGGGAATCCTTTCTCCATTGCTTGTTTTTCTCAGGTTTGTCAAAGATCAGATAGTTGTAGATATGAAGTGTTATTTCTGAGGGCTCTGTTCTGTTCCATTGATCTATATCTCTGTTTTTGTACCAGTACCATGCTGTTTTGGTTACTGTAGCCTTGTAGTATAGTTTGAAGTCAGGTAGCGTGATGCCTCCACCTTTGTTCTTTTGGCTTAGGATTGACTTTAGTTTTCTCCAATTCTGTGAAGAAAGTCATTGGTAGCTTGATGGGGATGGCATTGAATCTATAAATTACCTTGGGCAGTATGGCCATTTTCACGATATTGATTCTTCCTGCAAATGAGCATGGAATGTTCTTCCATTTGTTTGTATCCTCTTTTATTTCATTGAGCAGTGGTTTGTAGTTCTCCTTGAAGAGGTCCTTCACGTCCCTTGTAAGTTGGATTCCTAGGTATTTTATTCTCTTTTAAGCAATTGTGAATGGGTGTTCACTCATGATTTGGCTCTTTGTTTGTCTGTCATTGGTGTATAAGAATGCTTGTGATTTTTGTACATTGATTTTGTGTCCTGAGACTTTGCTGAAGTTGCTTATCAGCTTAAGGAGATTTTGGGCTGAGACAATGGGGTTTTCTAGATATACAATCATGTCATCTGCAAACAGGGACAGTTTGACTTCCTCTTTTCCTAATTGAATACTCTTTATTTCTTTCTCCTGCCTAATTGCCCTGGCCAGAACTTCCAACACTATGTTGAATAGGAGTGGTGAGAGAGGGCATCCCTGTCTTGTGCCAGTTTTCAAAGGGAACGCTTCCAGTTTTTTCCCATTCAGTATGATATTGGCCGTGGGTTTGTCACAGATAGCTCTTATCATTTTGAGATATGTCCCATCAATACCTAATTTATTGAGAGTTTTTAGCATTAGACCTAAAACCATAAAAACCCTAGAAGAAAACCTAAGCATTACTATTCAGGACATAGGCATGGACAAGGACTTCATGCCTAAAACACCAAAAGCAATGGCAACAAAAGCCAAAATTGACAAATGGGATCTAATTAAACTCAAGAGCTTCTGCACAGCAAAAGAAACTACCATCAGAGTGAACAGGCAACCTACAAAATGGGAGAAAATTTTCGCAACCTGCTCATCTGACAAAGGGCTAATATCCAGAATCTACAATGAACTCAAACAAATTTGCAAGAAAAAAACAAACAACCCCATCAAAAAGTGGGCGAAGGACATGAACAGACACTTCTCAAAAGAAGACATTTATGCAGCCAAAAAACACATGAAAAAATGCTCACCATCACTGGCCATCAGAGAAATGCAAATCAAAACCACAATGAGATACCTTCTCACACCAGTTGGAATGGCAATCATTAAAAAGTCAGGAAACAACAGGTGCTTGAGAGGATGTGGAGAAATAGGAACACTTTTACACTGTTGGTGGGACTGTAAACTAGTTCAACCCTTGTGGAAGTCAGTGTGGCGATTCCTCAGGGATCTAGAACTAGAAATACCATTTGACCCAGCCATCCCATTACTGGGTATATACCCAAAGGACTATAAATCATGCTGCTATAAAGACACATGCACACGTATGTTTATTGTGGCACTATTCACAATAGCAAAGACTTGGAACCAACCCAAATGTCCAACAATGATAGACTGGATTAAGAAAATGTGGCACATATACACCATGGAATACTATGCAGCCATAAAAAATGATGAGTTCATGTCCTTTGTAGGGACATGGATGAAATTGGAAATCATCATTCTCAGTAAACTATCGCAAGGACAAAAAACCAAACACCGCATGTTCTCACTCACAGGTGGGAATTGAACAATGAGAACACATGGACACAGGAAGGGGAACATCATACTCTGGGGACTGTTGTGGGGTGGGGGGAGGGGGGAGGGATAGCATTAGGAGATATACCTAATGCTAAATGACGAGTTAATGGGTGCAGCACACCAGCATGGTACACGTATACATATGTAACTAACCTGCACATCGTGCACATGTACCCTAAAACTTAAAGTATAATAATAATAAAATTAAAAAAAATTGCTAGTCACTGGAGCCACAACCCCTGAGTTATAATCTTGTTCTCTTTGGCTTATGAGCTGTGTGTCTTATTTTGCCCATTTATCAATCAAATTATTAATAAAGGTTACTTCATAAAATTGTCAGTTATTGTCACTATTTTTTTTTTTTTTTGAGGCAGAGTCTCACACTGTCGCCCAGGCTGGATTGCAGTGGCCTGATCTTGGCTCACTGCAAGCTCCGCCTCCCAGGTTCACGCCATTCTCCTGCCTCAGCCTCCTGAGTAGCTGGGACTACAGGTGCCCGCCACCACTTCTGGCTAATTTTTTGTATTTTTAGTAGATACGGGGTTTCATCGTGTTAGCCAGGATGGTCTCGATCTCCTGACCTCGTGATCCGCCCGCCTTGGCCTCCCAAAGTGCTGGGATTACAGGCGTGAGCCACCAAGCCTGGCCTTATCACTGTTATTCTTTTTATATCTGTGGCACCCATCACTTCCACCCTTCATGATTCATTTAAGCCAAGTCAAATAAAAAACCTTTTAATATTTTGCTTTTATGTGAATTATTTCCTGATACAAATATTTATCAATTATCATTGCCATATTTTAAATGTCTTTTTATAAATATTTTTTAAGGTTTAGAAGGAACCAAAATATTAGTAAAAAATTGGGGTAAATTAGCAATTTAAAAGTGCTGTCATCTAAAGAAAAACAATTCTCTATTTTAAGGGAAATTTTATTTTAGAAGATATTAATTATTCTGTGCTTATTGTACGTGCCTATCTGAAACTTTGCAGTATGTATAATATTATTAGCCTCATTTTGCAAATAAAAAACAGTCTTTGAGAGGTAAAGTAACTGGCCTAAGGTCATACAGATTAGTAAGTGGCAGCTAAAACTAGAGGCAGGCTTGCTACTTTCAGTCGTCAGAACCCTTTCCCATCAAGTTGCTTACAACATACCACAGGGTAATTCCAAAAGTAAAAGTACAGAATTATAAAAATGTATAGCCATGCATATAGTAATAATGTTAATTTAGGAATTTGCTATGGATGGAACTGTTGAAGCCCTAACCCCTAATGTGACTGCATCTGAACACAAGGCCTTTTGAGGTAATTAAGGTCATTTTGGTCTTAAGGTTGGGTTCTGATCTCCTAAGACTGGCGTCACTACAAGAAGAGACACCGGAGAGCTCTCTTTCTCTCCATCTCTTTTCCTCTCTCTTGCAAGCACTCCCGCCAGCTGCCCACAATATGAGGACAGTGAGAAGACTGTCACCTGCAAGCCATGAAGCGAGTCCTCACCAGAAATGGAGCCTGTCAGACCTTGGTCTGAGACTTCTAGCCTCTGGAACTTTCTGAAAATAAACTTCTGTTGTTTAAACCATCCACTGTATGGTATTTTCCCACGGCAGGTTGAGGTAATACAGAGCTTTACTGTCATCCTCAGAAGCATCAACTGGATTTGTATACATTATGATGAAAAAGACCTGAAAATTTCACACAGATTAAATGCTTTCACTTATTTCTCAGTTTTATACTAGTGCTTTCTTTAGACTCTTCAAATTGCATGTCCTTCCTTATGTTCCCTGGGCATTGACTTATTAGTTCCTGGGTAAAATTTAACAAAGGCTATGCCACAGGTCTAGGATTAGTCATTTTCACAATCTTGGATTTCTCAATAACTATGACTACATTCCCCTTAAATATGAGTTCCTTAGAAAATCTGTTTTTATTATTTGGACATAGTGCCTGGTGATAATAGACAGCCTATGCTTTTTTGTCTTTCCCCTGAACTAGAATTCAAATGAAGGATATGCTAAACACAGCTGTTGCTGTGTATAATGACATTCAGTATGTGGATGCTGCATCCAGATTCCATTTTAAGGCAGCCATCTGTCCTTTAGCAAGCAAAATAACAGAAGATTTATACCTTAATAAAATCACACACATAAGTGCACCCCACACTCCTTCATGTGCCCTCCATGTAATTTCACATTTGTTAGTGAATTTTCTGTAGTATTTTTCTAGCTTTAAGACTATTTGAGGTGAAGTTCTGGACCTGCTAAGCCTGAGCACAAGGGTTTTAGCATAATATATTTGGACTCATGATTTTCAGTAAATCTTCATAGATTGACATGAATGTCATGAAATTTAAAAGATTAAGAAACATTCCTTCTCTATTTTTCCAGGCCTGTACAGACTAATATTTGTTTAGCACTGCAGAGCTTATAAAACCTTCTCCCTTCTTATTTAATTTATATATCCAGACCTACCTGCGGAGTTGCTTAAGGTCAGAAAATCCACTAGCAAAGAAGCCAGGGCTCAAAATAATAGGTTATTTCTCCAAATTCCTTGGTTTTCTCATCATCCTGCACAGTCACCTATTAAGCTATGTACTGAATTATTCTATATTATTTTACTTAATTATTGATAATAATACTTTATTGAACCTTTATTTTGTGCCATGCATTTTTACTTTATATTTTGAATAAGTAATTCTGCTTAATCCTTACAATAACCTGATGATGTAGACACCGTTTTTAAAAATATACTCTCTAATATAAGAAGTTATAGAAACAATTGTCTACATGCAGAATATATGCCCACATTCTTTCTCAAATACAAATGAACAGAATCACTTTATTTTTCTTTTTGTAGTAAAGAAAATTTAATAATTTTTTAAAGTTAGTGTAACAAATTTACTATGTTTTAAAAAGTAAAGTTTTAAAACTGTATAAACTCAGAACACTAATTTGTTTGCTAATTAATTTGCATTTCTAAATGATACTGTCCTCTTCTTTTAACTTCCTGTTAACTCAAGTTAATATTTGACTTTTCTATTTGACTTTCATAATTCTGAAGCATAAAAGTATAAAAATATTGGGTAGGAACTATTTTTCATCCTCCATATAATAAAACATTTCAACTAGTTGACCTTTCACTCAGTAAGTAATATTGAGTGTCTATCATGTGCTGGACACTGTTATGAGCACCAGAACTAAAGCAGAGAAAACACAGACCAAAAAACCTCCCCTCATACAGTGTCTTCTCTAGTGGAGTCATCGATTGTTTTCATGCATTACTATTCTCTTGTCATTGTATGAAAAGCTGGCATATCTTTCTGTTGGTGATCTGGAAGGTGATTGGGTCATTTATAAACATGTGTATTCTAGAGCCCTGCTACTCAAATTGCAACCTACAGACCACCAGCACTGACATCATTTTGTTAGAGATGCCAAACCTCAGGGCCCATAACAGATCTACTGAATACAAATCTACATTTAAACTAGATCCCAAGGTAATTTTTGTTCACACTGAAATTTAAGAAGTGCTACTGTATAGGTATTCGATAAATGTTTTCACCTGAGATATGTTTATCTCTAGGTGGTCCTCAAACCACCTTTGTGATATACAAATGCATCAAAATGTGTCTTCAATTTGACCATAACACATTCAGTCTCTCTTACAGTTGCAAAGAGCCAACAACTAATGATTTTTTTATTGAATGAATAAAAAATGATCAAACAAATTTCACTTATACTATATATTTAAAAAGTAACTTCAATTAAGTTAGCAATTTTGAATTATGCAATTTATTACAATGGGGAACAATATACTCTGTTCACATAAAATCCTTTTTTTATCTATACACTGTAGAACCTGATATATAATGAATGCTAAAGCTGTCAAAAGTTAAGTATTCCCCTAAACTTAAAAATATAGACATCTATGTTACGTTCCTGTCTACCTGTATTTCTTGACATTGTTAAAAAAAAAAGGATAAGCTTTTTTTAAACTAATATACCACTGCTTCTACAGAAATTGACGTATAACCCACAGAAATATATTCGCTGTTTGCCTTACCTTTTGCACTCTACATACCAAGCAAACAAAATTTGCACACACTTGCACTAGCAGCTTTGCATCTATCTATTTTTAGGACAGACAGCTACATCTTTCTCTCTGCACTGCAGGGAAACTGAACATTTGTGGGAAAGTGTAGTGCATTAATCCTGTTTAATATTCCAGGACTCACACAGACAATTAATTGTGTACTGAAAAGGCAGACTAATAAATTTTTCTTCTTCAAAACACAGTAAATAAGTTTAATTGTATTTTTCTCACAAACTGTTGTAAGATCAAATAGATAAATCAAATAAATTGTGAAAATGACCAATGTTTGAATGTCATATTCTTTCCTTATTATATTTTTTCTTCCATGTGTAATTTGCTTATTGTAATCAATTTTTGAAAAGTTGAAAAAAAAGTGCAACAAAATGTATAAATTATATGTGTTCTATGATTCTGCACCATGAAAATATATGTAACTTTTTATCTGTGGCATGATTATGAAACCTTTTGAGTGTAAATCTGTTTTTTTAACTTTTTATTTTGTAATAAATAAAGACCTAGAGAAGATAGCAAAGAGGGGAAAAGACAGTCCCATATATCCATCACCTGGTCCCATCTTAGCTTTCCCTAATACTAGCATCTTCATAACCATGGGACAATAATCACACTTAAGATACTGGCATTGATATACTGCTACTAATTAAGCTACAGACATTGTTCAGATTTTCTCAGTTTTTCTACTTATGTGTTTCCTATTTTTATGTTTAGGATCAAATCTAAGCTATCATATTATGTATAGTTGGCAAGTATTCATTGTCTTCTCTAATTTGTGACATTTTCTCCATCTTTGTTTTTCATGGCCTGGCTTTTTTTTAAAGAATACTTGCAGTTGTGTAATTAAATGTCCTTCAATTTATTTTTGGCTGCTGTTTTCTCATATTAGATGTAGGGTATGCATTTTGGGGAAGCATAGCATAGAAATGATATGCCCTTCTCCTTCCCTTCTTCTTCTTTGTGTCAGGGAATACATGATAATCACTGTCTTACTACTGGTAATGTTAACCTTGATATCTTGGTAAAAGCAGCATCCATTAGGTTCCTTCTCTCCACTGTAGAGTTGCTTTTTTTAAACCTGCTGTACTCTATTAGAAGTGAGAAAGTAAGTACACAGCCCATACCCAAAGACAGGGAAATCAAGCTCACCTCTTGAAGGAACCATAGAAGTCACCATATTAGCAAATATTTTAGAGAAGAAGCTTTAAGGACATGCAAATATCCTATTTCTTCTTAAAGTTTCTTAAGTTTCTTCCACTAATTCTAGCAGTCGTCTCTTGCATGCGGCATTGTTTACTGTGATGCTTTTGGGGTGATTTTTGTACTCCTTCACTCCTACATGTATTCGAATTCTTCTGGAAGTTAAAGTTGCTCCTTTCTCCTGACTTATTTATTGACTTATTTTCTTATATCGCTATAGATTCAAGAGAATTTTATTCTTTGAGTTATAATCCAAGACTGTCATTATGTACTTTATGGCTCAAATTGTTCCTGAGTTAATCTGTGGGAACTTTTTCTAGTTGACTTCTGTGTGGTGGTCCTCCTGCTCTTCTGCCTCCTTCTCCTCCTCCTCTTCCACTTCCTCCTCCTCCTCCTCCATTGGCTTCTGGGTGGTGATCCTCCTGCTCCTCCTCCTTTCTCCTCCCTCTTTTCCCTCCCCTTTCTTCCTCCTCCCGTTCTCCTTCTCCTTCCCCTTCTCTCTCCTCTTTCTCCTTTTTCTCTCCTCTTGTCAATTAGTATATTTTAAAGATTCTACCTTACCTCCTGGCTTGGCAACTTGTTTTGGGTTTGTCTTGTCTTTCCCTGCTACAACCCTAGCACCAATAGTTTCTCCAAGAAACCCTGGTTCAATTAATTAGAGAATTATATTTAGAAACTATAATATGGGTTCTAGGTGTTTTCTTTGCTGGTGGGGAGCCTGCTTCTAGGTTCTCCGTGTTTTGGACTAAGAAATGTATATATGTATACTAAGTCATATATATACACATATCTGTGCCTATTTCTGTATCTATGCATATATTATAATAAACGTGTTCATACTGATATCTCCAAGTTCAACCCAGCACTACATCTATCATTCCCCTTTATTTACAACCTCTTTCTCCTACAGTAAAAAAATGTGGCTCACATTATCTATATTATATTTAAACATTTGTTCAACAATAATATGTTAAGTATAGTGGTTCAGAATTGCTGATCTATAACCTTTAGGCTATTTTTTTTCACAAAGGCACAGTATTTGGATACAATCATACTTGCCTTTTGTCTTACGGTATCTAGTAAAAAAAAACCACCATTTTATGAGTTACTTGAGGTAGCTTTTTTATTCTCCTCTTGCTTCACTGTGATTATATCACACATTAGCAATATAGTCAGATATATTGGCCAAAGTCTGTATTTCGTATTAGGTTTCTCCGGTCAATTGGGTTTCTCAAAACTTTGTATACAGTAAAATTCACTCTTTTGGGTGGATAGTTCCGTATGTTTGACAAACGCATTGATATATGTGTCTACCACCACAATATCATACGGAATAACTTTATTATCTCCAAAAGGCTCTTGTGTTGCTTCTTTGTAGTCAACTCGTCTTCCTGCATTCAATTCTTAGCAATCACTGACTTGTTTTCTGTCTCTATAGTTTGCCTTTTCAGAATGTCATATAATTGAAATCATACAATTGGGGCTTGTTCCTTTCATGGTAAAATGCATTGAAAATGCATCCATGTTGTGTAAATCCATGTTAATTATTTTTTATAGCTGAGTAACATTTCACTGCATGGATGTGTCTACGTGTGTTAATCATTCATCTTTTGAAAGTCATTTGGGTTGTTCCCAGTTTCAGTTATGAATAAAACTCCTATAAATTATTGCATACAGACTTTTGGGTGAACATATTTACTAGGTTAATGTATTAGTCCATTTTCACACTGCTGATAAAAACATACCCAAGACTGGGTAATTTATAAAGAAAAAGAGGTTTAATGGACTCACAGTTGCACTTGGCTGGGGAGGCCTCACAATCATGACAGAAGGCAAAAGACATGTCTTACATGGCAGCAGACAAGAGAAAATGAGAGCAAAGTGAATGGGGAACCTGTTATAAAACCATCAGATCTCATGAGACTTATTTACTACCAGAACAGTATGGGGGAAACCACCCCCTCTATTCAATTATCTCCCACCAGGTCCCTCCCACAACATGTTGGAATTATGGGAGCTACAATTCAAGATGAGATTTGGGTGGGGACACAGCCAAACCACATCAGTTAAATAACTTGTGGTGAAATTACTAAGTCTATGGTTAAGTGTATAACTTTATAACAACTATGAAAACCACCAGTCTTTATTCCAACGTGGCGATACCATTTCTCCATCCCTTGTGGCAACATATGAGAGTTCCACTTCTCAGCACCTTGAAAAGCTCTTATTTTCAGGTTGGTTTTTTTTCTTTTGGTTTTAGACATTATAATATATGAACAGTAATATTTCAATATGGTTTTAATTTCAATTTCCTTGAAGATTAATGACGTGGAGAATCTTTATGTTTATTTGCCATCCATATATGTTGTTTTGTGAAGAGTCTGTTCAGATTCTTGCAAGTAATGTCATAGGAATTGTTTGTTTTATAATGGTAAGTTCAACAATTTTTTATATTCTTTTAGCCTATTCTAGAGAGAATTCCTTCATCAGGCATAAGGGCTGCAAATATTTCATCCCAGGTTTTGGCTTGTCTTTTCATTTTCATAACAGTATCTTTCACAGAGAAAAAGTTTTTAATTTTTATACAATCTGGCTTATCATTTTTAAGGATTCTTCTTTTACTTTCATATCTAAAATGTCTTTGCTGAACTCAAGGACATAAAGATTCCCCCTATGTTATCTTCTAAAATGTTTGTAGGTTTACATTTAGACCTATGTTTCATTTGAAATTAATATTGTACAAGATGTGACATAAGGTTTTTAAGGTTTTTGTTGTTCTTCACTGAATTACCTTTAGAACTTTATCAAAAACAAGTACATTTTTATCTGTGTAAGTCTATTTCTGGACTCTATGTTCTTTCTAATAATGAATGTGTCTATCCTTGTGCTGATATGTACCAAACTGTCTTGATTACTGTAGCTTTATAGGAAGTCTTAAGATCAGAGATGACAAACCTCCAATTTTATTTTTCTTTTTTAATACTGTTTTGGCTCTGCCTTAATATAAACATATTATAACTAACATAAATGTTAGTGTCATGTTGTTATATTCACAATTTTATTACTAGGATGTTAATTGGAATAGAATTAAATCCATAAGTAAAATTAAGGAGAATTGACATCACCACATTTTCAATCCTCTAACTAATGAACAATTTACATCTCTTAATTTGTTTGCCTGTTTAATTTTGTTAACTAGTGTTTCATAGTTAACACAGATACTGTATTTTTTGTTAAACTGATAACTTTTCTATTTTGGTGTTATACTAAAAAGGTATTCTTTATTTGAAAATTTGATTATTCATTGCTAATATATGAGAATATAATAGACATTTATATTGACATTGTAACATAGAAAAGTGTATTTTATTTTTTCTTGCCTTATTGCATTTTCTAGGACTTCCAGTAAAATGTTTATAGGAATGGTAAGAAAGGAAAACATTGCTTTGTTCTCAAACTTGGGGTGGGGGACATTCATTATGTTAACATTAAGTATTATGCTAGCTATAGGCTTTTTGAAAATTTTATTAGCTTAATATCATTTTCTTTTCTTGATTAATAGTTTCTATTATGAATGGATATCAAATTTTGTCAAATATTTTCTGCACCTATTAAGATTAGCATTCGGTTTACCTTCATTCATCTATTAACATGATGAATACAATTACTAATTGCCAAATATTGAAGCAAACTTGTATTCCTAGATGAACCCAGTTGTTCATTATTTATTTTTAATTTTTTTATTTTTATTTTTATTTTTATTTTTTGAGACGGAGTCTCACTCTATCCCCCAGGCTGGAGTGCAATGGCGGGATCTCTGCTCACTGCAACCTCCACCTCCCAGGCTCAAGCAATTCTTCCGCCTCAGCCTCCCAAGTAGCTGGGATTACAGGGACCCGCCATCATGCCCGGCTAATTTTTGTATTTTTCGTAGAGACAGGGTCTCACATGTTGGCCAGGCTGGTCTTGGAATCCTGACCTCAGGCGATCCACCCACCTCAGCTTCTCAAATTTCTAGGATTACAGGCGTGAGCCTTCACACCTGGCCCACATTTTTTGACTTGGTCTAATAAAATTTCATTGAAGGTTTTGTCTATAGTCATTACAGATATTGGTATGTAGTTTTCTCATTTTGAAATGTCTTTTTCTGGTTTTGGTAAGATGGTAATGGTGACCTGGTAAAAGGAGTGAGGGAGCATTTTCTCCTCGCCTGTTATATTAGAAGAGATTATGTAGAATTAGTATTGTTTCTTCATTACATGTTTGGTAGAACTCACCAATATAACCACCTACGTTTTCTCTTTTGGAAGGATTTTAATGAATAATTCAATGTATTTAAAGCACATATATAAAGCTATTCAGGCTATTTATTTATCCTTGAGTATGTTTTGATAGTTGTGCCTTTCAAGGAATTTTCTTTTCACCTAAGTTGTCAAATGTCTGGGCATAGTGTTGTTCTTAGTATTCCCTTTGTAATCAGCAGAGGTGATACTTGTTTTATTCACGACATTGTATCCTCTCTTTTTTCTTGGCTAAACTGGCAGGCTTATCAATTTTATTGATCTTTTCAAAAAAACAATGTTTGTTTTCATTGATTTTCTCTATTATTTTTCTGTGTTCAATTTCTTAGGTTTATGTGTACTACGTTCATTTTCTATTTGCTTTAGGGTTGAATGGTGCTTTTTTTCTTTAGTTTTCTAAAAAAGAGTATTATATGTATTGATTTTCAAGTGTTTCTTCTTTTCTAATATATGCATTTAATGATATAAATTTCCCTCTAAACACTGCTTTTACTGCATCTCACATATTTTGCTACATTTTCATTTAGTTCAAAATATTTTTAACAACCTTGACACTTCTTCTTAACATGAGTTAAGTGTGTTGTTCAAGTACAAAATATTTTGCAGTGTTCTACCCATCTTTCTGTTACTGATTTATAATTTTATTCAATTATGATTAGAGAACATAGTTTGCAGATTTTTTTGTATTTTAAAATTTTTAGTTTGTTTTAGAGGTTAGAATGTTATCTGTCCTGTGCATGTTCCCTGTGAGCTTCAAATTAATGTGATTTTTTTGGTGTTTGATGGGTGAAGTGTTTTGTAAATATCAATTATGAAATGTTGGTTAATAGTGTTTTGAGGTCATCATACCCTAATTTTCAGCCTACTTCTTTATTAAATACTGAGATAGACATATTGCATTTTCTACCTATAATTTTGAATTTCTCTATTTCATCTTTAAGTTCCATTCTTGTCTCATATTTTTAAAACTCTTTAAAAATTTAAGATTGTTATGTCTCGTTGGAGAATTGACCTTTTTATCATAAAGTAATCTTCCTTGTTACCTCTGATAATGTTTATTGTTTTGATGTTTGTTTGATATTAACATAGACACTCTAATTTTCTTCTTCTCCTTCTTCTTTTTTTTTTTTGAGACAGGGCCTGCAGTAGTGTGATCATGGATCACTGCAGCCCCTACTTCCCAGGCTCAAGCTATCCTCCCATCTCAGCTTCCTAAATAGCTGGAACTACAAACATGTGCCACCACATCTAGCTATTTTTTAAAAAAATTTTTGTAGAGATTGGGTCTCACTATGTTGCCCAGGTTGGTCTTGAACTCCTGGGCCCAAGTGATCCTCCTGTCTCAGCATCCTAAAGTGCTGAGATTACAGGCATAAGCCACTACACCCGGCTATAATTCTATTTTTTATTATTTTGTGCATTATGTACCTTTTCTAATCCATTTGCTTTTCATATTTTTACGCATTTATACTTAATATGGTTTTCCTGCTGAGAGCATATACTTGCGTCTCACATTTTTATCCCATTTGACAATGTTTTAATTTAAACTGGTGTGTTTAGAACATTTGTATTTAAAGTAAATTTGATATAGTTGGATTAAAATATACTAATCTGGTAGGTAATTTTTATTTGTTCCTTTTGTTCATTGTTAGTTTTTTCTTCTTTTCTCATTTTTACAGATTAACTGAGCATTAAGAAATTCTAGCTTGCTTTGCTCTGTTGGCTTACAGTACTTTAAATCAGATTTAGTAAATTTATTAGGGTTTCTAATATGCATTTTAAATTAATCTGATTCTATGTTTCTATAACATTGCACTATTTTATGTATGGGTTAAAGAACTTACACTAAATTTTTTCAATCACCCTCCCCTATCTTTGTGATGTCATTGTCAAATATTTAAATTTTACTTGTGCTATGAACATAGAGTACATCATTTCTGTTTTTTTCTCAGTTTTTGTTTGTCTAGGACAATATTTATTTCTCCCCTTTTTTGAAAAACACATTTTTGCTGGACACAGAAGTTAGGTCTGAGCGTGTGTGTGTGTGTGTGCGTGTGTGTTCATTTAGCACGTTTAAAAGGACACTTCATTGTCTTCTTGGTTGTGTGGAACGTTTGAGAAGTCTGCTGTTATTTTTAACACTGCTTTTATGTAGGAAATATGTCTTTTTCTGAATGCCTAAGAGATGTTCTATTTGTCTTTGACCTTTGGCAGTTTCAACATGGCACAACTAGGCGAGGTTTTTGTTTGTGTTTTTGCTGTTGCTTTATTTGTTTTTATTCTGCTTGGTGTCCTGAGCTTCTTGAATCTGTCGTTTGGTGTCTGGCACTGATTTTGCAAAATTCTCAAAGTGTAATTGTTTTCAGCCCTTTCTGTCTTTCTTCTCTTTCTGAGTGTCAACTATGTGTATGTTAGTATATATAATATTGTCCTACAACTTTTCCTCTTTGCTTTTTTTATTTTTCCTTCTCTCTTTTCACTCTTTGTGTTTTATTTTCAGCAATTTCTATTAGGGTTATCCTCAGGTTTACTGACTTTTCTCTTGATTGTGTTGAATCTACTAATGAGTGCTTCAAAACCATTCTTCATCCCTGTTACTGTGCTTTGACTTCTAGAATCTTCATTTGCTTCTTTCTTATAGTCAATTGATTGCTGAAAGTATCTTTCTGGTCTTTCATACTTTATTCCACTTTTATTAAAGCTTTTAATATGTTAATCACAGTTACATTACATTCTCCTTCTGATTGTTCCAACATTTTTGTCATATATTAATCCTGTAATTATTTATTTCACTCATTAGAGTGTTATTTGTTATTTATCTTTTCATATGCCTCTAAATTTTTAGTTGACAGTCAGATACCTTGTATGGGAATTTAGAGACTGAGCATTTGATGTTTAAAGCATACTTCTTCTGCTAAACCTTTATTATACTTGCTTGCATTAACGTTTCAGGAATTGGGCTGAGTTTAAAGTTTGTTGTTGTTATGTGTATTCTCAGTAGAACACAGGCTAAAGGTAATTTACTTAATCATATAATTTCATTTCAATTCCTGTTGTATATAATATGATTTATTTCAAATTATTAAGATTTATGCAAACTGCTTTCTTTTCTTTTGTGAAGGATGTTATCTTTGTAAGTGTACAAACTGTGTTTCTGAGTGAGTACCTTTGGGGGTATTCACAATGTAGATTTTGTACTTATCCTGAGATATCTGAAACAATCATACTAACTTACTGTATTCAGATAAAATAGGTCCACCAAAAATTTAACTGTTATACTTTATTTATGACATTACACAATTTTCTAGTAGGCAATTTGAATGCTTATGATTCATGTCCTAAAGGAAAATATTTAAATGTAAGAAAATATTTTAAAATAATTTAAGTCAATTAGTCTATAATGCACAAAGCAAAATCTTCTTTATATACCTAAATTAGCCAATATTTTATTAAACTGTCATAGAATAATAGCCTATACCATTATGTCACTTGTAAAACTCTAATTTTGCCTAATAAATAAAATGTCTTTTAGAAAATGCATTTGACTATATCCTTGAATATAAAAATTATCTTGCTAAGTTTATTATTCTTTCAAAAAATTACCTTTATTTAAAACTATTGTTAAATGTTTCCTAGGAGTGCTGTTAAAAAGTGATGGGAATTAAAAACAAATAATCCTCAGGGGTAGAATATTCAAAGAAGCAAGACATTAGCATACTTCACATTTTAATTGTTTTTTTGTTAAGTATTAGTGATTAGTGCCACTGAATCTGAATCTAGGTCAAAGCCTAAAAGGTTTCAGATGTAAAAGACAAAAGGGAAAAATAACTGAACTAATGTTTATTTAGATATCCCAAACATTTAATTTCTAAATATAATGAATGTCTATTAAAATGTATTTAAAATGGAGCAATGAAAAATGTAAAGAGAATTAAAACAATTTTACATTCTCCTTCATCACCAGTAACTTCCACCAATAACACTATGCCCTGTATTTTGGACTGCCTTTAAAAAAATGTTTAACATTATTATGTTATGTGTTTACATGGACAATCAACAGTTTAGGCTGATTGACAGGTATGGCAATGCAAAACAAAACACTACATGATTCACACAATGCTTGTTTGCTATGGGTTCTACTTATTTTTCAGGCAATAGCTCTAGGCTAAATTTTGGCCAAGTTGAAGTTTGTTTTCAATTCCTTCATTTTCCTAGATACAGTTAAATAATAAAATTGTCTTTATAATCGTAATTAATAATAATCACATATATTTTAAGCCCTGGAATTAAAAAACAATTAGCCCCAAATAATAAACTTTCATTGTTGAAACTGCATAACAGTTTAAGACCAGAAATATTAGAGTCCTTTTCATTTTACCACATAGGATGGATCTACCTATAATTAATATCATTGTAAATACAGTAATGCTGAAGTACTATTTTACACACGTGAAGACACTTCAAGATATCTTGGAATACAATTGTTTTTAGTTGAGACAAAAAAAATTCATGTTTCAATACCATGTAGACAAAAACAGTTTACATAAACACAAACATTTACAGCCACAATAATGACCAAATAAATCAAACTAAATATTTTGTCCAAAGCTTTTGGTTTGGAGGATATTTCTGATAAAAATTCCAACTAAAAATTGCTGTCAATAGACTCTTTTAAAAAGATTGTGAAAACTGGGTATATTTGAGTTTTATTCAATTTTATTAAAACACAATACTATTAGCTTTTTAAGGTAAGAATGCTAGTTGAAGTATAATTGCAAAAAGCCCAGAATGAATTTATCTGATAAGCAGTCTCCATATATAAACAGTTTGAGTAATAAAAAACGAAAACAATAGCTTAGAAGTATTGAAGTCTTAGTATAGTATACTAGAGAGAAGTCCACTGGTTACATTTTGGGGTTTTAAAGAAATAGTATCACAATGATAATTTTTCTTTAGAAAGCAGTATTTGTCAAGCACAAGTGAATAATAATTATAATTAACATTTGTCATGTCATATTTTTCAGAATTAAATATAAGATTGAGCTGACCTTTGAACAAAAACAAACACATAAACAAAACCATTTAGAGCCTCACAGATGAATAATCCACAGAAAAGAATGATGCTGATATTCCTGATCAGAATGCCACTATAAATCCAAAGGATGCATATCCTGAACTGAATACAGAGATCACGGCAACTGTCAACCAAATAAACTAAATGGCAGTGGTATGCAAGACGGGGAATGGGTTGTGTTGTGGGTGATGGGGATATAGGAATGAACAAGACAAACAGTAAACTTGTCTTTAATAAGCTTATATTCTAATGGCAGGAAACTAAATTATCAAAGAAACTATTCAATCATTTTAGGTACAGTGTACCATGACAGGCACAAATAGGATAATGTGTTAGAGAGAGACTCAACGAATGAGAAGCAGCTTGAACTAGGGAATGAACAAGATTCTTCTAGGAATTGATGAGTTTGATCTAAATGACAAGAAGAAAACACTCATGAAACTGTTGCAGGACTTTCCTTAGTTCGGCTAAAGACAGGTTTCTTCTCCATTCCACAGCCATGAAAATTTAGGCTCGCAGACGGTTTAAAGGGTGAGCAAAGCAGGGTTTTATTGGGCGAAAAGGGGAAAAAAGAGTGGGGGAAACAGGGATCCTCAGCAAGGCCAGAGTCCCCTGCTAGAGAATTTCCCACTTGCTGTTGGAATCCCTGGTTTCCAGGGAAGGAAGAGGAGGGGCCAGGCAGGCCATGCTGCAAAGGGCGTGAACTTCCCGAGGCTCCACCTCAGTGGGTAGGATGGCTAGAGTTTCTCCGAGGACCTGGAGTTTCTCTGAGGACCCCCTCCCACCTGGCTGTCTCACTTCCCCCTCTAAAGAAGTACATCTAACTGCCATTAGATTAAGGATAAGGATGAAGACTGATCTTAACTGCTTCCTGCTGACAGGGGGCACTGTTTTGGGGAAATGGGTCAGAGTTTTCCTAGAGGCCTATTTAAGGGCTCCCAGCAGGAGAGGTCATTGTCAGAGCCTCTGGTTGCATGACTGCTTGGAGTCTGATGGCCTGAAGGCAAGAACAGACAAACTGGGTTATTAGAAAACGTATCAAAACGAAACAAGGGGAGGGCTAACGACAGCTCTAAAATTCTGAGGTATTTTACCAGTTTACACAGGGAGAGAGAGGCCAAAAGCACAACTGGTAAAACAAAACAAAACAAACAAACAAACAAACAAAAACTTTACTCTTTTGCTGTTGCCTTGGGCTTTTGGGTTTCCGTCCCCTGACCTCAATCCTACGCCAACCAGTGTTAAGTTTTGGGCAATTAACTCTTTCCAGTTTGGCAAATGCATCTGAGGGGAGTGTCTCATAGTACGGAAACATGGAAACATAATTACCTATTAGTGAAAGGAGAACTGAGGAGGAGAAAGGAAAAAGAAGGCGTTTTATTCAAAGGAGTCCTAGCGGTTCAGGATGCATTTGAAAGGGGTACAGACTGAAGATGAATGGCTACCCATCTAGAAAGAGGGGAGCAGCATCCCTGGTTCCCCTCTCTTCCTAGCAGATACACAGGGTACGTGAGGGAGAGAGAGAAGAGTGTCCTCTTTCCATCTTCCATCCTTGCATCCCCGAGTTCCAGTGACCTTGGCAGGTCTCATCATGAGGGCCAAAGTGGCTTGCACTCATGAAGCAGGGAGGTCCTAGAGAATAGGAAGTATCTGCTCTCATCTATGTCTCTTTCCCACCTACTGTCAGTAGCCTTGGAGTTCCCTAGACTTCATTTATGCCATAGATATTAACGTGGCCTTTATCCATGAAACAGGAAGCTTGGGGTTGGCTTAATTGGCAGGAATCAGCCATGCTCACCTGCACGGTGCCTTGTAACCTCTGTTGTCATCTGCCTCTGGATCTTTTAGATCCAGTTTTCTTTCCTAGGGCTTTGCCCTGAAGCTCAGAATTGAGTTTGGGACAAAAATGTGTCTTGGGGCAGTTGCATGGACCCCTTATCATAAGCCGAATGCTAAGCTGAAACTGTGGAACTGAGTCCTCCTCCAACAAGGGAGACAAAGGGATACCTTGTGACATAACCCAGATAACTGGTAGCTATAGTTATGCTTGCTAGGATTTGGGGGCATGGTGCTTTGCTTTGGTTAGTTCCCTTGGTCTTACTTTCCCAAAAAGGAAACCTCTGGGTGATCGGCACCCTATTTATTCCATCACCTGGAAGGATTTGCAGGATAATTGCTCAGAACTAGAATATTGATCCTCATTTTCACATTTCCTATCCTCTTGTTCATTCTGAGCTGCAGCCAGAGATTGCTGGTTGGTTCACAGGAACAAGCAGGGTTAGTCTAAAAATGTAGGTAAAAACTGAAAAACAACTGGTGAGTTTAGAATTGAATGATAATGTATGATCAATTTTGATACATGATTTCTCTCTTTCTAGTCCTCATGTTTGTTAATAAAAGACATCATCATAGGACTGAGTGGTTTGCATTTAGTTTTATACTTGGCCTTTTTATCTGCATAAAGTGCAGCAAGAATAATCATTTCTACATAGGCCTTTTATATTGGCTTTCATGGAATTCTTTTCCACAAGGAATCTCAGATAAAACCTTTTAAAGCCAAGCATGGGTTTGTATCCTTAAATACTTGTGCGTTGAGTGATCCTCTCCTCTTAAGGTCACAAGATAAACTTGGAGCTTCTAGACCTGTTAGAAAGTGACATTCTTTACTGACCACAGGTCAGGAACTCTGTACAGGGATTGTGCAGATGAAGGTATGAGGCCAGTCTCCCATGGGGCTTTTATTGGCTCTGTAGGTAGAGTTTGACTCCTTAAAGGGAAGCATACCCTTCCAGTCAAAGCCTTGGTAACCATTTTTTCCAATTGTGTCCTGTTGCAAAAGAAAAATAAATTCTTATTGCACTGATGCAAACAGCTATATTGCCATAAGTTAAGAGTACTCACAGATAGGTTCTAAATTCTGGAGGAACCAGGCAGAGAGAAACAAACATGCTCCAAATTTTGATCACAGGAGTATATAACTTATGTAATTATTAAAGGCCATAAACCATTCAAAATAAGTTCACTTGACTCTGAAAAAACAAAACGAGGATCAGAAATATTCCAAGCAATGGTTCAAAAGGTTGCTTCAGCTTTCTAAGTTCAGTTCATTTAGTTAACTCTTGTTTTACTGGATATTCATGAACATTGCAGCTCTTCATGAATCCTATACATTTTCCTTTATGTCAATGTTAAAATTTCTAAAGTTATCGGAAACCTGATTGTCTCAAGTGCAATCAGAAATTATGTTTGAGAGCACCTCTCAGTGTCCTATAGCTCATTATAAACCATCTTTTGAAAAGGATTACGACATGACAACAATTGTCTGTGAATAGCAAAATATCCACAGTAGTTACAGTTAGAAACATGATTGACAAAGAAGTTTGGTTATCTCAGTGGTTTACAATAACTTAAACATAAAAACCTTAATTATAATTCATAGCACATACTCAGACATTAGAATTTTAGAAATCCCATACAATTTTGTCATGTATATTAGCATTATTCACCAAGATATAACCTAAAGAAGACTGAGCATCATTTTGGCAATTCCATGTACTTAAACATGTTAAATAATCCTATTTAACCTCCCTTTTCTGAACACTTCATGGGTCCTCTGAAGCATTCAAAAAGCCAGGTGCCAGAGAAGACAATTTTGAAACTGAAGTTTTATTTTGGGAAGGCTGTTAAATACTTAAGGTTTAAAACACTTGATATTATAAAATAGAATTCCAGATTATCGTAAGTTATTTTGCCAAAATCATGACTCAGAAATTTTAAAGAAACAAAGACCTTTTATAACCCTTTACAAATTTTGCCAAAGAGCAGATTAGAACCGTAGGAAAACCTTGTTATGCTTTTATTTCAATGCTCAATTTACAGAAAAACCATATAATACCCTTTTTAAAATTTAGTCAATATGTTCACACAGAGAGTCTCTTCTGCAAGATTATTTTCCACAATTCTTCTACCACTTCTTTGAACTTTCAGCTTTTTCCTAAATTAACTCAAAACAATCCTTTGACCCTAGGCAAAGATTTTTATTTCCATCCCTTCTTATAACCTTTTACTAAAAAACACATTTTACTGTTCTTACACACCTTGCATGTAAATCTATTTTCAGTAGTTTCAATCACATGTTATAATGGTAACCCTTAACAATTGTTAACTTTAAGGTAAATCCTGGTAAGTTGCTTTAATTGTGCTAACTGGAGTCAACGTTTGCCTTCTTAGTTAAGGGTGCATTTAGTTTCATACTTCTGCAGGCCTTACCAATTGTGAAGCAGGCAAGACAGAGTTCTCAAAACCCATGAAGCAGTTTGTAACCTCAAAACGCTTAGCAAACTTCCATCTGACCTGCATTTTCCCAGTAGTCTTTAGGGCTGTTTTTATTTCTGAAAGATTAAAGTCATGTGAACCGAAAGGTACCACAGCTTTTAACTTCCCTTAAAAAAATACTTGATCCAAACACTTCTTTCTTTAGGCCAAATTATTAGAGCTCTTTTTACAAACATCACGCATAGTACTTACACAGCCAGCCAGAAGAAAACCCAGTCGCTGGGTGGGGCCCTATAAGAGACAGGGCTAGGAAAACATGCAGATATCTAATCTGAGAAGGCTCATTCCCTCAAGAGGGATTACCAAACAAGAGGGATTGCCAAGCAGTTACTGGCCATGCCCCCAGGATGCAAAGCAAGATGGAGGCTGCAACCAAACCATACAGACACGCAAAGCACACCAGATTGGCCACAGCCCAAGACTAGCCCCACAAATCCTTTTTCACAACCAAAACTTTACAAAGTGTACAAACAGTGATAGTTGGATAGTTGTGGGGGGAGCCTGGTTTAGTAAAAACATCTTCTAAAAGGGGAAAAAATACCTTTAAAGGTTAACTGCTGTTGGGTAGAAAAGGGAAAAGGGGAAGAAAAAAAAAGTTTAAAAATGCCTGGGGAAGAACCTCTTATTCTTATGCAACTGGTTCCTCCACCAGAGGTAAAGCTTAATTACTGTCCGATAAAGCTAAACCCTTTGGCCAGGAAAGGGGAAGGCTGCGGTGGCTTGTGGTTGGGAACCAGCCAGCCAGCTGTGTGGGACCCTTGGGCCATGCGTCCCAGCCCCAGCAGGGCAAGGAACTGCTGCTTAGCAATGGGTCCCAAAAAAGGAAGGAAAAGGCCATGAAAAGGCCCGGGAGCCACGGGGGTGGGGGCATGGTTCCCCCACCCTCAGAAGTCCGAGGATGTAAAGACTTAGAAACAACAGTGACAGATTTTGAGCCCTCATTTTACTCACCACTTTTGGAGCTCCCATGCTGCACACCAAAATGTCACAGGACTTCAGGTAAACATGTGGTTCTTGTCCATCCCATGGCCACAAAAATTTACGCTCACAGATGCTTTAAAGAGTGAGCAAAGCAGGGTTTTACTGGGTGAAAAGGGAATAAAAGGGGGAAACAGGGATCCCAAGGAAGGCCACGATCACCTACTACAAGATTTCCTGCCTGCCATTGGAATCCCAGCTTCCACACAGGAAGAGGAGGGGCCAGGCTCCTCCTCCCTGCAAAGGGCTTGAACTTCCCCAGGCTCCACCCCAGTGGGCAGGCTGGCTGGAGTTTCTGTGAGGTCCCCCCTCCCACTTGGCTGTCTCAGAGTCAGGAGGAGGAGTGGTATGGGCAGAAAAAAATAGGAAGGGAAAATTATAAAAGAATTCCCTAATCTCTAAATGTTAATAAAGTTAGCAAAGTGAAGATTTCAGGTGTTAAACTTGACAGTTTAAGATTAATTTAGTTTTATGTTTAAATCTCTTAGAAATATCTAATAATTTGTCACAGAAAATTTTTCTTACACATTATTTGGTTACCTTCAATAGTTCTAGGTATTCCAGCTCTATCAGGAATTTAGGCTTAAAATGTTTATTCTGACTTCCACCATGAAATCAACATTATTTTCACCTTAGTCTTCCCTGGCATAGTTATTCCATACAGTGAGTCACTTTACATGATTCAATTTGACTGATCTCTATGGTTGTTTTTGTTGTTGTTTTTACTGACCCAAGCTTTACTTTATTTCCACTCCTTCACTCCTAAGTATATCTAGTACTTGAAACTTCATAGACGGTTTCCATTCACACACAAACACCCTCTATACAATGTAAAAACTAGTTAACTGTTTGCAGAGAGATCTTGGAGGCTTACTCATGAATAGTTGTAGATCCTTCTCTAGTATTGTCTTCAGTCATCATCCATTTCTAAGGATTTTTTTCTTCTGAGTTACCAAGAAATTTAAGTTTGGGGATATTGAAATAAATATATTAAACACGCAATTCTACAAATATTATAAACTCTAATTTTGAACACATAATTTCTGTGGAAAATGATTAGTAAGTAGGAACAGAGTTTCTTAACTGACGTGAAATATTTCAGTATAAATGAAAATAGAATAGAAAAGTACCTAGAATAGTCTTTTAAATTTCATTTTAACCCAATTTTCTTGGCTATTCATTTAGTTTATTCAAAGAATCAGAGTGTAAAGAAAAAATTTAACCTTATTAGTTTGTGTTGATACAATTGAAAGTGCTCAAGTATTTACAAAGACCCATTTTCTTTCAGTGAGTTCTGATCCTCTGTCCTGAAACTCCTTCAGAACTCTAGTTAGTGACCACTTACTTTTATTGATTATGTTGATACAGTTATAATATATACATGAAATAGGTGAACTTTGGCATTGCCACTGAGATAATTCTACTAATTTCAGACAAGATTTTAATACCATTATTTTACATTAATATTTTACTTTCAAGATTATATCTGCTGAGAGTGATTATACTATAAGTGAAAGAATAACCATTATTAACAGCACTTTTGAGGTTTGGACTTCATCTTGTGACATCTTCCCTCTTTGTAATTACAGTTTTCTCGTCTAAAATTCTGACTAAAAGTAGTAACCACTAAGATAAAGCAGAATTAACTTCTTCTTGAGCTTCAGATAACTGATTCACTGTAATTTCCAGATTTTAAGAATTGAAGAAGTATCCTGCAGTTCTTGATGACACCTAAGGACACAATCTTGCCTTATTTATTAATCCCAATACCTGACTACTCATAAGGCTTTCCTGGATATAATGTATATATTAATTATGGTAATAACTATATCAGTTCTTTCTATAGGAGTTCAAGAGCCTTGCACATGAAGCTCTTTTCATTCTAGGAGGTTGCTCACTCTCTGTTTTCTTGTGAGATGTAAGATCTGTATTATAAATGTTAGTGGTTGACAAGAATTCAGTATATGTAGTGTCACAATAAAATGGCATAAAAATAAAAGTTAAAGAACCTTGGTTTCTTCTATCATTATTTTTCTATGTTACCTTTAACAAAATTCTCTAGACTTTTTCGAGCTTTGAGATATCTTGCCTTCTTGTCATTGTGGTTAGTGAACGGTCTTCTAGGTTTCTACCTGAGCCTTCTATGGGTCAATCTGGTTACTATGCAGATGTGGTGCTATTTCAGTTATGACACATACAAAATTACTTGAAGAAATTAGAAGACCTAGCTGGAAAAAAAACAGTAATTATTAACTCATGGGTTTCCAGACTTTATGCTACTCATTGCCTGTTTCTTCCAGCAATATTTTCCACATTTAGAAGAGAGAAATATAATTTTTCATTAACACAAGTTCATAGTTGTAACACTCTCCCTGAAACAAAAGAAAGATCAATAAGAGAAAAGCAAGCAGAAGGATATTAATATGCATGCTTCCCATCACACTGGAGAAAAGTGTATCTAAAAGTAACTCTCTCAAAGCAGTGGTTTAGGAGCTATGTTTAAATATTTTAAAAAACAGCAGTACATTTTATAGCAGAGAAAAGAGAAAGATGAGAACAGCTTCAAGCTCCCAAAGAAAGGAAAATTATGAGAGGGTACTAAAGTTTGCTTCATTATTACTCTGGCTTGGTTGGTGCCATTTCTGAGCTAATAAAATCCCTACACCCTCTTCAGTAAAAGTAAAATTTACATCTTGCCTTTAGAGCAGAAAGGGGATAGGATAGAGAGAGGTTGTGTTTTCTTTCTTTATTGCTTCTTAATTGCCTTTAGCTAAAAAGATTTACATTAAAGAGACACAATTGGGTAAAATATTTTGGTTTCCTTCATTTCTAAACATATTTTCTCTTATCAATTCTAAACAATTATAATCCTTATTAAAAAAAATTTCAATCCTAAAATCCACATGTCATTATATATCTACTGATTAAAAAAAAGTTTTATGTTTTACCACTCAGAATAGGAAAAAAATGGATAACTTTGACACAGGATTTTTCTCAGTCAATTTACAAGTTGGGGACCTCTGGCCAGTGATGTCCCTGACCAGGCCTCACTCAGCCACGCTACCTGCCTCAAGAGATAGCCCATCCACTCAGTCCACTTTGGCTGTGCCTGGCTTGCACACTGGCTCAGCCCGTGGCTTGCCAGGTGTACCCCAGCCTGCCCATGTTATAGGTCATACCCATATTCGGCAGTTCCCAAGTTCTTGTCCCACATCTAAGAAGAATGAGGATACATTGCCAATTGAAGGGTTAGGAGGACAGAGAAGAAGTTTATTAAGTAACAAAACACATCTCAGCAGAGAAGGGACGTGAGGGTGATCAACCACCCAGAGTCAGGTGGTTTCTCTCCCAGTGTGGCTGAGTCCAGGGCTTTTATGGGCTCAGAAGGAGTGTGTGCTGACTGGTTTGTGAGTATGCAAAAGAGGTTAAAACAAAGGCACCACTCAAAGGTGGGCACGACAGTGTAGAAAACCAATTAGGGAAGGGTAGTTATATGTAAAATAGGTGAAGGGTGAGAATTAACCAGAGGAAAGCAAGCTAAATGGGAAGAAGTTTTCTCAATCAGGTCCATGGATTTGACTTATAGCTTGGCTTTTGGGCTTTAAACTGTCCTTGGCTTGGAGGTGGAGTTTCACTCGAGAGTTTCACCCTTATCTACCTAGGCATTTGTCTGCCTCCTGCCCCTATCAACCACATTAATTCACTTCACCAAATTTGACATTAAGTAATACAGTTTATTTCTCAATCCATAATGTCCCACTAATTTTGCCATTTTTAAGACATACTTTTAACATACATGACTTCTTATATATGTGAACAGATATTAATACAGGTATATTATAAATCATTCAGATAGAGACCTCAGCCAAACCTATAGATTAAACTCCTCTAAAGCAAATTCAAAAGCCATTGCATGTAGTAAATATGGTTAAATGTCACTAAGTTAAAATTAAGAATAACTCTATCAAATTATGTTGTGGGAAAGTGAAAAGAGAAATTACTGTCATGAAGAAGATTTTTTCCCTTGTAAAGCAAATAAAAAATTAATGTGAAGAGTGCATGAATATAAAATGTTGGTGCAAAAATAAAAGGAAAATAATACTATGTAAAAAAGAGAAAACAATATTGGGTTAACAAAAAGTCAATGGTTCTCATGAGTAACCAAAGGCATTTAAATTATGTGATTTACACAAATAAAAAGTCTGACAATACTAAGTACTGGGAAGGAAAGAACTTTCTATAAACTACTGCATATCACTATGAATTAGTTAACCCATATTGGAAAATAGATGTCATTGTTTATTAATGTTAAATGAATGTATACCTTCCGATGACTTGTCAGTCTCATATTGTGTTATTTCTTTAGAGAAATTAGAAGAATGTTCATGGCAAAAAGTGAAAATAGAAACCAAAACAGGCTGGGCATGGTGGCTGACACCTGTAATCCCAGCACTTTGGGAGGCCGAAGTGGGCAGATCACGAGGTCAGGAGATTGAGACCATCCTGGCTAACATGGTGAAACCCTGTCTCCACTAAAAACACAAAAAATTAGCCAGGCATGGTGGCAGGCACCTGTAGTCCCAGCTATTCAGGAGGCTGAGGCAGGAGAATGGCATGAACCCGGGAGGCAGAGTTTGTAGTGAGCTGAGATTGCGCCACTACACTCCAGCCTGGGCAACAGAGCGAGACTCAGTCTCAAAAAACAAAAACAAACAAAAAATGAACAAACAAACCAGAGCCAAAAAACGAAAGAGGGAATGGAAAGTGACTCAAATGTATATCAATTATAAAATGGATAAATGAATTGTATTGGATAAATGAATTGTGTGATAACACAAAACTGAAACACAATGGAAATAAATAAATCATATGTACAGATATCAACATATATGAATAAAGAAACAGTTTTGAACAATCTTTTTTCCAAAAGAATGCCTGTAGTATAAGGCCATTTATATAAATGTTAAAGCAGGTAACACTAAGTAATATATTGTTTAGGAATAGACACCTAGGAGATAAAACCATCAGAAAAAGCAATGGATAGAGTAAGATAAAATTCAGAATATTGATATCTCTGGTGAGAGGGAAAGGAACGTAATTGAAGGCGAGCACAGAGGGTTGGTAATGTTCTAGTTCTCAAGTTAAGTGGTGACCAAGTGTGTCTTCATTTCATTACAATTCTCTGAAATGTATATAGAGTAAATATTCTTTGATGTATGAGCTTTCAAATAAAATGTTTAAGAATAAAACACATGAAAAATAATAATATAACAGATATAGGTTAAAAGCTACAGCAATTTAAATTCCAGAAAATCATCTCTCATACATAAAACAAACTGGATTTCAATCACATCATTCATTATAGAGGTACCAAAATATCTCAAAGAGTATATCCCAAATAAGTGAAACATTTATCAAAGGGTTTTAAAAAATAACTGATAAAACTTTCCAATTACAACAATTTTCTAAATTTTTCACATTGTTCTCTATCACAATAACTTTTAAGTCATTCTAAGGTAGACATTAGTCTTACAGTGAAAACACACACACACTATATAATATTTATCAGAAATAAGAGAAAGTTTTAAAATCTCAGGATAAAATATTCTTTTTATGTACATTTTTAGTATTTATACACTGACAAAACATATAAAGAAGTCACAAAGTAGGAAAAATGGCATTTTTGTTTTAATATGATCCCATAAAAATAATGTCAAGAGATATAGCTTATATAAACAAAAATGTTAATTGTACTCAGTTGTTTTTGTTTAATGGCAGAGCATTTTAAATCCAGATTCGCAGTTGGTAATTGTTTTTATGCGATGTCAACTAACTTAAATTAACATCTGAATTACATAGTATATACCCAAAAATGAGATGAGAATATACTATCTTTTTGAGGTGAAATGTTTTGTATGAAAATCACAACAGTAAAATCTGTGGAAAGGTTAAATTTCAATGTTTTTTTTTAAAGTTTAAGCTTTTATTTTTAATTATTAGAGAATTTTTCAGAAGGGAATAAAGTTATTACAATTAATTCTTTAAAGAGCATATTTTGCTTAGCATTTGACAAAAATATGTAGATGTAGAACATTAACTTGCAGGCAATTGGAAAAATATTTATTTTAATAATATGTCATTTCTAATTATGAGAAAATCACATTAAATTACCACACTGTATTATACAAGATTAGCAGGCATAGTATGTAAAAAAATGACAACATGACAATTTTCAATATCGTAAGTAATCTATTTCTGACCTTATTTCTCATCAGAGATTGAGAATTCTCTAGGGAAATCTCATCAGATCAGTTAGTTGCATGAGTGCTCTGGATATTAATGACCATTTACGGTCCATTGAAAGTATAACTGGTTGGGCGCTGTGGCTCATGCCTGTGATCCCAACACTTTGGGAGGCCAAGGCGGGCAGATCACGAGGTCACGACATGGAGACCATCCTGGCCAACATGGTGAAACCCCTTCTTTACTAAAAATACAAAAATTACCTGGGCATGGAGGCACGCACCTGCAGTTCCAGCTACTTGGGAGGCTGAGGCAGGAGAATCGCTTGAACCTGGGAGGCAGAGGGTGCAGTAAGCCGAGATCGCGCCTCTGTACTCTAGCCTGGTGACAGAGCAAGACTCTGTCTCAAAAAAAAAAAAAAAGAAAAAAGTAAAAGTAAAGAAAGTGTAACTGTTATTAGATAAAAAAATAAGGAAAGGGGAACAAGATTTTTCTATATTATAAAAGTAAATTAGAGCTGGGTGTGGTAGCTAACACCTGTATCCAGCACTTTAGTAGGCCAAGGCAGGAGGATCTCTTGAGCCCAGGAATTCAGGCCAGCCTGGGCAACATATAGAGCCCCTTACATTCCCATCTGTTAATACTTAGGAGGCTGAGTTAGGGGGATCAGTTGAACCCAGGAGTTTGAGGCTTCAGTGAGTTATGACTGTGCCACTGCACTCCAGCCTGGGTGACAGAGAGAGACTCTGTCTCAAAAAATAAATAAATAAATAAATAAATAAATAAATAAATAAATAAATAATATTTAACATTAAATTTATTCATCTTTTCCTCTACTTCGAGAATACATTCAGCCTTTATCTTAACTATTGGTATTTTTCAATCATAAACAGAAATCCAAGTACATTAATATTATTATAGTTGTAATAAATTTATGTATATAACATTTTGTCTCCAAGGAAATTAAACTTATTTTTTAACCTACACTCTTGCTTTAAAAAAGAAAACACAAAAAGTACAAAACAATAACTTTTAAGGAGGAATGTAAAAATTCCTGCATATGGCATCTTTGTCTGAAGTGAAGACACAGTTTCAATTTACAAAATAATCCATGTATGTTACCATGTCCCTGAATATTCCTCCTCCATTACTGCTAGATACCAACATTTCTGGATTTGTTAATGGTGATACCTTGGTGCTTCAGGCACTCATTGTATTTTTCAGTTAAAAAATTCAATATTAATTATTTTTCTTGCCAACACAGTGCTGATTTTTTCTTGAAACTCCTAAATGGAGATAAAGGTAAATGAATGTTGAATAAAATTGAGAAAGAGGCACAAAGAATCTTTTTCTTCTCCTGAATCCAGTCAGGTTTCTTACTTCATGGAGAGTGAACATGCATCTGCAGGGTATAATTCACTAAGTGACAGGAAAAATATTAACTGCTATTTCTAGCCTACATATAGGGAGGGGATATAATTTCAGTGGCATTTTCCATAGAAATGATAGTAGAGTTTTCAGATGAGTAAAATATGTGGGTGGCAATATCATGGCTGGAGTTTGGGTAATTGAGAAATCACAGAGAATTATTGAAAATCTATCTCTGGATAAAAAGAAAATACAGACAGCTAAGTCTGAAAGAGAGAAAGAGAGGATTTGTCTCAATTATGCCAATGGAATACAAGGAAAATCTTGGTACTTTAAAAAATCTCAATATAATTCTACATGCAAAGCATTTATTTTGGTACAAATAAATATAAATTTTTACAAATTATTTGAATAGATTTTTCAATAGTAAACATTGAAACAAATGCATGTAAGCAATGTATGGCTGTCTCTTTAGCATGCATGTCTGTGACAAGCAACCACTATGGCCCTTTCTCAAATGTTATGATTTCCTAAAATATGTAGTGCTGATGAGAAAGCCTCCAGGGAGTGCTGAGCAGATATACCTTCAGATTTGGGTCACAGTTTTTTTCCCCTGAACTTCCAACACATCATCCAACTCATCGATCAGCAATTAAGATATAGATTGAGTCAGTTCTGTTGGTCTGTAGCCAACTACCCTGACAACTAAACAGTGGGAGTTGAAGAAATGCAGCGTTGTTATTAATGTTTATTATTGTTTTCACTGCAATATATAATAGTTGCATCTGCTTAAAATAGCAGGGGAAAATATTAGCCATCTTTAATAGGATTGACAATGCTGCAAATAGGAAATTAGTTAACAAGGAGAAATATTAACAATCACTTGTAACTGTTGTAAACAAAGATACTTGGGAAATCTAAAGTAGTGAAACATCATTTCCATGCAAAAGAAACAAAAAGACAAGCCTACTTGTCCTTTAGAGTGCAGAAAATAAGCTGTATCAATACCATTCTTTTTTTCTCAACAGTTTCACTCTGTCTGCCAGGCTGGAGGGCAATGGCACAATCACGACTACCACAGCCTAGACCTTCCAGGCTCTAGTGACCCTTCCACTCAGCTGGGACTACAGACATGTATCACTATGCCTGGCTGATTAAAAAAAAAACCTATTGTAGAGATGGGGTCTCCCTATATTTCCTAGGCTGGTTTGGAACTCCTGAAGAGCAGAAAAATATAGATAATTTTCTATGGCCATTCTTCTTCATTTATTCTAAGCCTGAGCTTTTAAATACTTTGAAATCTAAGAGTCAATTTCCTTTAATGTACTTTGGAAAGAAGAGGTTATTGTATGTGTGCTCTTCAGTCATCCATATTGTCACAGGATCCGTAGGGTGTCACTTTTCCAGCTGGAAACCTCTGTGGCTGATGGCACATTTACCCGAGTTTTGCTCGGGCCTGCTGGGCTTGTTCTGCCCACTTGGCTTGGCATTGTGGTCAGGAGCACTACCAGCCCAAATCCCATGCCTGCCAAGGGCGAGCCAGGCACAGAGCAGTGAGGGCTGTGTGAGTGACCACGGGGCCCGACCCCAGTGCTCAGCCAGGTGTGTGAGCTGCCGCAGGGCAGACAGTTCCAGGCACCAGCACAGGAGCCGGCTCCATGTGAGGCTGTGGCTGGGCCAGGCATACCACAAGTGGCTTCCAGTGCAGGCACCAAGGACCACGGTGGCACTGGGAAGCCTGGAGATGACAGTAACCATAGAGTCCCAAAGAGGGTGTCACAGCCCTGGCTCGAGGATCCCCTAGGTCTGGGATCCCTGAAGGGTCGCAGCTCTTTTCTCCTTCTTATCACCCATAACAACTGAGTAGAAGAAGGACATATTTCACCCCTGTTTGTGTTACAGCTCTTTCAGTCCTGCCATTTCACAGGTCCCAAGTTCTTGTCCCATATCCAAGAACAATGAGGTATGCAGACAACTGGAGGGTGAGTGAGGTGGAGAGGAACTTCATCGAGTGACAGAACAGCTCTCAGGAGACCCAAAGTGGGTAGCTCCTTTCCTCAGGCAGGTCATCCTGACAAGTGTTCAGCCCTCAGCAGAGAGGAAACTCACAGTAACTAACTTCCTACCACAGGCAGGTCATTCTGACGTCTGTCCAGTTCTCAGTGGAGAAGAGACCCGCAATGGGTAGCTCCGTTCTGCAGGCAGGTCATTCCAAGGAGTGGCCAGCTCTCAGTGGAAAGGAGACCCACAGTGGGTAACTCCTTTCTCCAGGCAGGTCATCCCTATATCTGTGTTAGTCTGGCTAGGTCTGGGGTTTTTATGGGCTCAGAGGGGAGGAACTCCATGCTCGTTGGTCCATGGGTGGCCATGAGCGGGACCAGAAAAAGCATCATAAGTTCTCACTCCTGCTGTGGACTCCACTGGAAACTGATGGCCCAAGCCCCAGGCTTCAGGCCATCCCTGGCTTGAAGGTGAGGCTTCATCAGGCACCTGCCCCTTCCTGCCCAGGAGTCTGTCTGCCTCATGCCCATCAACAGGTAGTCCATGGTGCCCAGGCTATTCATTTTGAGGGACTCCTGCAGGCCCATGCTGAGCTGCCATCAGCCCCCACTCAGCCTCCCTGCTGTGCTCAGTGCCCAAAGTCTAGAGGGGGGAGAAGTGGCAGGGGGCTGGCTTGTCAGTGCTCACATACCCAGCCAGGTAATGACAGGCATGGGTTTAGCATCAACTTTGCTCCAAAATCAGAGCAGGGAGAGGCCAAGCAGCAGGAGCAAGCACTTCTGAGGCTGAAAGGGTGGGGGGCCCTCCTGGGCCCCCAAGAGTGTGGGTTGCCCTGGTCCATAGCCATGGCTGAGTGGGTACAGCTGTGCCTGGGAGTGTGAGGCTCCTGCCCTGCCAACTTGAAATGGGGTGGGGTTCCTGCCTGTTCCCAGATCCCCTGGACTCCCTAGAGCCCTGGCCACCCCTTCCCTGCTGCAACCAGTGTCTTTGCAGCAGCTGCTCCAGGTGGGCCACTGCTGCCATCAATATCACAGTTATTCTTCATATTATCTCTCAGCTTTGTTCAAGGGGGGGATATATCATCACTTTTGCATTCTTTTGGACAACAGACCTTTTTTGTGAGAGGCTATCTCTGTGTTATTTAGTCTACAGTAATAGTATGGCCTAATCCAAAATGTGCGTTGCTGCTCTAAGTCCTGGTTCCTTCCAATATTTTCTGTAAGGAGTGAGAAGATAAATTTATGTATTACTGTTGGTTGGCTGAGAAGCAACATTTGCATCTAACACAACAGTGACAATAACAATAACAACCATCCATATACAAGCAGACACAAATATGCACACACATTCACTTAGACACACAGACCCTCTGAGAACATTGACAAAACAAAACAAAACAAAACCCTAAACTAATGAAATCTAAATCTGTCATATAGAAGAGAAATTTGGTCTAATTTAATCAAAATCTCAAAATCAGCACTGTTGCCCTGGCCAGGGAGGAGAGAGCATTACATCATCATGCACAGCAGAGCTATTCATGGATGACCTCTTATGTTTCACATTCATTTCTTGGTCTTATTGTGGACCCATTGGAAAACCACACATACCTGGAAGATTACTCCATAACTTGGAGCAATAGAAAAATTAAAAGTTAAGCTTACCTTTATTTTTAGGCCATACAATTTACATATATTAATTATGCAATGCTGTGCTGTAAAAGCAAGGAAAAATGTTCTTTCCATCACAGAGGAGAGAATAATGAACTCTTTTGAAACATGTCTAAGAGACATGCTTCAAAAATTCCATCTAGGCCTTGAAAAAAGGTTAGAAATTGAATGGCCTATATAGTGAGTGAGAAGAATATATCATAGGGAAAATGATGAATCAACACCAAGAGATATGATACAGATGGCACCTTTCAGAAGTACCAAGGAATCTGGAGTAGACAGAATGAAAGTTTAGAGGCAGGGAGCAGTAACAGCATCAATGAGAGATGACGTTGCAAACACAGATTGTGACCTCCTACAAAAATATGTTTTCTCTTGTAATTCTTATAATTGGTATTGTTGAAAAATAAACATTAGCCATAGCTTTAAAATAATTGAGTCAGAGAGTTTGGTATATTTTTGCAAATGACTCAATGTGAACATATAACTACATTTTTCTTGCTTTTTAAAAATGACTGATCATTAACAATAGGCTCACATTTTTTACTTATTATCCCTTCATTTGTTCACTTTCTTTAAATTCTCATTTCAAAGAAATGGGGAAACAATTTACTGAGCTGAAGTTAAATTCCATAACAGATGACCTCAAAGGAATTAGTCTTATTACACAAAATTGCTTTGGGTAAAATGGTGCAAAGGTCTCATTCATTTCAATGAGCTGTTGCTTATTAAAAATAAAATGCATTTACAATATCAACAAGCTCCTTTTTAACAAGGGATGCTGTTATCTTTAAAATTTCAAGAAATTATAACACTTATTTGCAAGTTACATTCACTATTCTTAAACAATCCTAGGTTCTATTTTACTTTAAATTCAAACGTTATTGTGAATATTATTTATGAAATTCTATTGTACATATAATGAAGAGGCTTGATAAATTAACTAAACATTACACCACAGATTTTCAGAAACATATTGTCCTAAGCAGTGTCAAACCAAGGGTGGAGGGGCAGGACCAAGAGAACAGTTTTACTCTGCTTGTGGGAAATAAGGGAGTGTGTTTTAGGAACAAAATTTAAAACAGCAATAAAACTGACTAAAATTGGTCTGCATTATACTAACCTCATACACTGACAATTCTAAATATTGTCAGAGATTAAACATTACTCCCTGAAAATCTTTTGTTGCTCTGTTAATACAGTTGCTATGATTACTGCATACACACACAAACACACACACACATAATATTAAGTATTTATATATATGTATATATATATATATATATATATATATATATACGTAAAGTTCAAGAAGAAGAGAAGAGGAGAAATGGAAGGTAGAGAATACTCAAAGAAATAATGATGGAGAATTTCCAAACATTAAAGAAACCTATTAATCTTCAAATTGTAAAGACCCATAACATACTAAATAGAAAAGATTGTGCAAGGGTTGACACATATAGACAGCATAGTGAAATGTAAGAACATCAAAGACAAAGAGAAATTTCTAAATTTCTAGAGAGATCAAAACAGAATACCTTCAATGGGAAATGTGATTTAAAAATCAGAATTCTCAATTGCAACAATAACTGCAAGAAAGCATAGACTTACCAATTTTATATTGCATGGAGTAAATTATAAATTTTGTATCCAGAAAGAATAGCATTTAAGTGTAAAATAAAAATATTTTTAGTTATGATACCACACATGGAAAATTTTATGAAAAGATCTGAATGTTTGACTATTAAATAGAGCATTAAACAGTGAGATTTCTCATATAATTATGCAATAAATAATACATAAACATATCCATAATGATATTTTACTAACATTTATTATTTATTATGTGCAAAGGATGGGTGGAACACTATCATATATGTTGTATATTTAAACCTCACCACAACCCTATGAGATCAGCATTATTATCATCCCCAATCCACAGACACCCAATTTGGCAATGAAATCCTAGATTACATCAATATAGATTAGAATGAAAGAGGATGAAGAAAAATAAACTGTTATTTGAAATTTTGTGAAGGTACACACTGGTCTGGTCATAAAATAAGCTATTGTTCAGTTTTAGAAAACAATAAGAATATTAAGGATAAGTAGAGATCACAATTTTTTTTTAAAGTACAGAATACCTTTTAAATCAACAGGAAAAAAATTTGATCTGCCACTGGAAATTAGGAAAGGATAAATTCAAGAAAAAAATGAAAGACCTAATAGTTTTAAGTTAGGAGAACTATGTCTTAATATCAAGCTGATTGCAGTTAAATGGGTTAGCCTTGCTAGTCAAAAGACAGATATGTGCAAATTGGCAGCCCCTCCCTGAAAAAACTCAGTAATACATTTTCTGTATGGCATACTTAAAAATAATGAGGCAGGAATATGGAAAATAAAATAATGGGAAAAGTTATACCATGTATGTATTAACTGGCAAGTACTAGAATAGCAAAATAACATGAGGTAAAATCAATTTAAAGTAAAAACTATCAATACAAATTATATTTGCACACTGCAAATGTAACAGTAGATTGATTCTTATAACAATGACATTATAAGAAAAACTTAATACAGCCTTGAAATAGGCAAGAACAAGAAGTAAAAAAAGAAGAAATAGATAAATCAACAATTGAAGCTATAAATTTTAATATGTCATTAAAAATTGATAGATTAAATTTACAGAAAACAAAATGAGATGTGAATAAAGTAATTAACAATCTTGATATATGCAACTTTATACATCATAGAATCCACATTATTTTAAGCATATGTATAATATTTACCCCCTAAAATACATCATATTCTAGCTTCCAAGAGAATCTTCAATAAGTTCCAAAGAATCAATTTCATGCTTTCTAACCACATATGGGAACTCAGAAATTAATAATCAAACTACTACTAAAAACCCTATCGAAAAACTACAAAACATAACACTGAATACATGAGAAATAGGTAAAAGAGGGCTTAACTCATGGAAGAGAGCGATGAGAGTCAGACTCCATTTTTGGACGATGACAAATTATAAGCAGAATACCAGTCCCTCGTAAATGGGCTTGTTTAGGGCAAAATCTCTGTCCTGGGTGAAGGAAATACAAGAAATGATCAAAAATCATGTTAGAGAATCTAGGCATAGGATAAACCTTGCACACTGGTTCCCACATAAGAAAGTGGGTTCTGTGGATCACAGCCACATGGTAATCTCGGTAGTCTAGACCCTTCTGTTCTCGAGAGGCTCTGAATCCTGGGTCTCATTAGCTGCAAAATCACTTGTGAAGACTTGCTAGAGAACAGGAGTCAACAGGTATCAAATTTCAAAGAGTGAAAATGTGTCCTTCTCTGAATTGATCTGGGAATCAGAGTATTCCTCATAGTGCAAAACCCTCAGTAGACTCACATGTGACAAGTGAGGAAAAGCAAAGGCCAAGGCTACATCAATGATGCAATGTCTATCCTGCAGTCACAAAAGGTAGATTTACACAAGGAAGAAGAAAGAATCAGTGCTTACTGAGGCATATTCACTCTTCTTTATAAGCAATAGCAAAGAGAAAAAAAGGAGAACACTAAATTCAACGAACTTTTTAATCTATTATTAATTTGCCCTACAATTTTGCTGTGCTTTCAACTTTCATGGCAATCAATGAAATAACTCCCTCTTGATTTAGTGCAAGCCAGAGGTGCAGCAGTCCTGCAGCATATGTGCGGAGAGGCTCTTGTTCTTAGATCTTCACTGGTGTCAGGCAAAAGTACTTTTTTTCACTTTTCAATTGGTGGCTCCAGCATCATTAAAGGATAAAGGAAATAAGAATTTTCAGTAAGAGTATCTACATCGTAAGGCACCACGCAAAGTAAAGTGTAGTATTCACTGAATATTTATTAAAGAAATAAGACCTTTTTTCCTACAGAGGTAATGAGTAAAGAAGTAATAACTGTGCCAATTATTACAGCCACATAACAACTTAACCCAAATATTAGCAATTTAAGACAACAATTTTATTTTGCTCACAATTTTCTGGGTCAGGGATTTTGAAACAGTTCAGCTAAATAGTTCTCACTTGAATTCTTTCATGGAGTTTCAGTCTGATGTTGATTATTATCAAATTATCTAAAGGGTGATTTGGTTATGCATCCAATTGGGCCTATTCTCAGGGCTGGCAGTTGATGCTGGTTATTGGCTAGGTGTGTTGGCAGATGTTTCTACATGTGACTTCTTCAGGGTGGTAGTACCAGAACAGTAAGAATTGTTACATGGTGGGGGCTTCACCAAAAATAGGTGTCCCAGAGAACCAGGAGAATGCTGCATCACTCTTTATAACTTACTTTCAGAAGTCACATAGTGTCACTTCCATCATCATTTATGGGTCAAAGCAGTCACAAGTCCATCAGATTCAAGGAGGAAAACAAACAAACCAAAAAACCCACTTCTTAATGGTAGGAGATGTGTAGATATTTGATTTTTAGACAAGTTTTAAAACTTTCAACATGACTAATACCTTATTTGGCAATAACGATTATTCTAAATGAAATGTCTACAGACTTAATTCTTAAAATTAAATATAGAGGTGTTAAGCGAGTGAATATTCCACTATTAATATGAAAATGTCTAATAGCCAAAGACCACATTTGCTTTTAATTATACTTTTTGCCACACTATAAAGTAGGTATGAAATCAAGAGAAATTTTTATTTGATTCAGAGAACACCAGAAAAAATGTGTATACTAAAGTTTCATGTTTTCCTACCTAAAATATGAAGTTTAAACATTTATAGAAAATTAATCATGTAATTACCTGCTATGTAGACTCAGCTTTAAATGATTGTTAATTTTTGCTTAAATGGTCAACGTACCCCAATAGGAAAATAAATCTAATTAGTCAGTGTGTAAAAATCAATTATCCATATGAAAATATCTTCAATTATAGTAGTCATTACGGAAAGTTTTTATATCCAAAGGCAATGAAAAACAATGGAAGAAATACTACATATTAAATAAAAATTCAATATGTGTTACTTTTTAAATGTGACATTTAGAATGTTATTAGTTAAATAATAGAGGCTGACATAAAATATCTGCTATCCCAAAGGAAATGCCGAGGGATACCTCCCTACTACCAGATGCATTGCAAAAGAGGACAGCATGCTCTTTAGTGCTGTTATTTCCTCTATTCTGAAAAAATAAAAAAAGAAAAACACCTTGGAATTGATTCTAGGTGACAATTTCTATTAGTCATTGTTTACAAACTATAAAAGAAAAAAATTACTTACAGATTCATGTAATTTCATTGTATTTGCCATACAAGTTCATCTATTTATTAAATGCTCTATGAACACACAGAGCTTTCTTTTCATTCATAATTGATCAAATTCGTTATTTAGAGACAGATTATTTCTGAAGTTATTACTGGCATTTCGTAAAGCTCTATATGAGCTTTCACATTTCTTTTAAAAAAAATCTATACTTCTTTATGCCAGGTCAGTCTTTAGAGGAAAACAGTAAGGGTTCAAGAGTCATTATTTCTCTCTTGTTTGTCTAAAGACTCCAGGTCTTTTTTGAAAATAAATGGAGTCATAAACCATATCTTTGTCCTCACTTTTTAGCATTTCTCCCTCAATATCTAATATGCCTAGCAGTGAAGATGCTACTTCTGTAAACAGAATGTGGAATTCATTTGTGAGTAGTGTTTTTGTTCTGTGTAGTACTAGTGATAGAAACATTTGGTTTGAAGCCAAAAGATGCTATTTTAGGCTTAGTATAATTTTCCAGCTGTTGTTGAGGAAAGCATGTTATACGTCCCCACCCTTTACACTGACATACTCATCTATACATTTATATTTTGCTGCCTTTTCAAATCAGTGATGCAGCTGCCACAATATGCCTCCTCCTTCCAGCAGGTGGTAGATTATTCTCTGTATAAAATGACATCATTCCCTATCTTGCAGAAAACATGCCCTCTGAGCTGAGGAAAGGGCAGAACCATTATGAAAAACAAAATTTAGATGAATTTATCACATTGTATTTAGTGAAACCATATCATATATTTTAGAGAATTAACAACTAAAGGCAATACAATCAAATTATTAATGGCATTTGAAGAAGAAACAGTAAAATATAAACAAAGATTTCAATAATTTAAATAGGAGTAACGCTTTGCCTTCTTTACAATCAACACTAAGGGAAACATAATTAGTTTGTGTGGTCCTACTGCTACTCTACTTCTTCCCCGACAGAAAGACAAACACTTGTGTTATACTTAAGATAATTTCTGAGCTTATGAGGCTATATTTAGCTGATGATTTGGTTATATGCTTTACTAAGCAATACCATAACAAACATTTTCATTACAGCTACAATGGCTCAGAACATTTTTGCTCCCAAACAGAAACCTATTGAATAGTCAATAAAAAGGGCTTTTGGCCGACATTCAATTTTAAAATGAAAAAGACATATTTCATATTTGTTTTCTAATGAAGATAGAGTAGGAAATGATGTAAAAAAAATCACAGAACCAATTGGGCTATCCAGTAGTTTACTTTAGAGATGAGAGTCTACACAAGAGCAGGTGATACCATAATATTTACCATTCTTCAATAGATATTTTAAATTATCTGACATAGAATATTCAGCATATTTTTCATTATCTTTGAAGGAAATAAAAATATTTTACACCAAAATATATTTTTTTGAAATATTTTAAAATGGCTCCCTCTTGGTCATCCTGACAGAAGTAGCTTTGCAAAGGTGTCTTAAGTGGGAAAATCGTGCATCTATAAAGAATCTCCATTAATCCATCCATACCCCCTCCCCTTTCTATCCCTTTCCTCAGACCCAGGAGAGATTGAGAGTATCACACTTTTTAAAGTCTGAAAAGAAACATTTACCATCTAGTCTCTCTGAGGGAGGTTTCATCCGAGTAACAAAGCCACCTTTGCTAGCCAAGCTTCTCTCTTTCTCTCTCAACCTGTCTTGCCACTAAACCTGATTTACCTTTTTCTGGCCATACTCTGAGTCTGCATTTTTTACTTTGGCCTCAGGATGATACATAAGTTCCTGTAATTCATTGGGAAGTTGGGTTTTCATTCTGACGGCTCCTGTGTGTGCTTGTTAAATAAATTTGTATGCCTTTTTTTCCTATTAATCAATCTGCCTCGTGTCAGTGATTTTCAGAAAACCTTTAAGGGGCCAAGAGCCCATGGCCCCCACATATTGTATATATTTTATGCACAAATATACATAAACAAAACCATGTTGATGTACACGAAACAGTATTTTCCTTTCTACATATGTTCATTACTTAGTTATTGTAAACCAGAAAGTATCTAAGATAGGTCTCTATCAATTTAGAAGTTTATCTTGCCAAGGTTTAGGATATGCCTGGAAGAAAAGAACACAGAATCACAGAAACAGTCTGTGGTCTGTGCTTTTCTCCAAAGAAGAACTTCAGGGTTTTAATATTTAAAGATGAAAAGTGGACTGGAGGGAAAGAGGTGAAACTATCTTTGCAAAAATTTTAAGAGAAAATTATGACAGGAAAAGAGACCTGACCTACCTGACTTCCTGTTGATTCTAACTTCCAAGCTGTCCTTGTTCATTCCTGGGCGTAGGCCAAACTAACTGTGGGAGGAACTTATTTTGCCATTGAAAGTGTTGGCAAAAACTGCAATTACCTTTGCACCAACCTAACAGTTTATAGTTTAACTTTGAAACAAAGACAATAACAACCCTTTCCCAAAATGAACCCCCTTCCTGCCTGGGGACTAGACTGCCTTTTTCAGGAGTAACAAATTAGCCACAAGATGAGAAATTATGGTTTAGAAGTCATGCAACTGGAGGCTACAAGATTCTGAACGTCCCCAAATTGTTCCTGGGGATAAACTCATTATTGTAAAACTTGAGATCAGAGCTTGAGATGTTTTGTAGACACTGTACTTGATGAATCAGCTGGCACCACCCAGATGGATAAACTGGGTCAGCTGGTGTTGTACCCCCTTCTCCACCCCGGGAACTGACTCAGTGCAAGACATCTTTGACATCCTGGAAGTTCATCTTGGACCCAACCTATCAGCACTCACCACTTTCCAACCCCCTCCCCACCAAATTATCCTTAAAAATCTGCATCCCTGAGTTTTCGGGGCAACTGATTTGAGTAATAATAAAATTCTAGTCTCCTGTACAGCCAGCTCTGCATGAATTAAACTCTTTCTCTATTGCAATCCCCCTGTCTTGATAAATCTGCTCTGTCTAGGGAGCCGGCAAGAAAAACCAGTTGGGAGTTTACAGAGGGAGGATATGGTAATCCACACATTTCAAGGGAAAAGGAGTAGGTAGGGGAATAGTCAGTTATGTATTCATCTCACGCATTTTAGATAAGATTAGGTGAACATAGAGTAGCTACCTTTGGAGATGTTTAACATTTTATTTGTACCTATCTGCCTAGGAACAAAAGAAAAGGCAGTTTCTTGCATGACTCAGCTTCCAGCTTAATTATTTTCTTTTGGCATAAGGAATCGGGGCCCTGAGTTTTTATTTTTCACTCCCATTTCCTTTAAATGTCATAAAAGAATACAGTAAGGAATCAATAGTTCTAATCTCTACTTTGTTAATGTTTATCAGTTCACCTTTTTTGTAATGGAAAAATATGTTGTATCATTTATGTGGGTTATAGAAGAAGCTGGACTTTAAACACATAGAGTAATTATAGCTTGTATATATTACTTCATAGACAATAAAGTATATCTGGGTTATGAAGAAACTTAAAGTTTTGAGGTGAAAGAGATAAGTTCAATTCATGCTACCGTTAGGAGAAATTAAATGCCTGTGTCAATAAACAGCTTGGGAAAGGATTGGCAAGCCCTCTAAAGCAAAGACACAAATTCTTCATTGTGACGGACTACCGATTACCAGAGTGGATAGTGTGGTTTGTGCTAGAAAGCTATTGACTTATTTATTATATCCTTCCTGGAAGACAATACAAGGTGTCATGAGGAAAGTGTTTCCAATATTGAATACTTTTCTGTCCTAACAAGATGAGCCCAAGAAGGTGGAGATAATAGATGGCAGTTATGTACTGCAGGGAGAAACCTTTTTTAATGACTTAGCACAAAGTAGTCCCCAGTGAGTCTCTTAGATGAACACAGAATGAAGAAGCTATGTACCACATTTTTAGAAAATAAAAAAGTAACACCTCTCTCTGCTAAGCCAATAATTAGCATGTGAAGTCAATGTTTATATTGCTTTCAAACTTCCAGAAATGCTGTGGAAAGATTAAGCTCAGAATTAGATAACATTAGGTAGCAAATTGATAACAGATACTGTATGTTTTTAGAAGTGATGTTTACGTTGTGTGCAGAAATGTTTAAAAATGTTTTTACATTAAAATTTTTATTCTAGTAGCTAATTTAACATAGTCATACAAAAATAAGAATTATAAGAACCTTCCATGATTCTACCAACCAGATATAACCCTTATTATCACAGTAGCATGTATCCTTCCAGTCTTTTTTCTGAACATATGTCGCTGGAATCTCAAATTATTGGGATCCATAACATTTTATATTTTTCCCCAATAATGCAATAAGTAGATAATTTAAACAAACCCAACTCTCATCCCTACTTACATACAACTCACATACTTCTTTCTTGCTGAATAGCACTTCCATCATTAGCATTTTGGACTGATTTTATACTTTTCAGGTGCCTTTCGTTACTAGACTGTTATAACTGAGAAATTATTATTTGAATTCAATATTGATCCAAAGCTTTGGTATTTGTCTTTCAACAGAGGCAGATCAATGACTCCAGTCCCTTAGTGTAGAGAAAGGTCAGTCTGGTACTGAAAATCTTCTTCATTTTTCCTTTTCTATTTGTTCCTCAGGGTTTGTCACCATTGAGTGATAAAGGTGTCAGGTCCCAATTGTCAGTTCATTGTTGGCTATGTGGATTTAGAATACATGGTACTTAGCAATTTTTGAACTTAGCTGTGTGCTTCAGGCACAATTCTGAAACAATAGGAAAAGTTTTGCAAAGCTATACATACACAAACATAGCCTTAATTTTTTATAAAAATGGGACTTACTATACAAATTCTTTGTAACTATTTTTAACATGTATTATATCATAACATTGTTCTATATTGAGCATCATTAATAAAACTTTCATCTTTTCTACATTACAATGATAACACATACTTCTCTTAACAATTGAAATGACATACAAATATTCCTTGATTTACAATGAGGTTATATCTAGATAAACCGGTTGTATGTTGAAAATATTAAGTCAAAAATGCATTTAATGCACTTAACCTTTAAAACATCATAGGTGAGCCTAGCTTACCTTAAATGTGCCCAGAACACTTCCATTAGCCTACAGGTGGGCAAAGTCATCTAACACAAAATCCCTTTTATAATATCTCTTGTAATTTATTGAATACTGCACTGGAAGTGATAAACAGAATGGTCGTTTCAGTTGTTTACCCTTGTGATTGCGCAGCTGACTGGGAGCTGTAGCTCACTGCTGCTGCCCGGCATCCTGGGACTGTATCCTGCAGCTAGCCAGAGAAGAGAGCAACATTCAAAGTATGGTTTCTAGTAAATATGTATTGCTTTCACATCATCATAAAGTTAAACAATTGTATGTCGAACCATAGTAAGTCAGGGACCATCTGTATTGCAAAATGCATAAAAGCCATGATAGTTATCTTTCTCTACTTCTCTTTCTCATCTCATTGAGATAACCAATGCTAATAGCCTAAAATGCTCACTTTCAATCCTTTTTTGTTGTTCATGAATATATATATATATACAGGCATATATATTTACATATATTATATCCACTGTTTTCTTTGTTATTAAAGTAGAATCATATGATATACACACACCTTTGCAACTTTCTTTTCCCCTGAAAGAGTGACTCCCCATCAGTTGGAAGAGTAAGATTTAACAGTTTTCCAATACAATTGTCTATAAATACAGATACATGTAGACAAATACAATTTTATTTAAATTAGGTTTTTTTCATGGGCACACCCGTTTCCTTCCCTCTCTTCTCTCAGGCAGTCTGTGCCAAAAAAAAAAAAAAAAGCAAAACAAAACCCTCAGGTATATAAATCTTTTCTTTTTTCACATAATCTTCCATACATTTTTTCCCTCTTTCACTCACACACCTGCATGAGTGTATAAAATAGAGCAATTGATAACTCCAAACACTCTTTTCTGCATATTACCTTTAAAAAAATCAACAGTAAGGCTTCGAATGATGATTGAAAAGACCCAGTTCAAATATACAGCTTCTCCTCAGATCCTTGGGGCCATACCAAGATGGAACACATTTATGGGGCCAATATAAATCTTTCTCCAAGGTGTCCATTAACCCTCGGATCTCTGAAGAGTAAACAATCAGCAGACTCAATTCAGACTCTGCTCCAAGGCTTTCCAGATTGTCCCCTAAAGCCTCCAGGTTACCAAGATCTTGTATTTCTCAAACAGCGTTTCTCAAACATTTGGTTCAAATCCCTTTATATTCTTGTTATTCAGGACCAAAATACTTTTATTTTTGTGGGCAATATCTCTGAACATTGATCGTATTAGATATGAAAACTAAGAAACTTTGAAAATATTTGTTCACATTTAAAACAGAAATAATAAATGTGTTACATGTAAACATACTACATTTTGAAAAATATTAAGTAAATTAATGCATAATAAGACTATATGCTATACTTAGGTGTTGAATGTGGCTATGGAAAGTTTTATAAAAATGACAGATGAATAACAACTCCTTTTCTGTTCATACACCTACATTAACTTTTTTTTTAAAATGTAAAGGTGTATTCTGTATTACAATTGTTCCTGGATAGAAAATAATTAGCCTTGACTGTTATGGAAAGAAAATAGAGATGACTAAGACTCCAAATATTTGATGAACTACCTGTTGTCATCAAAACGTTCTGAGAGAAATATAAAGTTGTCCTATCACAAGCACATACACGCTATGCATTACAACAGGACCTGTGTTGCAAACTCTTTGTGGCCTCTCCTCAGACATACGTTCATAAATTAGATGGTTCTGGCTCCCTTACATGTGTTCAACTTACAAAACTTGCCACTTCTTTTTGAAGAGTACCTAACAACTATGAACCTATCTACTCCCTCACTGGAAGCTTCTTCCCATAGTAAAAAAGGTGATTTGTTTCCTTAGCTTTGACTCATGTTAACTCTGTGACCATCTACCTTTGAGTGAAGGCTGGAGAGAATGAGTAAGTAAGTGAGTGAGTGAGTGTTTGTGTGTGTGTTTTATAGGGAGATTGCTGGCAAGGAGCTCCTCCTAGAGGTTAGGGAATGCATCTCCCAGTATGTGAAGTTATAATTGTTTTAAGAAACTAAATACAATGTCAAGCGTGCATATGCTCTGTTAGTATAGATGTATATATAGGAAACCAAATTTTTTTTCTATGTGTGTGTAAAAATTTTGTCTTCAGAAGTTGTGTCTTCAAACATTTGGGGTCTGTAAGAAAGTCACAGTAAATAAAAGTCATCTTGATCAACTGTGCCACTTTATAAGTAAGAAAAATAATAACAATCATTTGAAATCTGTTGGCTATCAGAATTTTTGAAATCTTGGACATATATCCCCCAAGCACAATGTTCCACCTTTCCATTTTCAGTGGTCAAAAATTTTAAATTGAAGTTTCTTAACTAGAACTTATGACAGAGATATTTAATAAATAAATTTAGATTTAAAGAATTCTTACAAAGACAGTATAGAGAGTTCCAGTATATCCTATGCTCAGTTTCCCCTATTAACAACTGAAATTAAAATAGTACATTTGTCATAGTTATTGAACCAATATTGATACAACATTATTAACTAAAGTTCATTTTAGATTACTTTTTTAGATTCCCTTGGTTTTCCTGTTTTTTTTCATATAAATTATTTATTAACAGACAAGGCCCACATGCCAATTTCTTCTTGGACACACCCACAGCAGGGCCACTGCAGCCAGTGGTCTTGGCGTCCTTGCCTCAGACATGAAGGCCCCAGAAGTGGCACAGCCCTCTATTGGCCTGAATCTTCTTCAGTCACTCCAGATCTTCACAGACCTTGTTTTCCAGACCATTGGTCAGGACCTGGCTATATTTTCCATCCTTTATATACTTCTGTCTGTTTAAGGACCAGTCTGGGATCTTGTACTGGGGTAGATTTTGTATAATGGTGATCACAGGTTCCACCTCATCCTCAGTGAGTTCTCCTGCCCTCTTGGTGATGTCAATGTCTGCTTTCCTCAACACCATGTGAACATATCTTCAACCCACACCCTTAATGGCAGTGATGGCAAAGGCTGTTTTCCACCGCCCATTGATGTTGGTGTTGAGTATTCGCAAAATATGCTGGAACTTCTCAGGGATCACTATGGATATGGCAGCAACACAAGTGGAGGTGTGGAGGCCACCTGTGGAACAGCTCAATTTTCCTTAACGTCCTTTTTCTGTCCTAAAATCCCAACCAGCATACCACATTACAATTAGTTGTCCTGTGTCCTGTGTCTTGTTTGTGATAGTTTCTCAGATGTTCCTTGTTTTTGATGACTGACAGTTTTCAGGGTTACTGCTCAGATACTTGGATATTTGGTAGAATATCCCTTAGTAGAGATTTGTCTGAACTCTCTTTTGTGGTTAGAATGCACTATATGTTCTGGGCAGTACTATAGAGTTTTATTTGGCCTCAGCATAGTAATCATGTCAGAGTTCCTGGCTCATGGCCAAGTTTCCCAAGAGATGGTCTTCAAGTAGAATACGCTTAGCAAAAGGTGATCAGGAAGTTCAGAGTTTCTAAGTGCTCAAGGGTGCTTTAGAACATGTACATTTTCAGGAAGTTTCTGGACCCACATAAATATTGTATTTGTTCCTTGTTCCTAGGAGGCTATTTAATATTATGTATATGGAAGGACAATCACCAAGAAAGTTAACCCAATACCCTACAAAGATAAAGTGGCTTTACTGATAGGATGCACATTCAACCCAATTTGACAGGGACATTTTCAAATTCTAGCGGTTGTCCCATTGTCATTTTTAATAGCCTCTGCTCTTAACTTAAAAATGCTGTAGGTTATATACTACATTTCATCATGGATTTATTTCCTACTGCTGCTGTAACAAATTGTCACAAATACAATGACAGAACACAGTTTTTTTTTTATTGTACAGTTTGGAGATCAGAAGGTAAAAGTCAGGTTTAACAGGCTGAAATCCTGATATATGCAGGACATCAGCAGACTCTGTGGAGAACCCATTCGCTTGCCTTTTCTCCCTTCTATTGGCTGTGGCACTCATGCAAGGTAAGATATTTACAGGTTTGAGGTATTAGGGTGTGGAAATCTTTGGAGTATCATTATTCTGATCACCATACACTGTAGTAACAAAGAGCAATTAAAAGTTAAAAAAAATCAGTTTTGAGCCATGAAGCTTGTGGGTTTTGGGTATAAGACTTAACTCTGATAATGCATTTAAATGTAACTCATTGCCCCTCCGTGCATTTTTATCATTCATCTGCTGTTCAGATATAAAAAGATAAATTATAATAATGTATGATAACTTTTGGTGATAAAATGCTGTGAGAAGGCAAATAGCATAAATTTATGACTGTGTTTATTAGCTACACTCCCCTCTCCTAACATTGCAATATGGACCAAGCAAAAGCAGGTGAGTTTATGTGGCAAAATCGTAAAATTTCCAAACAGAGTTTCTTGAGAGTTTCAAGGTCTCAACATTACGTTATTGGTTTTCTGCCTTACTAATTCTGTGATGTCCTAATAAATTAGACAACTTTATAGAGTCATTTCTTAAAGACAGCTTGGTGAATTTCTTCGGAGTGACTAAACAGAGGAAGAGTTGCCTGTAGATGTGGCAGTGTAGACAGTGGTAGTGGACAAACAAGTAATACGGTAAAATGGAATCCTTCTAAACATATGACTTTTAAAACTAATAGTTGATTTCTAGCACATTGCCAAGGACATTTCTAATAAGTGTAACTCAATTATTTCCATGTACATTTTAGATAAAAATAATTCAGTACCCTTCATGGTTAGATATTTATTCATCCATAGCTGAAGGCTGCTTTAATCTGTGATGGCATAAAAATAGCCACAAATATTTTGATGCTTCTTCTAATGAGAGGTGAGGTCTGTGAATCCTCCCTTGAGTTGGGGCTAGGCTCTGACTGTTTTAAATAATGTAGTATAGTGAAAATGATGCTATAGCGGTTTTGACTGTAGATTTTAAGAGGATGAGCAGCTCATTCCTCTTGGTGCATTGACCAACCATGTCAAGGTCTGACTGACCTGAGTTCTCCGTGCTGTGAGGAAGCCCTAGCTAATGTTAAGGTCATATAGAACAAGGGGAAGAGAGAGGGAGAGAGACAGAGAGAGGGAGGGGGGTGGGGGAGGAGAGAGAGAGACAGAGAGAGATACCTTGCTCGCTCTCAGCTCTTTCTGTTTACTCCAGACACGCAAGTCATTGCAGTATCCCAGTTGGGATGTTTTTGTGGATCAGAGATGAACTATCTTTGCTGAGCCCCACTCAAATTTCTGAGCCCAAAATTGAAAAAATAAGAAAATGATTGCTGTTCTATGCAAAATTTAGATTTCAGTGTGTTATATTTTACAGCAGTCGTTAATAACTGCATACTCAAAGTGTACGCCTTCATTCTTAAACAACTTGCGGGAAATCTCCCTATTAACTGTTTTCTATCCACCCTTCAAATTTTGGAGTTCCTTCAGTTGGCTCACATATGGTTTGTAATGCCTGGCTGATCTCTTTCAATGGATACTTTGCTTAGAGTATCTGCTTAATTATTCATTCCAGGTTAAACCCAGACTTAAAATTTGTGTTTTGTTTTACACTTTCTGTATGTGCCAAAGGCTGGCTCTTGTACATGTAAACTGACCTCTTGATCCCAGAAGTCTAACTGCGAGTTAAGTAGAGACAACCACTGATACATTTGGGATAGAAAATTTTGATTTTTATTATGGCAACCTGACCTAAGGGGCCATTAAAAAAAAATCTTAGAACTTTTAGCATTTATTTAACCCTTGCTTTAAAGAGTACACTACATAGCATATTTGAATTTGAAAAAAAAAGGTTTTCATATTTCTGTTGTTTTCAGAGTATTAAAATACACAAAAAATTACCACGTCCCAACTACTTTTCTAACCACTTGAGTTATAATAGTGAGCAAAAAAGGGCAAAGATCCTGCTGTCATCAAATTTTACTTTTAGTGGTGAGAAAGAGAAAATGTACATATAAAAAAACAACAAATATGTAAGTGATATGTCTGGCCATTTGGTCCTTTCTGGTAGCCACTGGACACATATAGCTATTTAAATTTAAATAAAATTTAGTTGTAAATTCAATTTAAAAACTTCAGTTCCCCAGGCACACTAGCCAACTTTCAAGAGCCCAGAAGTCTGCTATATTGCACAGTATGGATTACAGAAACTTTCCATCATCACAGAAAGTTCTTTTGGTTGGACTAGAAAAGTAAGACAAGATAAGGATAGGTGGTCACAATAATTTCAAATTCAAGAGGAATAAAGATATTTCTGAGTGTCTTTTTAGAGCATTATATAGATCTCTTTATGTGCCTCATAAGTATCATAATTCTCAAGAGATGATTAATTTTTCTTAGTTGAAAGAAGAAGGTGAATTTGTTGTTCTTCAGCATTCATTAAGGGCACAGTTTAGAATTTCTTCATCTTTCTTTTTTAAATCCCTTTACAAGAAAGGAGAGGTAGTATATTAATGATGGTCTTTACTACTTCTGCTGTGGTTTGAATTACACAAAATGTTTACAGATGCTATGAAAGAGCTCTGGATGATTACTGAATATTAATCATATTTAGATTAATGCGTATTTATTGTAAGAAAGAATGTAACATACAGTAACAAATCAAATAATATTGAAGCCTAAACTTTTGCCACATTAGGATTCAAATTTGACTTTCAAGGAAAACGTAATTCATAAAATATTTATTTCAAGAGATAGAATTTTAATTTAGTTAAATGTTATTGAACAAAATATATCAAACTTCTGCCTCTGGCTAATTGGATTTTGATTGCTTTTTAGTTATCATCTTCTGTCTTTGGTTCATCAAAAAGATCTATATCTGCACTCAAATTTTAGTGAAATAATTGTTACTCGCGCATACATATTTCTGTTATGATCATGTTATATTACCATTTAAATATATTTTAGGTGAAATGTTAATGAAGTGGAAAGGCTTACCACTGTGTCACTGAATAAAAAAATTTAACATATAATACTAGGAGATTAGAAAGAACAAAATATATTGATGAGAAAAAATTAAAACAATTAGTGATAGAAAGCCATAACAAACTTTGAATCAAAAGGAACTTCTTCAATCGTCAGATAAAAGTAGCTACAAAAATCTCTCAGTAAATAACTTATTTGATGTTAAATCAGAAACAATACATTATTGTTCCGTTTTTTTGTTTTTTTTTTTTTGAGATGGAGTCTTGCTCTGTCACCCAGGCTGGAGTGCAGTGGCCGAATCTCGGCTCATTGCAAGCTCCACCTCCCGGGTTCATGCCATTCTCCTGCCTCAGCCTCCCGAGTAGCTGGGACTACAGGCTCCTGCCACCACACCCGGCTAATTTTTTGTATTTCTAGTAGAGATGGGGTTTCACCATGTTAGCCAGGGTGGTCTCTATCTCCCAAAGTGCTGGGATTACAGGCGTGAGCCAATGCGCCCGGCCCTAATGTTCAGTTTTATAACATTCATTCTACGTATTATGAGAGGTCTTAGCATTTATATTTTCACAAAGAAAAAAGAGGGGCGTAGGCAGGGCATAATGGCTCATGCCTATAATCCTAGCAGTTTGGGAGGGTGAGGTGGGAGGATCACTTGAGGCCTAGAGTTCAAGACCAGCCTGGGCACATAGTGGGACCCCATCTGTACAAAAAGAAGAAGGGAATAAAGAACAAGAAAAAAGAGGTTCAAGGGTTAGAAAGGAAGCAAAACCGCTATTATTATTCACAAATAATATGTAATATGATTACTAAGTTCAATACAAATAGTCGCCAGGATTTCTGTTCAACAAGAACATCTATTTTTGGAAGTTTCATTTATGATAGAAATAATATTATGGGATAGTTATGAGTTTTATGAAAAAGTTTTATGAAAAATATTTATAAGTTTTATGAAATATAAGTTTTATGAAAAAGTATTTAAAAATGTTGAAAGATATTTAGAAAGTTCCAAATATGTGAAAGAAAATGCTATGCTCATAGATAGTCTTCTCCCATAAAGATATATATTGTCCTAAACTACTTTACAGAGTCAACAGGATTCCAATAAAAAAAGCAAAAAACTTATACAAACAAGGACACACATTACAAAATGGAGGAGAGAAGCTACAAGAATAGTTAAGGCATATTGAAAAAGAATAAGATTGGCTGGGGAGGGGAGCATTTTCTATGTGGAAAGATATATTACAAAATCTTAATAGTTAAGAGTATCTGTTTTGTCTCAGCAATAAACAAATACAGCAATGAAAAGGATGGAGAGAGGAGAAACAGACCTAACCATACAGAGATTAAAAACCAAAACTTTTAGATTCAGGGGTACATATGCGGTTTTGTCATACAGGTAAACTTGTGTTACAGGGGTTTGTTGTACCGATTATTTCATCAAGTAGTTACTAAGTGTAGCACCTAATAGTTCTTTTTTTTCTGATTCTTTCTTTCCTCCCACCCTCCAACCTCTGATTGGCCCCAGTGTGTGTTGTTCCCCTCTATGTGTCCGTATTCTCTCATCACTTAGTTCCCACTTAGAGGTGAGAACATGTGGTTTTCTGTTCCTGCATTAGTTTGTTAAGGAAAATGAAGTCCAGCTCCATCCATGTTTCTGTAAAGGACATGATCTTATTCTTTGTAATGGCTGCATAGTATTCCATGGTGTATACGTACCACATTTGCATTATTCAAGCTGCCATTGATGGACATTTAGGCTGATTCCATGTCTTTGTTACTGAGAATGGTGCTGCAATAAACATGCTTGTGCGTGTGTCTTCATGGTAGAATGATTTATATTCCTTTGGGTATATACCCAGTAATGGTATTGCTGGGTTAAATGGTATTTCTGTTTTTAGCTCTTTGAGGAATTGTCACTCTGCTTTCCACAATGGTTGAACTAATTTACACTCCCACCAACAGTGCGTAAGTGTTTCCTTTTCTCCCCAACATCGCCAGGATCTGTTATTTTTTGACTTCTTATTAATAGTTATTCTGACTGGTGTGAGATGGTATGTCATTGTGATTTTGATTTGCATTACTCTAATTATCAGTGATATTGAGCTTTTTGATTGCATACATGTCTTCTTTAGGAAAATGTCTGTTCTTGTCCTTTGATCACTTTTTCAGGGGGTTGTTTAATTTTTTTTCTCATAAATGTGTTTAAGTTCTTCATAATTGCTGGATATTAGATCTTTGTCAGATGCATAGTTTGCAAATATTTTCTCCCATTCTATAGGTTGTCTATTCACCCTCATACAGAGTTCTGATAGATTACTGATGTGATAATGTTTATTAGTCAAAATATTTGGAACATCTCAAAAAATAAGCTCTGAATATTAGTTATCCACATGAAAAAAATGAAATATTATACCTATGCCTAAAATCAAACCCAGAAGAATTTTAGAACAAAATTCTTATTCTCTAAGATAGGAATTAATTTCTCAAAGCACAAAAATCATGTCTTCAAAGGAGAAGTTTAATGAATTTTTCAACTATAACAAAAATAAGACATAGTCATCAAAATAACTATGAAGTAAAAGACAAGCTACACCCTAGCAGAAGATGTTTGCAACATATAGCACAGGAAAATAATTATTATTCAAACTACATAAATAATTCCTTCATGCCAGTGAGAAAAACTATATAGAAACCACATAGAAAAAAACAATTGGCAAATATGTAAAGGGAAAGAGGAAACATAGATATATATTTTATCTTATTTCTTCATAAGAAAATATAAATTAAACCTATAATGAGATGTCATTGTAAAGGACTGGGTTGGCAAAAATTAAAATAAACTAATAATACAAATGTTGTCATGGATACAAAATAGCAGGAACTTTAATAAATTGCTGGTGGTTTTAAAAATTATTATAAATACTCTGTAAAACCATTTGACAATATATAATAAAGTTGAATACATGTATATAGTAAGGCAAAATAATTTTATTTTTAACTGTGTACTTAAGACAATCTGAATATCCATAGTGAAATAGACAAACATATGTTGATATATATACAATGGTATATTATATATGAAAATAAATGAACTTTGGTTACATATATCACCATAGATACACTTCAAAAAAAGAATGGGTGAAAAAACATGTCTAGAGAAGTACTCATGCTATGATTTCATATATATAATTTAAAAAAGGTTATTCATATATTATTTAGAGATAATATAGATGGACAGGTAATATGTATGTTTTCTTGCTATTTTTAATCTTTGTAAAAATATGTAGTATGTAAAGAAAATATATATGTTATTTTTACTAGAATTGAGGTGAATTTCATATTTGTTAATTGCTTACCCAATACCTGGTACAAGACTTCTTGATACACATAATTATAAAGCTAGATATTATTGTTTTAAACAGCTATTGCCTTAGCATCTAAGACATACCAAAATAGTGAATTTTCTTTGGTTTGAAATATAGGACAAAGAGAAATTCCAGAGAGATAGGCTATTATTTGGGGGGCATCTTTTTACTGAAGAAGTTGCTATTTTGGGGGCAAAATAATGAGTGCTTTCAACAGCTTCCTAGGGCTAGGGATCCACTGGGGATGGAGATTTTGGAAATCATCCTCTGCCTTGGGTTGAGACTCCCAAAGGGTGCCCTCACGTAAGGTAAGCAAGATAAAATGTCCCTGCAAGCACTACCATCTGGGTTGCATCCTCTGGATGCCACAGTAGCACTAGCATGGAAGTGTCTCAAACCACTATAACCCAGGAACCAAGTAGAGACACACAACATTCTCTCTGGTAGAAGAAAACATAATTCTATATCTGACATTACTGCAACAAATAACTTTGTAAATACAAAGACAAGGTGTGGTAGGAGATAAATGAGAACTAATTTGAAAAATAAAAAGACTGCAGAAGCATATCTACAGAGAGGCCTGAGAACAACTATGCTTACTATTTTTAAACACACAAAAGCCCAATGTAAACATTTTATAATGAAAAGGGAGACAATAGATTTGGAAAAACTAAGACATGTTAGAACTGAAAAATAATTTAGAACACAATGAACATATTTAAGAGTAGATTAAACAAAATTAAATAAGTAATTGGTACCTGGAAGGTCAGACAGAAAGAATTATCTAAAATGAAATATTAAATGAAAAAATAGATGAAAATACAGAAGAAAGTATATAATATCTTTAAGATACAGGGAGAAAGACTGGCATACAATTTAATACAAATCACAGTAAGAGTGAAAGGAGAGAGGAAACCAAAGACACTATATTAGGAATAGTAGCTAAGAATTTTCTAAAACCAATAGGACATCAGATTCAAGGAAGCCGTCAAATCCGAAATAGGACAAAAATTATTGTACACTACTACACTGCATAGCAGACACACAGAAAAAATCTTAATGTAGCTATAGTGAAAGAAAAACATATTTTGTAAAGAGCAGTTAGTCCAATAGTTAACTTCTTGACAGCTACAATGGAAGCCAAAGACCGGGAAATAATGTTTTCAACTGGGCAGAAAATCATCACAAACATAATGAGATATCACTACCTATCCATTACATAACTAAATTTTAAAAGACGGAAGGAACCAAATATCAGTGAGGATATAAAGCAACTAGAACTCTCATACACAGTTCATGGGAATATAAAATGGTACTTTGAAAACAGTTTAACCGTTTCTTGTAAAGTTAAACTTACATATAATTTCTCGTACATAAAACTTACTTGGATTTCTTGGTGTTTCTGAAAAGAAACCTAGCCTCCCGAAACATAGAAACAGAAACTTACATGGTAGAAAGTTAAGATAGTTTGCTTTGACTTCCCCTAGAAACATTTTTTACATACTGTAAGGATTAGATTTATTTGTTCCCCTTATGACAGAGATAATTTGTCTGATTCAAAAAGATAAAGACATATCTTCCTTAAAGTCAAATGTTTACATCCAGGGATAGGCCCCTAGCTTAACTGTTAGCACACCACAGAGACTGGTAAGTAATCTTCCTAGATATTTGTATTTCAAGAAGGAATTTGGCTTCAGACATTGAACACATTTCTAGTTCTTAAAAGTTAAGATGTTTTGGTCTATCTGGCCCTAAGAGAGATTGCATTTACATACTAAAGCATTGCAGTAATGAGAAGACTTTTGCAGAGACCAGAGGGATAACTTCTCCCGTGTAAACAGAGAAAAGTCATTTTATTCTTATTCCATACCTATGAAGCATCTAGCCATTTGTGTAGGAAAAATTTCCATGGGCTCTTATTGTGTTGCCTCAGGGATAAGCCTATAGAAAGGCAAGGAAGGACAATATACTTATTAATCACTGTGAAGAAATTAATAAGAGATGTTTTTCTGATTCAGAACACTTTGTGTGCCCATTGAGGATGAAATTAATAAAGATGAGTATTAAAAACCCAATAATCATATAACTCAAGAATTCTATTCATAGCTGCTTTTCCAAAATAAATGAAAACTTGTGTTCTACAAGGACTTCTGAATAAATGTTCACAGCAGCTATGTTCAAAATGGCCCAAAACTTCTAACAAACCAAATGACAACACAGGTGAATGTATAAGCAAATTATGGTATATCTGTATGATGGAATACCCAGAAATAAAAAGGAATAAATCAGTGATATACACAATGGTATGGATAGATATCATGAACATTGAGCTGAGCAGAAGACAGATCCTATAGAGTATGTTCTGGGTAACTACTTTTATGTAAAGCTTTTTTTTTTTTTTTAAATCTAATCTGCAGAAATCTAATCTGAGAAACAGATCAGCAATTACCTGGAATTAGGAGTGGAAGGTGAGGATTTACTGGGAAGAGGAACAAGAAAACATATAGGGTGAAGGAAGTTTTTGATATCTTTACTCTTTTGGTGGTTACATGGACATATACATGGGGCAAAATTCATTGAAGTGTACATGTAAAATGGAAACATGTATTGCATGTAAATTCTACCTCAATATAGTTGACTTTAAAATTCTGTAAGGGTTGTCATAGGGTAGACGTGTGCTAAGGTCCTTACTATTCTGGAAGAAAGTTATTGCTTCACAGTAGCTTTTATTTGGTTTTGATTAATAGATTTTATTTTTAGAGCAGTTTTAAATTTACAGAAAAATTGAATAGAAAGTACGGAGTTCTCCTTACACCTTCTCCACAATTTTCCTAATTATTAATATCTCTAATTAGCAGGCATTTGTATAATCAATGAACAAATGTTGATCCATTATATTAACTAAAGGTCATAGTTTGCATGAGAGTTTCACTCTTTGTGTTGTACAGTTCGAGGGGTTTTGATAAACATACAATGTCATGTGTCTATGGTTACAGTAGTATAGGGGATAGTTTCACTACCCTAAAATTTACCTGTACTCTGCTAATGTTTTCCTCTGTCCCTTCCTGCAAATCCCTGGCAACCACAGGTCTCTAAAATTTTGCCTTCTCCAGAATGTCACAAAGTTGGAGTTATACAGCAGGTACTTTTCAGATTGGCTTCTTCTATTTAAAAATATGCATTAGAAGTTTCTCCATGTATCTTCTTGACTTTATAGCTTATTAACTGATTTCTTTTTAGTGCTAAACTATATTCCATTGCATTGGTGTGCCACTTTTTTTTATTCACTCACCTGTTGAAAGATATCCTGATGGCTTCAAATTTTGACAATTATGAATGAAACTGCTATTCCCTGTTATGTGCGAATTTTTGTGAAGACATAATATGCAATTCATTTGGGTTAATACTGAGGAGAACGATTGCTTGATTATATAATAAAAGTATGTTTAGTTTTGTAAGAAACTGCAAACTGTTTTCCAAAGTAGCTGTGCCATTTTTCAATCCCACTAGCAATGAAGGAGATATCCTGTTGCTTCACATCTTCAGCAGCATTTGGTCTTTTGAGTGTTTTGAATTTTGGCCATTCTAATAGGTAGGTAGTGATATCTCATTGTTTTAATTTTAAATTTTCTAATGACAATGATGTTGAGTATCTTCACGTGCTTATTTACCCCATATGCCTTCTTTGGTACGGTGACTGAGCAATAGCTTTTTTATCACTTGATGTCAGAAGTTATAAGTTCTAGGCTAACCAATAAAATAACTAAAATAGAGTATATAACTGATAGAAAAGAAGAGGAATGATTAAATAGTATACACTTAATTCAAAATATTACAACAAAAAAGAGTAAAAGGAAAAAAGAGTACAGAAGCAAATAGAAAAAGCAGACTAATTTTTGAAACTTAAATTCAAAGATTATCAATAAGTTCAACAAATATGAAGTTATTAACTAATCCAATTAAAAGGCAAAAGAAAGCAGAACAAATGCCAATGATATTATTTCAGCAAGAGACACTATAAAATATAAGATTAGCAATAACATTAAAGTAGATGATGGAGGAAGATATGTAAGTAAATACTAATCTAAATAAACCGATTGTAATTATACTTAAAATCACAAATCATTATTGATTAAAAAAACCCTTTGTAATAAGATTTTTTGCAGTCTATCAGGGAGAAATATAGACTTATAAACTCCTTTTTTGTTTTCAGATGGGCTCTTGCTCTGTTGCCCAGATTGAAGTCAGTGGCATGACCACGGTTGACTGCAGTTTTGACCTCCCAGCCTCAAGTGATCCTCCCACCTTATCCTCCCAAGTAGCTGGAACTACAGGCGTGTGCAATCGCGCCTGGCTAATTTTTTGACTTTTTGTAGAGATGGAGTCTTGCTATTTTGCCAGACTTGGTCATGAACTCCTGGGGTCAAGTGATCCTCCCAGCTTGGCCTCCCAAAGTGCTGGGATTACAGCCATTAGCCACTGTTCCTGGCTCATATACTCTTAATAACATAACCTCAAACTAGATAAAGCACAAGCTGAAGGACCTAAAAAGAGAACAAGTTTGCTACAATAATGGAAAAATTAAGAAAAATACCGTGGGAACTGAAAAACATAAAAAATCAGAAAGGTTATAGAATGTTAGAAGCAACAATTAGTAGTGTTACTAATTTATCCCAATTGATAAATTCTTAAAACAGAAACAAAACAAAGATGCCTATTACTTAGTGATATACACAATGATATGGACAGATATCATGAGCTGAGCTGAGCAGAAGACAGACAAACTATGCTTGTTCAGTATTATACCGAGAATATTAGACATTCTAATAAATCAACAACAATACATATAGGGAATAAAAGATGAAAATAAAGGTAGTTTGTCTAACAAAACACCATAAACTAGCTGGCTTGTAAACAACAGAAATGTACTTCTTTTTTGTTTGTTTGTTTTTCACGAGATGGGGTCTGGCTCTGTCACCCAGGCTGGAGTGCAGTGGGTGCCATCTCGGCTCAGTGCAACCTCCACCTCCTGGGTCCAAGCAATTCTCCTCCCTCAGCCTCCTGAGTAGCTTGGATTACAGATGTGCACCACCATGCCTGGCTAATTTGTGTGTGTGTGTGTGTGTGTGTGTGTATTTTTAGTAGAGATGGGGTTTCACCATGTTGGCCAGGCTGGTCTCAAATTCCTGACCTCAGGTGATCCCCCCACCTCAACCTCCCAAAGTGCTGGGATTACAGGCGAGAGCCACTGCACCTGGCAGAAATTTACTTCTTAACAGATCTGGAGGCTAAGAAGTCCAAGCTCAAGGCACCAGTGGATTCAGTGTCTGCTGAGGGCCTAGTTTCTCATACATGGTGACTTTGCTCACATGTCCTCTTATGGTGGTAGGGATGAGGGCCTCTCTGGGTCTTCTTTCATTAAAAACGTTAATCTCACTCAGGAGTATTCTGGCCTCATAGTCTAATCACTGCCCCAAAGCCCTACATTCTACTACCATCACCTTGGGGATTAGAATTTCAACATATGAATTTTGAGGTAACAAAAACATTTAGACCATAATGCATATATATATATATGTGTGTGTGTGTGTGTGTGTGTGTGTGTATTGAAGAAACAGTTTTGTGTGTGTGTGTGTGTTTATGTACGTGAATTCTCTCCAAGGCCTTTGTAGAGTCAATATAAATCCAGTTAAAATTCTAACAAATAGGTATATGTGATGGTCATTCTTATAAAGCTGCTTTAAAAGTTAAGAAATGTAAACCTCCAAGAACTGCTGACAGACTCAAAGGAGAAGAAAATGGAAAAAGTTTACTCTAGTGGGTGCCAATATTTACTAAATATCTATAATAATTAAGATGGTTTATACAGGTACAGGAATAGACAAATACATGAATGGAATAGAATATAAAAAGATATAAGAACACAAAATGAGACTGAATATGAATGGGGAGAAAGACACTGCTTTCAATAAATGTTGCTGGGAAGAAAATGGCTACTAATGTGGAAAAAAAATGGCTACATATTGGAAAAAAAAAAGACCAAGTCCTTTACTATACATCACACACAAAATCACAGATGAAGTACAGATTCAAATGTAAAAGACAAAGCAATCAGTGGTATATGTGATGGTTAATATTAAGTGTCGACCTGATTGGATTGAAGGATGCAAAGTATTGTTGCTGGGTGTGTCTGTGAGGGTGTTGCCAAAGGAGATAAATATTGGAGTCAGTGGACTGGGAGAGGCAGACCCACCCTCAGTGTGGGTGGGCACCCTCGAATCAACCGCCAGTGCGGCTAGGTTAAAGCCGACTTGCCGAGTCTTCCGATCATCATCTTTCTCTTGTGCTGGATGCTTCCTGACCCTGAATATGGAACTCCAAGTTCTTCAGCTTCTGGACCCTTGGACATACACCAGTGATTTGCCAGGGGCTCTCAGGCCTTCAACCACAGACTGAAGGCTGCGCTGTCAGCTTCCTTCCCTACTTTTGAGGTTTTGGGACTCGAGCTGGCTTTCTTGCTTCACAACTTGCAGACAGCTTATTGTGGGACTTCACTTTGTGATCATGTGAATGAATACTCCTTAATAAATTCCCTTTCATATATACATCTGTCCTATTAGTTTTGCCCCTCTAAAGAACCCTAATATAATATACACATTAAAATAAGACCAAATGTTAATGAACACATAGTAAGGATTTATTAAACAACACACAAAAAGAAAGCTATATATGTAGTCTCTACATATATATGTATGTCCACCCTGTATGTATATATATACACACAGAAAAAAAATCATGTATTTGTGTAGAGGATAAAATTTACAATATTTTTAAATGGCTGCATTGTTTGAAAGAGTCAAAACTGAAAAAAGTGAAAAAGCATGGCATATTCAAATATACATTAACATACAGTCACTAAAATGAAAAACAGGCAAGATGTCTAATATATTTTTCAATGATAACATTGAGCAAAAGAAGCCAATCTACATAAATGTGCACACTTAATTTTTAACAGAGGATAATCATTTAATAAAACTATAAAGAGATACAAGAAAATAATGATAACACAAACCTTTGTAATAAAGCCCGATTCCATTTTTCAGGTTTGATTGCTGACAGCATTGAAACTCCCGCCTCTCTGTCTTTCCATCTTGCCCTGTATCTGAGCAAGCCTATAATAAAGTTCACGTGCTCACTCCCTTAGTGCCAGGGAAGTTCCAACCACACAAGGCTGAAGCTCTGTACAGTGTGAGGACCCTCATCCTAGCCCCATCACCTAACTACAGTAAAAGACAAAGCAGTCACTTGTCCTTTCTCTCTCTAACTTTGCAGACCTGTTTGAGAGCCTCCTCTGCTCTCCCAGGAAAGCCTCACTATGAGTAATAAACTCCTCTTTTTGCCATATGGGATCGTCAGTCTCAAAATCTGAACCATATGTTCGTTGGAGGTTTGCTCCTACTGCACACCCTTACCTGGTGTAGCCCCCAAATTGCCTTTATAATGGTTGTCTCTGGGAGCTGGGGAGGAGAATGCTATCAGGCAAGAGCACACTGGACTCTAATTGGGGTACATGAATGCTTCCTTTCCAACATTGATAAAATTTGCATTTATGCTTTATATTGTTATATGTATGTTTTATTCTTCACAATTAATACAAGAAAGAGAATGCAAAGGGATAACAAACACGACAACTGAGATAGTTGTTACTCATCACAGCAAGGCAGATGGCTACCACTGAAGAAAGGGACACACAAGTCTTTGAAATTACATTTCACGAGCTTGCTGGTAGGTCCACTGGTGTATGATGACGATGAAAATGATTATGATTATTAGAAGAATACATGAGTATTATGTATGGTATTAAATATTTTAGAACAAAACTTTGTTTTTAAGAATGAAGCAAGTTGCTTTGTTACAAAGCATAAAAAGCTTATAAGGAAGTAACTGGGGATTTTGGGGAGTAAAATTGAAGGTACAATTTGGACCCCATAATAACATTTGTGATTTTACACTTTTTTCTATATACTACAGAAGAAATAATATTTTGAATGAAAGCTGCACATCATTTTTGCTATCATTTCTAACAGAATAAACATGTTTAGTATGCTCATTTATTACTACCACAGAGAAAGGGACAACTAGTTATCTCAAGTTCTAGGAGTGTGAGACGGGAATGCTCATTTTCCAGGATGAGGTTATAATTTGACACTGAGGAAAGCTGAGTTTGACACTGAGAAATCTTATCTCTAATCAGAGATATCCAAAGAGTGAGTAATATAATTAGAATTAGATTATGAAAAATGTTTATTCATAAGCTTCTGGTTTGTGAACTTTTCTTTTGGTTCTGTGTTATGTAAGAGCCAGACAGAAACACAATGCTTTTTGTTCCCTCATAGTAGTCTTTATCTCTTTATCCCCTGTATTACATTTCTATTTCATTTGGTAAAACTTTTATTTGAATTATTGTTTCTATTTTAGTAAAAGAAAAAGGTAATGTAACAAAAATTATGATTGGTGTTCAAATTTTAGATTCAATTTTACTCTCATAATTTAAATTCTCCTGTGTGCTTCTTTATTAGTTTGCACATTTGAAAATGTGAAAGCTTTCCAGACTATGTTTTACTGTAAGAATATCTTTTAGAAACAATGTATGCTTTCATAATTCCTTTCAGAGAGAACGAAATATAAATACATAAATCATAGAAACTAAACTTATACAGGCTACATGTAAAGAGCCAAATCAAAAAATTGTGTCACGATAATATTCCAAGCAATTAATTTGTGTTTTTTTCTTGATATTTAACCACCCCCCTCCCCATTAAGTTAGTTGAAAGTAGAAGTTTCCAGAGGACAACCCCCCCTTCTGGCTTTTGTTTTAGATACGTGAGATTTATGGGGCAGAGTTGGCTAAGGAAAAGACATACAGGTAGATTAGTGACTTTGGTGTTGGGGTTTTAAAGCAGTAATTGAGATTTCCACAAAACCAGCAAGGAAGTTTTGGTTTCAAATTAAATAAAGACTGTGATCCATGCTCCATTCCCTTCCTGATCACTGGAATTGGAGACAAGATTTCGGACGAGAATGATTAGATAACACTATCAAATAGGAAGACAGGCTCTTGGGCACCAAGACTTCCAATCAGGGAAAAGATTACAAAGGCTAAGCCTTTCCTGCCTTCCTGGGCCAATCTGAGTTAGGTTAACATGCCTATTTGCAGTTACCCACCTGGGCCAAAGACAAAGCCTCCTGGAATGCCCTCCTTTGATTTGGAGACTTGCCCACTCAGTACATCAAACTCTTGGGTAGTGTGGGACATTCCTGCCAAACTAATGGGAAAATAGAGTCTTTAATTCAAGTTGAATACTATTTTTGAAATATAACGGGCCAGGCACAGTGGCTTACTCCTGTAATCTCAACACTTTGGGAGGTAGAGTAGGGAAGATTACTTGAGGCCAGGGGTTCAAACTAGCCTGGACAACAAAGAGAGACCCTGTCTCTACAAAAAAATTAAAAATAAGCCAAGCATGCTAACACAAGTTATAGTCCCAGCTACTTGGAAGGCTGAGACAGGAGGATCCCTTGAACCCCGGAGCTTGAGGTTGAAGTGAGCTGCTCATACCTGGGGATAGAGTGAGACCCTGTCTCGAAAGAAATAAGAGAGAGAGAGAAAGAAAGAAAATTTAACACTTCTTGCACACGTGAGTATGTGCACCTAGAATTATGTGTGTATACTTAGAATTATGTTTATTTTGCTGAATCACGGTCTTCTATTTGGTCTTCTAATAAGTATTTCATTTTTTTTCAAAGATGTTATATATTCATTTGTCTTCTCCTAATTTTATTTAAATAAAGCAAGACTCACTTGATATTCATATAACATTACAAAAAAAAAAGCTTGTTAGAAACAGTAAATTGGCATCATGGATAGAATTGTTGCACTATTTTTTTCATGTCTTTTATTAAACTCAGTGAATTCAGTCTGTTTCAGACACTGCCTGCAGCTTTTTGGAAAAAAAGACACATGTTTTCATGCATTTTATATAATTTACATTCAGCAAAGATTTAAAAAGTAATTGAGTACAGGTTCATGAAGAAGTTTATATATATAACAAAGAGTAGACAAGGAAAGTGGTTCCTGCTAGTAATTTAGAGAAAATCATGTGAATTATGCTTTTAGAACAAAATTTAATGAAATTGTGCTAAGATATGGTTTATCTAAAGTATTCTGCATAATTTTAAGCCCATGAATACATAAACACAATTATGATTCCAAGTTAAAATGTTCTAGTGTCAAACTTGGTACTGCTGCCAAAATATTAACAGAAAACAGAATATTTGGCGCATAGAACCTATCGGTATTTTTGAATAATGCTAAAAATTATGGGAAATAGACAATATTTTTCATCATGTAGTAATGTTGGTATTCAGTTTTTGAAATAACAGAAATATGAAATGAAAATGAGTTATCATAAGCTTTCTCTGCTGAAGTTTTAGTGAAAATTATACTGAAAGAATTCTCCATATTATAAATACTCCAGAAGCCTCAGCTTTTAACACACCAATGAACTCAGAACTGAAATGTCTGGCACAAAGACCTTGACTTTTAGAAGAGTCCTTAGTTTATGAATTTTACTGACTTACATTTAAAACATCGACCTCATACTTCCTTTTCTTTTTCAGGATTGAGTTTATAATTACAGCAGATGAAACAACTTAGAAAAGTAGAGGTAGCTGGCTTTTTGCTAGAAGCATGCATTCTAACAATAGCCAGCAATGAAGAGTCATAACTGAAAAACAGACATGAAGGATGAGAACAAAGAAAAAGCACTGATACAGAATTACAAATGCACAGCAACATTTGTAATTTAAAGTTTAAGGAAATAATTTCACACTCTGCAGTAGCATACATTAACATCTTACCTTGTAATCAATCAGAAATAAATTACCTTAATAACTCTAACTCATCATGTAGAAAATTTTAGAAAAATTTGACATTTCCAGGAAAATGACACATAAATCTCCAAATTTGAATTAAATAGCTTACATACTCCTCTAATTCTTGAGAACCATATATTTTTTGAGTCAAATGTGCTATGAGAATCTAAATATATGGGGATGTTGTTTTTGACTTGCATTCAGTTCTTATGTCTCTCATGATAGGAACTAAGAAAGGTTCCTATATGTTTCGTGTTCAATGCTTTTTACTTTTGTTTTGGCATTTAAAGATCAAGAAGAAATAACAAAACTTGACAAAAAGAATGATGCTGGAGAATGGTCTAGGCTCATTCACTACACCATTTATTCACTTTCATTAAAATACATTTTGTCATTAAATATATATGTCTTTTATGGAACATTATTTAAAATATCAGGAATATATGGACACTTCTGTCAATTTTGAAGGATGTTTAACAAGTCATGTGGTAAACTGAATGCCTTCCCCCAACTGTCCTCACCATGATCCCTTGAATCTGTGAATATATTAGGTTATATGACAAAAGGGATGTGCAAATATAATTAAGTTTATGAACCTTAAATAGGGAGATTATCCTGGATTGCTCTGTGGGCACCATATAACCACATAAGCCCTAAAAAGGAGAGAACATTCCCTGGCTGTTATAAGAGAGGAACGGCATTAGAATTCAGAGAGATTCAAACCACGAGAAAGACTTGCTGGTTTGAAGATGCAGGGACAGCATGATGAAGAACACAAGTGGCATTAATTTGCTGACAAAGGCTCCTGGTGGACAGCAGGACCTCAGCCCTGCAACTCCAAGAAAATGAATACTGCCAACAACCTAAGGAGCTTGGAAGCAGACTCTCCCAGAGCCTTTAGGTAAGAGCCCCGCCCAGCTGACACTGATTTTGGCCTTGTGAGACCCAAAACAGAGAAACTAGCTGAACGCATCTCAACTTCTGACCTACAGAGCTATGAGAAAAATGAATGTCGATTGTCTTAAGTCACTAAATGTGTGGTAATCTGTCATAGCAGCAGAACAAATATAAGCCATTACACATTTACATTTTTTTAAAAGACAGTCACATTTCAATGATGTGGTTATTTGAACTGTCTGGAATACTCAATAATGCCAGAAAAATTACTTGTTCTTCAGACTGTGGTACCCAAGGTATATAGTTTTTCACCGTGACTCTGTATTGATTCTGTTTCTACAAATGAGAACAGAAATATTCACCATAAAAAAATCTCATAAAGAAACTCAATTGACAGATAAAAAGGAAAGAAAGACAATCATAAGTTAATTTTACTCAGCATGCTATGAGGTTAATGTCTAGAGGCCTTATAATGATATAACTCCATATCAATACTATCAGTAGTAGTTACAGACATTATAATCAAATGATATCAGATAGAAGAAAATAGTTTAGTTAAAAGATATTTGAAAATAATGGGAAATGGGAATCCAGAAGAACTAAATATTAAAAGAAATCTATTGACAAAATCATTCTATTTTAGAATACATGTGGCTAAAATGTATATATGTCCTGAATTTCCAAAGATAGGTGTTTATTTATCTGTCTCTTTCTGCTCCTCACAAACACATGCAACACACAATCCACTCCATTTGTATTTTATTTTGCTTCAGAATTGTGTCAAAAAAAACTTTACACATACATGGAAAAAATAGGCATTTAAACTGAAATTGATAAATCAGTTTATTTCCTGCAGAAAAAATATCATAGATCATGAATTAAGACAATTTTTCTTTTCATTTCCTTTCTCATTCTATTCTAGAAGAGGTTTAAAGAAAATACTGGGTAAGTTATATCATCTATTGAATATTTTAGATCCTTCAGTCCTATCCATGTATATTAAAGTAGGGGATTGCACTGTGTGTATTGTGTGAGTGTTTCCATGTTCTTTTCTCATGTAGTTGATCACCACAAGTCAAGGACTGTGCTCTTTTCATTCTGCTAGGTTTTATGCTCATAACAGTATTGTATAATAGGTGTTACAGCCCTCTTTGCTTCAGATAAAAGTTTTGTAAAATTTAGAAATTTGTCAAAGACCCTTAATTAATCAGCGGTGGAACTCATATTTGAATCCAGAATCATCTTATTTCAGAATATATGCCTTTTCATCTATGAGTAGGTATAAGTCTCATAGGAGAGTCTTAAATAAGCAAATTAAATTATCCTTTTCCAATAAAATGCTAAAGTTTTTATAGTAAAGCAAGCTGTTTTATGCAATCAATTCTAATCAACTGATTAGCAAAGTATAGAGAAAATATTACCTGGTGTCATTTATGGTAAACAAATTATGATGCATTTCCTAAAATCCTGAAAAATAAAATAATCTCATTAGTGTGTTTAAGGCATTTTAAATCCCAGTGATATAAATCCATTTTGTATAATTTCAATTAAGACATTACAAGTTCTCAATAAACATTAATGAGTGTACATAACAAATATTCTCATCAATTCAGTTTATTACTTTTATATGTATTAAGATAAAAGGGTAAACACTTATTCTTAATGAACTTAATGAACCTTTTAAAAAATCTGTGTAGATTTCTTATGTGTGTGTAAAACCTTATGAACCAGTTGTTGATATGCTAGAAATAAAATATAATTAAGAAATGAATTATATTAATATATAAAATATTTCCACATCTAGAGTTAGCAGTGTAACTTAAAATTTGTTTTTCCAACAAAAGGGACCAGCAAAAAGCTTACAGCAAAACAAGATAGTAGGGCGTCCTGGAAGTCAAGAGAAAAATAGATCAAAGAGTGAGATGTGGTCAATATTTCAAATGTCATCAACATAGTGAATAATATAAAGACCAAGGAAGAGCCATTGTATTGCGCTACATGGAGCTCATTGGTGACTCTGACAGTTTCAGTTGTAGGGTAGATTTGAAAACCATAATAGAGAAAAGTTACGAGAGAATGGGCAAAGGAAGATGAATAGGATATAGTTAAGTACAGGCAAGACCTTGGAATTTTTCTTGTAAGATACTGCAGAATAATTGGTCAGTGTATGGAAAAGGCAGGATGAAGGAACTTTGTTTTACTAAATAAATTAATAATTTAAAATGTATTAGAAAAATACTACGTTAAAAGCTATGTTGATTTTTAATTTTTATATTGTTTATATTTTTAGTAAAATATTTCCAATTTTATGTACTTTATTTTATTTTATACTTTGAGGCAGGGTCTCTATGTTGCTCAGGCTAGGGTGCGAGCAGAACAATCATGGCTCATTGCAGCCTTGACCTTCTGGGCTCAAGTGATCCTACTACCTCACCCTCCCAAGTATTTGGGACTATAGTTGTGCACCACCAGGCTCAGCTATTTTTTAATTTTTTGTAGATATGGGATCTCACTGTGTTGCTCTGGCTGGTCTTGAAATCCTGGGCTAAAGTGATCCCTCTCTCTTGGACTCCCAAAATACCAGGATTACAGACATGAAACACTGTGTCCAGCCCTCCAATTTTATGTACTTTAAGTGCAAGTGCATTTTACATTTTCGTTTTTTACACCACTGTCAGGAGAAAAACTACGTAAAAAGTCTTGATTGAATCAACATCATAACTGACTTTGCTCAAATAAAGATAAATAATTTTAGAAAAACTATTTATAATAAAAAGTATTTTTATTTTATTTTTTATCTAAACATTGCTTCAGGGGGTGCAGGCCCCAAGCCTTGGTGGCTTACACATAGTGTTGGGCCTGTGGGTGCCCAGAAGTCAAGAATTGAGGTTTGGAAAGCTCAGCCTAGATTTCAGAGGTTGAATGGAAATGCCTGGATGTCCAGGCAAAATTCTGCTGCTGGGGCGGAGCCCTCATTGAATACATCTGCTAGGGCAGTGCAGAAGGGATATGTGGGGTCAGAGCTCCCACCAAGAGTTCCCAGTGGGGCACTGCTTAATGGAGCTGTAAGAAGAGGTCCACCGTCTTCCAGACTGCAGAATTGTAGATCCACCAACAGCTCGAACTGTGTCCCTAGAAAAGCTACAGACACTCAACATTAGCCTGTGAAAGCAGCAGGAGGAAGGCTGTATCCTGTAAAGTCACAGGGGTGGAGCTGCCCAAGACCATAAGAAACCACTTCTTACATCATTGTGATGTGGATGTGAGACATAGAGTCAAAGGAGATCATTTTGGAGCTTTAAGATTTGACTGCCCCACTGGATTTTGGACTTGCATGGGGCCTGAATCCTCTTTGTTTTGGTCAATCTCTCTTATTTGGAATGGGTGTATTTAACTGATACCTATACCTCTGTTATATCTTGGAAGTAACTAACTTGCTTTTGATTTTACAGGCTCATAGCCAGAAGGGACTTGTCTTGTCTCAGATGAGACTTTGGATGTCAGACTTTTGAGTTAATGCTGAAATGAGTTAAGACTTTAGGGGAGTGTTGGGAATGCATGATTTTGTTTCAAAATGTGAGGACATGAGATTTGGCAGGGGCCAGGTGCATAATTTTATAGTTTGTGTCTCCATCCAAATCTCATCTACAATGTAATTTTCATAATCCCCACTTTTCAAGGGAGGGAGCAGGTGGGAAGTGATTGGATCATTGGGGCATTTTCCCCCTTGCTGTTCTCATAACAATAAGTCTCACAAGATTTGATGGTTTTATAGGGCTCTTGCTCACTCCCTCTTACCTGCTATCACGTAAGCCATGTCTCTTCACCTTCTGCCAAGATTATAAGTCTCCTGAGGCCTCCCCAGACATGCAGAATTGTGAATCAATTAAACTACTTTTCTTTATAAATTACCCAGTCTCAGTTGTCTTTATATCAGCATGAGAATGGACTGATACACTACTGTGCTTGTGTAACTTTGAAGTTGCCTTCCCAGTGGAATTAAATTATTGTTCAGGTCAGGGTACCAGAAAATGTAATCTGAAAATCTAGAAATTCCAGAAGTCTTCTAGGAGGTTAGTTGGATTCTAGCTTTGAGTACCTGTCTCAGATATGATTATAGCATGAGTGTTTGAGGTAGGGTGTGGGAAGAGCTCACTAGAAAAGAGGAATTCCAGAAAATGATAAACTGAATTATTAGGAGTATCATTTACTATTATGTTGTAACTAATAAAAATCTAAAGGAGGAGTGTTGTGGCACCAGTTGATAGTGAGCTACAGCAAAAGAAAAAGAAAGGAAGAAAAATCTCTAAGAAATGAGACAACCTGGGGATCAGTAGATCACATCAAAAATGTAGGATTCTGTGTGATATATGCTATATTTACAGAAGATTCAAACTTTGATGGCATTACTACAGGACTTCAAGTCTCGCCTACAATGTTTACACTGCCTCCTACCATATTTTAACATGCTTTCTTAGATAATTACGTATCTCATATATATATGTATAGACACACACACACACACACAAACACACACATATATATAGTTGATCTTCTGTATTCATGAGTTCTGCATCTGTGGATTCAACAACTAAACATAGCATTAGCATTGTATTAGTTACATGTAATCTATAGAAGACTTAAAGTATACATGAGATTGTCCACAGGTTATATGCAAATATCATACCATTTTCATATCAGGGACTTCAGCATCTGAGAATCTGGGTACCTACAAGGAGTCCTAAAATCAATCTCCCACAAAAACTGAGGGATTAAGGTATATATTTGATATAAATACATATACACACATATATATATAAGTATATAATTGTAATCCTATTATACAACATACAATTACATTGCTGATTATATCAACTAAATCTTAAGAGGCATTTTACAGCTTGCATACATTATCTTACACAAGTTCATAGGTATTAATTCCAGTTCCATACATATTTAATCTGTATTTTGATCAAGAGAAGGTATTGTGACAGCAAATAGGGAACAGAAATAGCATTGAAAGCCATTATCCCAACCAGCTTACTTTCTAATTGAGAGACAAACTTAGTCCATAGTGATCGTAATACTAGGAAGAATATGATAAATGCTATGAAAAACATGATAAAAGTTTTTAGTCTAAAGTGATAAAATAAAGGAGATGGTATGTTATCTGAATGTTGAAAGAAAGATTTCAGAGTGTTAATGTGAGAAAAGACAACAAAGTAAAGAATATGATAAGAAAAAGTTCAGAAGTAGGAAAGCACAATACATTTGTGAAATATTTACAGTTTGGCTGGAGCATTGGTTGGAAAGGAGTAAGGAATAAAGTTAAAATTGTAGGGTAGGATCATACTGTAGATCAGCTTTAATGTCAAGGTGATTCATTGTGTAATGTTTCTCTAAGTACCAGTAGATAAAGTAAATAAATTTATTTGAAGCATGTTAATCGAAATTTACATTTGCTCAAATGTTCACTGAAGAGAAATGTACTCTATATTTTTGTAGTGTATATGTCAATTCTTATTACTTGGTATGTCCTAACATGTTATATGCCAGATTTATCTTATTTCCAAGTTCAGAAGTACATCTATTTAAAGTAGAGTGTTTTATCTTTTGATTAGCTGGGATGACCTTTTGATCACAAGATTTTTTTTCTCTCTTTTTTTGTATCATGGATTGTATTCATTAAGCTTTTACCAGGAGAAAGAAAGAATGTAGTAAACAGAGTAAAATCAATTATAACTCAATTCAGCTCTTGAAATTTTCTAGAATACTTGTACAACACAAAAATCATAACCCTAGAGATTTCTTCTCCTTAGAGTATATATATTAACTTGAGCTGTTCCGCTACAGCTTTCTTATAATAGTTCTTCCACCCACGACAGTCCTTATTAAGACTAAGATCTGAAATACTGTAGGCTTAATTCTCCTTCAAACCAAGGAAAAACATTTTTTTCTTTACATTTACAGAGCACTCAACTGAATTCTGTATATTTTATTTCCTTTTGACGCATAACTCCAAAAGAAAGGAAGAAAGATGTCCCATGCTTTCCATAAAAGAATGACTCAGAGTTAAAGCTGTCTTCTAAGTAATATTACATAAGTAATTTTTTCAAAAATATATTACTTAAAATATTAGTCCATCTGTTTGAAAAATATAAGGCAATAATTTTAACACATAGGAAATTAGTATTTATCTATAAAAATATTGCACACAAAATTGAACCAATGCTGAAATAGAATAATAAATCAACATCCCTGAAAATAAATGAATTGCTAATCCAAATGCCCACTTCCTTCTTCTCCTTACCTCTAAGATTTCTGAACAAGATAGATGTGTTTCAGGTTAGCATTACTAGACCTTTAAGATATTTCTTCTGAATTGTACACAAAATGCTTCAGAGAACAGAAAAAGAGAGAAATTCCCTCTTATCATTTTTAACAATCTTATTGAAGTGACATGCAATAAGCCACACCGATTTAAATCATACAATTTAATAAATTGTGACATTTGTTTATACCCTGAAACAGTTACTATAATCAAGATATTGAGCAAATTCATCTCACCACAAGTTTCTGCTGTCATTGTGTAATTCTTTCTTGCATCTCTTTCCTAGATTCTTTCTGCAAGTATTGATCTGTTTTCTGTCAATACAGATTTGTTTGTATTTCATGGAATTTTAAGTAAATAGAATTATGCAGTAAGTACTCTTTTGGGGGTCTAACTTCAATTCTAGATCATTATTCTGATATTCATCCATGTTGTAGCCTGTATCAACAGTTATTTGATTCTATTTCTGAGTAGTGTCCTAAATGTGAGGATATACTACAATTCGGTTTGGTTTTGTCTTAAATTCACAGATAGTCATTTTGAGTTGTCTCCAGTTTGGAGCTTTTATGAATAAAGTTTCTATGGATAAGTGTTTTACCCAATTACCCTATAAGGGTTTTTGTTTATTTATTTATTTATTATTATTATTTTTTGAGATGGAGTCTCGCTGTTGTAGCCCGGGCTGGAGTGCAATGGCGTGATCTTGGCTCACTGCAACCTCTGCCTCCCGGGTTCTAGCAATTTTCCTGCCTCAGCCTCCTGAGTAGCTGAGATTACAGGCACCCGCTGCCACGCCCAGCTGATTTTTGTATTTTTAGGAGAGACGGGGTTTCACCCTGTTGACCAGGCTGGTCTCGAGCTCCTGACTTCAGGTGATCCACCCACCTCGGCCTCCCAAAGTGTTGGGACTGCAGGCGTGAGCCACTGCACCCGGCCTATTTTTTTTTATTTTTATACCTGTAATTTATAGATGAGGAATTGAGTCTTACATATGTAACAGGTTAATTCTTCATCTATCAGTTAACTAAAACTATTCAATTAATAAAGAAGGAATAGTGATTCAAAATCATGTCTAACTTCAATAAACATCCTTTACTATTCATCTTCATTGAACCAGTGAAAAGAAATTATCAAATGTACCTTATAATGTGAAATGTTTTGTCAGGTCATGATACTGCTGGGAACAGAAGGACATAGTTTCAATCATGGTTATTCTTAACTTCTGAGACAGATTAATTTTTCACAGCTCCCAAGATTCCAGTTATTAAATATAGAATGCCAAATATGTCAGCATTATGGCTTAAATTAAATTTTAAAGTGCAAGAAACTGTACCAAATAAATATATCATGAAGTACCATCATTTAGGCGCAACATTAATGGCATATTTGGGGTGAATAAAACAAAAATGACAAAAAGAAGTTTACATTGTCGCTGTGTGAGAGTAGATGAATAAAGGCAAAAGGCAGTCTTAGAAGAAACTAAGATTTTGCATGTTTCTATATAAACATTTCCAATGATTTCAGGCTGCAGATATTAATGTGACCATAATAGATGTGTTTCTCGTATATATTTCTCCCAGCAATATGTTACATTTCAGATAAATTTCCTATTTAGGAGTGTGAAATATTATGCAATTATTGGAAGAATAACAAAAGTGTGAATGTATGCATTGAGTCTTGTTTTGTTTTACAGTTTATTCTTATACTTTTTGTTATATGTTGTTCGCAGATACTTTATTCCCTAGGAAGTACACAAAATGGAGTTATGGCTGTCTATCTGGGATAGTGTATTTGCCTTTTAGAATGATAGGTTTGGTCACATTAAAGTAAATTTGATCAAGCCTGTTTAGAAAAGCCAAGAAGAGAACCCTAGAGACCTTTTCGTCACAACTAAGGATGTGATATGGATAAAAGGATATAAAGAAAGGTACAAAACAGAATTCTTTCCTTAAGATTAAGCCTTGTTAGAATCAAGTATCATAAGCAAGTGTTTCAAACCAAGGATCAGACTTTCTATCTAAGAATGTGAGGGATTAGCAATCCTTGGAAATCAAAGTAGAAGAAAGATGAACATTAGTGAAATCTGACAATAGGGCTTAGATACTGGACTGAAGTAACGAGAGGCCATTTGGAGAATGGGAGTGAAGTCAGAAACTCTGGCACTGAGAAGAAGAGGATGCACAACAAAAGGTCCAGAAACTGGAGAAGTGCCACAGGATATGTGGATCTCATTTCAATGAATCGAAGGTATGTGGTAGAAACTCAGTTTCAAGAATATTTTGGAATAAGGCAAGGACACAAGACTTGGGGACTCAAGATCTAAGTGGGGCTAGCAGTCAACTGATACCCTGTTGATTAAGTGACCCCAAATCATATATCATCTGGCTAAAAAGAGAGACAATCCTTAGGAGTCAGGTCCAATAATTTCTAAATTTTTAAGAAAAAATTAATTGTGACAATCTTGAAGCACAAATACTGCAGAGACAAGAGTTTAATCTGTCCATTATGTGCATAGTCCTAACCAAGATAAAAGGTATCTCTGGTATCCCCATGCTCAATTATTCCCAGATTCAGTTTGAATTAATGAAACTCTATACAGATCTAGGGTTCTGATCTTGTATAAAATATGCTCTATTAACTGAAATTCTAAGTGCCATATTTGAAATTATTGGAATGTCACATATGCAAGAATCACATTGTTCTCATGAATGGAAATATCCATGAAAAACCTCTGCATTTTATAAAATAACTAAATAATAAAAAGAAATAGAAGCAAAGCTAGAATATTTCTATTCTGGGTAAGGAAATCACATGTGAGAGTATGGCAGGATTACTTTTTCTTCCTAAGCAATGCTCAAGGAAGAGAAAAATGGGTAAAGAGGCCAATATTTATTATATGCTTTTTATGAGCCATAAATACACAATTATCTCAACTGTTTCTCACAAAAGCCACAGTGCATATTACCACCATATTACATATGAGTGTCCTGAAGAAGATATTAAGTATTTCATCACATGGGTGACAAAAATATACAGTTCAATTTTAAAATGCATTTATATCTTTCTAAAGTTTGACTGCTTTAAAATATATCAGACTGCTTGCTTAATTATAAAATCGACTCTAACTGGATCATAGCCATTTATGTAACTCAGGTCACAGAGCATATAATAATAACTATGAATATGTCTCTGAATAATCAGATGCAGAATGTACTTCCATATTTAGTAATATGTTTATGCATCTTTAATTTAGTGCTAATAGTTTCCTTACTACACAGTTATTTGCTTGGTTTCTTAGTAGTGATTTTAAATACACTCTAATTTCCTCTGATTAAATATTAAGCTCCTTTATAGTAAGACCATAGGCAATTTATTAACAGTTTACACAGCACAAGAAATACATTTTTAATTATATTCTATTGGATGCATCCCAGTTTCCCTTTTTCAATATTCTTTACCCCGTTTCCCATTTGTGTCATTTCTCTTAATCATTTTAGACAGATAGTATAATAGATTTTTGTATAAATTGTCATATATTGCTTATGATTAAGAAATATTAACATTAGTTATACATTTCTATATCTTCTGATAATCATGAATTCATTATGCTATGCATATTTATGGACACAAACTTCATGTTACACATTCTTCTTGATAACAAAAATGACCAAACCCCTGGATATAATTCAAGCAGTCTTATTTTACTTGACAGATTCCTGGTTTTTCAAAATATGATTTTTGGACAACTTTCATCAGAAAACCTAAAGGGCTTGTTAAAAATGGACACGTCTCGCTCCTATCCTAGACTGACTGAATTAGAATAAGTCGGAGCAGAACACAAGTCTGCAGTTTTAAAATGACATGGAGGAATTATTCTGTACCCAAAAGCTTAGAGCAAATAATCTGGTAAAAGCCCCTTAAGGTACTGACCCTTCCTGAAGTCAGAAACTTCTCTGAAGAAGTAAGCTGTTATGTAAGTGGTCATGTTGGAGAAGCCACATGGCAAGGGACTGTAAGCAAGTTCTCAGAGCTGAGTAGCCTCTACTTAAGAAACTAAAACCTTCAGTTCTGCAGCCACAAGTAAATGGATTTTGCCAACAAACTGATGGGGCTTGGAAGTGGACCTTTACTCCATCAACATCTAATGAGGCTTCTGCTGACACCTAGATTGCACCTAGTGACATTCTAAAATAGAGGATAGTTAAGCCCAGATAAGCCATGCCTGACTTTTGAATGGTAAAAACTGTGACATGATAAATGTGCATTGTGTTAAGCCACTAAATATGCTTAAAAATGCAAACATAGAAAATGAATAGAAACACGTATAGCTAACCACATATGTTATCACATTGAATACAATACTCCTATAATGTAGAGACATTTAATATCTATACTTTACTGTGGAGGAAAAATAATTTTTAAATAAAATATTATATCCATGGTCATATAGCCAACAAGTAGGAGAAGTAATATTTAGTAATGTTTGATCCAAAAGTGCATAAGTCTAGGACCCATTCTCATATAAGACCATTAGGAGATCAATATAATATGAATTATACATTCATATATATAAAATATAATATGAATTATAGATCAATTCAATAAAAGATCAATATAACATGAGACACTTATGGGTGAAGATTTCCTAAAATCACTAATATCCTTCCTAAAAATTCTAAAAATTTTATGCTTCTGTATCAGCAGGCCAATGAAGCGTGTATTTGTAGATTTAAATTAGGACAAATACATATTACAATGAGAAATTAACATCTATGTCTGTCATCAACTTGCTGGTAGGCAAGCAACTATAAGTAGCTTTTCTAATCTGTGTTGAGATCAACGCTGTGTAGGAGTAAATCCAGGCTCTTGCAAAGTGCAGAGTATGTACATCAGGTAAAACAGCAATGGATACTAGCTGAGCTGGTAATTATTTTCTAGGCCCATGTCTTAGTTCCAATAAGGCGAACCTGTCTGAGTAAGGTAGAAACTCAGCAGATCGATTGGGATCTACTGGCCCCCAAACATCTTGCCAAGCTCTGTAGGCTGACAAGTGCTAGCCTGGAAGTCATGCAGAGTAAGTTCTCATTTTGGAAATACCTGAATGAGACTTAGGGACTTGCAGGTTGCAGACTTGTAGGGCCCCTTGGCTCAAAATCACCCTCTACCCTCAACCCTACATACAGGTCCTTTCGGTACTCTACGTAATAAACTCTGATCCATGGACCAAATCTCACTGAACACCTGTTTTTGGATGGCTCATGAGTTAAGACTATTTTTAAATTTTTTTTCGTATTTTTTTTTTTCTGAGACTCTGTGATATGGTTTGGCTGTGTGTCCCCACCCAAACCTCATCTCAAATTGTAATCCCCACTTATTGGAGGGGGTTCCTGGTGGGAAATGACTGGCTCATGGGAGTGGATTTCTCCCTTGCTGTTCTTGTGATAGTGAGTTCTCACAAGAGCTGATGGTTTTAAAGTGTGGCACCTCCCCCCTTGTGCTCTCTCTCTGTCTCTCCTGCTGCCATGTGAAGAAGGTCTTGCTTCCCCTTCATCTTCCGCCATGATTGTGAGTTTCTTGAGGCTTCCCCAGCCGTGCAGATCTGTGAGTCAATTAAATCTTTTTTCTTCATAAATTACCCAATCCCAGGTAGTTCTTTATAGCAGTTTGAAAATAAACTAATACACTCTGTCAACCAGACTACAGTGCAGTGGCATGATCATGGCTTACTGCAGTCTCAACCACCCTGGCTCAAGCAATCCTCCCACCTCAGCTTCCAGAGTAGCTGAAACTATAGGCATATACAAGCATGCCTGGTTAATTTTTTTAATTTTTTGTAAAAACAGGGTTTCATGATCATGATATTGCCTTGGCTGGTCTCGAACTCCTGGACTCAAGTGATACTCCGTCCTCGGCCTCCTAAGGTGCTGGAATTACAGGCATGGACCATGGCAACTGGCAAATATTTTAAATGGTTTTTTATAATAAAAAATAATACTATTTTATGACATGAAAATTATATTACATTCAAATTTCAGTGTCCACAAATGAAATTTTGTTGGAACACAACCACACTTAATTTGTTTATCCACTGCTTATGGCTGTTTTCCTGCTACAATCACTGTGTTGAGTAGTTTTGAGAAATCTGATGGCCCTCAAAACTGCAAATATTTGCTATGTGGCCTTTTCCAGAAAAAAATTGTTGACTCTTATTCTAGATCATCTCTGGTCAGAGATTGGGGCCAAACTGTATTTGTAGACTTAGTTTTCATTTGTTTAGGAATTGAAAGGGGTATAGTCAAGAGGCTAAAATCCTTTTTACTTCTAGTTTGGAGGAATTAAGGTAGAGAGGTAAATACACCAATTATAACTTGCACGTTTAACAAAATATGCAATTTTAAAGTATTCGGGAAACTCTCCCTCTAAAACACACACACAGACACACATATACACACATGCATACACATGCACAAAGAAGTGACAAACTAATACATATTCTAATAGTGAGTTCAAGTGAGAATAACATTAGCTCATGAATATAAATTATGTTGAATTTATGTGATTAGTAAATTGACATTACCGTATTTACTACATTTTCATGGAAAATACTCTAAACCTGAAAAAATTATTCCTAATAATTAATACATCCTTAGAAAGAACACATGTGAATATTCTATACAAATGATTTCCTCCATTAGGTTTGAAGAATACAAATTTTCCAACATTGGGGGAAAAAATAGAATCATACTAATGTTTGAATATCTATATATCTCCATCATTAGTGGTATTTAGAAAAAGTCATTTGTGTTCAAATATTCCCAATGGTAGTTTTTGCTAATTAGTGAAAGATTGCTTAAGAAAATCATAAATATTATACATGAATATATATGTTTATCTATCTAAAAACTCAACCAAAATGTAACCAAAAATTAGTATGTTCAAAAGACACCAAAAATTTCCTAGATGAAAAGAACATTTCTTGCTTGTTAACATAGGTCTACAAGCTTTTATAATTTTCCAAGTGACATTTTTATAGATTTAAAAAATTATTCTTGGTCTCTCTCAGTCCTTTAAAACAAATATTTATTGTCTGTCATGGAACTGAGGCATGGAATTTTTAACGTATTTTTTTCAACCTCCCCAAACAACATTGACTCTTAAAAATATACTGAAGTATCTCTGTAATTGTAAAAATTTGATACTAACATAGGGCCTAAAATGCATTTTTTAAAATGATTATTTTTACTGAGACAAAAGGAACTTAAAATTCAAAATGAAATAAAAATGAACTTAAATTAAAATTGTTGAAGATATTTTGATAATTTAAAATAATTTTAGTAAAAAATTAAGTGGAGATTGAGTTCTTATGTTGACATCCCAAGTAAAGTAAATTTTGTGTCACCCCACACAAAAGAAAAAAAGATTTTGCTTTGTCTCTCAAACAAATCCCCCATGCACTACGAATGTTCCTGAGAGACATAGAGTTTCATTACTTAAGAAGAAATAGCTAGTCTTGAAGAATTGGCTTGCGGTAGATGAGCTTCTGGGAGTTTGTGAAGATAATTCTATCATGAATAGTAATGAGTTTAGATATGGTATTCGCTGACTGCAGTGAGAATATAGAGAAAATCAAGGAAGGTTCCAACATCATCAAAGCTCTATGGATTCATGATTTGAACTGCCAATTATCTCTTTTATTTAAGGGCAAAGCCAAATTGTGCAAATTATAATCCATATTCATTACTGTTCTCTAGGGAAATGGTTGAAATCCCAGCCTCCTCTTTTGAATGGCTTCCTTTTGTCACAGAGATATTCTCCTGGAAAAGTTATGTCTTACTAGAAGACAGTAATTCACATAATGTCCTCACACACATAAGAAGATCGGATTTGGCCCTGGGAAAATTATAGTTATTTTGCTGGAGAAAATATTCCGCCTTATTGAGTTAACTTACATTTAGAAAATGGTAACAACAATAAACCAATTGGGTGGTTGAGGCTTCAGAAACCACTTTTGCTATGCAGATATTAAAATTTGGGGTAAATATTCATATACCATGGTCACTGTTATCCAGAAGGCATAAGAACACTTAAATGTGCAAGATATAAGTTTATTCCTTAGGATTTGTCTTCTACCTTTGTGCATACATTAATACTGGTAAAGTAAGGTGAAGCATTCCTTATATAATCATTTAAAAAGGTTATAGATATTGTTTTGAGCTTCAGTTCATTTAATTAGACAAATTTTCTCATTTACTCAAGTGAACATTACAATCTCAATTCCAGTCTTTATGTTTTAAATATACAATGGCACTATGTGCCAAATGGTTTTGAATCACGTTCTAGATACATGATAATTTTATTCTGGTGACCTAATCAATTCTAACTATTTTGCAGTGTAGTAGAGTACAGGCTTTGGATTCAATACCATTTTTCAAGGGAAGTAAGAAAATCTGCTTTGCATTTAAGACTATGATGTAATGTCTCACATTTGCAGATTATTTAAAATGAAAAACAGGTTTTCACCACTTGGAAGCTTATATTTTCAGTGGTATTCATGACAGGCAAAGCACATTTGAGGCAAAAGTATATATATATATGACTTTCAACTGGTGGGCCTGATCAGAGCAGGTGACATTAAATAATTAACAAGTTCTCTTTCCTAACCACACACCATGCTTTAATTAATATCATTCCTTAAAATAAGGGGTTGTTTACCAATGCTGCCTCTGCAAGCTGATTGCTGCTCACAGAAAAACCTCTGAGACATGACTATGCCCAAGGGATTGCTTTCACTTCATTGTTTACAATAACTACAAACAAAGAGCTGCAAAAGCTCATCTCGCCATGAGGCATCCTGACAATCTGCCAGTTTAGTCACCAATAATAATGAGACTGGCACCAGCAATAAGCTCAGTGCTAATCTAATGAGGGCCTGTTTCATTCCCCCATTGATATTACAGCAGCTGCTAAGCACCCGATGTTTAGGACATACAAACAAGAGGTGTGTCTCCAACTAGTTGAAAGATAATTACCCCCACAATATGGCCTTGACGGCACACACAAGCAGCAGTGCCATCTTATTTTTCTGCAACATTTCCTAGAGATAGAATATCTTGTCAAGAGTACAAAACTAATGAGGTCATCTGCCTATGCTAAGCTTGAAAAAGGCTCAATTAGTTGTTATTGTTGCTGGTGGGGTTTTGTTGTCACTGTTTTGCTTTTTTTTTTTTCCTCCAGTCATCCATGCAGATAAGAACATACATGTGATTTACGAACTTGTGTATATAAGGACCATGTGATGTCACTTCCTTCACTTAGTTCCTGGGGTGAATGCAATTACGAACAGATGGGCAAATGACATGATTCCACTGCTAATGAACTTCCCTACTGAGGAAGAGGACAGTGCATTACCCTTTTGTACTTCAGACTCTTAATTATCACTTTTTTTTTCCAGTGTGAATATTACACATGCAAACATCTTTGAATTTAAGTCATGTTGATGGAGCATTATGGACATCATTAACTGCCTCTGTTCTGGTTGGGAAGCAACAAATGCTTCTGAATGCTGCAGAATAAGACATCTAGTATGGGCGGAATTGTCGCACTGGATTCTAAATTCATCTCCTATAAGTGAGGAGAGATCTTAGTAAACATGTCATTTGTTAAGGGACAAATGTCAGAAAGATCCTTTCATTCTCTATGTTTTACAAGAGAAGGAAGGGGAAAAATATAACTAAAAGCATTGTGCTCAAGGTGGGGACATTTCGTGCATGCTTCAGTGCATATGTTAGAAGCTAACTGATCCTTTAATTCAGCCATAGTTATAATCAAGTACTGTTATCATTAGAAATTATTCATAATGCACTTACAATTTTTTAAAACAGGTCTAAAATCTTTTCCTGACAAGATATCATAATTACCCTGTCAGTAGGCCAAGAGAATTGGGTCATTTCCGTAGTATTCAAAGAGGGGTGTTATGAAACCTGGGTCACATCCTTATCCTAAATATCCAAAGGATAGAGGGTTCTATAAACATGTATCTACTAATGAACATTCCTCATATACCTAAGCAAATCAGATTTATGGGCCTATTTTAGACACTCTAGATAATACATCAATTTAGGAAATGGCTTGGTTTGCCTGTGTTAAATTCAAGCTCAGATCTAAAGCTTTGAGTATTTGAAGCCCTGGGATGAAATTTTGTGGTCTTGAATATTAATGACATGCTACATCTTATGTTCCTCAGATTTAGGATTGACATTTATCAAATATAAATACAGAACACTCAGTTACATTTGAATTTCAGATACAAATAATTTTTAGTATAAGTGTGTTTCATGCAAAATTTTGGACATACATATACCAACTTTGTATCTGAAATTCATATTTAATTTAGTGGCCCGTACTTTATCTGGGAACCTTACCCAGAATAAAAAGAGTATGTTTCCTTTTTCAGGTTGGTTATCTAATTTTTAGTGTTAGCATCACCTAGAATTAAAGATAAATATCATTATTCCTTAATTGTTTAGCATCAGTCATTTATTTTGGGATTTTATACGTTTCTAGATTACTCTACTTAACTCACCATATTTTCTTAATTTGAGCTGATTATTAGCAATTCCTCAATTGGAGAAGATAAAAATAAAACGAACAAGAAAATTTCTTTGTGGGGACAATGTCAAAAATGAAGCCTAGTTTGCTGAAGATACAGAAGAATGAATATTGGGGGGTGAATCATGAGTTCTGATGCCATCATACTCATTTATTGTGCATCCTTAGACAAATCAATGAACTTCTCTGAGAACCATCTTTCTTGTTAATAAAATAAAATAAAATAAAATAGGTTCATTTAAAACATTTTAAGATTTTATTGATTTTAAAATAGTATTTTTTAATTATAGTAAATCCACCCAAAAGATATTTTGTCCCATTTGGCCTTAAAGATGGCAGCAAAACATAAGCTGGTTGCCTCATCTCAAATTGTTTAAATCAGACAATAAAAAAATTATTGTACATTTTTTTCCTGTTATATGCTATGGAACTGATAATATAAGCCATTGTGTTCTTTTTCCATTTCTGTAATAACAAAGTACAGTGGGCCCTGTGTATCTGAAGGTTTCCCATCCACAGATTCAACCAACTATGGATCAAAAATATTTGAAAAAAAAAAACACCAAAAAAACAACAATTCAACAATAAAACCAAAGTTTTATTGTTTAAATTGTTTTTAAAAACAATGTAAAAAGTAATACAGTATAATGACTATTTAAATAGCATTGAAATGGCATTAGATATTACCAGTAATCTAGAGAAGATTTAAAGTATACCAGAGAATGTGAGCAGGTTATATGCAACTGCTAAGCATTTTACATAAAGACATAAGCATTTATTGATTTTGGCATCCACAGGGATCCTGGAATCAATCCCCCATGGATATCAAGGGACAATTGTACCACAAATTTAGTGACTTGAGACAACACACATTTATTATCTTATACTTCCAGAAGTCAGAATTTTGAAATGGCTTTCACTGGGCTAAAATCAAGGCTTTTGAAGAGCTTAGTTCCTTCTGGAGGTTCTAGGGAAAAATCTATTCCCTTGCCTTTTCTCGCTTTTAGTTGCTACCTGCATCCCTTGACTCATGACTGCTCCCTTCATCATCAAATCTGGCTGGGTGGCATTTTCAAATCTCTCTCTGACTCTTGATTCCCCTGCCTTTGTCATACAGGGACCCCGTGATTACATTAGGCCTACCTGGCTAATCCAGGATAATTTTCCCATTTCAAAACTCTTAATCACATCTTCAAAGTCTCTTTTGCTGTAGAAGGTAACATATTAACTGGCTTTGGAAATCAGGGTATAGTAATCTTGGAGGGCCATTATTCTACATATCACAGGCATTTATTCACAGATTCAGTCAAAATACCAGTTATTCATTTCATTTATAGTTACTAAACACCAAGGATTTTTTCAGACAATGGACTTGCTTATAAAGAGACATAGATAATACATAGAATTTGTGCCCTAAAGAATCTCAGTGGAAGAGACTGACAGAGAAGCTGACAATTAAATTATGGACAATTAGGGCTAGAAGTCATGTGATGACATTGGAAGACACCTTACTCATTCTGAAAGATGGAATGTTGAAAGAAATACTATCAGAAGGTGGGACTATCTAAGATAAGTTGTGGAGAGTAACAGTGGGCTTGGGCAGGAGATTCACTAAGAGAGAACAGCATGAGCAAAGGCAAAGTCACAAGTAGGTTTCTTAAAGATAATAGTAATTAGATACGGGCATATACACTGTGGAGAGGTCAGTGGTGATCAATGAAGCTGAAGCTGAAATCAAAGCCCTAGATCACAGAGGGCTTTATATATGTTAAGGAGAAGGCACTGCAAGCACTGAAACAATTCAACCAGAGAAGTACATGATCAAGTGGGCCTTTAAGGAAAATGAGTATTGTTGTGTGAGAGTGAGTCAGCCTTATCTACTAGGATACCAGTAATATAAATATTGCTGTGGATCACATATGAGATTGACACTATTTTAGGCAGTGGTAATAACTATGGAGAGAAGAATACGTATTTCAGTGAGACAGGAACAATTGTATTTCAGGAGCAACAGAGTATAAAGATTAAAAGACTTGACGAAAAGCTTTTCCATACTTATTTGGTTAAGTAAAAAGAGTTTCCATTTGTGAAAATATAGAATACAGAAGGAATATATTGTGGTGTAAAGATGATAAGTTTAGTTTTTATTAGTTTAAAATTAGGGTGCTAAGAAAACTGTAAGTTGATTTGTTTGGTAGACAATTAAATTTATAGTGTCTAAGGCTCTTTGTAAAAGTCAGCATTAGAAATATAGATTTGAAATTTACCTAAATACAGATGGTAGAAGCCATGACAATAGATGAACTATTCCAGGAAACATTTTTAGAGTAGAAAAGTCAAGAAAAATGAATAGAGGGATATGATGGAAACTAATTATCTAAAGGACAGACAGAGTCCATAAAACAGATTGAAAAAGACAAGCCAGCTGGTTAGAGGAAAAACAAATAGAGACTAAGTCATGAAAGCTGCAGTAGGAGGGAGTTTTAAGGACCATACAGTGATCAAATCAAATATGATAAAAGCTAATAAATATTTAATGTGATTTAGAAACTAGAGGCCGTTGTTGACCTTGCCAAAAATAAGACCTTATTTATAATAAACAGATAATAAAGTTGAGGAGATGATATAAAGGATGTTACATGCATGCATGTGCATACTCATATGCACAAAATATATAATCACATGTAGTTGGGTTGGCCTATAAATGAAGTGACCACTTATTTCTTGCCCTTCTGACACCTTTGCCTGATCTTCCACTTTTAGCACTGTGTTGCATTTATCAAGTGGCTCAATGGACACAGATTTAAATGAGCTGTTTTCTCTCTTTCTCTGTCATTTCAGATTATGGTAAATTATTTCCTCATTTCTGAAAGTCATAGGTGTACCTGCTACTGGGAAAAGCATGAAAAACATAATGCACTTGCTTCTTTCAAAAATATTCCTTTTAGTTAAAAACACTTAGACAAGACGTGAAGCTTCAGTGAGAATTTTATTATTATTTTTTGACCCAAGGATTTTCTAAAACTAAAACATTAGAATTTTTTCTATGCTTTTTAAATTTTTAATTCTTTTATTTCATTAGGTTTTTGGGGAACAGGTGGTGTTTAGTTACATGCATAAGTTCTTTGGTGGTGATTTCTGAGATTTTGGTGCACCCATCACCTGAGCAGTGTACACTGTACCCAATGTGCAGCCTTTTATCTCTTGCCACCCCCACCCTCTCCCTCGAGTCCCCAAAGTCCAATGTATCATTTTTATGCCTTTGCAACCTCATAGCTTAGCTCCCACATATGAGCGAGAATATACGATGTTTGATTTTCTGTTCCTGAGTTACTTCACTTAGACTAATAGTCTCCAATTCCATGCAGGTTGCTGCGAATGTCATTATTTTTTTCCTTCTTATGGCTGAGTAGTATTCCATGGTATATATATATCCATGGAATACATATATATATATGCACACATTTTCTTATCCGCTCATTGATTGATGGACATTTGGGCTGGTTCCATATCTTTGGCATTGCAAATTGTGTTGCTATAAACATGTGTGTGCAAGTATCTTTTTTGTATAATGACTTCTTTTCCTCTGGGTAGATACCTAGTAGCAGGATTGCTGGATCAAACTGTAGATATACTTTTAGTTCTTTAAGGACTCTTTACAGTGTTTTCCATAGCATCTGTGCTAGTTTGCATTCCCGTCAATAGTGCAAAAGCATTCCCTTTTCACCACATCCACGTCAACATCTATTATTTTTTGATTTTTTGATGATGGCCATTCTTGCAGGAGTGAGGTAGCATCACATTGTGGTTTTGATTTGCATTTCCCTGATAATTAGTAATATTGAGCATTTTTCCCTGTGCTCATTGGCCATTTGTTTATCTTTTTTTGAGAATTGTCTATGTATGTCCTTAGCATTTTCTTTCTTTCTTTCTTTTTTTTTAAACAGAGCCTTGCTGTGTCGCCCAGGCTGGAGTGCAGTGGCGCAATCTGGGCTCACTGCAACCTCTGCTCCAGGGTTCAAGCCATTCTCCTGCCTTAGTCCCCTTAGTAGCTGGGACTACAGGTGCATGCCACCACACCCACTCAGCCCACTTTTCGATGGGATTGAATGTTTTTTCTTGCTGATTTGTTTCAGTTCTTTGTAAATTCCGGATATTAGTCCTTTGTCGGATATACAGATTGTGAAGATTTTCTCCCACTCTCTGGGTTACCTGTTAACTCTGCTGATTATTTCTTTTGCTGCACAGAAGCTTTTTAGTTTTGTTAAGTCCCATCTACTTATTTCTGTTTTGTTGCATTTGCTTTTGGGTTCTTGGTCATGAAGTCTTTGCCTAAGACAATGTCTAGAAGGATTTTTCCGATACTATCTTCTGGAATCTTTATGGTTTCCGGTCTTAGATTTAGGTCTTTAATCCACCTTGAGTTGATTTTTGTATAATGTGAGAGATGAGAATCCAAAATCATTCTTCTACATGTGGCTTGCCAATTGTCCCAGAACTATTTGTTGAATAGCGTGTCCCTTCCCCACTTTATGTTTTTGTTGGCTTTGTCGATGATCAGTTGGCTGTATTTGGCTTTATTTCTAGGTTCTCTATTCTGTTCCATTGGTCTATGTACCTATTTTTATACCAGTATCATGTTGTTTTGGTAAATATGGCCTTATAGTATAGTTTGCAGTCGAGTAACTTGATGGCTCCAGATTTGTTTCTTTTGCTGAGTATTGCTTTGGCTATGTGGGCTCTTTTTGGTTCCATATGAATTTTAGGATTGTTTTCTAGTTTTTTGAAGAATGGTGGTGGTCTTTTGATGGGAATTGCACTGAATTTGTAGGTTGCTTTTGGCAGTATGGTCGTTTTCACAATATTGATTCTACCCATCCATGAGCATGGGATGTGTTTCTATTTTTTGTGTCATCTATGATTTTTTTTCAGCAATGTTTTTTAGTTTTCCTTGCAGAGGTCTTTCACGTCCTTGGTTAGATATATTCCTAAGTATTTTATTTTATTTTTCATTTTTGCAGCTATTGTGAAAGGGATTGAGTTCTTGTTTTGATTCTCAGCTTGGCTGCTATTGGTGTATAGCAGAGCTACTGACTTGTGCGCATTAATTTTGTGTCCTAAAACTTTGCTGAATTCATTTACCTGTTCTAGGAGCTTTTTGGATTAGTCTTTAGGGTTTTCTAGGGTTAGCAAGGTTTGAGCCTAAGTTCCAAACCTGAGGACTCTAGAAAATTGGATTATAACATCAGCAAACAGAGACAGTTTGACTTCCTCTTCACTGTTTTGGATGCTTTCTTGTCTGATTGCTCTGGTTAGGACTTCCAGTACTATGTTGAATAGAAGTGGTAAAAGTGGAGATCCTTGTCTTGTTCCACTTCTCAAGGGGAATGCTTTAAACTTTCCCCTGTTCAGTATAATTCTATGCTAAAACAAACCTATGCTAATATTATTCTCTCCTCTTCAGAATGAAAAGTTTAAAAATAAGAAGTCATCGTTTTTAAAGAATAAAGAAGATCCTCAACAGCATCTAGACCTATTTGCTTTAGAGTCAGAAAAATTCTAATGTTGTAATTTTCCGCAAGATATTTTCTCTGTGTGAGCGTTGTCATTGAGGATTTTTTCACTGATAGAGGTAAAAGACATTCTGTATTTTTAAGACAGTTGTTCAAATTTCTATTAAAAATGAAAAAAGAATATAGGAGACACACAAAATTTATAAACTTTTCAATTGACAGTCTATATTTTAAAATAAGAATTGGAAGTCATGCTTGAGACTTAATGCATTTTTAAGCTTTTAAATCATAACAGAAAAATGTCAAATGGGATGTGAAAATTGTCAAACTTTGTTTCTGAAAAAATCATTTACATAGTCTTCGTGATAACATTACATATAGCTCTCTTTCCTTTCTTTTTAAATATAAGCCTCATTAAAAGTAAATCCAAAATTCGAACTCTGGAATAGCATCATAATATGTAAATTGATTAAAAAAATTTTTATCTCACAGATATAATACTTCTTTTTGACAAATGCAACTTTCAATGTTATAAAATATTCATTCAATTCTCATAATTTACTATGAGATAGGCATAAATATTATACCTAATGTGAATGCAAGGGATGTAATGGACTTCTCAAATGGAGGAACTGAAGTATGGGAGACTGAAGTAATTTGCCCAAAGTAACGCAGGTGGTCATTGCTCTACACAGGACCACAATGGTAAGATTACTGGAAATGCTCTCTCTCACTCTCATTCCTGAATTGAATTTTGTATTGCCTGGTGTCTTAGATTAATTTATTTGTTTATTTAGATTCAAATTGGTGAGATTCTAGATATGAAGTAGACTTTTTGTGTATGTATGTATGTATGCAAGTGTGTGAGGAATGGAGGTGGTATGGAGGTGGGGAAGAATAGAATGGCAAATAGATTCTGGTGGAACCTCTTTTGAGATAACTAGCTTGAGATAAATAGATGGTGCTTTTTCTTTTTCTTTTCTTTCTTTCTTTTTTTTTTTTTTTTGAGACAGAGTCTCGCTCTGTCAACAGGCTGGAGTGCAGTGGCGCAATCTCGGCTCACTGCAAGCTCTGCCTCCCGGGTTCACGCCATTCTCCTGCCTCAGCCTCCCAAGTAGCTAGGACTACAGACACCGGGCACCATGCCCGGCTATTTTCTTTGTATTTTTAGTAGGGACGGGGTATCACCATGTTAGCTAGGATGGTCTTGATCTCCTGACCTCGTGATCCACCCGCCCTGGCCTCCCAAAGTGCTGGGATTACAGGCGTGAGCCACCGCGCCCGGCCCTGCTTTTTCTTGTTTAATCCAATTTTCTAGAGTCCTCAGCTTTGGAACTTAGGTTCAAACCTTGCTAAGAAAAATCTTAATATTTCTCTCTTTCGGTATATATATATATGTATATTTCAGCCATCTTTCAGACACATTGGGAGGCATTTGCCTGTGACTTGTAATATGGCACAGATTTAGGCATCTCTTGGATATTGAAGTCAAATATTACCTAAAAGTCTCCAAATAGTACCCCAAATTCTAAAGTACACTTAGGAACTATTAAGAGGATAACTTCCATTCAAATTAGACACAAACTCTAGATGTAATGAAAGAAAATATTGATAAATTCAAATAAAAACTTTTCCATGGCCAAAAAAATTAGCAAATAGACAATAAAAATCAAATGACAAGGAGAAAATATTGCAGAGAAAAAATTCTGAAAATTGGAAAATTTTAGGGTAAAAAGGCTAAACATCTGACAGAAAAAATGAATAGACAATTTGTAAGAAAATCAGTATAAAAGTGATCCTCCAACGCCAGAAGATATATTAGCTCTACTCATATGAGAGAAATACAAATTAAAATTACTCTGTGCTGGAGGGCAGTGGCTCACTCCTGCAATCCCAACACTTTGGGAGGTTGAGGTGGGAGAATCACTTGAGCTCAGGAATTTGAGACCAGGTTTGGCAACATAGCGAGACCAGGTCTGTATAAAAAAATTTTAAAAATTAAAGAATCATCTGGGTGCATGGCACCTCACTGTAGTCCCAGCTACTGGAGAATAAAAAATCAATGGTAAAACTAACTCAAAGAATAAAACACTTTAGTTAGGTAACACCATACAAATTAGTGTAGACAAATGTGATTACTGTAGACAGGGATCCTGAGGCAGGACCCCCAGAGGTCCAGGCTACAGGGAGCTATAATTGTGCCACTGCACTCCAACCTGAGTGACAGAGAGAGACCCTATCTAAAAAACAAACAAGCAAACAAACAAAACACCACACACACACACACAACTAGATGTCATCAAGTTGGCAAAAGTTAAAAAGCTTGACAAAATCTTCTGTTGGTGAAGCTGTGGAGAATCAGGCATATTTTACAAATGGGAATGCAAATGGGAATACAAACAGGTCTTGTGAAGTAGAAATCAGAAATATCTAGCAAAGTTGTGTTTATGTTTTATCTTTGACTCAACAATTCCACTACTAGAAATTTACTCTGATGAGTAAAGTATGAAAATATGAAGTATGAAAATACTTCTGCACAAGATTATTCATTGCACTGTTTTGTAATTGCAAAATATTGCAAACAATATAAATGCAAATATATAGGATACTGGTTAATTGTGGTACATACACAATGAAGTACTGGATAGGTTTTATAAAAGAGCTCTTTGACTAAATATAAAATGATTTCTCAGAATTTTTTAGTGAAAAAAAGCTAAGTGTAAATAATATTGACAAACTGTTATTTCTATATAAGAAAAAAGAGAAAATATATAAAAGAATCAACCTACTTTTGAAAGAAAAAGCATAGGAAAGAGAAGTTATAAACTCATGAGATTTGGAATAGGAATACACTGGAAAGAATTAGGGGGCAATATGATTTTCTGAGTATACCTTTTTTGTACAGTTTTACTTTTGGAGCCACTTTAATATTTGACATAGACAAAAATAAATAAAAATTAAAAATTGGGGGCAAAAGGGCCTAAAATATAACATAAACAAGTTAAGCAAATTGTATTTCAAATAAAAAAATACATATGTATTTCAAATAAGTAAATACCTTCTTTTATCAGAAAATAAATGTTCAAGGAAGATGGGGCAGGAGGAAAAGACAAAGGAACCAGGCTGAAGGTGCTTCCATTGGGTTGATCTTAGACAATGTAAGCCTTAAAATAGATAATGAAATTAATGGATGCTATGGTTTGAGTGTTTGTGTACCACCCAAATTTACCTTGAAATACTAGCCCCAAGGGGATGGTATTAAGTGGTGGGCCTTTGGAAAATGATTAGGTCATGAATGGCATTAACGTGCTTATAATAGAGGATCTAGAGAGACTCCTCACCTCTTGCAACATGTGACGACACAGGAAGAAGGTGTCATCTATGAACTAGAAAGTGAGTGCCCTCTAGACCTCAAATTTGCTGGCACCTTGATCTTGGACTTTCCAGCCTCCAGAACTGTAGGAAATAAATTTCTGTTGTTTATCAGTTACTCAGTCTAGAGAAGCCCGAAAGGATCAAGACAATGAATTATAACCCATTGAATGAAAACGAAATCTATGTGTCTTTAGTGATGTCAGTTACTAAGTATACAAGGGCTTAGGGCAGAAGGGAAAGTTCTTTATATACAGTATAATGCCAATTACTAAATGCAAAAGGAATGATGGAATTAAAAAATCACCATTTGAAAAATATTGTCAGAATAATTGATTCTGATACGGATAATAAATGGGAGTAAATTCGTGGGTAAGAATTTAATAAGGGAGAGGGTATTTATGTTATTTCAAAATATGTCTCCTCAAATATTCATTAATACAAGGGAACCTTACCCTGCAGAAATCTGCTGACTTCACTTAATCAAGTAATAAGAGTTATTTCTAGTAATCGAACAAAGCAAAATCACTTGCATAACCTCAACTTAATATAAAGGAATCATCAGATAGATATAAATAGGGGGAAATTCTACAAAATAACTGTCCTGTAGTCTTTAAAATTTTCAAGATCATAGATGGATGAAAAATGACTAAAGAACAGTTACAGATTTTAAAAATACTAAATAGATTAAAACTGAAGGCAACATGTGATTTGGGATTATATTATGGACTTTTCCGGTGAAAGACATTATTGAGACAATTAGCATTGAGGTCTGTAAATTACATCATGAAATTGCATCAATTATACAATTGGAGTACTTATAATTAAGCTATTATACAAATATAATAGCTAAATAAGTATGTATTTATCCTGTTAGAAAATATACACAGGCATCATATCTGCAGCTTACTCTCAAATGGTTTAGAAAAATATAAAATGTCCCTGTACAAAAAGAAAATTTTTTTTTCAGAAGAAAGGAGAGAGGAGAGCAGCTCCTTGTGAGAGAGAGAGAGAGACAGAGAGAGAGAGAGAGAGAGAGATGGACAGAGAGGGAGAGACAGACGGAGAGACATAGAGAGAGATAGAGAGAGAGAGACAGAGGGACAGAGAGACAGACAGACAGACAGACACACACACACGTCAGAACAGAAGAAAGGGGAGAGGAGAGCAGATCCCTGCGAGAGAGAGAGAGAGACAGAGAGAGAGATAGATGGACAGAGATAGAGGGAGAGAGAGACAGATCGAGAGACACAGAGAGAGACAGAGAGAGAGAGAGAGACAGAGGGACAATGAGAGACAGAAAGACAGACACACATACACACGTCCAAACAGAAGAAAGGAGAGAGGAGAGCAGCTCCTTGCGAGAGAGACAGAGAAAGAGAGAGACAGAGAGACAGATGGAGAGACACAGAGACAGAGAGAGAAAGGGGGAGGGGGAGAGGGAGGGAGAGGGAGGGAAGGATGGAGGGAGAGGGAAAGAGAGACAGAGAAAGAGAGCCAAAAAGGCATAAAAAGAAAATTCTAAGAGAAAATATGGTGTATGTTAATAATTGGAGAATATGGGTTAAAGGTATACAAGAGATTTATGTGTTACTTTTGCAAGGTTTCTGTAAAATCATTTAAAATTAAAAATTTATAAAAAATGAAAATATGAAAGTTATAAAATATAAATATTTAACTCTTGACAGACAACGTTAAGGATAGACAACATGGCTGAAAGCTTATGAGCAAGTAAGTACTCTGGAGCCAAATTGACCTAGAGATACAATACCAGCTCTAGCATTTATTTGTTGTAATATCTTGGGCAAGTTACTTCAAAGGTTTTGTCTCAGGTTCTTTATGTTTAAAATAGAAGTGTTTTACATGGGGGCCATTAGGAAGATTAATTGAATAGGTACATATATGTCACTCTCAGACAGAGGCTGGCACATAATGCATACTGTATAAATGCTTGCAAAATAAAATGAAATTTATTTATTTTGATATCTATCATGAAGCAAAGAACAAAATATTTATTATATGTAATATATATCTTCAATATGGTCCAAATAGGAACCAAAGTACATCTTGTTGAGAAATGAATTCCTTTTCAAGATAGTGCATGCTGCATTAATTTTAAAAACAGGAAAAAAAAAACTAATGAGAACTAAGACAAATTAAGTAATACCACCTAAGAGCCATAAGATGGCTTGGTTGAATCAGGACCCACCATTAGTGTAATCCAAATTAAAAATTGGCATTCCTTAGTGTTATGATTAGAATAAAATCTAAATACCAATCGATATTTGGACAATACTTTTAACAGGAAAAGTTAAGTAATGGAGTTCTGAGAAAGATAGATTAAAGTAGACAGACGAATTTTTTTCGGAGGTTAACACATGAACATAAAACCACAATATATATTGAAAATACCATAAAACAGCTAAAAAAGAAGTTCTGAAAGATAAGCATGAAATCTGTGTATTGTATTGTTTATTATGTATGTTTTGGAGGTGTTTAGTCTGGATGTAATTTGTTTATGGATGTTTAAAAACTTTGTGTGGTTGTTTAGAAGCATACATATGCATGTATGTGTGTGTATTTGTATGCTATTTCTGTGTTGCTTTTATATGGAATCAATAAAATGGATAAATAGATGCCTAACATTCAAAGGAAACATAGGGAACATTAGCTGAAAAATGGGAAAGTTTAAGCAAAGATGAAAGGAATGCTTTTGTAACTTCATCACTTGAAAGGGAAAGAAGAAATAGGAAAGGTATGGAGTGGTTAGAAAGATTCTAGGGAAAGTGCCCAAAGACTGTATGCTGATCTTCAAGAGCCAGGAGACTAGGGCAAGAAGCAAGCACTGTGGATGGCAGCACATCTGCATTCAATCAATTCTTTTTTATAAAATGCTCTGTTTCTCCTCTCCTTCTGTGAAATCACCCTTCTAAGAGCCCTGAGGCAGTTGGAACATGTGTGCTTCCTCCTTACAAACTTCTCTTGGCATCAGGAGATATGTCTCTGTTAATTTAACACAAAACATAAAGTATACTTAGAAAAAGTTTACCTCTCTTTTTCTATTGTTTGGAATAGTTTCAGAAGGAATGGTACCAGCTCCTCTTTGTACCTCTGGTAGAATTCGGCTGTGAATCCGTCTGGTTTTGGGCTTGTTTTGTAGGTAGGCTATTAATTACTGCATCCATTTCAGTACTTGATATTGGTCTACTCAGGGATTCGACTTCTTCCTGGTTTAGTCTTGGGAGGGTGTATGTGTAAGGAATTTATTCATTTCTTCTAGATTTTCTAGTTTATTTGCTTAGAGGTGTTCATAGTACTCTCTGATGGTAGTTTGTATTTCTATGGGATCAGTGGTAATATCCCTTTTATCATTTTTTGTTGTGACTATTTGATTCTTTTCTTTTTTCTTCTTTATTAGTCCAGCTAGCGGTCTATTTTGTTAATCTTTTCAAAAAACCAGCTCCTGGATTCATTGACTTTTTGAAGGGTTTTTCGTGTCTCTATCTCCTTCAGTTCTGCTCTGATTTTAGTTATTTCTTGTCTTCTGCTAGTTTTTGAATTTGTTTGCTCTTACTTCTCTAGTTCTTTTAATTGTGATGTTAGGGTGTCAATTTTAGATCTTTCCCACTTTCTTCTGTGGGTATTTAGTGCTATAAATTTCCCTTTAAACACTGCTTTAGCTGTGTCCCAGAGATTCTGGTACATTGTGTCTTCGTTCTCATTGCTTTCAAAGAACTTATTTATTTCTGCCCTAATTTTGTTACTTACTCAGTAGTCATTCAGGAGCAGATTGTTCAGTTTCTATGCAGTTGTGTGATTTTGAGAGTTTCTTAATCCTGAGTTATACTTTGATTGCACTGTTGTCTGAGAGACTGTTTGATACGATTTCCATTCTTTTGCATTTGCTGAGGAGTGTTTTACTTCCAATTATGTGGTCAATTTTAGAATAAGTGTGATGTGGTGCTGAGAAGAAAATATATTCTGCTGGTTTGGGGTGGAGAGTTCCATAGATGTCTATTAGGTCTGCTTGGTCCAGAGCTGAGTGCAAGTCCTTAATATCCTTGTTAATTTTCTGTCTTGTTGATCTGTCTAATATTGACAGTGGAGTGTCAAAGTCTCCCACTATTATTGTATGGGAGTTTAAGTGTCTTTGAAGGTCTGTAAGAACTTGCTCTATGAATCTGGGTGCTCCTGTATTGGGCGCATACATATTTAGGATAGTTAGCTCTTCTTGTTGCATTGATCCCTTTACCACTATGTAATGCTCTTCTTTTGTGTTTTTTTTTTTTTAAATCTTTGTTGGTTTAAAGTCTGTTTAATGAGAGACTAGGATTGCAACTCCTGCCTTTTTTTTTTTTTTTTTTGCTTTCCATTTGCTTGGTAAATATTCCTCCACCCCTTTATTTTGAACCTACATGTGTCTTTGCATGAGAGATGGGTCTCCTGAAGACAGCACACCAATGGGTCTTGACTCTTTATCCGATTTGCCAGTCTGTGTATTTTAATTGGGGCTTTTAGGCCATTTACATTTAAGATTAATATTGTTATGTGTGAATCTGAACCTGTCATTATGCTGCTAGCTGGTTATTTTGCTCGTTAGTTGATGAAGTTTCTTCATAGTGTCAATGGTCTTTACAATTTGCTGTTTTTGCAGTGGCTGGTACCAGTTTTTCCTTTCCATATTTATTGCTTCCTTCAGGAGCTCTTTTAAGGAAGGCCTGGTGGTGACAAAATCTCTCAGAATTTGCTTGTCTGTAAAGAATTTTATTTCTCCTTCGTTTATGAAACTTAGTTTGGCTGGATATGAAATTCTGGGTTGAAAATTCTTTTCTTTAAGAATGTTGAATATTGGCCCCCACTGTCTTCTGGCTTGTAGGGTTTCTGCAGAGAGATCCGCTGTTAGTCTGATGGGCTTGCCTTTGTGGGTAACCCAACTTTTCTCTCTGGCTGCCCTTAATATTTTTTCCTTCATTTCAACCTTGGAAAATCTGACAATTATGTATTTTGGGGTTGCTCTTCTTGAAGAGTCTCTTTGTGGTGTTCTCTGTATTCCCTAAATTTGAATGTTGGCCTGTATTGCTAGGTTGGGGAAGTTATTCTGGATAACATCCTGAAGAGTGTTTTCCAACTTGGTTCTGTTCTCCCTTTCAGTTTCAGGTACACCAATCAGACATAGGTTTGGTCTTTTCACATAGTCCCATATTTCTTGGAGGCTTTGTTCATTCATTTTCATTCTTTTTTCTCTAATCTTGTCTTCACACTTTATTTCATTAAGTTAATCTTCAATCTCTGATATCCTTTCTTCTGCTTGATCGATTCAGCTATTGATACTTGTGAAACTGGAAGCATTCCGTTTGAAAACTGGCACAAGACAAGGATGCCCTCTCTCATCACTCCTATTCAACATGGTATTAGAAGTTCTGGCCAGGGCAAACAGCAAGAGAAAGAAATAAAAGGTATTCAAATAGGAAGAGAGAAAATCAAATTGCCTCTGTTTGCAGATGACATAATTGTATATTTAGAAAACCCCATTGTCTCAGCCCAAAATATCCTTAAGCTGACAGGCAACTTCAACAAAGTCTCAGGATACAAAATCACTGTGCAAAAATCACAAACATTCCTGTACACCAATAATAGACAAACGGAGAGCCAAATCATGAGTGAGCTGCCATTCACAATTGCTGCAAAGAGAATAAAATACCTAGGAATACAACTTACAAAGGATGTGAAGGACCTCTTCAAGGAGAACTACAGATCACTGCTCAAGGAAATAAGAGAAGACACAAACAAATGGGAAAACATTCCATCCTCGTGGATAGGAAGAATCAATATTGTGAAAATGGCAATCCTGCCCAATGTAACTTATAGATTCAATGATGTCCCCATCAAGCTACCACTGACTTTTTTCACAGAAGTAGAAAAAACTACTTTAAATTTCATATAGAATCAAAACAAAGCCCATAGAGCCAAGATAATCCTAAGCAAAAAGGAGAAAGCTGGAGGCATCATGCTACCTGACTTCAAACTATAGTACAAGGCTAAAGTCACCAAAACAGATATATAGGCCAATGGAACAGAATGGAGGGCTCAGAAATAACGCCACACATCTAGAACCATCTGATCTTTGACAAACCTGACAAAAAACAAGCAATGGGGAAAGGATTCCCCATTTAATAAATGGTGTTGGGAAAACTGGCTAGCCGTATGCTGAAAACTGAAACTGGATCCCTTCCTTACACCTTATACAAAAATTAACTCAAGACGGATTAAAGACTTAAACATAAGACCTAAAACCATAAAAACCCCAGAAGAAAACCTAGGCAATACCATTCAGGACATAGGCATGGGCGAAGACTTCATGACTAAAACACTAAAAGCAATGGCAACTAAAGGCAAAATTGACAAATGAGATCTAATTAAACTAAAGAGTTTCTGCACAGCAAAAGAAACTATCATCAGAGTGAACAGGCAACCTACAGAATGAGAGAAAATTTCTGCAATCTATCCATCTGACAAATGGCTAATATCCAGAATCTACAAGGAACTTAAACAAATTTACAAGAAAAAAATGAACAACCCCATCAAAAAGTGGGCGAAGTATATGAACAGTCATTTCTCAAAAGAAGACATTTATGCAGCCAACAAACATATGAAAAACAGCTCATCATCACTGATCATTACAGAAATGCAAATAAAAACCACAATGAGATACCATCTCACACCAAGTAGAATGGCGATCATTAAAAAGTCAGGAAACAACAGATGCTGGAGAGGATGTGGAGAAATGGGAACACTTTAACACTGTTGGTGGGAGTGTAAATTAGTTCAACCATTGTGGAAGACAGTGTGGCGATTCCTCAAGGATCCAGAACCAGAAAAACCATATGACCCAGCAATCCCATTACTGGGTATATACCTAAAGGATTATAAATCATTCTACTATAAAGACATATGCACAGGTATGTTTATTGCAGCACTATTCACAATAGCAAAGACTTGGAACCAACCCAAATGCCCATCAATGATAGACTAGATAAAGAAAATATGGTACATATACACCATGGAACACTATGCAGCCATTAAAAAGGATGAGTTCATGTCCTTTGCAGACACATGGATGAAGCTGGAAACATCATTCTCAGCCAACTAACACAGGAACAGAAAACTGAGCACTACATGTTCTCACTCATAAGTGGGAGTTGAACAATGAGAACACAGGGTCACAGGGAGGGGAACATCACACACTGGGGCCTGTCGGTGGGGTGGGGGCTGGAGGAGGGATAACATTAGGAGAAATACCTAATGTAGATGACAGGTTGATGGGTGCAGCAAACCACCAAGGCACGGGTATACCTATGTAACAAACCTGCACATTCTGCACATGTATCCCAGAACTTAAAGTATATATATGTAAAGTTTACCTCAACTTAGTTCAATGATTTAATAATATTGATCTGAAAATCTTGTCTTCAATTGCTGGATTTGAAATCTGCCCAAGTCACTAGTCTGTCTAGCTATATAACCAGTGGAAAAGGTGAAAACTGCAATAAAATCTATCTGATCTCATTCATGGTTTATGAGCCCTCTTTTACAAACCTTACACTTCGTATTTTTTTTTCTCTTCACCTGTTTTTTTTTTTTTTTTTTTGGTGGGGGATGGAGTCTTGCTCTGTTGCCCAGGCCGGAGGGCAGTGGCACAATCTCAGCTCACTACACCCTCTGCCTTCCGGGTTCAAGAGATTCTCTTGCCTCAGCCACCTGAGTAGCTGAGATTACAGGTGTGCACCACCACACCCGGCTAATTTTTCTATTTTTAGCAGAGACAGAGTTTCACCATGTTGGCCAGGCTGGTCTCATACTCCTAACCTCAGGTGATCTGCCTGCCTTGGCCTCCCAAAGTGCTGGGATTACAGGCGTGACTCGTTGCACCCAGCCTCCCCACCTGGTTTTATTTGAAAGTTTGACTTTTTGTTTTTGAGATAGAGTCTCGCTCTGTTGCCCAGGCTGGAGTGCAGTGGTGAGATCTCAGCTCACTGCAACCTCTGCCTCCCAGGTTCACGTGATTCTCCTGCCTCAGCCTCCTGAGTAGCTGGGATTACAGGTGCCTGCCACCACACCTGGCTAATTTTTGTATTTTTGGTAGAGATGGGGTTTCACCATTTTGGACAGGCTGGTCTCGAACTCCTGACCTCGTGATCCACCCTCCTCAGCCTCCTAAAGTGCTAGGACTACAGGCATAAGCCACAGCACCTGGCTGAAAGTTTTGACTTTTGAAAATTAGACCATGTTGAAATCTTTTTTACTCGTATCTCCTATATTTCATCATTCCTGTATCTCAAGTGTGGACACGGCATTGCCCATGCTAAAATAATAAACTCTTTTTAAAGTAAAGGTTTTCTTTAACTTTCCTCTTGAATTTTTGTAAGTCAGTTTATGATAGTCCCTATCTAAAACAAAAAATTTCTATTTCCATTAAAGTCATTGGTTCTAGAAATGATTGCGGGGCTTTATCCTTATGATTTCTAATCTCTGTGTTCCTATACATAGGGTTAATATTTTTTTCTGTTTTATTTGTCTTGCTTGAGATTTAATTAGCATACTTGTTCTATTTCTCCCACTATCTGTTAAACTGTTTTGCTAGTTTTGTATTCATAATTTCCTCATGACATCCCTTCTCTGATATCTTATCACTAGCTCTGACTTTACAAGATGATTCCTCCTTGATTTATCTCTATCTGATTTTATTTTGTATTTGTTGGAAAGTTCCCCAAGATATAGACAGTCATTTACAATATTTATATAAATATTTTGTTTGTTCCTTATGACACAATTTCATCTATGCAATGAATATTCTTGAGCACTATCCCTCATTCTGGTGTTCCAAATAATGGTAGGTGCTTGTGATACAAAAATTGAAAATATGCTCCAGGATTGTTCTCCAAAAGAAAGTGAAAACATGTGATGAGTGTTATTTTAGGGGTTTTAGCAAGAAATGCATGTGCAACAAAGAAGGAACACTCTACTGTGTCTTTCAGCATAAAATTTAGTAAGGTATTTACAGACAATGCCAGAAAAATAGAGGAATAATATTTCATGAGATGAGGATATTACGAACAAAAATGCAGATGTGTGAGAGATAAAATTTTGGCATTTATTCCACATTTATAATAGGTGAAGCTCTGGTCATGGAAGACATTGTCCAGACTGAGGTTAGCGTAGAAAGAACAGTGAAGCCTGAGGCAGTGATCTCTGAAATAGAAAGAGAATCATGATAGTCAGATACAAGAGAATTTTCTGAGAGATGACAGGAAAACAGAACCCAATGGATCAGTGAGGTGAAGAAGTAAAGGGCTAAAGTACGTTTATTGAACCTGACAATTCTGAGGTTATTTATGTGATCATCAGGATGATTTTTAGTGGAGCAGAGGGAGCATAAGCCAGATTACTGGGATTAGGAAGTAAAAAAAGTAGAGGCAGAGATCTTTCAAGAGGCTTAGATTTGATAGAGTAAAGAAATTGGGAGAGTGCTATAGGGGAATAAAAAATCAAGAGAGAGAAATTGTTGATATTAGCCATACTTGAACATGTTTCTGGATGGAAGAAAATTTGCCGGAAAGGTGAGTGTTTGAATATTACAACTGCTGCTGCTACTAGTAATATTATAAGAATTACAAGAGAATCCGCAATTCCATTTGAGAGGACATTAAGCAAAGACATGAGAGGGTGGAGCATTTTCTTAAATCAAGTAAACTAGCATTTGCTAACATATTGCATATGTGCATGTTTATAGGAAACTTCTGGAACAATGTCTAAACCCAAACAATGACGAATAGTAGAACATCCAGACATCATAATTGGCAAAAGAGGAAGTGTCTTGGCAAGCAAACCCTACTTGCAATGTCAATTATTATTTATTCCAACAATTTCAGACACTGAAATTTTGTTTCAGAAATCAGGGCCCTCCTAATCCTGCATTGCTTTAGCCACCTAACTTCCAGTGAATAACTTTCTTTTGTAATCAAGCCAATTTATTTATTTCAACTATTTCCTTCTGCATCCCTACATTATTATTTTTTATTCTTCATCCTTATATCTTTATCTTTGCTTCTCATATTCTTCCTTCACTCTTTCTTGAAATCCCTCTCTTCTTTTGCCAGCAAGTTCTGCAGTATTTCTAAATAAATTCAACTCTATTGTAGTAAGTGATTAGAAATGTGTTACATGTAGTCACCCTTCCTAATTGTCTTGTTTTCAATTTGTGGATGGAAGAGTATTTGTCCTTTGAGCAGCGAGAGAATCTTAAGCCTCTTTTTTTTGCAGGACTTGAAAAAGTACATAGCTGAAAGCTAGAGATATACTCCTCATTTAATAAGCTGCTTTTTAATTGAAAACACAATACTGATATTATATAAATGGTCATCACCTATTTTGCCTGCTATTAAAGTGAAGTATTTCTTGTTTTCTCCTTATTATATAGCTCACTCCCAGATTTTCATCATCTTCACTCGAATGATATCTTTTCAGTGTCATTTCCCTTGACCACTTTATATGTAATCACAACATCTACACACATATTGCTACGCTCCTATCCCCTCCAAATTTTCTTCCTAAAGTATAAAATCATTTATTTATTTATTTTTTATATTCTATATCCTGAATTATACTCTCAATTACATGAATGCCAAGATTTTAATTGGTTTTATTTAGTGATGTATCTTCAAACACCCAGAATGAAGCCTAACATGTAAAAGAAATTCAATAAATATAAACATACCCAGAAATTTATAATTAATCTTATTACCAACTTTTCCTTCTTCCTTTGCATCTCTACATTCTCTTTTTCTTATTTTTGTCCTCTAAATTCAATATTTTCACAAGTGGCCTGCATTAGTCCATTCTCATGCTGCTACTAAAGACATACCCAAGACTGGATAATTTATAAAGGAAAGAGGTTTCATTGACTCACAATTCAGCATGGTGGGGAGGCCTCAGGAAACTTAGAGTCATGACAGAAGGGGAAGAAAACAGGTCCTTCCTCACATGGCAGCTGCAAGACGTGCCAAGCAAAAGAGGGGAAAGCCCTTTATAAAACCATCAGATCTCATGAGAACTCACTCATTGTCATGACAACAGCATGAGGGTAACCGCCTCCATGATTAAATTACCTCCCACTGGGTCCCTCCCATGACACATGGGGATTATGGGAGCTACAATTCAAGATGAGACTTGGGTAGGGAAGCAGCTAAACCATGTGATGACCAAACTACCACCTCAGTTTAGTATATTTATATAAAATGCTATTGTTCTTAAGTATCTCACCAATGCCCGAAAAGATATTTGTGAAGCCCTATTAATTCAAACAAGTAGTATAAGAGAAGTTTAAACTAGAAATAAACTGGAAACACACTTTTTGGAAACTCTTCTCTTAATGAGCCTTGAAGTAAGTTAGGAAACAGCCTTAATTCCTTAGAGCCACTCTGGTTCCATTTAATGTATTACAAGTTCAGTGGTTAAATAGTACCTTAGTGGAGGGAAGCTGAAACAACTTTTTTATCCTAATGGCAAGGGCTAATTTAATTTTTCTTTCTTTAAAGCTGAGAACAAAGTAGGTCAGAGTGATGAATTAAAGCCAAACATAGTACCTTGGCTTGGCATAAAGGGAAAGTTCTGGTCCAGAATTATACAGAATCTGTACTTGTAGTGCTAAATTTGTGACTATGTAGAGTTAGTGACAAGACTTGTGGGAAAGGAGAAATAAAAAGAAATAAGCAATGAGTCCCTTAGAAAATCTAATCAGAAAAAAAATATGATTTTTCTAGAGTTTATAAATTAGGAATTCTTCGATGCCTAAAAGTCACACATTCTTCATTCACTGAGCATGCTACAAGTTATCATGAGCTCATGCCCTGTCTAGAGCTTGCACAGATATGCACCAAGCTTGTCATAATGGAGAAGTATCTTTGACTTGCATTAACCTCAACGGATCTTGATTCATTGTCCAAGCAAACTGATAGTGTAGCATTCTGAATTGATGTCTAAAATAGATGCTGGCACACTACCGTGACTAGCTCTGTCTTTTGTTTGACTGGTTTCAGACAGATTCCAATAGGTTGTCAAGGAATAGACACGGCGAGCCTTGAGACCTGGTTCTGCCAAGGAACAGGAAACCAGAACTCATGGGAGGCTGACCTTGAATTCCCCCACTTGAGCAATAAACACTCAGGAATGTGTTGAGATTGTTTTGTACCAGTGATTTCACTTGGTGAGCAGGCAGGCACATAGCCAGTTGCAGAAAAATCCAGCATAATGAAAAAGAACCAGGAGAGTATGAAAACTCTCTAAGCTTGGTAAATATTATTTCTCAGATCTGGTGGAAACTTATTCTAAGAAGGCATTATCTGGAGCTGTGTACCTCCTTGAGGGCTTTGGGAATTTGGTAGGCTCCCATGATTGGGAGTATGCCACAATGTTTCTTCTTGTAGCTGTCTCGGTTGACGGAGGTTTCTATATCTTCTGTCACTAAATAAAATTTAAACAAATTATTTCACCCTGCGAGTTGACATCTCTGCATCAGTCAGTTCCTACCTTATTGTAACAGGCCCTTGTACTCAAGATCACACAGCAAATTAAAGGTGAAGTCAAATATATAGGTGCAATTTAGTTTTATTAAACTCCAAACTACTTGTCTGCACTACATTCCTTCCTATTCCTGTCATCTTCTCTGAATCCCAAAACAAACAAATCATTAAAAACAAAACTAAGTTAAACTAAAATTTAAATAATTGTAACTTAAAAAGGAAGCACACAAGCTATTTAATATTTTTTAGACTTATCTTTTGACGCATAAACACCAGCCAAGGCTAAATAAATGGAAGACCTATTAAAACTTAGCCTGTTTCTGCTCATGGGAGGATTGAAGCATGAGCATCCATAGATCTCTTGAGCTCCTACTGCAGCTCCCTCTGTCCTCTCATCTTTGTAACTGCTTTTAGCAGTGAAATGTCACGAAATCCCTTCTTCGACAATGATGCAATTAAATTTAATTGATAAAAGTAAGATAAATAAAAAAGCCACACTGTTTGGAAATTTAACACCTCATTTTATAACATCTATTAAGATATAATTCTTGCAGCATAAAACTTGGCCTTTAAAATGTATTAAAAACTAAATTTTAAATAATGAATATATCTCAAAGAGATCACAAGCATAAGTAAAGCATATTTTAAACTGAATGATAATAAAATTGCAACATTTAAAAACTGGGGCAATACTGATGAAATATTTAGAGAAAAATTTATAATCTTAAAGACTTTTAGTAGAGAGAAAGAAATGTTTACTATCAGCTATCAAGTTTTCACCTTAAGAAGCTAGAGGAAAAAAAGCAAATTAAACTCACATAAGCATAAAAGTACAAATAATGAATCTAAGAGCAGAAATCAATGACATAGGTCAGAAAAACAATAGTCTAAGTGAACAAAGCTAAAAGTTATTTTAATGAAAAGATTAATAAAATAGAAAAGTGCCTTGATACACTGATTTGGAAAAAAGAGAGACAGAATACAAATTAACAATATCATAAATAAAAGATTTACTACAAAACATATTATAGGTATTAATAAACACAAGATTTTTTTTAACATGTCAACAAATCATGTCAACAAAATCAACAATTATGATGTTGTATGAACTCCCCAAAAAACACAACTTACTGGAACTGACACAAGAAGAAATTTTTGAAGAAAACTATATAACTGTATATCTGTTAAAGAAATGACTTTACTATAAGTCATTATAAAATGTCCCACAAAAAATTCTAAGCCCTGGTGGTTTTCCTGGTAAATTCTATCAAACATTAGGAAAACTAATATCAATCATACACAAACACTTCCAGAAAGCAGATGATAGAATAAACTTCAAAATTTATTTTATGTGGTCTGCATCATTCTGATACAAAACAAAAAAGAAGCATTACAATAAAGGTACAGAACAATAATTATTATGGATACAAATGCAGAAACTTTTCATAACATATCAGCAAATTGAATTCATCAATATATAAAAAGAAGATAAAATAAAGTAAGAGGATCAGGTAGTATAATTCATTGCATGACTGGAATGACGGAGAACAAAAACATACAATCTTTTTAATAGGTGCAGAAAATTCACTTGGCAAAGTTCAACATTTCCTAATGAAAAGTACAAATAAAAGAGTACTCCCTGAATTCGATAAAGGGCATCTATAAAAAACAAAACAAAACAAAACAAAACAAAAAACTAATGCTAACATCTTACTTAATGGTAAAGTATGGTATGGTTTCCTTCAAAGATTGGGAGGAAGGCAAGTATAGTCACTCAACTTTTATTCAACAGGGTACTGGAAGTTCTAGCCCACGCTATAGGGCAAGGGGAAGAAATTAAGAGACTGAAAAGACAAAAACAAACTGTCTTTTTCACAGCTGATATATCATATGTGATACCTAGAAACTCATAAGGAATCTTCATAAAACTACTAGAACTAATAAATAAATTACTCAGAATTATTGGATACCAGGTAATGTCCTCATCCCTACATGTAAGAATTGACTCTTCCCTTGGGGTGCCATAACTCTCATCATGGTCTCTGTGACATTCCATACCCTTTTTTCCCATATGTCTTTCCTCTTCTATGAACTCTTTGAAGGGAGCATCTATGTTTTATTAGGCTTTGCTTTTCTTGGACTTGGCATAATTTCTCCCTCAGGGAGACACTTAATAAATGTTTATTTTAAGAACAAATAGGTAAGTTAATCTGCCACTTAACTGTGCCTGATGCCTTTGCAAGTAATTTTTACAATTACACTTTGAGTAGAGTTAAAAACAAAAAATGTCAACAAATGTAGTATAAACATCTGATTGTCATTATTAATAATTCATGAATTAGGCATCTTCCCACCTAAATAAAATGTGGTCTGTTGGGCATGTCAGAAAAGTTGGTTTTTGAAGGTAGGTTGAGGAGGAACAAGGAAACAGAATAATACCAAAAAAATGGATTAGTTAACATTAGCTTGCTTCAGTGACTTTCCTCGCAAGGGATAAAGCAGAGGGGACTTCCTTTTCATGTTGGTTCAGGTTGAGTAGGCCCTTTCTGATTGGTTGTTGGGAATCACCTGATTTTAGGAAAAAAAAAAAAAAAAAGGTCTTTTTGGGGATTTTCCTGCTTTCTTTCTTTCTTTCTTTTTTTAATACTTTAAGTCCTGGGATACATGTGCAGAACATGCATGTTTGTTACGTAGGTATACATGTGCCATGGTAAAGTTATAGTTTGATTGCATGGCACTTAGCTTAAGAAACTTGATTTTGATTTGGTCTACTGATGCCTAGCATAGTAGCTCAGTTCACAACAATGACTTCTTATAATTTTATTGAACAGTTTGTGTTATTACCTCAATTTTTTGAAGAAGATCTTGAAGCTAAAAATGGATTTTCAACTAAAAGTTCATCAATTAGCTTGGAATTAACAAAATGAAAGCTTCCTGATTTAAGGGTATTTCTCTTTCTGCTATAAGTTGTTGCCTAAATCAATAGATTGCTCTGTTGTCTTTTATATTATAAGCTGCTGCCTAAATCAATAGATTGCCTTGTTGTACTTTTGAAATTAGTTTACATCTGTTTTTAATTATGAAATAAATTTTCTCTGAAAAAAAAAGGAGGAAACCTTAGTAATGAATAGGCAGCTTCTCCATCAGCAGACCCAGCTTTGTTTCTTGCTAGGCTCGCTATTCCTTATAGGTCATCATGTCCACAAATAACCTGATAAGTTTTTCTATTCTCCACATACCTGGGAACATACCTTGAGATTTCACTACAAATATTTGTTTTAAATTGTCCACTAACCTCCTTAAAGCTCATTATTTTTAATACAATTCTAATACAAGCTTTAAACTCCGTAATATTTTTGCCAATTTTCTTATTTTATTACTGATATAGGAAGAGATCCCTTTTATACCTTATTTGAGTATTTGTTTTATTTAAAGGCAACAGAATGTGAACCTGCAACCTCTTCCTCATTCTCTTCTACTCTGTGGATTCCCCTGCTTTTCGCAAGAAGTAGTTTGATAAATCATGCCATGGAACTATATTAGATATTCTCTCCACATAATTATTTAGTTACTCTGTTCTGCCTTTAGACTATCTTAGAACACATTTATGAATAATTCCTAATTAGTTATTTTTATAGACGTATTAGATATTTTCATTGGGCAGAAATATTGTAGGAAACTAAATACAGTTCAACCAGATTGTCTCTTTTAAATCATGTATTTGTATGGCATCATCACCAATCCACATACACACACTTAAATAATTTTCAGATAATTTAGACCTTTTGCCTTCAGCATTACAGCTCCCCATAGATTACTGTCTAATTTCACAGATAGTTAAGCCCCAACATTGAATCCTGTGCACCTTTGGCTAAACAGAAATCGGTGGGTATCTAATAATTAGAAACTAAAGGGCTTCAACCCCAGCATTGATTCGTTTTCTTATTATTTCTCTGAGCCTGTGAAAGCATTTGATTTTTGTTTCTGGGTTGCATTTGATTTTTGTTTCTGGGTTACATTTGCTTATAGAAAATGGAACTGTCTTTCCGTTTATGAAAATAGACCCTATCCAATTCTGCAGTTGCTTGGTATATGCCTAAATGAGACAGAAGCTTCACTCATAGCTCAGGCATTTTATTTCAACTTTTATTGTTTTTTCATATCATAGTAACCAACATGTATTTTATGTTTCCCCTATTGCTGCATTCAACAGTCAAAAGTCTTTAAAACTATATATATTTAGATCTTAGCACAGTGGTGGTATTGAAGGCCATTAAAGCATTCAAAAAAATAATGCTTAGCAATGGGAACATTGGGCTGAGAAATAGAGACAAGTAGGATTCTCTCACCTTGTATGAAATAATCTAAATTGCCTGTTAGGGCCAGAGAAAGAGATTTCTGCTGTAAATTTCACTTGTCTCTCCATTGATCAGGAATAAAATTCATTAAATATCAGTAATTTTTACTAGAATTTTATTTGTTTTTAGCTTTTTAGTGACTAGTCTTCCAGGTTTTCCTATTTTTTTCCAGGTTTTCACTTTAGTACTTTTTGTCAATCAATGTCAAGAAAAATAACTAAATAGGAAAAAACTAAGGTGACAAAAGAATAGAATAATAACAAAAAAATAAATAAACATATTCAGTATTATAGGGGATGGACATCAATAATTGATATAGTGATACAAATTGGTAAATAAGAGTTAAGTTAGGCAAAAAAATGTCATTTTTAAAAGACATTTGAGGTGAGGAGTTAGGACATAAAATATTGAGAAGATGAGAGGAGGAGACGACAGATTTTACCTCTGAAAATTGGCATACAGTCATGCACTGCAGAAGGACATTGCAGTCAAAGACTAACCACATATACCACAGTGGTCCCAGAAGATTACAATACTGTATTTTTACTTTATCTTTCCTATGTTTAGATATTAATTATATCTAAATGATACACAAATATGTACTATTGTGTTCCATTGCCTGCGGTGTTCAGTACAGCAACATGCTGTACAGGTTTGTCGCATGTTATAAAAATAAGCAATACCATCTATTCTTGGTATGTAGTAAGCTGTATGTACCTCCTAGTAGGTTTGTGTAAGTATACTGTATGATGTTTGCAAAGTGATGAAGTTGCCTAATGACACATTTCTTATATGTATCCTTGCTGTTAAGTGGCATGTGACTGTATTTTAAGTTAAGGGATGCATGGATATATTTGTGAACTCAGAAGGTTATGAGCAGAGTGGATGAGGGTTCCTTGAGGGAAGAAGAGTCAATGATGGAAGCAAAATGAAAGAGAGAATCACTTAATACATGTGATGAAGAAATACCAGCTCTAGTTTACAAGACAAATTGTGTTGCCTCTCTGGGGAAAGAGCAGCTGCTCCTTCCTCTTTTAAATTTGGCTTATATAGTACTTTGTATAGCAAATTTAATTTACAGCATTGCTAGCATTACTTTGTGGGGATGAGTTCTTCTAACATACTCTAAATAATGAGCTCTCTTCTTGATAAGATTTAACATTTGCTTATCTAACTAACATAAAGATTGTTGTCCATATAAAGTAAATACAAGTCGGGACTTGAACATTGGCCAATAAACAAATTTACCACCACCACCAACTCCACATTTCTTCAAAAAGCTTAATATATCCAGTTTCCAGCTCAGTATTAACAATGGAAAATTTTAAGTTAAATACTGGTATAAAACATGAATCATGCGTGCTATTTTTAAAAAGATTATCTTTGGTGCTGGAGTATTTGGATACTATGTTTAGAAATAGGACTGTTGTGCTCTCTGGTTATACATTGAAGAAGCTGAGCTTTTTGGAAATCAATATTCAAACTTAGAGCTTATCCTTTCCTAAAAAAAGAAACAAACATAAGGATAAATGACCATCTTCTTTCAGAAACTTAGTCTTGCTAATGTTAATGAAGGCATTAATTCTCTATACAGCAAATAAATTTACAATGTGAAATGGAGGCTTTTCTCTCAACTATGTTAAGATTCTTTTAATACACTGTTCATCTGTGATACCTTTATTCCAGATTATGCCAGAATTATGTCTTCAGTAGTAAATTCATATGTAAAATAATTTGCACACACAATTGTTCCAGACCTGGATAAAATGAGTGATGACAATTTTATTATCGCTACTTATGAACCCCTTCACCTTTTCCATCACCTTAATACCCTGTGTCTTCCTGATGAGTACTTCACTTTCCAGACTTATGCCACTATCTTGCACACCTGGGTAAGGTGATTAATCATATGAACATAATTAGAAACAGAAGGACAGATATAGGTATATCTTGGGTATGGCTGTGTGTGTATGTATGTACATATATGTGTATATATGTATACACACACATGCACACACATATATTTGTATATACACACAGGTATATGTAAATACACATATGTATTTACATGTAAATATACCTGTGTGTATATACAAATAGATATGTATATATACAGATATACATATATGTATGTACATACACATACAGCTATTCCCAAGATATAGCTATTTCTATTTCTCTCCTGCTCACAAAGAGAAACAATTATGCTGTGTTCAACAGTTTCAGCCTAAATTATGCAAAATGTTTAAAGAAAGATAAAGACTTGCAAAGTTTAAATTTACTGGGTAGATAGCAGTTACATTTTAACAACTATCTCCAGGGTATGAATCCACTGACATAATTTTAATAACCCTACATCAAAGGCCAATGGGCTGTTTTTGTTACCATTAGACTTTTCTCAGATTCAGCTCCTTGGACTCTTCCAGAACCCTTATTATAGTTGTGGAAATCTCTTAAGACCTAAATACATATTAATGGCCATTCTTTAGGATGTATCAGAGTCACTATGTGAGTAAAATCTGTTCTTAATCAGGAAAGGCTCTACTTACTCAGGAAAGTTCGATAATTGCCTAGGATAAATGCAAGTAATTTGGAGGGAGAGGTGGAATAGCATGGACAAAGGTACAGAGATTAAAGAAAGAGGAACCAGGACAACAAAACAAGCAAGTTTGTCAAGTCAGATAGATTGTATATAAGGGAAGAAATATATTACTATTTGAATTTGAAGGAGGGAGGTGGAAGAGAGACGTTGAAGAAATCTTGAAATCCCTTACCAAGGATTTGCCCTCTTTACCATTTCAAGGCACCTTATGTGCTTGTGGTGCACTATTTGTAAATGTTATAATCACCCTTAGATAGATGCCAATGGAAAGATCTACTGGCAAGAAAGGGAGGAAAGAACAGCTATTTTTAAATCATTATTTCTATTCTGAAAATTTGGTTGACCTTTCTTCCTGCTATGAATGCTTACATAGTTTTATATAACCATTGTATTTGTAGCAAAATGGAATGATAAAACATAGCTTATGATTTGTTATAATAAAAAGAGCTGTGAGTCCTACTGTTTATGTAGGACAAGTGCTGTGGCAGGGACACTGCCTGCTGTGGCAGTGACATTGGAAGAAAGCAATGCAATGGGGCAAAAACATAACAAAACTATTCAGAGCCTCTACAGCCTTTTATAATGAGATGTTGCATAAACAAGGAAATAAGGGGACAGGAGAGGTTCTCTCATATTCTATTATAAATATTGATGGTAGTTTGTGATGAGTGGTAGGGCATATGGAAAAAAGATAAAACAGGAAATGAAATCAGCTTTAATTTCAACAGGCCAGACCTCTGGAATTAAATATCAAAAGATAAGATTCCAGTTGGGTGAACGCTTTTGGATTTTGTTTATAAAGAAAGAAAAGCCTTTTAAAATGTGAAGACAAGCAGCTTAACATTTTTTTTTCATCTAACTTCCCTCCTTATAAATTGTGACTGTGGAGATTTGAGTCCTATTATTCTATAAATATGGGAATTATGATTATATGTGAAATTATGAGTTTGTAAAATTTTACTGACACTTCAGAAACCACTGTTTCAATCAAAATATGTGTTAAAGATCCCAATGAAATGAACATTGAACATGCAAACTAATTTGCAATACCTTGCATTACCCAACACATAGACTGTGATTTTATACATATTATTTTATTGCTATGATTGTTATCAATGTATAGCTGGGAAATTTGACTTAATTAGATCAATGCCCTAATTATGAACACTAAGCAAGTGAGTAGCATGTTGAGTCTGATATCCCTTCAACATCACTATACCATTCAGAACGAATTTATAGTAAGAATCCAGAATGGATTTTATCAAATTCAGAGAGATAAAGAGACAGCTAAGGGAGGAAGGGGTATATGAGAATGTCAGTTAACTTTAGAGATAGTAGAGAAAATCTACAGTGAAACAGTTATAATCAGCTAAGGGCTGCCATGTTAGTACTTAAAATATATTGAGCAAATTAAGCTTCTGTTTGAGTTGTTTTCAAGTCAATAATCACTTAGCTGTTGTTCTCCATACAAACAGCTCAGTTACACTCAGCAAGCTTAACATGTGGAAAGATTGACAAATGGTAACAGTAGCAGTCAATCAAAGGCAAATCTGTCAAATAAAGAAGGAATTGTTTCCAAAATCAGAAGATCAAAAAGACAAGGCTCTCAGAGGAAGGAGATTACTGACCATGGCAACAGCCACACAAATATTTTATTGTATTTGCTTTCCAACTTTATAAGATTTTAATGAGCTGTGGAAAAACAATAGGTTTAGATTACACTATATTGAAACTACCTTCAGCAGCTGTCTCTGGCCTTGAATGGCATTTAATTTCACAATAAAATATTTCAAGGAATATGAGCACATGCATGAAACTGCTGATTTTGAAAATGCCAATCAAACTAGCATAGTTGTCATTTTTTAATGCCTATGAAACGTATTTATCTAAATAGTATAAGGAAAACAACTTTTTTTCAGGCAATCAGAGCTCCTTTATGAGAAAAATAAGCTGTAAAAAAACAGTCAATAATTGGGAATGCTAAAAGTATTTTTATGGCAGCATGTTTCCCGAAACTAATTTAAAAAGCAAATAATATTAATAAAAACATTGTGTCATTTTATTCTGCTGTATCCTATCTGACAAATAACATAGTAAATGTTTTTAGAATTAAAAAAATGAGAAAGTAAAATATCCTGCCCTATTTTTGGAAACAGACCAATGACTTTCCTTGTTAAAAGCACATTTATTTTCATGAATCTTATTAAATGTCCTCCGGCCCAGTTCTAAAATAACCACTATCATGATTATATTTCTTTCTTTCTTTCTTTCTTTTTATACTTTAAGTTCTAGGGTACATGTGCACAACGTGCAGGTTTGTTACATATGTATACATGTGCCATGTTGGTGTGCTGCACCCATTAACTCGTCATTTACATTAGGTATATCTCCTAATGCTATCCCTCCCTGGTCCCCCAACCCCATGACAAGCCGTGGTGTGTGATGTTCCTCTTCCTGTGTCCAAGTGTTCTCATTGTTCAGTTCCCACCTATGAGTGAGAATATGCGGTGTTTGGTTTTTTGTCCTTGTGATAGTTCGCTGAGAATGATGGTTTCCAGCTTCATCCATGTCCCTACAAAGGACATGAACTCATCCTTTTTTATGGCTGCATAGTATTCCACGGTGTGTATGTACCACATTTTCTTAATCCAGTCTATCATTGATGGACACTTGGGATGGTTCCAAGTCTGTGCTATTGTGAATAGTGCCGCAATAAACATATGTGTGCATGTGTCTTTATAGCAGCATGATTTATATTCCTTTGGGTATATATCCAGTAATGGGATGGCTGGGTCAAATGGTATTTCTAGTTCTAGATCCTTGAGGAATCACCACACTGTTTTCCACAATGGTTGAAATAGTTTACATTCCCACCAACAGTGTAAAAGTGTTTCTAATTCTCCACATCCTCTCCAGCACCTGTTGTTTCCTGACTTTTTAATTATCTCCATTCTGGTGTGAGATGGTATCTCATTGTGGTTTTGATTTGCATTTCTCTGATGGCCAGTGATGATGAGCATTTTTTCATGTGTCTGTTGGTTGCATAAATGTCTTCTTTTGAGAAGTGTCTGTTCATATCTTTGCCCACTTTTTGATGGGGTTGTTTGTTTTTTTCTTGTAGATTTGTTTGAGTTCTTTGTTGACTCTGGATATTAGCCCTTTGTCAGATGAGTAGATTTCAAAAATGTTCTCCCATTCTGTAGGTTGCCTGTTCACTCTGATGATAGTTTCTTTTGCTGTGCAGAAACTCTTTAGTTTAATTAGATCCCATTTGTCAATTTTGGCTTTTGTTGCCATTACTTTTGGTGTTTTAGACATGAAGTCCTTGCCCATGCCTATGTCCTGAATGCTATTGCCTAGGTTTTCTTCTAGAGTTTTTGTGGCTTTAAGTCTAACATTTAAGTCTTTAATTCATCTTGAATTGATTATATTTCTAATATGCTAAAGAATAATATTAGTTCCTGTTTTAGAAAGAGAGAATACTGCAGTTTTGAGTTAATTCCATTAGTCTACATTAACAAAATAAAAAGATTATTAAGTAGAGTATTTATATATGTATTTTAATATATGTTATAATGGCTTCCATAATTTCAGGAAGATATAAACATAATTATAAAGTTAGATTGAGTATTTGTGCTGTTTTACAATACCTATCTTTTCAGAATAATCAAGGTTGTTAATGAATTTTTGAAGTTTAAATAATGAAATACATTTATACCCATATTCCTTAAAGATCTTTCTAAATCATTGGAACAATAAAAATCAGTTAATTTTGACAAACTTTAAGGAGTATTGATTCTTATGGAAGAAAGCAACATGAAAATCTTAAGGGAAACAAACATATTTTTGCATGAAAATTCAGTATCTTAAGGGACAAGAGGAGGACTAATTAATTTTGGGTTTATTATGTACTTAGATGAGATTCTATGCCAATTTATTTACCCAATTTATTTCACGTAATAGTCGCAAACACCCTACCAGGTCAGAATATTTTTTCTGTTTTTCAGATGAAGAAACTGAAGTGCAAAAAGATAAGGTTACTTGTTCAAGGTCCAACAGCTAAAAAGCACTAGAGTTCATGCTTACTTAATCTTAGTTCATTCTGACTCCAATTTCTGTTGTCTTCCTAGTACACTATAGTATATTTCTCACCTTAAAAATTATGTAGGCATCTGGCAAATTTGGAAGCTGCATCACTTTTTTCACCATATAAAAGTGGTGAAAATTCCTTGGTCAGAAATACAATTTTTTTCATGTAACAGTTCATGTAATTCTAATTATTTCTTTTTCTCATACTTTTCACAAAAAACAAGGCAAATATATCACACAAGGTGTTTTATTAAGAACAAGGAAACATTCTAGAAAAGTTAAAAAGTAATCCATTTCACTTCCAAAAAAATACTAGAAAGATGTTAAATACAAATAAAAGGAGAAATACAGTAAAGATAAGCAAAGAAGTCATGAAATTAACAATACAAACAACAACTATAAAAATATAGATTATGAATTAACACAAAGCTAGTTCTTTGAAAATATTATTAAAATTCTAAAACTTTAGTCTAACTGATGATAATAAGGCAAAAGACAGAATTTATCAATACTAGAAATAAGGAATATCAGTTCAGATAATAAAATAAAGGAATGATATATATTTTATATTAATAAATTAGGTAATATAGATGAAATTGTCAGATTATTTGAAAGATACAAAATATCAAAGCTCCCTGAAGACCAACTAGATAAATTAATAGCCCAGTGTCTATTCAGAAAATGGAATGTGTAGATAAAAACCTTTCCACAGGAAAAACTCAAAGTCCAGGTAGCTTTCTTTTAGAAATTTATCTAATGTCTAAGAAGGAAATAATATCAATTCTATAGAACTTTTCCTAGCAAATATAAGAAAAAAGAATCTTACCACTCATTTTATGAAGCCAGCATTGCATTGATGCAACAACTAGACAAAACTTAACAGGAAAAAAATATACACCAACCCCATTTCTCAACATAAATGCAAAATCCCCTAACACAATATTAACAAATTGAATCTGGCAATACATAAAAAGAATGATACATCATGATGAAGTGGAATTTACTTCAGGAATGCAAGTTTAGTTTACTACCTAAAAACAATTAATCAAATAACCATATTCAGAGGGTAGATTAAAAAAAGAAAAGCCATACTATCATCTCAATAAAGGCATTCAACAAAATTTAGCACTTATTCTTGATAAAAACGAAATAGGAGAAACTTTTCTCAACCTGATGAAGTAAAGTTGTAAAAAAATCTTGTGCTAACATCATATGTATGGTGAAAGATTCAATCATTTACCCCTAAATCTGGGAAGGATGTAGGGAGGTCAACTCACATCACTTCCATTCCAAACTACACTGGAAACCCAAACAAATACCATAATGCAAGAAAAAGAAATACAAAAGATATAGATTGGAAAAAATAAATCATTATTTGTTTGCAAATGGCATGACAGACTCTGTAAAATTACAAGGAAGATTATAAAAATGTCAATAAAAATAGGTGAATTTAACAAGATTGCACAATAGAAGGTGCATACCCAAAAATAAATCTATGTAACAGCAACACACAATTTCAAATAGAGACAGAGCATACTAACATTCACAACAGCATCAAAATTGCATCAAAAATGTAAAATACTAAGTCATAAATTTAATGAAATACGTATAAACATCTATACTGAAACCTGCAAAATGTTACATAGAGAAATCAATGAAGATTTAAATTAAATGACTGATACACAATGTTCATGGATCAGAAGACTCAGTATATCTGAGATGTCAACTATCAAGTCAAAGGAATCCAAGTACATATATATATTGAACCTTTATCTAGAATATATACCTAACAACACATACATAAGTTAACTAGAAATAGATCATGACTCCAAATATAAAATAAAAAGCTATAAAATTATTAAGCTCTAGAAGAAAATACAGTGGGAAATCTAGTAACTGTGGGTAGGCAAATATGATTTAAATTGGACCCAACACATGTCATAAGAGAAAAAATGGACAAATTCAACTTCATAAAAATTAAAAACTTTTTTCTTCAAAATATTTGTTTAAAAATAAACTGCAAACTCATAGTCTAGAAGATTATCGCAAAACTTGTAAGACAAAAGTTATGTATACAGAATCTATAAATAAATCTTGTAAATTTACAGGAAACCAAACAACCTCATTGAAAAATAAACAAACAATTTGAACAGAGAATTTACTAAAGAAGATATGCTGATAACCAATGAGCACATAAAAAGACATATAATATCATTAATCACTGGAAAACACAAATTGACACTATAATGATATACTGTTACACATACTCTTAGAAAGGGTAAAATTAGAAAGACTGACTATACCAAGTGTTGGTGAAAAAGTAGAGTAATTTTAACTCATGCACTGTCAGTGAGAATGTAAAATATTACAAACACTTGGTAAAACATTTTGGAAATTTCTTATACAGTTACAATATATTTGTCATATAACCAGTAGTTTCACTGTCGGGTATTTATTAAAGAGGAATAAAAACAAAAAAAAAAGTCCCCAAATATTTAAGGCTGCTTAATGCATAGTAGCTTCACACTGGAAAGAAACTTAATAGTCGCCAATTTGTGAAAATTGTGGTATATTTAAATTGTGCTATATCTGCGTTAAGCAACAATACCCAGCATTAAAAATAATTACCTACTGATACATGCAGTGACATGGATTAATAACAGGAGCAATATACTAAAACAAATAAATGATATAGAAAACATGAGATATTTTATGTTTACATTTACATAAATGTCTAGGAAATGCAAAACTAGCAGATCATTTGCTGTCAGAGTCTGGGACATTAGGAAAGAGAATTGACTGTGAAAGGGCATGAGGTTACTTCTTAGAATGTTGGAGGTGTCTTATGCCATAATTTGATGGTGGTCACATGAATATGTACAACTATATCTCATCAAATTTTACACTTAAAATTTGGGTGGATTTTATGGCATTTATATTATATCATAATAAAACTTATCTAATATAAAATGATGTTAGCCAAGGTCACATATTTTGTAAATGGTAGAAGCAGTTCTTAAACCCAGATATGCTGCCTCTGAGTAAACTATGATATATATTTCTGAAAGTTAGTACTACTATCAAATACGAAGGTGTCCACTGAACATGGTGAACATGGGCTCTTCCAGTTGAGAGGAAAAAAGTGAATTGAAAATATCATTTTTCTCATGATTCTCATTACAATTAATATTGTGCTATAATAATAAAAGAGGTACATACCACATAGATATGATAGGATTTATGTGAATGGGGACCTTTATGGGTTAAATTGTGTCCCCCACCAAATTTAAATGTTAGAATCCTAACCTCTAGTGCCTCACAATGTGGACTTATTTGAAAATAAGTCATCGCTGATGTAATTAGTTAAGATGAGGTCATATTCACGTAAGGTAGGTCCATAATTTCATAGAACTGGTATCCTTAAAAAAATGAAACATTTGGAGACAGACCTGCACACAGGGAGAACACCAAGTGAAGATGAAGGCAAAGATTAAAGTAATGCAGAGGCCAGGGCATGCCAAAGATTGCCAGTGACCTCCAGAATCTAGGAGAGAAGCATGGAACAGATTCTCCCTCACAAACTTTAGAAGACACCAACCCGGCTGACACCTTGGTTTTGGACTTCTAGCCTCCAAAATTGTGAGACAATAAATTTCTATGTTTAAGACACTGAATTTGTGGCATTTTGTTATAGCAGACCTAGCAGACTAATAGGGATGCATGAAGTTGTGCAGTGCATAACCTGCACTGATATAAGTGGTCTCCCAGCAGGTTGCCAAGGCTTAGGTCTAGGTCATGTACACGAAACTTGGTAAACCCTTAATGCTTTTTCAAAGTTAATTTATTTGAAAATGAGAATAAATGTGTAGCTCAGAATATATCTTGAATAATAATTTTCTCCTATAAAAACATTGTTCATCTTGAATTGTAGATCTTTCTTAAAGGATGAAATTTATTCTTTTTTTCCTCCATCACTGCCATTATTATGCCTGTGAAAAGTAACCAACTCTGATGTCATTTAGCATGATTTTCCAATAGTATCAATTTCAAAAGTTTCAATTTACTTACTAAAAAGTTTTGTTAATCAAGGACATGGTTCATATAATTATGAATATTGGAGTTACTGGGAGAACTCCAGATGTTGTTATCAATTTTTCTAATTCATATTTTTGGCATATAGCTTTAAGATAAAACATTAACGCATCAATAGTAGTTTATTATAATTATTATTGCTTACTCTTAACTACATACTTTGATGCTTAGTTAAATTTGTTTATTCAGCCAAGAAATTTCACTACATACAAATCTGATTTTCTCTACTTACATAGAATATATTTGTTTGTGTGTAGATATGAAGCAGCTTTGTTAATTTTGACTTTGACTATTTTTATAAGCATCTGTGTAAATCAGGAGATGAATTGGGTAGGATGTTAATCTGAGTATAACACCAAGTTTGGAGTGGGGGAGCAAAGTAACAGATGAGTGATGATCAAGGTGACTAATGAAAGCTATGGAGAACTAAAAACTCTGGTGGATACAATAGCCCAACAGAAGTCACTGAAGATTAACAATTAAGTTGCCCAGATAATCTCTGGTTTGGGTAAGCCAGAAGCATAAAAACAGATCTGATCTGTAGTTTGGGACTTGCTCATTCAATGAAGGTGGACAATATCACCATTGCCAATTCTTTCATATATATTTGTTAGGAATGATTTAATTGAACAGATAATATTGTAAACCTGCAAGAAGAAATCTTAGTTTTAAATAGACTAGAATATAAGATGGAAGGTAGAACAAAGATATGGAAACATGCTTTAAAATACTTTGGTTTATATATGAAAATGACATTACTCCCTTTCAGCCCAAATTAATTTTAGAGGAAATATATATAGCACATCATAATTCTATCTCAAGTCATTTTTTTGTTGTTGGCCATTGGGATGGTGAATCAACTTAGTTACTAGGTAACACAGAATAAGTCTTTGAGGTAAAAATAAAGTCAATAGTTCTACTACTAATAAACCTTGGCTTCATTAGTTCTACGCAAACCAGTAGGTTACAGAATGGAAAAGACACTACATAACAATTGAAAATGTAATAAGTATTATATCTTACAAGTAAGAATTGTTTTACAGGCGAATTGTTAATTCTATAGTTTTTAATACCCAAAGGAACTATAATGAAGACCTTTAAATTGCCACGTCCTTAAGCTGAGATTAGAATTGTTCTAAGGAGTACTTTCATGTCTATGTCAAGTCCAATTTTCTCCAACATTCTTTATCTCCCTATGTTAGATTCAACTGGTGTATTCCTTTAATCTATACAGACAATGCATTTATAAAACTTACTTGACCTTTAATCATATAGTTCTCAGTTGCAAATGTTAATGCTTCCACATATGTTAAACTCCTTTTCTTATCCAGGCTGTAAGGCTCAAAAGCATACCCTGTACTACACTTCTTTTGTCCCCTCTGCCAGTTTCAGTTCATTCCCAGGCATATCATAAGTATGCTGCAGTAATATAAATGCAGAAATTGGCACCATATAGGCTGATAATTTCTCACAAATTGAACTTACTCAGGTAAAGTGTTTCTAGGTTAAGAAACAAAACATTACCAGTACCCTCAGAAATATCCTCATAACTCTATCCAGTCAAGACTCAATCCCCAAGGAAAATCAATATCTTAACATCTAATGAGGTTTATTGTGTACTTTTTGGAAATGGAATTATACAAGATATAATCTTTAAATTTGACTTATCTCTTTCTTTATCATTGTAAGAATTGCCTGTATGTTATGTGTAGTTTTAGACTGCTCATTCTCATTAATGTATAATACAAAATATTTTAGCTCTTCATTTTACTGTTGATGGGATTTTCATTAATTTCTAGTTGGGGACTATTATACTAAATGTAGAGCTAAAATATAGTGATTTGTTCATTGCTGTTTGATTACATTGCTCTGAGGTCACTCAGTTCTAAGATTTGAAAAGCAAATGACAAATTAGTCATATTACATGTACCAATATCTATTTTACTTTTAAATAAGCACTTTTTAATATTGGGAGAGTGTATTTTGAAAACATTAAAATGGAGTATGTGGGCTTCTTTCTCAAACAGCCACTTTTATTTAGTCCAAATTTTCAAGTTCTCTATTAAAACCTAGTCTTGCATCTTAGATTAAAATATATTATTTTTGCTAAGAAGCTGCCATGTCATATGGAAATTCATATGTTGAAATCCTATCCTCCAATGTAATAGAATTAGGAGGAGAGAGGTAATTAGACCATGAGAGTAGAACCCTTCACAAATGGCATTATTGGCTTTGTAAAGGAGACCACATTTAGCTAGCTCCTTCTATGATGTGAGGATAAAGCAGCACAAAGTTGCCATCTATAAGGAACAGGTCCTCACCAGACACCCATTTGCTGATAAACTGATCTTGGAATTCCCAGCCTCCAGAACTATGAGAAATAAGTGTTTATTGTTGATGCAATTTATGGTATTTTTATTATAACAATCTGAATAAACTAAGCTAGAAGCATTTGAGGATTAGTATAGATGTTCCCACTTGGCAACATTCAGAAATAAAACAAGCCTACAGAAAGAATAAACCAATATGCATCCTATCCCATTCCCCACACCACCCAGACTATCCCCATAAAAATCTCAGCATGACTATTGTGAAAAAATATGTGTATGTCTACATATACATATAAACAGACATATATGAACATATGTGTGCATGTCTACATTTTCAATAGACCTTTTTTAAAGAAGTTTTAGATTCACGGCAAAAAAGAGCAGAAGTAAAGAGTAACACATATGGCCTGACCCTCCACCCCCATCCACGTCCACTGTCAACATCCCTCAACAGAGTGGTAGGTTTATTACAATCAATTAATCTACATTGACAAATTATCTGCCCAAGTCCACAGTTTACATTAGTGGTGTTTACTCTTGGTGTTATAAATTCTATGGGTTTGGACAAATTTATAACGACATGTATCTACTACTACAGTATCCCACAAAATAGTTTCACCACCCTACAATTCACTGTGCTTTACCTATATTTCCCTCCCCACTAACTCCTGACAACCATGGATCTTTTTACCATCTCCATAGTTTTGCCTTTTCCAGAATGTCACATAGTTAAGATTCTACAGTATGTAGCCTTTTCAGATTGGTTTCTTTCGCTTAGTAATACTCATTTAAGGTTGTTCTATGTCTTTTCATGACTTGATAGCTCATTTGTTTTTAGCACTGAATAATATTCCATAGTCAGGATGTAACACAGTTTAGTTATTTATTCACATGCTGAAGGATTTCTGGTTTGCCTCTGAGAATTTGGAATAGTGAAAAAGGTGCCATAAACATCCGTGTGTAGGTTTTTGTATAAACATAATTTTTCAAACACTTTGGATAAGTAGCAATGAGCTCAATTGTTGAATCATATGGTTAGAGTATATTTAGATTTGTAAGAAACTGCCAAACTGTCTGGTAAGGTGACTGTACTATTTTGTATTCCCACCAGCAATGAATGAGAGTTTCTATTGCTACACATCCTTGTCAGCATTTGGTGTTGTCAGTGTTGCAGATTTTGGTCATTGTAATAGATGTGTAGTGGTATCTCATTGCTCTAACTTGGATTTCCCGGATGATATGTGATCTGGAATATCTTTTCACATGCTTATTTGCCATCTGTATATCTTCTTTGGTGAGGTATCTGTTAAGGTCGTTGGCTCATTTTGAAATAATTTTTTAAAATTATTATTATTGTTGAATTTTCATGGTTCTTGGTATATTTTGGATAACAGTTCTTTATCAGTTATGTTTGTTGTAAATATGTCATCCTAGTCTGTGTCGTATCTTCTCATTTCCTGACAATGCATTTTGCAGAACAGAAGTTTAGAAGTTTTTAATTTTAATGATGTTCAGCTCCTTTATTTTTTCATAAATCATGCCTTTGGTGTTGTATTTAAGAAATCATAGACATCCCCAAAGTCATCTTGATTTTCTCGTATATTATCTTCTAGGAATTTCACAGTTTTGCATTTTACATTTAGGTCTGTGATGGTACTGCTAAAGTCAACTACCATTTGAGATAGGTACTAAGAAGGGTATAAATTCTGTGTCTAGATACTTTAATTTTCTTCAGGTGGATGTCTAGTTGTTCAAAGCATTGTTTGCTGAAAAGACTATTTTTTTTTCATTGTAGTGTCCTTATTCCTTTGTAAATATAATCATTCAGTTGATTATATTTGTGTGGATCCATTTCTGGGCTCCCTGTTGTGTTTTATTCATCAAGTTGTCTATTGTTTGTTTGTTTTTACCAATAACACACTGTCTTTATCACTAGGACAGTGATAAGTAGGACAGTGTCACTCCTCTGACTTTGTTCTTCTCCTTCAATATTGTGTTAATTATTCTGTGTATTTTCCCTCTCCATACAAGCTGTAGAATCAGTTTTTCAATAACCACAAAACAACTTACTGGGATTCTGATTGGGATCATGTTGAATCTATAGGTCAAGTTGGGAAGAACTGACATCTTAACAATATTGAGTCTCTCTATCCATAATCCTGGAATATCTCTCCCTTTAGTTCTTCTTTGACTACTTTCATTGAAGTTTTATAGTTTCCTTTACATAGATCTTGTACATACACCAATTTATTTTTGAGTGTTTAACCGCCTTACATATCTGGAAAAGTCCCACTTAATCCTGGTGCATAATTTTTTTTCTGTTGTTAGATTTCATTTGCTAATATTTTGTTGATGATTTTTATGTCTAAGTTGATGAAAGATATTGGTTTACAGTTTTCTTTTATTGTAATATCTTTACTTGGTCATTTCTTACGGTAACACCATCCTCATAGAATGTGTCTGAAAGTGTTTACCATTTCTATATTTTCTGGAGAAGGTTGTAAAGAATTGAAAGCATTTCTTCCTTAAATATTTGATAGACTCACTCTCTGGTTCTGGTGTACATCTGGTAGTTTGTGTCTTTCAGGCAAATGTTCCATTTAATATAAGCTATTAAACTTGTGGATATAGCTCTATTCATTGTAGCTCTATATTTTTCATAGGATTAGCACAGATGAGCCTTTTAATTTTTTTAATTGACATTGAACACTGGTAATGTGTACCTCCTGTCTCTCTCTCTCTGTCTCTCTCTCTCTGTCTCTCTCCCTCTCTCCCCTCCTTACTTCTCTTTTGATTTCCACTCCAACTTTATTTTCTTTTTATTTCTTTTTCTGTTGATTCATGTTTTGTTTTATCTTCTTTATCTTTCTTTCTCTAGTTTTTCTAAGATTAAATTATTTTTTAGATTTTTAATGTATATTTAATCCTATAAATTTCCTAGTTAGCAATGCTTTCAGTATATTTTCATTTTCAATTAATTAAAACCTTCTCTTGAGATTTGTTTTGCCAATTTTTGTAGCAGCTTGTTTATTAATCTACACATAATTGTAGATTTCTTCCAGCTATCTGTTTTTTATTTCTAGTTTAATTTTGTTTTTGTCTGAGAATATACTTTATATGATTTGTTTTTATTTTTAATTTGTTAAAGTATGTTTCCTGGCTAAAAATGTGATCTGTCTTGGTAAATGTTCCATTTGAGCTAAAGAATGTGTATTCTGCTATCGCTGGATGGTGTATTCTATAAATGTCAGTTAAGTCAAGTATATTGATGGTGTTATTCACGTCAACTTTATCTTTGCTGACATTCTGTCTGCTTGGTGAATAAATTACTGGCAGAGAGATGTTGAAGTTTCCAATTATAACAAAGAATTTGTCCATTTTTCCTTGAAATTCTGTTAGTTTTTTTTGCCCATGTATTTTGAGACACTACTGTTAAATTCATATATATTTAGAGCTGTTATGTATTTTTAAAAAACTGCAACTTTTATTATTGTGTTACATTCCTGTTTATCCCTGATAATTTTCTTTGTTTCAAAGTCTGCCTTGTCTGAAATTAATACAGTTACTTCAGCTTTTCTTTAGGTAGCATTAATATAGCATATATTTCGCCATCTCTTTTTTTAAACTGTCTTTATATTTAAAATACATTTCTTGTAGCCAACATATAGTTTGGGTTTTGAAATCAATTCTGACAATCTGTCTTTTAATTGATGTCTTTAGGCCATTCATATTTAATGTGATTACTAATATAGATTGAATAATATCTATCAGATCCATGTTTTCTATTTATTGAATTTATTTTCTGTTTCTTCTCCCTTTATCCTTATTTTCTACCCTTTCTGACTTAATTTAAGCTTTTATAAGATTCTATTTTATGTGCTTTCTTTGTATGCTTCACCTTTTAAACAGTTTTCAATAATTGTTATGGAATTTACAATATACATTTCCTACTAACCTAAGTATACCTTCAAATAATATTATGTACCTTGTTGGGTAAAGCGGCATTGTTCTCATTCATTTCACTTACTCATACGTTATATTCATCCAATATATTATTAGTAACATAGCTTTCAACAAAAAGATGTCTTTTAAATCAATTACAAATGAGAAAAAGAAAACACTTCATTTTGTCTGCATTTATTTCTTCTATAAAATTCTCCCTTTAGAGAGAATAAATAATATTCAAATATCTTACCTATATCATTTTCCTTCTACCTGAAGAACTTGTTTTAGATTCTTGCAGGACAGTTCCTCCTAATGAAATTCCTCTGGTTTTGTTTGTCTGAGAAAGTATTTATTCTCCACTTTTGACAGATAATTTTGCTGAATATAAAATTCTAAATTGGTGGCTTTTTTCTTATTTCAATCACCTAAATATTTCTCACTCCATTTACTACTGCCTTTCATAGTATCTGATGAGTTCACTGAAATTCCTATCTGGGTTTTTCTATAGGAACTAACATTGTGCCCCTTCCCACTTTATGACTTCTTCCTTTGGTTTTTGTTTTCTACAGTTTGAGTATGATATACCTAGTTATAGTTTATTCATTTTGCTTTTCTTTATTCTGTTTTGTTTTGTTTTCTTTAGGGGGAGGTAGTTACAGTGTTTGCTGTTCTCTGATTTTTGTATCTTTCATTAATGTTGAAAAATTCTCAGTCATTGTTACTCTAAATTATTTCTTCTGCTCTCTTCTATCTCACTTTTCTGGTAATCTAATGTAATGTGTATATTACATCTTTTGAGATTGCCGCACAGCTCTTAGATGTTCTGTCCTGCTTTTGCCTTCTTTTTCCTCTTTGCATTTCAGTTTGAGAAATTCCTTTTGACCTATGTTCAGGTTCACTGATTCTTTTCTTGGCCACATCAACTCTACTAATGAGCCCGTAAAAGGCACACTTCACTTATGTTAAATAGTTTTTCAAGTTCTTGTATTTCTTTTGATTTTTTCTTAGAGTTCCCTTCTCTATTCTTGCATTAACCATATGTATTTCATGTTGCCTACTTTTTTTCCCTTAGAGCACTTAACATGTTAATCATAGCTGTTTTAAATTTCAGTAATTACAACATCTGTGTCATACCTGAATCAGATTCTAATCTTTTCATTGTCTCTCCAAACTGCTTTTTCTTGTATTTTGGTGTCTTCTAACTTTTTGTTTAAAGACTAATGCGGTATCTGTATTAGAAATTGATGTGCCTAAGCCTTTATTGTGAAGATTTACATTAACGTGCATAGGAGCTAGGCTCTATTTAATGTTTGTTGTATCCACAGGTACCAGGGGTTTCAAATTCCTCTAGTGTCCTTATTTTTGTCTCCATGCTTAATTCTTGTCATCCCTATGTATTCCTCCTCTCAGAGAATTTGAGTCTTGTAACTCTGTTAGCTATAATTATGCTGAAGTTTTGATTGTATGCTAGTCAAGTATGGAGCATTCAATAATTTTCCAATTAAATCTTAGTTTTTCAGTGTCCTGTGTCTCTGAGATGTGCTTAATTTTTGAATAATGTTTGCATATGCTGTATGGAGATGAATAAGTTTCTTCTTTTTCCATGTAGTTTTTTAGTACCATTGACTGAAAAATATCCTTTTTCCTTTGAATTTCCTTGACAATTTTGGCAAATCTGAATTTACCTTATACGTGTGGGTGTATTTCATTTCTTTCAAATTTTTCATTGATCTATGCCTATATTTATGGCAGTACCATGCTGACTTAATTAGTGAGGATTTATAATGTCTTATAATCACGTAGTACACCAAAACCTCAGCAACAAACCTTCACATGTACTCCCTGAATCTAAAAGTTGAAAAAACAAAACAAAAAACAAAACAGATAGTACATGTTATCTGATTTTGTTTTCTTGTTAAAATACGTTATGATTTCTACATAAATTTCTAAATTATTTGTAATTCTTAAAAAGCTTAGTGGGATTTTTATTAGGATGATATTAAATTTGTACACTAACTTGGGGAGAACATTTTAGCTGTATTAGTTTTCGGTGGTATATCTATTTTTTGGTGTATCAATTTTTTTAGACCTTATTTTCTCTCAGTGATATTTGGTAATTTTCATTGTATAGATATTTATATATTTTAATGAAGTTTTTCTAAGCATTTATTTTGATGTATTGTGAATGAAATTGTTTTTAAACCTTATTATCAGGAAGTATGTTACAAGTATATAAAAATACAATTTATTTTTATATAACAAACCTACATCCTGAGAACAGTGACCTTGCCAAATTTACTTCTAATAAATTTTAGTTGGTTCTTTAGGATTGTCCTCATAGGTAACAACCATGTTATTTCCAAATAAAGGGATCTTTGAGACATTGGACATTACAACATACTAATTATTGGAGTCAATGTCGAAGAAAGAAAATGATCTAAAATCCATGAAATCCACATCACACCTGTCTTCTCTCTCTCAAGGAATCAAAAGAGATATTTAGCCTATGATTTTGTACCCAATCTTACTGCCCTCTCTTACACAAATCTTGTTGAAAACATCATCTAAAAAATGTTTTATTTAATGAAAAGATCCAAGTTCTAATTTTGTTGTCTCAAATCAGCAGTATTTCTCTTGTTTTCTCGAATGTTTGTTGTTTCAGCATATTATATTAATATATCAGTTCATTATTTGGACAATTTTAGTGATGAGAGCATGTGGCTTCCCAGTGGAGCTCTCTATTGAGGTAGTCTTACTCTTGAAGACCAGGGGAACTAACTAGTGGGCAAACTTAAAATCCACTTTTTTTTTTTTTTTTTTTTTTTTTTTTGAGACGGAGTCTCGCTCTGTCGCCCAGGCCGGACTGCGGACTGCAGTGGCGCAATCTCGGCTCACTGCAAGCTCCGCTTCCCGGGTTCACGCCATTCTCCTGCCTCAGCCTCCCCAGTAGCTGGGACTACAGGCGCCCGCCACCGCGCCCGGCTAATTTTTTGTATTTTTTTAGTAGAGACGGGGTTTCACCTTGTTAGCCAGGATGGTCTCGATCTCCTGACCTCATGATCCACCCGCCTCGGCCTCCCAAAGTGCTGGGATTACAGGCGTGAGCCACCGCGCCCGGCAAAATCCACTTTTTAATTGCCTATAAATAGAAATTTTGGCCTTTGAAAAATATATTTGTTGTTCCTATTGAAACATATATAATAATCCCTTATTTGTTTACTTTTGCATACCTTAGTGTACATGCTATTATTGTGTAGACATTTCTCAAAAAGAGTATCCTATCAGAAAATTAAGGCATGGTCTTTTTAAAAAGTAGGATTTTCTAAGTGACAATAACATTTAGAAATTTTAAAATCCCTTGGGATATACTTTTGTATATCATTATGGATTTCATTAAGAGTTATAAAAATCCAAAATTCTAGAGCGATTTAATATGTTCGGGAGTTTAAATTTCTTTTATTGCATATAGTTACATTTGCATAAAAGTTAAGTAAAGCAATTTCAGTTCTGTTGAACAAAGGGAGGAAAAATCCATGGTGAATAACCTGTGATGATAGTCTTTTCTACAATTTTGACTTTATCTTTACTCCTCAGGAAAAGGAGCTTAACAGCTTTTTGTCATAACAGAAATCAAACACTAAGCACTTCTTTTCATATATAGCAAATGATAAAGGAAAGCCCATAGATGATTTAGCTGTAAGAAGACTGATACCCATTAATTTAGTGTTGTTTTGGGTATATTATTCTATTTTGCTAAGATTAATCTCCCAACCTGTGTAGCCATTGTGCCAACTATTTATTTGATAAAAGGTGGTACAGTTTGTGAACCTGAATTTATTCTTCCTTTTTATATCCTTATTATGGTCAACATATTAAATAATACAAATGTGTACATGAATATATATTCAACATTCTAGTGGGAATTATACATAAATAAGAGAAAAACATATTTGCCTTGGGAAGGAGACAAGATTTTAGGTGGTAAAAGATATTGAATGTTTATGCTGGATGTGGTTATAATAATCAACTTGTCCCTTCTATTCTCCAGTCTTTTTACCTCTATTGAGAATTGTGTTTATGTCTCCTTGACAGACAACACAATGTAGGAGAATTAACTGAAAGGAATCAAGTTCTTTCTGATATCTAAATAATATCCTATTCTCTTAAACATACCAGAATATCACTAATGAATATGTTACCATACTTTCCCACCAGTAAAACACCTGCGTCATCAACTAGAATCCCAGGAAAAAAAGAAGGTGCCATACACTGCATTTTAGTATATTTTACAACCTGTTTCTAATCTGCCATAAAATGTGTGACCATGTGTTTTCGTCTTTTAAGACAATTTAAACATTAATTTGTGCAGTAGCAATAGAAAAAAAAAACAAGACAATTTCAACAGACTGATTGTGTAGGTCTAATTACCAAAGCATTATAAATCCTGTGAAAATGCATACTGGTCTTATTTATGAAACAAAGAGCTCATATTCTCAGAGGGCTTTCTAGTGATTAGTACCTCTCCCCAGTATCTATTTTGAGAAAAAAAAAAAAGGCAGACTGAGGTAAAATCGGTATAATGGGCTTATTTTCACCCATGGTCCTTTCTCTTCCTCACTGTAATCTTGACGAGCCTTTTAGAAACATTCGATCCCAATTTCCTAATAAGCAAGAAGAAAGGCTTAAGCTTGATGTGTCTAACAATAACCCAGTGCAAACATTACATTCCATAGGTTTTATTTTCATTAGATACTGTACCTTCTTTTACAATTTTCATGTCAGTGTTTTCCTAAATATTTAATTATTTTAGGTTTTTTTCCAAGTAGAATTTATGAAATAAAATGTAATACTTTTTTTCCATATGGAACAGTCAGAGAGAACATAGACACACATTAGACAATAGACATGGGCATGGGAGAAAAGAAAACAACAGTTATTCTTCAACCATAGATTTGCTTGTCATTTCTTTCAAAAATTTTTCTTTCCTTTAGAGAAATCTAATTTTATGCATGAAAGCATATCCTTAATTTCAAGAGAGGATGATGGTATCATAATCTGACCTACCCAAGAATTTACAGTTTCCTCCACATTTCCTCACCTGCTAAGGTAATCAGCATATGTTTCTCTCTACTTCCCAATCAGTTGATTAAATTATTGAACAGTATTTGACCTATATTAGGTAGCATTACATTCATTTGGGATCTTGTAATGTGATTTGGTGTAATTATTGTTCATTTCAGCAATTCATTGTCTTTTTTCACAGAATTTATGTCTATCTTAATTTACATCTCACTATTTAAGTGAAATTAAAGTCTCTTTAATAAATGTCACACTGACTTGAAAATCCATATTCTTTAAATACAAAACACATTTCTCTATTAATGTCTAAACTTATTATTTTCCCCACCATCCTACACTAGTTAAAAGGAACCCAACATAGGCAGGATTAAACTAGTTTTCATTATCATAAAGAAGCCACCGCATATAGGAAACCGTCTAAATAGCCCATGAGTAGGGTCTGAAGGTAGAAAAAGGAGATATTGTGCAGGTGAGAAATGCCTAGTTGTGTAGTTGGGTAAACTCTTAGGAAAGTGCTGAGCTGTGGGTCAGCTGCAGGGCATGGCATGGGATTCTGCCTTCCTACTGGGGTCTCTATAAAGTCATGGGCATAACTCAGGGAAGAGGCAGGTCTGAATATTTCTGAGAAACAAGAGCTTCCCTTATTAATCTGGCCAAGCCACAGCTGACCCTCTAGGGGCTTAAAGTTTATTTGCTTCACTTACAGAGTCTGAAGGTTTATAGAAGCATATCCCTAGAGTTTTACTATCCTCGTCTTCTGCGTTACACATGATATATTAGACATCAGTGTGTTCCTTGTACCACTTTGTCTATAATGTTTCCAGTTTTCTTAGGAAAGTTACATGGGGTTTTGGAAGCTTAGAAAATATAATTTCTCTTCCATGCTTCTGTCCATAGAGGCATAGCAAATTTATAAAATATGAAACACGTCATTTCTAAAATATTCCTAACCTGCTTCCTGGTGTCTTTGACTGATGAGATGGTTCAACTGAAGCTGCAAACACTTGACATATTTTTATGCCAAATTTATAATAAAATGATATTTTTCTAAGAATTAATGTATCTCCGCTGGTAGAATTGATTAGTATTCATAAGCATTTTCATTGGCACTGCTAACAAAGATAATTAATATGCTTTCAACAGATGCCACTTGTGATGCCAATGAGTGAATAAGGACTTTCCTTTTTATTCTAGACATACAGAATAAGTGCCAAAAAGTGCTTTTGTACCTTTGTGCCTTTGCTTGCCAAATAGATCAGGACTCTTTTTTTAACTGTCTCCACACCAAATTTAACAAACTTTCAGTAAAAAATTTCTTGTTGGGTAAGGGTGGAGTTCTGATTATGATGTGAGAAAATAATCATGTTGCACAGTTTAAGAAAATACAAATTATTTACACATAGAAAAGTAAAATGCCTTGATGATAAGAAAAACATTGGTTTAAAAAACCCTCAAATTTCTAGCTTCTTTACAAAGCCATCAAACACTCAATTCTTAGAGGTATTTATTGGTATTTATTGGCTCAGAACACTCAATGTACCCTCAGGTAGACAACAACAAAAAATAAATTTAGACACAAAAAGTAGTAGATTTCCATGGTGGTGTTTTCCAATGTATTCTTTTATTTGTGAGCTGGCCCACTTCAATCTGTATCATAATCATAAACCCAATTTCTTATCGGCTTCTTCAATGCCACCCAATCCCATGTTCACTTTGATGAATGATAGAGTAGTGGGTCCATCACCAAAGGTGGTCTATGTCCTGTCATTTATGCAGATCCTAGACCCTTGTCATGGTTTACAATTGAGAGGCACATATGTAATTCAACCTGGTATAAAGAAAGCCCCTCCTTGGGATTATCAGATTTAAAATTCAAAACAGTGAGCTACTCTGCATTAAGTTAAATTGTGAATGTAAAGTTCTGGAGTTATCTAGAATTCTTGCCAAGTGAACTAGAAAGAAAAAACCGATGCAGCTGATAGTGTCACCTGCAACTAAGAGTACTTATTAATATAACAAATTGCAAATATTGCTGATAGGAAGAGGCGAGGAAAAGCAAGTCCTAAAATATTTGATTCCAAGTTTCTTAAAGTTTGTATAGTTTATTTAAATATCATACTTCTGACTTATATCTATATTGTATTTTTTCATTTTTTTTCTCTTAAGCTTGGTGAAGTTATGCTTCCATCACTTGAAACTAAATTAGCATTGAAAACACAACAAACTGAAAATATTGCTGATAAATATCCCAAGTTACCAAAAGCTTTCCTAGAGTATATTTTTAAGTGTTTTTCAAAATCCTTAAGCCCACCATTATCACTACTCATTCCTCAACACCCACACATACCAGAACATTTCATCTTTTGTATCATTTTTGTTTTTAATTGATTTGATGGAAGAGATAAGGTGGAGTCAAATTGTACAAAGTCAATTCTGAAGTTTCTTAACCATTATTGAAAACAAATGATACCTTTAAAATAGAATATAGCTAAAGTAACATGAGGTTCAACTATAACTCTGCTGTAATTGTACAGTGTCTGAAATTTTTAAACTAGTATCATTTAATAACTCATTTGCTGTTATTTACAAATATTTACTAACCATTTATTATGAGTCAAGCACTCTCTTATGTGCTTTGATTATAGAAGTGATTAAAACAATTAAAAAGTTCTTGTTAAATGGAGCTTACATTTTGGCATAATCCAAACTTAAATGGACTTCAAACTACTTTTAATATTTTTAATTAGTACAATAAAGTTTGAAGGAAACAGAAAATATAGTTAGTAAATGGCTTGAAATTTTATTTCTTTTCATCAGTAGTTTTGTGAATACCTTACCAGATGTCATGGTAGATTTGAAATTACTTTCAAAAAGGTTTCAATCTGTTGAGACTCAAAAATAATTTATAAATTATTTTCTATTAATTATTTAACATTTAAACATTTTCTATTAATTATAATTATTTTCTATGAATCATAGTAGAAAACCCATATCAAGTTAACATCATGACATCATCTTCCATAAAGAAAACAGGACTTTAGATTAGATGATTTCTAATAACATTATCATCCATAAGATAATATGAATATACACTATTAGGCATTTTAATTATTCTAGATACAACATCTTTAAAGTGAGTAGCATATAGTAAGTTGTGAAAAGTTAGAAGGTATTATTTTCAATCTTATTTGTATTAATACTTTTTAAAATGAGAAATGTACTTTCAGAATGGCCTTATTGATAAAATTATCCTCCTTTTGACATATTCTTAATTGGTATTATAGCTAATATCTTAAACTTACCTTGGAAGTACACATACTTTTAATTATCTTTAAATAATGTGGGATCTTGAAATAGAGAAAATGAAAATAAACCTTTTTTTTTTGTGGTGGAGTCTCACTCTGTCATCCAGGCTGGAGAGCAGTGGTGCGATCTCGGCTTGCTGCAACCTCTGCCTCTCAGGTTCAAGCTATTCTGCCTCAGCCTCCCGAGTAGCTGGGATTCCAGGTGCCCACCACCATGCCCAGCTAATTTTTGTATTTTTAGTAGAGATGGGTTTTCACCATATTGGTCTGGTCTTGAACTCCTGACCTGAAGTGATCTGCCTGCCTCAGCCTCCCAAAGTGTTGGGATTACAGGCTTGAACCACCGTGCCTCGCCAAAAATGAAAATAAACTTTTATTGAGCACATACCTTTTAATAGGTGCTGTTCTAGGTACTTTTACACATGCTTTCTCACAATAACCCATAGGTAGGTTGTTCATTGCCCCAGTTTTATACTAGAAACTAAATTTAGACCTGTAAAATTAAGTAATTTGAATCTGGGTGTCTAAGTCCATTCCCACTGCTAAAACAAAATACCACAGACTGAGTGATTTATATATAAGAGGAATTATTTCTCATAGTTCTAGAGGCTGGGAAGTTCAAGATCAAATCCAAGATTTGGCGTCTGATGAAGGCTCACTGTACTTTCAAGATGGTACCTTGATGCTGTGTCTTCACAGGGCGGAGAGTGGAAAGGCAAAGGATGCTTCCTTCAACCTCTTATAAGGTCACTAATCCCATTCATGAGAGTGGAGCCTCATAACTTTATCATCTCCTAAAAGTTTCCCCTCTTAATACATCATATTGAAGTTTAAATTTCACCATAGGAATTTGTGGAGACATATTCAGGCCATAGAATAGAGTATTTGAAATTATAAAAGTCAGACTTTTCTTTTCTTTTTTGATCTTTAGGCTGTTTTTTATCCTCAAAATACCATGGTTATATAAACATGGTATTGTATGTGCAATAGACTGAAGAAAATTTAAATGTCTTGTGGTTTTATAAAATTTATTGACCAGAGAGGAAAACCAATTATTTTTGATATTGTAATTTTGAAGGTAATGTTGTAATAGTTGCTTTGTAGTTTTTATTTTTCCAGAACAGCAATGAAAGCTATCTGTATATAAGCTGTTTACCATACTCCCATTTCTATATTTATATATTGTATTCTACACATTTTAAAAGAAGACATAACTGACTAAAGCACAATTAACTTGGAGAATAGGAGCCTCTGTAGCCATATTTGAGTATTGTCAAAAGATACAGCATCCTATAGATCTTCTTTCTTATGTTTGAAATACCTATGATCACATGTATTCGTTAGTGCTTTTCAAACCTGACTGATACTCACTATTCTAGAAAGATAATATTACCTTTCTTTTGTTCTCTGTTTCTAATTTGAATGTCTACATCATGTTTCTAGAAAGTTTGATTTGGTTGCTCTAGAACATAGCTCACAAATTGGAAAATAATTCATGCTCATTAGGAACACATTGACTTAAATCAACTTGTCAAGTCAGTTTAACGACATCAACTGCTATGATAGTTCCTGCCAGCATGTTTTAAATTGAGAACAAATAATCATACTATGAAGCAACAATCTCTATTGACTAATCACACATAAACAGAGATTAGTGTTAATATAAAATAAAACTTCAATGTATGCCTTCTGAGACATTGAATAGGTCCAAGGTAATCTTAATGCTGCCTATTAATTAAGAATAAATGGTACATAGTATAGTATAAGTTTAGAAATGCTGTTTTATTCTCTGTAGTATATCCCTACTTCTTCTGAGAATATTCCATTTTGAATAGGAAAAGAATGAAACTAGGGATCTATTCAGAAATTCTGCTCTTCAGATCAACGTGAAATAACAGGGACTGGAATTACCTTCCAACATGAAAGAATTAAGAAAACAGAGAAATTACATGAAACAACCATTGTCAATACATTGGCTATGAAACAACTAAGAACAATGATCTATGGGAGATATAAAACAAAATATATAGGCTCTATGACTGTCCCAGCTTACTGCCTGGATAAAATTTTCAGACCCTAGAGCAACGAGGGGGATGACAGACAGTGCTCTGAAGTCCCCTGGGACAAGTAGACAGAGCTGAGATAAAGCAGAGATTAAGGTGGCTAGAGTTCCCCGAGAACCAGAAAATAGAGTGCTACATAGGGAGAGCATTTCAGAGATCATGAGTCCTAGTTTCGTATTCCACTGAGTACTGATGAGCCAGCTCATGCATATGAAGAAACTACCTGAGTTGGGAAAGAGAACCACTCAAAGTAATTAAAGGGGAAAAATCCCCAGAACTCACACAAATAGGTAGAGATAAAAATTACATTTTCTGCGACTGAAAAAATCACTTATAGAATTACCAAAACATTAATTATTGCTGAATAGAGAGTAGTCAACTTACAGAGACGGGAATAAAATCTGCTCAAAATGAAACACATTAAGAAAAAATGACTAAAATATTGACAGAGCAACAGTGAACTGTGGGACAACTTCAAGTAATAATTGGAGTATACTCCAAGTACACTCATATTTGGAATCCATGAAAGAGAAGAAAGAAATAAATGTTTGAAAAATTAATGGACAAAAATGTTCCAAATTTCATGAAAACTACAATCTCACACATGTAAGAAATTCAATAAATTTTAATCACAAGAAACATGAAAAATACGCAAAGTCATATCATAGTCATAACATTCAAATTATAAACTAGTCATCTTGAAAAAAATCTTAAGAACAGCAAAGACACTTTATATACACAGAGAAGCAAAGATAAAGATGACAGCTGATTTGTCATCAGAGAGAATAAAAGTCAGATTTCAGTGATGCAATATCTGCAAGGTGCTAAAAGAAAAAAACAAACATGATTAAACAAAACAAGAATTATTCACCTAATATCACCTAATAATAATAGCTTTCAAAATGAAGGTAAAAGAAACACTAATCAGACAGAAAATCTAAAGAATTGATAGCTATCAGATCTGTACTACAAGAAATATTAAACGAAGACCTTCAAGCATAAGAAAAACGGTACCAGAAAAAATCTGAATCTATACACAGAAAAGACCACTAGAATTGGTAACTACATGAATAAATATATAAGCTTTTTCCCTAATATTTGAGATATTTAAAAGATAATTGGCTGTTTAGACAGAAATAAAAACAACATTATATAGGGCTTATCACATATTCTGAAGCAAGATGCAAAACAACAGCACAAAGGCCAAGAAGAGGAAATTGAATTATACTGTTGTGAGATATATTATGCCTGCCACGGAACATAGACTGTGATAAATTAAAGATCAATAATATACAAACTAAAGTTTGTATCAATATAACCATTAATATAAAACAATGAAGTGTTACAACTAATAGATCGGAAACAGAAGAAAAATGGAATCATAGTAAGATCAGAAAAGAAGTAGAAAAAAGGAAAAAAGAACAAATACAGATTGAACAAATTGAAAACAAACAGCAAAATGACAGACTTAAAATTCAATTATATAAAATAACATTAAATATAGGTGGCATATGCACACAAATTAAAAGGCAAAGAGTGTCAGAATGTGTAACAAAGAAAATCCTAACTATATGCTCCCTTCTAGAAATATCCACTTAAAATATAAAGACAAATAGCTTATAAGTGGAAGAATGGGAAAAGATATTTTATGTTAGCAGTAATCAAAAGGAAGCTAGAGTGGCTATATTAAAATTAGACAAATTAGGTTTCAAAATGAAGAAATTATCAGAGATAAGAAAGGTCATTTTATAATAATAAAAGCGGTCAATTCGCCTAGACGGCATAATTTAAATTTTTAACACACATGAGAGAAGTCCAATATACTTAAAACTAAAAATCGTAGAACTGCAATAAGAAACAGACAAATCCATAATATTGGTTGGAGATGCCATCATCCTGGTCTCAATAACTGAAAGAACAAGTAGACAGAAAGTAAGTAAGCATATAGATGATTTGAACAATGCTATTGTGTCCCATCTGGGTCGCCAAAATGTGTCCAAAATTGGTTCCTTCCGGTGGGTTCTTGGTCTCGCTGACTTCAAGAATGAAGCCGCAGACCCTTGCAGTGAGTGTTACAGTTCGTTCTTAAAGATGGTGTGTCCGGAGTTTGTTCCTTCAGATATTCAGGTGTGTCTGGAGTTTCTTCCTCCAGTTGGTTCGTGGTCTTGCTGACTTCAGGAGTGAAGCCGCAGACCTCCTCAGTGAGTGTTACAGCTCTTAAAAGTGGCATGTCCAGAGTTGTTTGTTCCTCCTGGTGGGTTCGTGGTCTCGCTGACTTCAGGAGTGAAGCCGCAGACCTTCACAGTGAGTGTTACAGTTCATAAAGGTAGCGCAGACCCAAAGATGAGCAGCAGCAAGATTTATTGTGAAGAGCGAAAGAACAAAGCTTCCAGCGTGGAAGGGGACCCGAGTGGGTTGCTGCTCCTGGCTCAGCTGGCCAGCTTTTACTCCCTTATTTGGCCCCACCCACGTCCTGTTGATTGGCCCATCATGCATTTACAAACCTTTAGCTAGACACAGAGCGCTGATTGATGCGTTTTTACAGATTTCTGATTGGTGCGTTTACAAACCTTTAGCTAGACACAGAGCACTGATTGATGCGTTTTTACAGATTTCTGATTGGTGCGTTTACAAACCTTTAGCTAGACACAGAGCACTGATTGGTGCATTTACAAACCTTTAGCTAGACAGAAAAGTTATCCAAGTCCCCACCCAACCCCGGACCCCAGCCGGCTTCACCTCTCACTATCAACAACTTGATTTGTTAAAATTTTCCGAACACTCCACCAACACCACCAGAATACATTTTAAGTATGGATACACTTTATCAGGAATGGAATTCAGCTTTTTGAAAGTCATTGTTGAGAGAATAAAAAGATGAACTACAGACAAATGAAATATTTGCAAGACATATATCTGACAAAAGACATGTATCCAAAAGATATAAAGAACGCTGTAAATTCAACAATTACTAACAACACAGTAAAACATGGACAAAAGATTTAAACATACGCTTGACCAAAAAAGATAAACAGATACAAAAAGCACATGAAAAAATGGTCAACATAAAACCAAATAATTTTCCTTGGCAAGTAGGTGGATGAACAAATTGTGACTTTTCATGAAATGGAATACTATTCACTAATAAAATGTAATGAAAAATGAATATCTACATTAACATGGATTAATTTCAGCCTAATTATGTTGATTCAAATAAGCCAGAATATAGTGTATTATTCCATTTATATGTTCATTAAGTAAAACCCTAACTGGTATATATTTGGTGGTAATATAAAGATCAGTGATAGCATACAGACTGGCATATGCCTTGGGCATGGAGAGGAATAGGAAGGATGGATTACAATGCAGCACAAGGAAACTTTGAGAGGAGCTAGAAATGTTCATCATCTTCATTATGGAAGTGATTTCACAGATGTATATACATAAGTCAAAACCAAACAGTAGACTTTAAAAATGTATGATTTATTGTATGTCAATTATACCTAAGCAAAACTGATTTTAAAAATTGGCTTGGAAAACTCATGACTTAAAATCAGCACAGTAAGCAAGAAAATAAATATCTTCTTTTCTCTCTTCTTTCTTGTAAGACTCTTACCCAACAATGAAACAAATCCTGGGACCTTAAGATAGCTCTCAGCATAGTTTTATGCTCAGATCAATTTTGCTCAATCTGCCTTCCAGCTACAAAGGACCTGCTGCTTTGAAAACTTATCTTCCCCAGTCTTTTCTCCTACTACAGATATCCTCATGAACAGGAAAATTATATTTGGTTGATGAAAGATGTTATCCTTATATCGAATAGGAAGTTTTGGATTTTAAAAGAAACACAATTGTGTGTGTGTATTTGTGTGTGTGTATGAGTGTGAATAAACTGTATATTTACTTTGGTTTGTAGTTTATGTGTGCATTTATTTGCTTTTTACAATCACAGTATAGAAAAGGAATTTGTACCTGGCTTTGAAAGAAACATAACTTTTAATGAGAGCTTGACACCCTTAAAATTCTTTGACTGGAAGGCAGCAGCTAAGAGTAAATTTTTTAAACCCATTCATGATTAGGGTGAATGTCTGCATTGTTATCTCATTCCCTTTGTCACTGTTTCCTGTTACAAAGTATACTTATAGTTAAGGAGCTATCTTTGAAACCTTTGTTTATATAGACACATTCAAAGTAAGTTAGGAAAAATGAACTACCTATCTTTACTTATCTTTGAAATTTTTGTTTATATAGACATATTCAAAGTAAGTCAGCAAAATGAATTGCCAATCAGAAAATACTGCTCATAATCTACCAAAAATGTAGAAACAATCAAACATTGTTTTAAATAACTTTTAATTTTAAGCATTTAATTTTATATTGACTTGCAGTTGTAATTTTTTGGCTTAAAAATACTCCAAATCTTACCAGAAATGAACTGGTTAATGTTATCAATTTAAGATCATCACATTAATGCGTTGATTGCGTTAAAAGAAAAATATCACCATTTAATTACTTTTGAATTATATCTAAAAGGTGATTATAGAACTGCATGTCCTTTGCGCCATATATGTATGTGCATGCCTATCTATATTTTTCTCTTTTTTTTGAGACAGGGTTCCCCTTGGTCACCTAAGCTGGATTCCAGTGGCATGATCACAGCTCACTGCAGCCTTGATGTTCCAGGCTCAAGTGATCCTCCCACCTCAGCCTCCTGAGTAGCTGGGACTACAGGTGTGTATCACCACGCCTGGATAATTTTAGTATTTTTTTTGGAAAGACAGGGTCTCTGTATGTTGCCCAGGCTGGTCTTGAACTCCTGGGCTCAAGTCATCTCCCTGCCTTGGCCTCCCAAAGCATTGGGATTGCAGGCATGAGCTACAGTGCTAGACTCCTTTTTAAAATATTATATTTTTCCTGTTATTTTTATCCATAACTTCACCTTCAAATCACTTTCTAGTTTACCTATAATTGACAGAATAAAATATAGCTATTTGAAGAGAAAGGTGAGGGAAGTAAAGTGATACAGATGTTAGCAATACAGATTTTTTGTTTGTTTATTTGTTTTTTGAGATAGAGTCTTGCTCTGTCACCCAGGCTGGCATGCGGTGATGCAATCTCAGCTCACTGCAACCTCTGCTTTCCAAGTTCAAGCAATTCTCCTGCCTCAGCCTCCCCAGTAGCTGGGACTACAGGCATGTACTACCACTCCAGGCTAATTTTTGTATTTTTAGTAGAGATGAGGTTTCACCATGTTGGCCAGGAAGGTCTCCAACTCCTGACCTCAGGTGAACTGCCCACCTCGGCCTCCCAAAGTGCTGGGATTACAGGCATGTGCCACCTTACCCAGATGTGATACAGATATTTATGTGGGAAAAGGGCTTTCTTCCAGCAGAGGAAGTTGGCAGTGTAAGATTCTTAGGTACAGAGAGTGGCTTCATAATATTTGAGACACAACAAGGAGGTCAAGTGGCTGGAGTAGAGTCATTTAGAGAGAGCAGTGAGAGATCAGTCAGAGTGGCAGGGTGGGGGCAGATCATGAAAGGGTATAGCTTTTATTCCAAGATCATCTGTCTTATATTTTCAAAGCATTTCTCTGGCTGCTGTATTGAAATAACTAGCAAGAGGTGCAAGGGTCAAATTAGCAAGGCTAGTTAAGGGGTGTTGTAGAAATTCACAAGAGAAGGTGGTGGCTCACACCAATTAAACTTAAGTAGATTCTATGCTGAAGGTAGAACCAAAGTTGTTTACTCATCATAAACGGGGCACAGAGGAGAGAAGCAAAGGGACTAAAATTTTAGGCTCAGCAATCCAAAAAAATGATGTAAAGATGTGTGTGAGGTAACCTTGTAGAAGAAAATTAAGGGTACCCCAAAAGATCACTATTGTTATTTGTAGTTACTCCCTGTTCGCAACCCCAGCCCAATAAATCATTAATCTACTTCCTGTGTCTGTAACTTTGCCTTTTCTGAAAGTTTTACATAAGTGGAATCATACAACATGTCTTTTTTATCTAACGTATTTTACTTAACAAGTTTTTGAGATTTTTCTATGCCGTAGCACGTATCAGTAGTACACTTCAGAATTGTATTTTATTGTTTATCCATTTGCTTATCCATTCATCAATTGATGGCTATTTAAAATGTTTCTACCTTTAACTATTATGCATAATGCTACCATAGACATTTGTGTAGAAGTCTTTGTGTGGATATGTTTTCATTTTTCTTCTGTAACATCAGAGTGGAATTACAGGTTGTACGTTAAATTTATGCTTAAGAAATTGCCAAATTGTATACCAAATTATCTGTAACATGTTACATTACTACTAGTATTCTTTGAGTTCTAGTTTCTCCACATCCTCTCTAACACTGAAATCGTCTTTCTTATTATAGCCTTTCTACTAGATATGAAGTAGAATCTTACTGTGGTTTTTGTTTGTTTCTTTTTTGTTCTTTTTTGGTTTTTTAGAGACAAGGTCTTGCTCTGTCGCCCAGGCTGAAGTGCAGTTCAGCTTACCGCAGCCTTGATCTCCCTGGCTCAAGTAATCCTCTGGAGTAGCTGGGACTACAAGCATGCACCACCAACCCGGCTAATTTTTGAAGTTGTTTTTTTTTTCTTTGTAGAGACACACCATGTTGTCTAGGCTGGTCTTAAACTCTGGGGCTCAAGTGATCCGCCCTCCTCAGCCTCCCAAAGTGCTGAGATTACAGGCATTAGCAACCACACCCAGCCCTTACTGTGGTTTAAATTTGCATTACCTTAATTACTATGACTTGAGCATCTTTTAATGTATTAGCCCTTTATATATCTTTCATGAAATAACTATTGAAATCTTTTTCTATTTTTAATTGGGTTATTTGCCTTCAGATTATTGATTAGGAAGAATATTTTATGTATTCTGGGGACAAGTCCTTTATAATATGTTTTGTCAATATTTGCTATCATTCTATGGCCTATAATTTCATTTTCTTATTGATGTCCTTTGATGTGCAAGTATTTTTAATTTTGGTGAAGTCCAATTTATCAGCTTTTCCTCTTATGGATTAGGCTTTTGATACTGCACTAAGAAATATTTTTCTAACTGGAAGTCACAAAGATTTTCTCTGGTTTTATCTAAAACTTTCATAGTTTTATGTGTAGGTCTATAATCCATTTTGAATTAACTTTTCTATATGGTGTAAGTTAGGGGTTAAAATTCTCCCTTTTGCAATGATTTTCCAGTTGCTTTGATACCATTTTATGAACATACTATTTTTTCCCCAATAAGTTGTCTTGACATCTCTGTTGAAAATGAATGGACTATAAATGTAAAGGTTTATATCAGGATTCTCAATCTTGTTTCATTGATCTATATCTCACTTGTCATGTGTATCAAGCTATCTTGATTGCTATAGATTTATAGTAAGTTTTGAAATTAAGATGTAGAAGTCAGCCAGAGAACTTTGTTCTTCATTTTCAAGATTGTTTTAGCTACTCTAAGCCTGCTAAAGTAAGACAGAGATTATATTGAATCCATAGATACATTTGGGAAGAAGTTGTTATTTTGTGCTGAAAGAGTAATTTTGTCCATTCACTCATGGTTCCTTGTAAATTACTGAGATCTGAGTTTAACATATATTAAATTCTTAGAGGGTAAGGCTCATTCCAGAAACTGGATACCAATGGCAGCTGATACTTCCTAGAGTGAAGCATACTGCTTCCTGCTTTACAGAATTTATCAATTTTTCTCTGAGTTTATTCATAACTTCCATGAAGACTACATAACCTCCTTCATATGTCCAGAGGCGGACAGCTTGATATTTTCCATCATAATTTGAAATTAAGGTACCATCTCTAACCCTCTGATGATTTTCAAATATTATGTAAAATACTAAGAGGTATCCTTGAAGCTAAAAAGATTTTATTTTCCTTTTCTTTGTTTTCTGTTTAAAAATCATATAGTCATGTGACTCATAATAAAGTTTTGGTCAATGATTAACTTCATATATGACCATGGTCCAATAAGATTATATGTTTAGATACATGCATACTTAACATTGTGTTACAGTTGCCTACAGTCTTCAGCACAATAAAATGCTATGCAGGCTTACAGCCAGGGAGCAATAGCCTAGGCTACCAAATAGCCTAGGTATGTAGTAGGCTAGATGGTAGGCTATACCATCTAGGTTTTGTCATTATACTCATTGATGCTTATACATTGAATAAATCACCTAAGGATGCATTTATTAGTATGTACCCCTGTCACTAAGTGATGCATGACTGTATTTAAGCAACTAGTTTTTTAAATATGATTGCTTCTTTTTAAACATATCTTCTTCCTCAGCAATGACTATTTTCCATAAGAAACAATCTGTTTACACATTCATTCCGTGAAATCTCTCCTACCTCCAAATAATTTGTATGTTTAATACATAAAAGAATGAATCAACACAAATAATTTTGTTTTTACAGAGTCAAAGATCAAGATGGAAAAAAGGCATTATTCGTTTTATCTTTCTGTTTAAAGACCAAAACAGTGTAGACAGGTAAGGATTCCTTTAGTTTTGAAAGGACTCCAGAAAAGAAAATATATTACTTTGTTAAAAATAACAGAATAAAAAATATTTTTCATTAAAATACTGTGGGATTTTAACAATTTTATTTCTATATTGAACAATATTTTTAAACTGTATTTAATAGTGTACATGTGGGTCAGCACAAATTTTCTCCCACCACCTAAAAAAAAAAAAAGAAATGGCCAAAATCGTATAATTTTTAAAAACCCAACAAAACTATTCATCTGTTCTAAGATCAAAAAGACTTTTACTGGACAGGCAATAGAGAAGCTCTGTTTTCTAACAATTATATTTTTCCAACCATGTGGATGAAGTAATAGGGAAGATGCTGTTTCAATTTCTCCATCTCCTTTGGAAGTGGTTCTTGAGTAGGAAAAAAAAATAAAGGAGTAGTACAGATAATTTACTGGCTGGAACTTTCTTCCTGAGGAATATCAGACATTCCTCTCCATCTCCTGAGTGATTTCACATAAATTCAATTTGAGAGTTAATAAAGAAACACAATAGAATGTGGGTTAGCCAGGTTCTTCTAGAAAGTTTTCTCTTCTAGTTGTACTACTTGAGAAGTAGTTTAATAAAGTTTATTCCAAACTACAAAATTTTCAATCTCGTATCAAAAATTCTTATTTTTAGCTAAATAATTATTTAGATGGTAACTAATCTAATTCAAACTGCTTTCCCTAAGTTAATAATATACAGAGAATAGTAAAAATAATCATTATAACAACAGATTATTTTTATAAGTATATATGTATTTTATAAATATTGGAGGGTTGTGGTTTATAGTCAGAAACGCGACTGAAGATACGATTTTGGTTCATATGATTTGGTTCATGGAGGTGTTGATTTATCCATGGTCTGTGGTCAAAGTCTGGCTTTAGCACATCGAGATGTACCATTTGAAATGCCCACATCCATTGCAGAACTGAATAGTAGGAGATTCAAGCCTTACTTAGATTCTACATTATATCTATCATATTTCTTACTAAAAGTTGCTTTCTAGGACATCCAACTATGAATGACCTTTATAATGCATATCCCAGAAAGGAATAATTTCATAGGCAATGTTCATACAATTTATAGTAATATTTCAACCAACAGACCCCTCTGAGTATGTTGGTATAATTTGGCTATTACAGCTTAGCCGGCTTTTTTCTCTTCAACACTTTATTTGTAAGAACTGTAACTACTGTACTTACAAAAGTCATACCCTTTCTCCCCTCAAAATATGCCCTCTTTATCTATTGTAGGATTCTTTTCACAAGCGAGCAAGAAACTGTAAATTGCAAAACAGCATCTCTTCTCCTTAGAAGAATTAGGTCCTTGGCAAAAATAAATAAACAAAATAATAAAATTCTCAAATTTAAAACATTTTAATGCCTGCTCGACAGTATTGGGCATTTTCTTTATCTAAAAAAAAAAAAAGAAAAAACACAAGAAATTCAAGTTGGAATAAGTGTAAAGAAAAGTTACAAACTCTGCTCTGTATCATTATAAGCAATATTAACTTTGTTATTGGATAAAGGATTTTGCCAAATTAGAAGGAAATTTTAAAATATTTTGTCCTTCAATTTTGGCACGTCTCTGAAAATAAAGTCATATTTTGAACAACAATCATCTTGGACAACTATTACTAATAGAGGGAGTATTCACAATGGGAAAATGTACAGGCTTGATTGAGATTCAGATTAGTGTGGGGAAAGTGAAGAAAACCTAATATGACATTACATGACTTTGGTACCAAAATCTTATCCTTCCATGCTTTTGAAATTTAGTGAGGTTTAATAATACAATCACCATAGCTAATCAAGATCAATGTCATCTAGGGCATTGTAGCTCTAGACTAAATTACTTAGGTTTGGGAAAACATAATGCAGGGGAAGCAGATAGGGCTAGTTCAAACCCTATGCATAGAGTTGGGTTTCTAATAGATGGTGGAGACTGGAAGATGAGAGGAGTTAAATTAGTCATTTGAGGTACGTTGGTGGAGAAGGAATTCAGAGTGGAGGAACCAGATTCAGATTGAGAATATTTACACAAATTAAACCCATTGTAAAAAGTTAGACTTTATAAAGATATCTCCTTTTGATCTAGAAAATGTGACATTTTTCATGTGTATTTAAGTTTCTCTCCATGTGTTTTAGTCAGTTTAGGCTGCTATAACAAAATACCATAGACTGGATGGCTTATAAAAAACAAAAATTTATTTCTCACAGTTCTGAAGGCTAGATGTCAGAAATCAGGGTGTCAGTATGGTTAAGTTCTGCTAAAGGCTGTCCTCCAGATTGCAGACTGCTATCTTGTTATATCTTCACAAGACAGAAAAAGGGTAAGAAGGCTCATTGAGGTCTCTTTGAGAAGGGCACTAATCTCATTCATGAAGGCTCCACCCTCATGATCTAATTACCTCCCAAAGGCCTCATGCCCTCCTACTGTAACACTGAGTGTTAGGATTTCAACATATGAATTTTGAAGGACAAACTTTCAGACCATAACACCCTGTTTTAGTCCCACAGTATACAGTAAAGAATATCATATATGCTAGTATTGTCTTGTGTTCTGGTCTTTATTAAATTTAAATAATTGAGATGAGTAACCTGACCCATATCTTCTTCTGATGGCATCTGTGGAAAGGGAGCATCTCCTTTCAGGTGACATATCTAGAAGTTCTAGGTAGTGATCAGAGCAAAATGAGTAGAGATCCTTAGAAGACCTGGCAGAAATGATGATTTAGTAGTCATTACATTTGATATTCTTGTATGTCATTGGGGTGTGTATGAAAAGAATAAAGCATGTGCTCAGCTCTAGGTTGAAAGCAAGTTTCTTATACAGTGTTTAAAATCCTATGCTTTAAGTAAAATTACTTCCATTTTATATCTAAGTAAATGAGTTTCACCAAACTTAAGAAACCGACAAGATACAACTGTAAAAGTTGCTGTCAGAACTCAAAACCTCTTTGAATATTAACTTTGTTCTCAAAGCTATATTTTCATAACTGTAATAATGGACATTTGTCTTTAGAGGCTGAATTCACTTTATATATTTTTGCTTAGTTTGTTAATTTTGTTAAAATGAAAGTAAAACCATGTTATTAAACAGAATATTTTAAAATTTAAGAAAACATGGAATGTAGTAACACAGAAACTGGTGGATATTATACTTCTATACCTGAGGATAAAATTTCAGTCATTGTGGTGGATGCAGGGATCTGCTAACCAGATAATCTGTAAAGAAGGGCCTACTGCCCCAGCTGCTGGGAGTGCTGTCAGGCTTTGGCTATTAGCACCTTGAAGAATTGTCTCAGCTTCATAAAGCTTCCTTGCCCACATCCATGGCCTTCTGGGGAAGCTCACTTCTGGTGACAAATTCAGGTGTGGGTTTGGAGGCCCAGTTACTTGGGTTTGACCCGGGACCACCCTGAAGGCCACTTTAGGTTCTGTTCTTCTCATGGAGTTGACAGAGGCTTTCAGATCACATTACAAACTAACTTCTCTCTCTTCTCAATCCTGCTTCTTCTTCTTTCATAGCAAAGATGTTGATCATAATGGCCTCCCTCAAAAATATCCTGAACACTAAATTTGGCTTCCAGACTGTTTCCTGGGTTTTCCAAACAGTGAAAGTTTCTGTTTGGAGTATCCCCAGAAAGCAGGTGAAAAGTTGTTGTCTTGGAGCTGGATCAGCAGGCCCTTGGCTGGCAATGAGGAACTCATTATGGTGGTGGGTCAAACACAGTTAACCTTGGCATAAGGTATTTCTACACTTGTTCAAATTTTAATGGTTAATTAGGATTATATAATGGTGGAAAAATAGCTATCTCACTAGATAATTCACATATTTGAAAAACATGGAGAAAATAGAAATTATAAGAACAATGGAACTTGTTGGCCGTTGCCAATATTGCTAAACTAAACTGGAGATCTAGAAAAAATAATGAAATTCCGAGATGAGTCAGAGGCAGTTGACAGTCAGGATGTAATATATTTCCCTTGCTTGAAAACAACTGGGGACCTCTATGTATGCATCTGTATATGAATCTCTCTGAATCTGTCTCCACTTTCTCTCTTGGTTGCTAAATCTATACTTAGGGTTAAATTGTAGCAAAACTCAGCTGGAGATATTCAGGGCCTGAGAAGAAAGGAAAGGGAACATACCACTAAGGAGCTGCTTGACATAAATGTATACCCCAGCAGTAGTTGAGGGAGAATATATGGGACTGCCTTCTAAAAGGATTTGAAAAAGAGAGAAAACATGAATTTGGAAAGGGCATGTTTACTGATTCAGATTCATTCTTTTGAGATTCAGGATTCATCACCTAAAAACAACTCAACCCCAGAAAAAAAGTAAACTCATTATTAGTAGGTCTGATAAATAGGTAAAAATGATGATTTATGCTCAATGAAGGCATATTGCTTCCAATGTCATGTTAATTGATGAAAGAAAGGATTAAAAGACTCAGAGGAGTTATTATGCAAGAGGTATATACTGTAAGGCTGGAACCATCAGATGTTCTATGTGAAGGCCTAGTGGTACATCATATAATGAGATCACATAAAATACACTGGTGAGAAGAAGCACTACCCCTAGAATTTCATCATGCCTAAGGTGAATTCCTTCAGTAGGTTGATGCTGATGGTAAGAGAGACTCTTACAGACCTAGCCTTGTAGTTTACAATGGGGATAATAGGCTCATAAAATAAGAAAGGCAAGGTGGTAACACTTAACTGTCAGAAGCTAGAAGATAGACAGAAGCAAAGTTAGTGTGGCAGCCAGGGGAGACTGACCTACAGGTATTTACGAAGATACATTTATAAGGATGGTTGATAGAATACGGGATCCCTGTGGGTAAATTAGATCGACAGCCAATAAGCACCCTACTCAACATATACTAATAAATAGATCATGATTGGATGATCAGGAGGCCAATGGCTGTTGCCTCAATAAAATAGTCAGGATCTCTTGCCTTATGTCTGGGTATTAGCCAATTTTTGAACTTGGAACATATTGATTTCATCAGAGGCCAGGTCCCCAAAAGGGAGGACCCTATAACACCCTGCCATTTGTACATGGTCATAATACCTGCAGTCCTTTGCCAAAACATGGCCATTTACTTAGATGACTGAACACTGGGGAAAGGGAAATATCCAAACAGTTAAAGGACTGTTGAACACAGAGCTGAGGATGGTACACAGTTGACTATGTTACACAGTTGACAAAGGTACATGGAAATGAAGGGCTTCATTGTGTTCCCTCCGTTAATTTAGGAGGCCAAGCAATAAATGCAGTCCTGGCTAAGGTCCAGATCACAGTGAGTTTGCTGTGCCCACAGAGCCAGTCAGTAGTTGTCACTGTAGCTCCAGAATTTATAATCAAAATATGCATACCTGGTAGTTAGTATAAGCCCCATATTAATTTATGACTTGTGAGTAAAAACAAGTTGAAGTTTCTGAAATTACCCCTGACACATACACACATAACCAAGTTAGTAAATTAAAAACAATATTATATCCACTATCACATCAAGAAGCTATAGTCTTATGAAAACTACAAAGGCATGGATGGAGTACCAGTTTGTTGGACATACCTTACAATAATAAGACACTGTCTTCTAAGACATAATATATACCTAAATCAAAGATATTGATTTGGTTATTTTCTCATAAGTAAAATATACAGGTTTGGGAATTAAGGGTTGGAAATAGGAGTAGCCTACTGCCATCATTCCAGTGCCTTACCTGTAGACCATTTTCTCCCTGTCTCCATAATTCTATGTTCTACATGATTAAAGTTCCTAGTTCCCTGTGGGGGAACACTTCTACCAGGGAACACAAAAAAGTCCCATTGAATTTTATACCTTGGCTATTGCCTGGGAGCTTTGGGTTTCTCCTGCTGAGGGATTAAATGTAAGTTAATGAATAACCATCTTGGCAGTGGTAATTGACTTTGATCATCATAAGAATGTTGTAGCACTGTTACACAATGGGGCAGGCAGGAATATGTTTGGCACACAGATCATCCACGCCACTAAAACCAACAGAACTATTACCTGAGGATGAAAGGACTCTAGAATGAATAATGGAGAAGAGAGATAATAAGTATTAGTTGTACCAAAATCAGCTGTAGGAAGTGAGGCTATAATTTGTTCCATTTATCTTTCCATTCTAGATTTTCCCCAGACTGAAAGGCCCACATGAACTACAGGAAAAGCTGTCCACCAAACATCTGTGAAAAAATGAATCTGATTGCGATACAAGGGATGAACTATGGTAGATCCAAACGCATCCCCCATACACATCCCCAGGTAAGCACTTATGGTGCCATCTGTTGGGAGGGCTCTCAATAGACAGCCTTCATCTCTGAGTTCCTCAGGGATTTCCACAGCTGCAGAGATCTGTGTTGCCTAAGGTCATGCCCTTCTAGGGGAAGCCTATATCTAATGCCTGTTTCAGGTAAGGGTTATTCAAAGATCTAGTTATTTGCTCTCGGTGTAAGAACATTCTGTGGGATCCCTTACTTCCAGAGCTCTCCATGAATTTGGCTGAAGCCCTTAGGCCTGTTCTGTAGTGCAACCTTATCTCTCTTTCCAATCATGCTTCCTCCCTTTCTTTCCATAGGTTTTGATGTCATGGCTATTCCTTAATATTCATTCTAAACATTGCATTTTGTTTCAGGGTCTGCTTCCTGGAAGGCCCAACCTGTGACTGTCATTTAAAAAATGTTCTGTTTTTTTTTTGTCCAGTTCCTTTTTTTTAAATTTACAAAAAAAATCTAAAATCAAATTAACATCCCAGATTCGGTGAATATTTGTGTTGTTTGAACAGGTATTTACAGATGCCCACTCTGTGCCAGAAAAAAAGTGAACTCTGCAGGGAAGATGACAGACAACATCTTTTCCTTTGCTTAGCCTAGAGTCTAGTGTAATATAAATAAACTAAACAATAATCACACAAATAATTACAATTATTGTAAAAGTGAAAGAGGAAAAACTGTAGAATATCTCTCTTAGTCCAAAATGAGTTAAGGTTAGATTCTTAAAACAGTAACATTATTAAAAAGAATAATTACTGGAAGGAAAAAAAGTAATGGAGGGACAGAGTCAACAAACACGGAACATAGACAAAGTCTGATAAAAACAGCAACAGTAATTACAGCCACAACCAACAACAAATTTATGATATCACCAAAGGAGAAGACAGTCTTTTAAAAGCTGTCTTCCATCTGTTCCTACCATAAAGTAGAGCTTAGCTCAAGAGAAATAAAAAAGATTCCAATTCAGTTCACTTATGAAAACTTCCAGGCAATGTTGATTTGTCGTGCTGCAAACATAAAAGTAAACATTCTTTTGTAACTTTTTTTTCTCTCTCCATTCTTATTGATATCTACTGAGAGCATTTTTCTTGCACATTCTGAGGCTCGTTTTTGTAGTTTTATGTTCAATCCCTGGTTACCCACATGAAGGCAATACCTTTTTATGCCAGTGAAAATATCAACTACTTCATTTGTGGTGCTTTGCATAGACTACGTTTGGAAAGTGAGAGGAAAATGTGCCAGAGAAGATAAAACACAAATAAAGCAAATCTGCGGAAACAAAACATTTGCATAAAAGATCCCTTCATTTTATCTGTCACATAAAAAGTAGCTATGTATGAACAAATGATATAAAAGTGAAAAATGATATAAAAGTGAAATAAGAAAAACAACGTTTTCATCAAATTCAGTTATTTTTCTATTTAATTTAAAAGGATATTAATTTTTGGTAGAATGTCAGGATTCTCCATGACCACTCAACCGAGTTGGAAAAAAAAAAGGTAAATAGCAAATGGACAACAAAAATATGTTCAATTTATAGTAAATATAATAAAGCATTTTATACTATTCTTACATTAAATAAAACAAGAATATTTTAAAATTTTCAAATATTTGGAGAAATTTTAATATACCAAAATAAGGCATTTGTACTTTGAGTTATTCAGTATCAACATTTCTAACAAATCAAAATTTTACGTGTTGAATATCTCTTGGGTACCATTTAAAAATACTGATGCCAAAAATATGAGTGTTTCGGTTGGAAAGGAAATTCAAAGCACTCAATGAATTGTAGGGAACGCTTTGAATTTTAGATTGACACTCTTGACAATTTCATGACTCCTGTTTTTTTCCATTGTTTCTGTCAATGTAATTATCTTACTATTATATTTAGTCCAAGTCTCCTGTCAAAACTAGCCCTATAAAATGTCTACTGGCAAGTCTGAGTCTACTTGCTTTCTGTCCAGCCCAATTTGCTTTTTTTTCCCCCCAGCAATTGCTTTAAATATTCTAGCCAACTGTAATAAGCTGTTCTTTTTCTTTGCAGGCTGCTACAAGCTATTCTTATTTACAGTACCCATTCTTGAAAACTACTCAATGGTTTTGGGATCCTGCTTTGGTTTTAACAAGACTCTATGTTTCTGTTTCTCATTATTGCATTTTCATGTCTAGATTACTCAAGGGTTTAAACTGAATTATTCCTTCAATTTCAAAGACCAGTTTCTTTAAAAAAAAAAAAAACTGTGAGCTTAGGGGCAAAGAAAGGCTTTTATAAAAAATGATTTGGGAGAAGTGAGAGAGATAAATTTTTATTTTATACATTTTATGATAAAGTATATATATTGACCATTATAATATTAGCATTATAAAACTAATACATTATAATATTAGTGTCATAATATGAATATATTATGATTAGTACAACAATGTAGATTTATAAAATTTAAGATAGAGACTCCAGACAAGAAATGCTTATTAGCTTTGTTTGTAGAATTTATAAAGAACTGAATCATTTATAGAAAGAACTGAGGCCAGGCACAGTGGCTCACACCTGTAATCCCAGCACTTTGCGAGGCCAAGGCAGGTGGATCACGAGGTTAGGAGTTTGAGACCAGCCTGGCAAACATAGTGAAACCTCATCTCTACTAAAAATACAAAAAATTAGCTGGGCGTGCTGGTGGGCACCTGTAATCCCACCTCCTACTTGGGAGGCTGAGGCAGGAGAATTGCTTGAACCCAGGAGACAGAGGGTGCAGTGAACTGAGATGGTGCCACTGCACTTCAGCCTGGGCGACAGGGCAAGACTCTGTCTTAAAAAAAAAAAAAAAAAGAAAAAATTTAATTAAATAAATAAAAAGAGAAATAAGAAACAGGCCATTCAGCAGGATCTTTAGGTTATTTATTATTATTAATAATAATTATTATTACTATTTTAGAGATGGACCCTCACTATGTTGCTCAGACTGGACTCAGACTCCTGGACTTGAGCCATTCTCCTTCTCAGCCTCCAAAGTAGCTGGGATTACAGGTTGCTGTGAGCTGAGATTGCGCCACTGCACTCAAGCCTGGGAGACAGAGCAAGATTCCATTTCAAAAAAAAAGAGTAAGCTCTAAATAATTACCTTTTAGTAGTTATCATCTCATAATTTTTGAGATAAACTTTTTAAAAGATAATGTGCTTTTTTAAATGACTATCTGTTTATAAAAATCAATTATAGTCAATTTATTTCCTGAAATACTTGGAAGAAGAATTTATACTCTTGTAAATTAGAAATTTCCTCAACATAGTGTAATGGAATCTTATTTAGAAAGTAAAATCAAGTAAGCGTGTTTAACATCAGTTTTGTTCAGAATAAAAATATTTGGAAGGAGCATAAATAATAGGTAAGAACAAAAAGAAATTAGATGTATTTCACTAGGGCTGGTATTTCATGAAATAATATTATATAAATTATAAATTCTAATAGCATTAACCTCATCAGTAATATTATAATATGAAGAATATTAATCAGGAGATTGTATAAAATTTAAATAGAAATTAAACCAAAATTAAAGGAAGAAATATCCTATGAAAATCTTTGGGAAGTACATGATTTTTACTATTGGATAATTTTCTAGCTTCTCTGCTCTTTTTCTCTTCTCTTACAGCAGAATACTGTCAAATCTAAAGAAATAGTACCTAAAATAGCAAAACAGATCCATGTTTCATATATTATATCACACCCAAAATCACATGGCACAGTTTTACAAGCAGAGATAGGTTTTATTAGGTGGTAAAAATCTCATCCGTAGTTTTTAAAGCTACCTACAATATTTGGTAGTTGGCAGTTCTGATATTTTGCAGCAAAAACAATCAACTTATATGAAACAGTTACAAGAAATATCAAATATTTACAAAATATTCACCAAAGCTGAAAATAATTATCCCTTCTCTCCAGGCCACAACCTATACTAATTTTCATAGCATCCAGTTATCATTTGTCCTACTGTGGTTTGTTTGTTACCTTTGCACATTGTATTAGTCCGTTTTCACACTGCTATGAAGAAATACCTGAGACTTGGTAATTTATAGAGAAAAGAGGTTTAATTGACTCACAGTTTTGCATGGCTGGGAGGGCCCCAGGAAACTTACAATCATGGTGGAAGGTGAAAGGGAAGAAAGGCGTCTTCTTCACAGGGCAGCTGAAAGGAGAAGTGCTGAGCAAAAGGGGAAGAACCCGTTATAAAATCATAGTATCTCACGAGAAGCCACTCACCCTCAAAAGAACAGTATAGGCCAGGCGCGGTGGCTCATGCCTGTAATCCCAGCACTTTGGGAGGCCAAGGCAGGCGGATCACGAGGTCAGGAGTTTGAGACCAGTCTGGCAAACATAGTGAAACCCTGTCTCTACTAAAAAAACACACACACAATGCTGGAGGTGGTGGCGGGTGCCTGTAATCCCAGCTACTTGGGAGGCTGAGGCAGGAGAATCATTTGAACCCTGGAGGCAGAGGTTGCAGTGAACCGAGATCGTGCCAGTGCACTCCAGCCTGGGCAGGCAACAGTGCAAGACTCCGTCTCAAAAAAAAAAAAAAAAAAGAAAAGAAAGAAAGAAAGAAAAAGAAAAGCATAGGGGTAACCACTCCCATGATTCAATTACCGCCCACCAGGTCCCTCCCATGACACATGGGGATTATGGGAACCACAATTCAAGATGATATTTGGGTGGTACACAGCCAAACCATATCACACATAAACGTATTTTATATTCCTATCTAAATTGAGACGAGATTACCTTGTACTACTTTATACTTCTCTTAGCTACTATTTCTCTATTCCTTGTATATACATACTTGTTTCACTAATTCATCCGTATTTAGTTTCCGCAAGGAAGCTCAGAAAAGATGAGATTTTTCTACTAAATAGTTTGTAAACCAGTGGAAAGAAGTTAGATTGAAAGATTTAAAATCAAGAAACACTTCCTGGCCAGGCATGGTGGCTCACGCCTGTAATCCTAACACTCTGGGAGGCCGAGGCAGAAAGATTGCTTGAGCCCAGGGGCTCGATACCAGCTAGGGCAACTAGCAAGACCCTGTCTCTATAAAATAATAAAATAACAAATAAATAAATAATAAAAACAATAAATATTCAGCAGCAATAAATATTCAGGAAGGGAGAAGAAGAAAAAACAAAAGAAAAATCAGAAGAAAATTTAAGACATGGAATTTTAAAGAGGACGAATACAGAATGACTGGCCTGTTATTTTTTGCTTTAAGTACTTCAGATGTTTGGTTAAATAAATAAATAAATCCAGTAAGCAAAATAATTTTTATAAAATGCAACATCAACCTTTTGTGCCTAGTTCAAAACTTTTAGTTTTTTTTTTGGAATCTTTCCTGTTGCTAGAATGCCTCATTTCTATATTTGAGTGTTTGATGCATAGCATCGGACTTATTTAAGAATGGTTTGAATCCTCTCTTCTTTAGAGAATAGAGTGAAAGCTATTTTTAGTAAAATACACAAATGGAAGAGAATAGAAATAACTAAGTGTAGGAGATCATGGAGTCAAAAGACTTTCAAAACTTCTGTTTTCAGCTTCTTTCTTTCTTTCTAGGTCTATTATAATGGCTAATGTTGATTGAGTACTTAGTGCTGGGCAGTGTTATATTCATATGACATTTATCACCCCACTTAATCTTCTCAGCCCTTCCGTAAGTTAGATGTTGTTATTATGCTTATTTTATAAATGAAGGAATAATTGCAGAAATGTTCAGCATCTTGCCTCTTGCCCAAGGTGGAGCCAGAACATATGATTTCATGCTAAGTAGGTCACTGCAAATTCTAATTATTGTTTGAAATATAAAAATCAATGCAATTAGCTGAGCTCATATTGATTACATCTAAAGTGTATGTTACGTGCCAATGATATATTTTTGGAAATTTTCAGATTAAGAACATGCCAAGAACTCAGGGTGCCAATACACTATGTCCTCATTCCCTTCTCTGAAAGTGAAAGTCAGGAATGGGGGGGACAGGCACCAGCTGATTTCTACTGTGACAGAGTTTAGGGAGAGCAAAAAATATTGTCTCTGAGAATAGCTTTACAAATGTGAACTCATGAATTCTCAAATTATTACAATTAATATAAAGATTTTTAAAAACATATCTCTACAAGTAGACCAAAGACATGATGATAATGGAATGCCATAGCAGGTTGAGTAATATCCTTATGAATCACAATTATTACCACAGCTTAAGTGTAATTAAAAATCAGCCTTTCCACCCAACAGAAGGGCCTTACCTACAGAACAAAGCAAGTAATATATTTATTGTCTTGGGCATTCTGTGGACTTCCCATGTAACACTTGAGGGATTCCAAAAAATTGTTGTAATACACAGTACTAAAATTTGTGAGTATAAAAGGTATTCTTATAGAAGTTTTGAAACTCTGTAAAGAAAAAATAAGTTGGAGAGGAGGAAGGAAAGACTTTCTATGAGTTGAAAATACATCATTGTAATGATGATAAAATCATTCCCATTCTTCAAAGCCCTTGGCTACCATAATGATTATCGTTCACCACCTGTCGTCATTGGGAGAATAAAAGACAAGTTTTCATACAGTCATAAAGATGAGTGTTTGACAAAGAACCTACTCGCTTATGCTTCTTGTTTGCTTCCTTTTCTTTTAATATGAAAAGAATAATTCTTGTTATTTTTATACATAATTTTTAATAACTTCTGAGGATTATAATGACAATTTTAATAAATTTTAGTAGGTGCTTACTCTAACATTCACCATTACAAGACCTTTGAAATGAAGTTATGGGATTTATATCTATTTCTTTTTGGCTGAGTCTTGAAGTTATAAAAGGATATAGATTTATTTTTGTGCTGGTTTGAACATTGCCAACCTAAAAATTATCTACTCTATGGCTATAATTAGTCAATGATATAAATTTCAAGTCAATATTTCTTGTTGTATTAGAATCTGTTAGATTTATATTTTACAAAATGCAATTAAGATATAGCATGAAGTCATTGTGATTAATGAATAAATCTGTAACATAGATAAAAAAGAATATGGTACTTAAATGTTACTGGTTTGACAATTTATTTTCAAAATGTGTGTGAAAAATCTAGTCCATGTTTATGAATTAGAATGCATTTATTTGTTATGTAAAACATTGTAGCAAGGTTATGATAAACCCCTGAATAAATTGTGATAGTGTTATGCTTTAAATACTAGCATAAATATTAATAGCATAAATACATTATTTTTCTAGAATGTTGAACTATTATTTTATAATTTATATTTTAAATGTTATTTAGGAATATGGAAGCATTATTTAAATACCCTTATTTTAAAAAGATATTAGCTCTTGAAAGGCTTGGTACAATGGCTAATATTTTAAAATATATTACTACAATGCCTCTTTTAAATGTATTCTTGTTTGTTTTTTAAAAGAGTTAATAATAGATACATGTGGTCAGGCAGCTTATCTAACTCAATTTGATAATTTTAAACTTGTTCAATTATGCTTACAATTTTCTTATTAAATATGTATTAGTCATGATGTGATATAAAAATTAGATTTTAAAATATTAAGAAAAATTCAAGCTGCATCTACTTGTGTTACTTATAAAAGAGTTTATGTAATTGAAAGCAAATGTATCTTTTTTAAAAGATGAATTTCCCATAGTTATGCATCATTTATTTCAGGGCCTTATTTCTCTGTTTTTGTCCCTTTTATGGTACAAACATACATTTATTTCATGATGAAATAGGAACCATTCATCTAAATGGAATAGATTTCAATATGTTGCTATAAATATAAGAAAAAAATATAAGGGGTGGCAAAAAAGATCCCAAAGCAAAGCCTTATCAGCTAAAGGAATTGGATGAATAGTCGTATAGTCAGTCAGTGAGGCCCAGGAAAATATGTGCTTCAAATGTGTAAATAGGAGCGAACATGATCTATTTTAGCCTTCCCTAAACCAGTGTGAGAAGAAAAACTGTTCGATTAACTGTGTTACAGGGGTTTTTGTTTGCTTCTTTCTTTCTTGAAATATCTACTAAGGGAACTAAAGATAAAATTATAAAAATCATTTGAAAAATTTCAGGACATTATATTTCATTCTTAGTGGTATCTACAATTGTTGTCCAAAATGATAAAAGAAAAAAAGCAAAGAAAACCAAACCAAACATAAAACAAAGAAACATAGATATTAACAATGATATTAACCAATATATATATTCACTAGTATTTTTGTGAATATCTGTGACAAATATCTTTGTATTGCTATATCTATATATTACTATGTAGTATTTTTGTGAATATCTTTGTCACAGATATTCACAAAAATACTAAAGATCAAAACAAAAGCAAAACAAAGCTGTCACAGCATTTAAAGGATACTCTGCTTTCTTTTTGGAGGAAAGAACCTTGTTCTTGGTAGCAAAACAAATTTGATTTCTCCATAACCACACAATAATGACCTTTCTGGAAAAATAAATCAAAGTTCAGTTAAAAAGGGAAATACTATTGCCAAGAAATAATTGTGGTTAAATCTACTATTGTATATTATTCAGTAGTTCTATTTTTCATATTTTCTAATCTGATTTTCGTAACTCCCTGTATTGATATACTGAAATCTTGAAACAACGTAACTATTTACTACATTATATATTGCTTCTGGCAAAGACCCATTGCCACAGCACAGACTTTTATTTCTTTTTGCCATGGTAACTTCTCACTGTCTCCCTCTGCTCAGAATGAAGGTGAGTAACTTTGAGCATTGACTTCCAAATGCAGTCAGAGCATCGGCAGCAGATAGGCCTGAACAAGCTTCTTTAGGACTGTATGTTGAATTGTGTTCAGCCAAGTTTTGGACAGTTGAGAATATATATCCTGCCACATCTCACTGCTCAACTAATTTCTCTTCTTTGGCTGCCACTGCTTATAACTTCCTATGCCAACGAGTTTCAGAATTGCTCAGTCTCTATGGATAAGAAAAGCACCAACAGTACGTGATAATGGTGATAATGAGCTAAGTCTTTTATATCTAGCTTTGAATTTAACCACCAGGGCCCTTTGAAGAAGATGTACTGAGCTACATTTTACAAAGGATGTGAAATATCATTCCCAGATTTATATAGCCATAAGGTGATTCAGCTGGAGTTTGAAGTTAAATTGGCCCAACACTAAAGCCCAAAACCATGTCACCATACACATTGTTTGTCGGCAGGTGCCACTGCATATTTCTCTGCTATATAATGACTACCTCAATCAGGGGTCAGCAAACATTTCTCTATAAAGAACTTGATAGTAAGGATTTTAGGCTTTGCAGGCTACCTCTGATTCTGTCATACAGTATTCTTATTTTGTTGTTTTACATAAACTTTTAACAATGTAAAAATATTCTTAGTTTGGAGTCATACAAAAATAGACTATGGGCAAAATTTGGCCAAGAAACCGTAGTTTTCCAAACCCTGATCTAGAGGAAGTACACATGCAATGGATCTCTTAGATCTGGCACTCTGCCTAGTACCTGCTTAAAAAATGTGATGCTTCCAGAAACTGTGTTTCCCATTATTCATTTTCAATTGAGACTTTGGAGAATGGAAAGCACTGCTTCTGAAATATACATAATCTTCTAGTAATCTATAAAAATTTTTAAAGCAACTCCATTGAATCTGGGTACTCTTTCCTCCGTCTTCTCTTCTATGTGAATTTATGTGCCCTTTCCTTCCTCTTGAATTTGTGTTCTTACCAAATAAATTATTTGAGATACAATAGGACTTTGATCACAGGTATTTTTAATTAAGTTTTTTTCTTTTTACTATTATGAATATATAATAGTTGTACATATATGGGTACCTGTGATACTTTGATACAAGTAATGTGTAATGATCAAATCAAGGTGACTGGGATATCCATCACCTCAAGCATTGACCGTTTATTTGTGTTAGGAACATTCCAGTCCCACTCTTTCATTTATTTTGAAATATACAATAAACAATTGTCAACTATAGTTGCTATATTGTGCTACTGAACACTAGATCTTATTCCTCCTGTGTGACTGTATCTTGTACCCATTTTCTAGCCTTTTTTAACCCTGCCTTCCCACTAACCTTCCCAGGCTCTGGTAACCATCATTCTACCCTCTATCTCCATTAGTTCATTTTTTTTTTAGCCCTTACATATAGGTGAAAATGTGTGATGTTTGTCTTTCTGTGCCTGGTTTATTTTAACACAGTGACTCCAGTTCCATCCATGTTGTTACAAATGACATCTTTTATTCTTTTTAATGTCTGAGTAATATTTCATTCTGTATATGTACATTTTCTTTATCCATTCGTCTATTGATGGACACAGGTAGATTCCATATCTGAGCTGTTGTGAATAATGTTGCAGTAAATGCCGGGGTGCAGATATCTCTTTGATATACTGATTTCTTTCTTTTTTTGGATGTATACCCAACAGCGAAATTGTTGGATCATATGGCAGCTCAATTTCAGCTTTTTGAGGAACCGCCATACTGTTCTCCATAAAGGCTGTACTAATTTTCATTCCCACCAACAGTGTATGAAGTTTCCCATATTTCCATATCATTACCAGCACCTGTTATTGCCTGTCTTTTTGATAAAAGTCATTCTGGGGTGAAATAATATTTCACTATGGCTTTGATTTGCATTTCTGTGATGATTAGTGATGTTGACATTTTTTCATATATCTTTTGGCCATTTGTATGTCTTCTTTTGAGACATGTCTATTCAGGTTCTTTTGCCCATTTTTTAATCCGATTATCTGGGTTTTTTTTCCCCCTATAGAGTTGTTTGAGCTTCTTATCTATTCTGGTTACTAATTACTTGTTACATGGGTAGTTTGCAAATATTTTCTTCATCCTGTGGGTTGTGTATTCACTTTGTTGATTGTTTCCTTTATTGTGCAGAAGCTTGATCAGATGTATTTATATCCTAAAAGAATGCTATGGATTTTCTCCACTGAGCGTCCACACACACACCATAGTCTCACCATATGTCACCAGCAGATAATAGATTTCTCCTTTCATTTTTCTGAAATTGCATTTTGCTATGTGAATCTATAGATATCCTTGGAGATTTTAGTATAATCTAAGGAGTGTTTTATATTTTTGTCCTAGGGAGTTCAGATATATTCTATCTAATTGCATTAATTCTTACTATAATGCCAAATTTTACATACTATTCTATTACTTAGTTATTTTGCTATTCTTTTACATTTTTGGTCAAAATATCAATTGCACATTTATGGATAATTTATACTGGGTTCAACTGCTTAGTAAAATTCTTTCGTGTTTCTTTCTTTTATGCTCTTTTCTCTTACACTTAGTCATTTTCTAATTTTAACAGTAATATTTGTCTATTGTAGAAAATACAAGAAGGTAAAAAGAAAATAATACATATCATACAAAATATTATCAAACACAGATAATGACTATGAAATATTTGATGCAATTTTGCTATTTTTATACATAGCTCTGTACATAGTAAGTATTTATACCCTATATACCTTCACATATGTATGTTCACACGATTGAGCTAATTAATGGGTTTATACATGTTAAATGGATAGGGTTTGATTATCTAATTGTGATTATGTAGTACATAAGATTTTGTACCTTTTTAAATTTAAAAAAGTATAAAATTTCTTATTGTATTAAGATATTTGAAAACCTCATTATTATCATCTACATAATAGTCTACAGTTAACCATGTGGCATTTCATTCCAGTTTCATAATTATTAAATCAATTTCTTACTTTTACACACTTACCTTATCACATTTTCTCTACAATAAATGTTTCTGCAATAAATGTTTATTACATAACATTAAACATGTTTTTATTTCCTTTGATTTTTTAAAATTTTTAAAAAGCAATTGCTCAATAAAAAGGCATAAACATTTTTAAGCCTTTTTATCCTGGTATTCTTGATATAATGTTCAAGCTGCTTTTAAGAGTTGATACATTATTTACTCTAGAGTACTTAAAACCTCAGGCTTTTTCCTCCAGAGAGATAAAGAAGAAATGTTTGTTCCACATGTCATCGTGAACCAGAATGCCACTTATAAAAGTTTCTGCTGTGTCACTTCAAGTTTTTCAGTTATTCAATATCTGTTAGATTTATTTCTTTGTGGACTCTCATACAGTTGGGTGATTGACAGTCACATGAAATCAATAGAGAATTTTAATATTAAACATTCACATTAGTTATAAAAGATTTGTTTTGATTTGTTTTTTGTTACTGCTATAACTAAAGCCTTCTTCACAGTTTTTTTTTATTTTTCTAGTTTCCCTTTTTGACTTACATACTTTTTTTTTTGTTTTAAATTATTGAGACAGGGTCTGGCTTCATCTCCCAGGCTGGAGTGCAGTGGGGCAATCTCGGCAACTTATATAGCTTTTAAAAAACAACTTCACATTCTTTTAATTGCAGAGATTTGAAAAACGCATTTTGTATTTAAATACATGATTGATTTTTTATTATCACAAATGCAAGTTGTTCATTAAATTACCCCACCATATTTGAAATAAAACAATTGCACATACTTGTGTATCTTATTATCCCCATAATGCATAGATTTTATTGATATGTTCTGATAATTTATTAATAATAGAGTATGATTTTGTTTTACATATATATACATACATACACATATATATATATATAGAGAGAGAGATTTTTCGAGGCAGAGTCTCGCTCTGTCACCCAGGCTGGAGTGCAGTGGCGTGATCTCCAAACAATTCTCATGCCTCAGCCTCCCAAATACCAGGGATTACAGGCATGTGCTACAATGCCCGGCTATTTTTTTGGTATTTTCAATAGAGATAGGGTTTTACTGTAAGGCTGGTCTTGAACTTCCAACCTCAAGTGATCCGCCCGCCTTGGCCTCCCAAATTGCTGCGATTACAGTCATGAGCCACCATGCCCAACCAAGAAATACGTTTTTAATAATTATTTTTATATTTACCATATTTTATAACTGTGATTAATGATCAGAAATATACATTACATTTACGATTTCATTTCTTATACACTTTTAAAAATCTCTGCCCCACCCCACAGGTGTTTAGACCAGATGTTTTTGCGCAGATAAAGGAACCTGCACAGGGTCTTGCTTGGGCATGCCCGCAACAGACTGGAGACCGTCATGCACTGGAGGAATGGGATGGAGGCACCAGGAATTTGGGCCTTAGGCAGGGAAGGAGCTTGGCCTCTTCAGCTCATATATGGTGGCCTGGTATTCAATTTGTGAGGTGGAAGCCTCCTGGTCACGTGTCCGAAATTGGTGGGTTCTTGGTCTCACTGACTTCAAGAATGAAGCCGTGGACCCTCATGGTGAGTGTTACAGTTCTTAAAGATGGTGTGTCCGCAGTTTGTTCCTTCTGATGTTCGGACTTGTTGGGAGTTTCTTCCTTCTGGTGGGTTCATGGTCTTGCTCGCCTCAGGAGTGAAGCTGCAGACCTTCGTGGTGTTACAGCTCATAAAGGTGGTGTACACCCAAAGAGTGAGCAGCAGCAAGATTTACTGCAGAGTGAGAGAACAAAGGTTCCACAATGTGGAAGGGGACCTGAGCGGGTTGCTACTGCTGGCTCTGGCAGCCGGCTTTTATTCCCTTATCTGACCCCACCCACATCCTGCTGACTGGCCCATTTTACAGAGAGCTGATTGGTCCATTTTACAGAGAGCTGATTGGTCCGTTTTACAGACAGCTGATTGGTCCATTTTGACAGGGTGCTGATTGGTGTGTTTACAATCCCTGAGCTAGACACAGAGTCCTGATTGGTGCATTTACAATCTTCTAGCTAGACGTAAAATTTCTCCAAGTCCCCACTAGATTAGCTAGACACAGAGCACTGATTGGTGCATTTACAATCCTTTAGATAGACACAAAAGTTCTCCAAGTCTCCACTAGATTAGCTAGACACAGAGCACTGATTGGTGCATTTACAAACCTTGAGCTAGACACAGAGCACTGATTGATGCATTTACAATCCTTTAGCTAGACACAGACTGCTGATTGGTGCATTTACAATCCTTTAGCTAGACACAGACTGCTGATTGGTGCATTTACAATCCTTTAGCTAGACATAAAAGTTCTCCAAGTCCCCACCAGATTAGCTAGATACAGAGTGCTGATTGGTGCATTTACAATCCTTGAGCTAGACACAGAGTGCTGATTGGTGCATTTACAAACCTTGAGCTAGACACAGAGTGCTGATTTGTGCGTTTACAATCCTTTAGCTAGACACAAAAGTTCTCCAAGTCCCCACTAGATTAGCCAGACACAGAGCACCGATTGGTGCATTTACAATCCCTGAGCTAGACACAGAGTGCTGATTGGTGAGTTTACAATTCCTGAGCTAGACACAGAGTGCTGATTGGTGCACATACAATCTTCCAGCTAGATATAAAAGTTCTCCAAGTCTCCACCTGACTGAGGAGCCCAGCTGGTTCACCTAGTGGATCCCGCACAGGGGCCACGGGCAGAGCTGCCCGCCAGTGCCACACCACGTGCCCACACTCCTCAGCCCTTGGGCGGTGGATGGGACTGGGTGCTGCAGAGCAGGGGGTGGCACCCATCAGGGAGGCTTGGGCCGCGCGGGAGCCCATGGTGGGGGGGTGGCTAAGGCCTGGTGAGAATTCAAGTATGGCACAGGCAGGCCAGCAGTGCTGGGGGACCCAGCACCCCCTCCACAGCTGCTGGCCCAGGTGCTAAGCCCCTCACTGCCCAGGGCCGGCCCACTCCGAGTGCGGGGCCCACCAAGCCCATGCCCACCCAGAACTAGTGCTGGCACGTGAGCTCCACGTGCAGCCCTGGTTCCCATCCTCCACACCTCCCTGTAAGTAGAGGGAGCCAGCTCCAGCCTCAGCAAGCCCAGAGAGGGGCTCCCACAGTGCAGCAGTGGACTGAAGGGCTCCTCAAGCTTGGCCAGAGCAGACGCCGAGGCCGAGGAGGTGCTGAGAGCAAGTGAGGGCTGGTGCTGAGAGCAAGTGAGGGCTGCCAGCATGTTGTCACCTCTCAGCGAGACCCCTCTCTTTGCTAAAAGATCTCCTTTAGTTTAATAAATTCCACCCTCCTCACCCTTCAATGTTTCTGCCTACCTAATTCTAGTTGTCAGACAAGAACCCAGATTTAGTTGAGCTAAGGAGCAAAAAATCCTCCATCAACTTTATCTTTGAATTTTCAACCTACAGAAAAGTTGTAAGAATAGTACAACTGTAAGTGAATTACAGAATTCACTAATCATTAACATTTTTTCACATGTGCATTCTCTCTATGTGTGGGTGTTTCTTGAACTAGTTGAGGGTAATAAATTTCTTCTCCTTTAAGTGCTTTGGCATATATTTCCTTAAAAGATTATCTGATATAACCATAATTAAATCATCATACTCAGTTAATTTAACCATGTTAAATACTAATATATAATAGTCAATATTTAAATTTCTCTGATTTCTCCAATAATGTTACTTATAGCTGTTTGATGTTTTTCTTGTTTGTCGTTTAATCCAGGAATCAATCAGGAATTATGTCAATCAAGAATTATGCATGAACTGGATTTAGTGGTTGGAAGAGTTTACAAATTCTCATTTATTTTAATTTAACTATTTATTCTATCTTTTATGTCATTAATATTTTTATATATCCAGGCCAATTGCTTTATAGAATATCCTTCAATTTGTCTTTGTCCATTGTATCTTCATAATTAGATACAGGTTAAAGAGTTTTGGAGGAACTATTACATAGGTGATTTATCTGTTCATTATATCTCATCATGGTTTACACTGATGTCAGTTATGAAAATACTGAGTTTGACCACTTTGGTTAAGGCTAAATCACAAAATTTATCTATTATTGGACACTTTCTCCACTTTATTATAAATAGCTAATTTATAGTTTAATCATTTGAATCCCTAAGAATATCCCATTCCCCAATAAATTTTCATATAATATTTTAGTCTCCATTTATATTTCTTCCCTTAATCATCTATTACCAGGGTGACTACATATAATGATTTCCTAATTATTTTATTTATTTCACATTTCTTAGTTGCTATTTTCTATAAATAAAAGCTTTTACCACAAGCTGATCAACACATTTTATTTTCATGATTTTTATTGCCAATTTAGACACAGACATTTTTATGCTTCTATAAATTATTCATTGTGTCATTTAAATTATCCCTGTATGAGCCACCAAGAGACACTTTAGCTGGATACTAGCATCTTTTGACAAGTTCACATAGGTGTATGTGTACTTCTTCCATCCTTGGAATAAACGATAGTTCAGGTTCTTCTTACAGTTTTCTGCCCCAGACATAAAATCAGACATTTCTCTAAGGAGCCCAGGATTTTTTTGAGTAATTAATGGCCACTTGTATTTTTAATTTTTACTCTTTTCTTAGGGCACAGCTATGGTTTTATATATAAATATAAATATATATATTTATATATATAATTAATATATATATAAATTAATATATATTATATATAAAAATATATTAATATGATATATATTATATAATTTATATATTTATAAATATATTTTTATATATTTATATATATATAAAATTTCATTTAGATATCTCAAATCCCAACCCAATGGAATTGTTTCTCTTTTTATACAAATCCATATTTTTATCTTTCTTCTACCATGGTGGAATATGTCGTTCTCCAAAAATGTTAATATACTTAATATTTCACTTAGGCTTACAATATGCACAAAATAGATTCACAATTACAGCACTAATGCCTATGCCAAAAAATCAATTTACTAGATAAAGTTCAAGATCACTTTGTAGTTTGTTTATTCTTCCTCTTTGTATGTCTCAACTGTTTACAATCAGTGTTCAAATTTTTCTTGGACTATTTTTTTCCTCCTACGAGACTATACTCTCAACATGATATATGTTTCATTTGTTTTCTTTTATTTTCCACTTTAAGAATTTTTCTCTGTATTTTTTGAGTTAGTTTTAAAAATCAAATGTGTTGCAGTAAAACTTACTTCTGATATAACCATTTAAGGATACAGTTTGATAAGTTTTGTTTTTTTGTGGCTATTTTTTGGATCTCTGGTTATGCATTACTTTTTTAAAACTTGAAAAATAAAAATTGTATGTATTTACTGTGTACAACATAATGTATTGAAATATATATACATTGCAGAAAGGCTCAATTATGCTAATTAACAGGAACAGTATTTATCTTCTTTGATGATAAACTTAAAATCTACACCGTTAGCAATGTTCAAAATACAATATATTGTTATTAACTATAATTATAGACATTTTTATGCCAAGTAGCTGGGATTACAGTGCCACGATGCCCGGCTATTTTTTTTTGTATTTTTAGTAGAGACGGGGTTTCACTATTTTGGCCAGGCTGGTCTTGAATTCCTGACCTCAAGTGATCCGCCTGCCTTGGCCTCCCAAATTGCTTAAAACACTTGAAATCTACATCCCTAGCAATGTTCAAAACAAAATATATTGTTGTTAACTATAATCACCATGTTGTATAATAGATACCTTGAGGATAATTTTTATTTAACTGAAATTGTATATCCTTTGACCAACATCTCCCCAACCCAAACCGCCACTCCCTTAGTCTCCTAGTAACCACTATCTTCTATGAGTCTTCTATGAGTCCAAAATTTTTAGATTCCACATATAAGTGAGATCATATGGTATTTGTCTTTCTGGGACTGGATTACTTCATTTACCATAATGTCCATCAGGTCCATCTATGTTTTCACAAATCTCAGGAATTCCTTCTTTATTAGGACTGAATAGTATTCCACATGCATGCCTACCACATTTTCTTTATCCTTTCATCCACTGATGGACACTTAGGTTTATTCCATATCTTAGCTATTGTGAATAGTGCTGCAATTAACATGGAAGAGCAGTTATCTCTTTGACAGACTGATTTCATTACCTTTGGGTATATGCTCAATAGTGGGATTTGATGAGTTTTGATAAATACATATACCCATGGAACCATCAATACAATAAACACAGGATATTGATGTCCACCCAGAGGTTTCCTTCTCTTTTCTTGTTAATCTGCCCACCTCTAAATTCCTGGCTCAGGGCTATACCTGATCATCTTTCTGTCTCTACAGATTAGTTTTACTTTTAGAATTTTACATTAATAAATTCATGTAGTATGTGTATACTTGTGACTGGCTTTTCTTCTCTCATACTTTAGTTTTCACTTTTTAGTTTTAGTTTTTGTTTTTTGTGTTACACAGATCAGTAATTTGTTTTTATTTTTAAATGGTTTCATTATAGGGCCATGCCAAAATTTTCTTATTTGAGCTTAAGCCATGATGTATATAACTATTATGTACAAATATATCTATGAGAATTTATAAACAAGTACTTTCTGGACACACATTTTTATTTCCATTTGGTAATGAACTAGAAGTAGAAAAGTTGTATCATATGGTGAGTGTATGCTTACATTTATAGGAAACTCACAATTGTTTACTAAAATGGTTTTCAGAACTATAATTTGTGGGGACCAGGACACAATGAATATTTGGAATTACTTGTCAAAAAGTTATCAAAAATTTCAAGGTGGTGACAACACAGTTTTAAGCCAAACACAAGACTCTTCTAAGCCCTATGTAACTGCATAGGTTGCATGCACACAAAACAGCCCTTGTGTTTATACCATGTTTCATTATAACCAGCAATGTATGTGAGGCCCGGTTGCTCCACATGCTTGCCAGCATTTGGTAATGTTGGTCTCTAATTTTGATCATTTCAGGGGTTAAGTAGTAATACCTAGTTGTGGTAATTACGTATATTTATCAGAAGAAAAAGGATACTATTAATAATCATTTTAATAGCCATTTGCAAATGTACCTGAAGTAACTATTCTTAGCTGTTCCATATTTTTACTGAGTTTTGTCTTTTTATTCATTTTTAATAGTTATTTTATAATCTGAATACACATGTGAAATGTCTATTGAAGATATTTTTTCATAATGTGTGGCTTTTCTTATTTTAATTAGGCATTTTATTTTTCAACTTTTATTTTAGAATCAGGGGGTACATGTACAGATTTGTTGCAGAGGTATATTGTGTGATGCTAAGGCTTAGAGTATGAATGAACCTGTCACCTAGGTAGTGAGCATAGTATGTACCCAACAGGTAGGTTTCTTCAACCCTTATTCCTCTCACTTCCTTCCCCTTCTTGTAGTCCCCTGTGTCTATTGTTCCCATTTTTATGACCATGTGTACCCCAATGTTTAGCTCCCACTTAATAAGTGAGAACATGCAATATTTGGTTTTCTGTCCCTATGTTAGTTCGCTTAAGATAATGGTTTCCAGTTGCATCCATGTTGCTGTTGTGAATTGCACTCCAATGAACATGCAATTGAGTGTGTCTTTTTAGTAGAAAAAAATATTTTCCTTTGGGTATATACCCAGTAATGAGATTACTGGGTCAAATGGTAGGTCAACTCTCAGATCTTTGAGAAATCTCCAAACTGCTCTTTACAGTGGCTGAACTAATTTGCATTCCCACCAACAGTGTGTAAGTGTTCCCTTTTCTCTTTAGCCTTGCCAACATCTATTTCTTTACTTTTTAACAAAAGCCATTCTGACTGGTATGAGATGATATCTCATTGTGGTTTTTATTTACATTTTTTAATGATGAGTAATGATGACCATTTTTTCATATATTTGTTGGCTGCATGCATGTCTTCTTTTGAGAAGTGTCTGTTCATGTCCTTTGCCCACTTTTTAATGGAGTTATGTATTTATTTTTTGTTGATTTGTTTAAACTTCTATAGATTCTTATTTTCTTTATGGTTTCTTTAGAAAAACAAAAGTTTATTTTGTTTTTGTTTTAATAATGAAATTCAACATTTTTCAATTTTTTTTTTTGGTTGGGGGGTAACATTGTGCTAAGACGTGTGTTGAAGAGCTTATTTTTTCCATGAATTATCTTGACACCATTTTCAAAACAGCTGGCTATGTGGGGGTCTATACCTGCAATATGTACTACTATTTTTGTTTGTTTTCTAATTTATCCCTAAGAAATACCACACTGTTTAGACTATTTTTTTAATCTGAAAATTATCAAGTCATACTTGATTAAGTCCTCAAACTTTCTTCATTTTCAAAATTGTATTGTCAGTTGTAGGCAATTTGGTTTTGCAAATAGTTTTACAATCAGCTCACCAATTTTTACAAAAAGCTTAATGAAATTTTGAATGTGACCTATTGTTAAATCTGTAGCTCAATTAACCCTGTAAATCACTGAATTTTCCAATTAAACATTGTATATTGTTCTATTTGAGTTTATTTTAAAAATTTGTCTCAGCAGGCCGGGCACGGTGGCTCACACCTGTAATCCCAGCACTTTGGGAGGCGGATCACGAAGTCAGGAGATTGAAACCATCCTGGCTAACACGCTGAAACCCTGTCTCTACTAAAAATACAAAAAAATTAGCTGGGCATGGTGGTGGGCGCCTGTAGTCCCAGCTACTCAGGAGGCTGAAGCAGGAGAATGGTGTGAACCTGGGAGGTGGAGGTTATAGTGAGCTGAGATCGTGCCACTGCTCTCTAGCCTAGCCTGGGCGACAGAGTGAGACTCCATCTCAAAAAAAAAAAAAAAAAAAAGGAAAATTTCTTTCAGCAATGTTTTATAGTTTTCAGTGTGCAAGTCTTGCAGATATTTTGTTGCATTTATCCCTAATTATTCATGTTTGTTAAACTTGTATAAATCAATTTTTAAAATTCAATGTTATAATTTTTTAAACTGTAATTTAGAAATGTAATTACTTAGGGAAATTGATCTTGTATTATGTGATCACATTAAATTTATTTATTAGGTTTAGTAGCTCTTTTTAATTATTCAGAATTTTCTATGATCACACAGTGTATCTGCAAATATTCAAAATTAACTTCTTTTAATCTACATGTTTTTAAATCACTTTCTTGTCTTATTGCACTGTCTAGTACTTAAAATTAATTGAAATAGTAAGACTCATTGACTAGCCATATCTTGTTTTCTCTTTCACATTAAAGTTAATACTATTGTTATATTTTTTTTCCTTTTGGTGAAATACCCTTTACTAGGTTGAAGATATTCCTGCCTATTCCCAGTTTGCTTATAGATTGCAATTGAAAGTTGTCACTGGTGGTGAACTGCAATGTAAAACTGGAAGACATAAATTTAAAAGCTGGTGTGTAAACTAACTAATTTAGTAACACGGGAAATTTTAATTATATTGACAATGAATCTAGATGGCCATTGCTTGAGTGAGCGATGCTGTAGAGCAGAGGTCAATAAACATTTTCTGTAAAGGGCCATATAGTATATATTTTAGGCTTTGAGGGTTACATAAAACCTCTGAACATATTTTTCTTTTTTTCATTCCTTTATTCTGTTTGTTTGTTTGTTTGTAAGTTTTTGTTTCTTTGTGCAATCCTTTAAAAATATAAAACTATTCTTGACTCTCAGGCCTTCCAACATGAAAGCCAGGACAAATTTGCCCCTGGGGTTTTGTTTGGTATACTCTGTCCCGGAGGTAGATAATGAAAAATTCCTCAAAGCTATAAATCATCAACTAAATGTTAAGTGTGAAAGCCAGAGGGTTTCCTTGGCAGCATATGTTCCAGTTACTTTTGTAGCATAAAAAATTTTCCAAAAACTTAGGAGTACAAAAACAATCATTTTATTATGCTCCCAATTTCTCTGGTCTGAAATTCAGAAAGGGCACATTGGGGAGTGTTTTTCTCCTCCACAATATTTGGGAATACTGAATAGCTGGGAGTAATGCTAGGACTGAGTTCTGGAATTATCTGTGGGTGTCTTCACTAATATGTCTGGCACCTGATCCGGGTTGGCATAAACATTTGGATCATCTCAAAATATTGACTATCCATGTGGACATGGTCTATGTTGACTGGCTTTCCTCACAGCATAATGGTCTCAGAGTAAACAGACTTGTAAAATTGTTGCTTAGGATGCCAAAAGTTAGTATCTCAGTATCTGAGGAAGCAGATGCATTGTTCAGCTTAGCCTCAGAAGTAGCCAAGTCACTTCTGTTGTACTATATTGGTTGATGCAGACACAAACCCTGTCAGATTCAAAGGAATTTGATGTCAATCTCATTTTCAGTGTCAGAGTGTCCAATAAGTTTGCAGTCTTTTTAAAAAATTGCCACAATCGACCCTTGTGCAACAAATTATATTCTTTACATTTGCGAAGTATACTCACTGCCTTCTAAAATCTCCCATAATTCATTTCATTTTGAATTCAGGTTCAGGCTGAAGTTCCAGGATAGTATCAACTAAATAGGCCTATAAGCAGATCACACTCCTTTAGTGTAATATTTAGAATGTCCATCATGCTTATCTGAAAATCTGTGCATTGAAGAGACAAGATATCCACCCCATATACTCGAACATACTATGGTAAGACAGGCAAAGATGACTGCAATCAGGTTACCTATTCAAATGATGGAGAGACGGGAAGCAGACAGCAATGACTAGTCCACACCAATTCTGAAATTAAACAGGGCACATGTTGACAGCTTCTTTGTTAGGAATCATTTATGTTCTCTGGAACTGATTCTTCGGAGTTCTTGGTTCTATCTTTTGAGCTCTTGGTTACACTATTTTAGTCATCTTTCCATTTTCTTTACAGTTGCCTGTAATTGAGGCAAAATTCCATGTAATTTGGGGAACTAAAGGTCTATTTTTTATTTTATTTTGTGTGATCTCAATGCCCTTTTGTACAAACAGGTATAATTCCTTTAAAATCTTTTTTGGTTTCTAGTAATCAATTTATAATCCACTCCATTAGGCAAAAGCCACATGAATTAATCTCTTTAACATGAGCTTGTGTGTATTTTCAGCTCAATGTAATGACACTGAGTGACAATATCCCTAATATTCTCAGAGGCTCAATTTTCTAATGGGGGTTAAGTAGTCATGCCATTTAGGTTATTCAAAGTCCCTTCTTTTATTTTTCTATCTAACAAAAAGCTTCTATGAGACACCACCTTGTATTTTTCTAAGAATCTTGCAGTTGCATTCTATATTTTATCTGTTCCACAAAACCATTTCTTAATTGGATGTTCTTTTGCTAACAAGACGGAATAGTAATTTATATCTTCTCTGAAATTTGTTTCAAAATGGAACAGTTCTTTTTCAGCTTGGGTCATTCTATCTGTACCTTATCATATAAAGCTAAAATAACCAGGTGGCATTCCTAGCATTTTGCTTGGAAACCTCCTTAACCGAATCCATGTGTTTACTATTACATTTTCTATTTTCTACATTAACGCAGATAAGAGTTTGGCTAATCTTCCCATAACATAGCAAGAGTTTCCTTTCCTCCAGCTTTTAATCACTCTCTTCACTATAAGCCCTCAGCAACAGTTTCGTCCAGGCTCTCAGTCACCTCATAACTTCTAGCATCCCACCAGCATTTGGTCCCAAAGATAAAGCCATATATTTCAGTTGCCAAATTATGTTGTAGTAACTACTCCTGTGTAACTAATCACAACAAAATTTAGTTGGATAAAACAACCATTTTATTACACTGGCTCATGGACTCTGCTGGCCAGGAACTGTCAAACAGAGGAGGCCTATCTTATCAATGCTACAATTCTCTGAAGACTTGGCAGGGAGTGACTCAAGAAGTGGAGGAGGCTATGATCATCAAGAGGCATTTCACCCATATGTTTAGTGCCTGTGTTGAGATGAATAAAAAATGTTTCCAACTGAGACTGGTGTTCAGAGTTCTTTTACATAGTTCATCCATGTGACCTTACAGGGCAATCAGACATCTTAAGTGATAACTCAGTCCTCCAAAATGAGTGTCCCAGCAGAGAAAACAGTAGTCATGTAGCATCAATTCTGTTGAGTCTATTGGACAAAATAATCATAAGCCCAGTCAGAATAAAAGAGAAGTGCATAATTCCCATATTCAATAAGAATGGTGTCAAACTATTGTGGTCTTTTTTTGAGATAAGGTCTTGCTCTGCTGCATAAGCTAAAGTGCAGTTGCACAATCATAGCTCACTTCAGGATGACCTCCTAGACTCAATGATCCTCCCACCTCAGTTTCCCAAGTAGCTGGGACTACAGGCACGTGCCACTATGCCCAGCTAATTTTTTGTTTTTTGTAGAAATGAGCTGTTGCTATGTTGCCCTGACTGGTCTCAAACTCCTGAGCTCAAGTGACCCTGCTGCCTTTGCCTCCCAGCATGCTGGGATTATAGGCATGAGCCAACTTGCCCAGGTTAAGGTCAATTTTTTTATAACTGCCATAGCATCTAAAGAGACTCTCATTTCCTTTAGATGGAAAACATAGAAAACTGAAAAAAAAAAAAAAAGTCCAGGATTTTGTCATAAGAGTAGAGATGCTCCAGAGCTCAAATTTTCAACTTGGCAGATCAGTCCTGCCAAGTGAGAACCCTGAAAGGGAAAGAACAGTACCCTATTATATGGGATGAAGACCCAGATACCATGGTTTGGGTCACTTAAAAACCTTGAGTCCTCCAAATTTCCCAAATCCTCTGAGCCTAGAGAAATGGTCCAGCTCACCCTGTTAAAGAATAGTTCTCATTGCTTCTCACCTGCAAAACAACGCATGCCTACCATCCCAGGATCTACCCCATCTTCCCTAATAACTGGGGTTAAACCAAACATAAACTAGGCAGAGACATGCTAAGCCTTTTAAGGAAATAAAGATCCTATACGTGGAAGGAGCTAGAGAAGCTGACGAACATTTATTAGCAAGAGATGGGAAATTACATACGGGACTAGATTCTGAGAGTGCTGAATACACAGAAGTAGACTATAAAGAAGAGTGTATTGCTATGGGAGCACTCACCCCAGATATAGCACTTAACAACCTGAAAAGGATGTTGGGAGAGAGAGAAAACATGCTTCTAGGATAGTTCTTAGGAAGATAACAAAAGCTAGGGCACATTCTATGTGAATTCAGAAGTTTTAGAACTGCTGGAGCGGAGAATAGAAGAGATCAAAAGGCATAGAGAAGTGGTTTTGCAGAGCAGATATATTACATAAATTCAAATAGCAGAGGACTGTGGTCAGTAGGTAGTCCCAGAAGAGGCACTACTGATTACAGTAAAAATCAATACACTGATGAGAAGGGCACGAGCATGATGAAGAAGTTCAACAATGCTTTCATTCTATAAGTTAGAACTGACACAAGGCAATTGAAGAAATAAGACAGGGAAAGGTGAGAAGGGAAAGAGAATACTTTATCATTGGAATCAAGATGGACACAATCACTGTGCTTCATGCAAAGTAAAAGTGGCAGCCTGTGAGGCCTGACAGGCAGAAAGGTATCGAGATGATCAATAGAATATGGCATCCCTAGAGGCAAATAGATTGACATCCATGAATGGTATTACTTATTCTATTCAACAAAAAATAAATCAAGGATGATGATCAGGAGGTTACAGCTATCAGTTCCAGTCAAAGACATTATTCATTTCCCAATTTCTGAACCTAAGCCAACTTTTGATCCAGAACCCATTGCTCACAGTGAGATCATGACTCCAGTATCGAGGTCTTTCAGCATTATGACAATTGTGTATATTAATAAGTCTCTATTTCTTCCCGATAGGGATCTGTAACAATTTACTTGTCTAAATACATGTTGGGGAAAGAAACACACAAAAATATTTCTAGGTATTTTTGGTAAAAGGATCTGAATTAATGTTGGTATCCAAAGACTCAAGCACCATTAGCCTCTAATTTAGAGTGAGGGAGCACATGAGCCAGGTATCTAATGAACTACTGACCAGTGTAGTTTATAGCATCCCACCATACCCAAGGACTTGCATTTCCTCCATCTCTGATTGTGTGGATGTAAAATATATATATTTGATAGGTGAGACCATGCCTTCATTGGTTTTGTGACCTATAGTTAAGAAACTATAGTAGTGGAGAAGGCCTAATAGAGCTGATTCTGCTCCCACCTCTGGCCAATAACAAAAATTATTGTTTACATCATATTCTGAAAGGATGGTAGGGATAAATGCTGCCCTTAAGGACCTGAAGGATGCAGAGGTGGAGTCTCCACTAATTATCTATTTAATTCACAGTTTTGTCCCTACATAAACCAGAAATATCCTGAATGAAAAAGTACAATATTTCATACTCAACTACATAATTGAAACTATCTGCCAGAAGCAGCATCTTTGCTAGTGCAGATTAACACATTCTGAAGTACTATGTATGCGGTCTATGCAGTCATTAATCTAATGAGTGCATTTCTACCTACTCCAAACAAACATGACAATCAGAAGCAGTTTGCATTCACCTGGAATGGCCCACAGTCTATATTTTAGCTTTCCCTAAACCTATACCTTTGCCATCTAATCATATAGTCTAAATTTGGATCAACTGTACTTCTTTCAAAGCACCACATGGTCTGCAAGATTGATGAGGTCATTCTATTAGGGCTAGTTGGTCAAGAAGGGGCTATTACATTGAATGCCTTGGTAAGACACATGGACTTCAGAAGATAGGAGTTAAACCTTATGAGCTTTACAAAGATCCAATAACATTATCAGATGTCCATTGGTCTGGGATATGCTATACCACCCCTCTCCTCCTTTCCCCAAATAAATGATGACATTTGACTCATCTCATCAGAAAACATAATGCCGGTTAGACCTCCTCGGTTTTTGTAGACAATATATTCCATGCTAGGACATAGTTCTAGTTTTATGCCAGCTGGCATAAATGGCTGTCAGCTTTGACTAGAGCCCAGAGCAGAAAAAGACTCTGCAGTAGGTCCATGGTGTAGTATCCTATCACTTGGGCCATGCAACCTAGCAAACCTTAGAGCATTAAATCCATCTGTGGTAGAAACTGATGCTACATAGAGTTTATGTAGATGCCAATAGTAAAACCATGACAGGCACATAGTTTTCTAGAGCCATACAATGCCATATGCAGGATACAAATCATATTTTCTAAAATCACAGATAATTCTGACTTGTTTTTATTTCTATTGCCTGCTGGACTTTCACCAGCATCACTATCCAAGGATTTCAGTGTATTTTTCAGTAACATGAGATCCCACATAAAATCATACCCAAACTTCACAAAGGGAGGTGAGGGACTAAGCATTTGACCATATAATACACTAGCTGTATCTTCACATAAGCCTATCTAGAAACTGTTGGCCTGAGAGAGTAGTAAAACAGATTTTCAAAGGCACAACTTGGAGACTATATCCTGTGAAAATGGGGGCATCATCCTCTTAGACACAGTATAACCTCAAAATGAGCAAACACCATATGGTACAATGTCCCTTGTAGTAGAATACTTGAGTTCAGGATCAAGGTGTACAAGTACAGTTGCCTGCATTTAATATCACTCTCAGGGGACCCATTTGTGGAATCGTACTTACTTTCTCTCTGGGCTTTGCAGGTTTAGAGTCTTCAGACTTTAAGGGATAATTCTTCAGCTAGGGGACATAGAATGAAAGACAACTGGAGACTTCAAGCTGATGATTATATTGTGTTATCTTTCATAAAGTAGGTTATCACAGTCTTGATTAGTTGATATACAGGCACTGATCTCCCAAAGGCATTTAACTGAAAATCAGTTGGCATTCACTTTAAGTGGACAAGTGTAAATGTTGAATGTCTTGCATCAGGAATATGTTATTTTCTTACCGTCTGTCATATTAAACTTATACGGGCCTCAATCAGTTGGACCCACTATAGAACATAACTCTAGTGAATGCTAGCAATAAATTAATATTTAATGGATTGGTTGAACAAGAATTCATACAGGAAGACTTGGTAGTGTACATATGCTCTAGAAAGTGGGAAATAATCCTTAAAAATGTTCAGAAGCTTATTACATCAGTAAGTGTTTGTCTAATCATCTGGGACATGCTAGTCTATCCCCTCCATATTAACAGACAGTTTTCATCTTGTACCTCCAACCAGAAAGAAGAAACCACAACCGTGGATGGATGGGATTCTTCAGGCAGGATATTCCACACCTGTGAATTTTGCTGTGATTTATATATGAGTTGACATTAATGTCTGCCAGTGTTGATTGGGCACAGATATAGAAAAAGAACTGGTAACAGATTCAGACTGCACAAGTAGCACATGTGACCTGGCAGACCCACTGCCGTTAGAAGCACGCATGGCACTAAAGCATACCTTGTGGAGGTTAGGGCAAGTCTCAATGGAATACTAACAATGAAGACACCGAGAATTCCTGAGAAAGACTCTGCTATCTACAGTGGAGAATTTTTAAATACACTGCTGGCAAATATATATGACATACCCATGAGTTCATTTCATTATGATACTACAAAAAACCCATCAGTCCTATTAGAATTTGTCAGTGATAGGCTCATTACTCTGAAAATTAATAAAGGAAAAAATTATTTATCCCGCATTCCCTAATAAAATTTGATTGCAAGAAATAGTTAATAAGACAGCTTTAATGTACTTTTAATAGAAGAATTCCAGCTAATAAATAAAAAAGAGATAATCAAAATAGAAATATACTAAAAGGCAATACATTATAGAATAATAAAAACAATGGTTGTAGGCAAAAATCACCAATGGATGCTAAAACTATTACATAAAATATTAAAAAATATAATGATAATATCTGGCTAACAATATATTAAGATCATTGGATGTAGGAAATTAGGGTTTACATGCATCATGGTGTGATCTAACAGGGTACAAAGCAGTACCTATGAAAGGTTCTTGCTCAAATAAAATGAAACAAAAATATCCTGAATCAAATCAAGCATCTAGGCCAGTCGAGGTGGCTCACACCTGTAATCCCAGCACTTTGGGAGGCCAAGGCAGGAGGATCACTTGAGGTCAGGAGTTTGAGACCAGCCTGACCAACATGGAGAAACCCTGTCTCTACTATAAATACAAAATTAGTTGGGTGTGGTGGCTCATGCCTGTAATCCCAACTACTTGGAAGGCTGAGGTAGGAGAATCTCTTGAACCCTGGAGGCAGAGGCTGAAGTGACCCGAGATTGTGCCATTGCACTCCAGCCTGCACAACAAGAGCGAAACTGAAACTAGTCTCAATAATAATAATAATAATAATAAAAATTCAAGTATCTAGTTTATAGGGAACATGGAGTTAGAGAAATAGGTTAACACCATGCCAAGGGAATCAATAAAATCCACAATGAAGGATATCCTACAGTATGGATGACCTGGTTTCTCAATTAAATTGTGTATGTACATATATACACACACGTGTGTACACACAAACATGCACAAACACACACATGCATGCACACACACACACACACACACACAGAACTTACCATAGAGCACAAAAGAGACTGGTGGAATAACCAAATGTGGGGTGGTCATGCATGGACTTTATATAATTTGTGTGGTTTGAGGAAACCAACTGTAAATTTATCTTTGAGACATTTGGAGAATTTTTATTATAGATTGTGTATTAGATGATATGAATGATTTATTATTCATTTATTTTGTATGATAATGGTAAATTTTTATTTTAAAATAGTTATTATCATTCAGATATAAATATGAAGAATTATCGATGACATGACTTATTTTAACATATTCCTAAGAAAACAGGTGTATCTGACAGATGAGAGTAAGTTTGCAGAAAGTAAGGAACTGTTGAAGCTCAGAGAATGGCATATGGGCATTCAGCATACCTTTTTTGCTTTTCATGCATGTTTAACAGTTTCTAAAAAAAAGCAAAGAAGAAAAAAAAACACTTGTCAATTTGGTAGAACAACATGTAAAGACAAGTATTAATTTTTCAATAAAAATTGAAAAATATAAAAATAGGCTATATGCTCTCTAACATTTACTAGTGGAGTGAAAATTTGCTGTTTGTTAACAAGAAGCAGTGGTGTTTCAAACTCACCAAAGAGTATAGGAACACACCAATATATTTGCTTTAAAAATATGAACACATTTTCTTATAGCGTGCCTTCTGCAGACAAGGACTTTCCTAAAGTTACTATGTGGTTAAATGGGAGATTCTCTTCTGTACACCACTCAGAGACTTATCGGTTTTGAAATTGCATGAGTCTTCACATCTCCTATCTTATACATCCCTTAGTTCAATATTTCATTTAACTTTAAAGTTTGGGTTTTTACTGAAATTAACTAGATAGTGTATCTGCCTTGTTATCCACTCTTCTCACTCCCACCCATGGGTTTTCACATCCTCACATCTCCTTATCTAGCATCAGCAAATCCTATAAATAAGTGTCAGCAGGAACTGCAGGAGTGATTTCTCAACATCCTTGCTGATTAAGCAGAAATCAGCCTGATTCTTAAATTGTTCTTATCAAAATGAGAAAGGTCATGCAAAACCCATGCTGCTGAAAAGTCTTGAGTCAGAAACTGGAAATGTAGGCAACACTTTCAGAAATGTGTGGTTTCCAAATAGCTCTGTAGATTTAAGCTGTGTTGAATCTAATTGACACACTACTTAATGATATTAAAAAAAAATTGTTCTCCTCCTGAGTGGCCCTAAGGCTTCCCACCACACAATCTGTGGCAGTCTTTAATTTGCGCATACAGAAGACCCTCCCTGTGTTTCTACTCAGCCAATGAATTTAAGGGTATTTGAGCTCAATGCCCCTTTTTAAAGATATTTTTTCTGTTTTATGCTTGTGAGTTCTTTGTCTGCTTCTACTACATTCACTTTTGCCAAGAAACTGTACTTCAATATATAAGCTAGAGTTGTGTTTGAGCTTGTGACCTACTTCATTATCATTTCAATGTCTTTGTCACCTCAATATCCCAGCACAGGCATAGAAAAATGCACAGATCTAGACTAATGCAAAGATAGGACGGTGTTGGCCGTGTTTGCTTAGGATGTGGCAATTATTTTAATACATGACTGGTTTTGTCTTCTTTGGATTAACATGACTACTTTAAATTCTGGTAGAAAGTGTTGTTTGATTGAAGAAGACTTTTATTTTCATGGCTACAGAATGCTTGATAAAAAGCAAAATGTATGTAGGGACTTGAGTTAATGAAAAGAGTTCTGAAAAATAATCATGGTAAATGAATTTGCGAGAAGCAACAGCTCTTTATCTTATTCTAGTCTTTAAATATCAATAACCTAGGACAAGAAGGCAGCAGGGAGAAGAAACACAACTACACTGCCAGAAACACAAAACATTTTTTAGACCTTTGTGAATGCTACTGTGTGCGTCTCTCATATGTTCAAGTATTACTGTTTGTTGTTTGTACTGTCAGGCTAATTCTCCTTAAGCAAATCTCAAGTTGAAAACATATAATTGAATCAGAAAAGAACAATTGCCAATTAACACTGAGTATTATGTGATAACACACACAGCAAAATGCTTAGGTTAAATTTGTAATCCTTCAAAATTCCTATGGATTAAACAGTGAATAGGCAGTCATGGGTGGTATGTGGAATTATATAAATATGAATATAATTGTGATGATACAAGAACAATACCTGGAGAAAAGAGGAGAGAAAAGAGAAGTGCCAAAAATGCAATAGTAATTTATTCACATACGAGAGAGAATTTGTCTGAGCTATTAAGTACCAATAGCAGTAAATTCCAAGAACAGTGAATCTTCAATTAATTTCCCTCATAAAGCCTTTGAAGGGCCTCTAGGCATATACAGATCATTAGAACTGCTTTACAGGCCCTAAACAAGAAACGCTATTTGCTGTTAATCTAAGAGAAAGTTTGTAGCTGGAAAACTGTAATGAATATATTCCTAAAAAGATTCAGAAGAATTGATTATTTTGGTCTAAATTAGTAAATATCTTAAAATCTTAAATATTAAAGCAAATAGTTTCCCATATACAAATACTTTTGACAATTTTTCCACAAACAAGTCAACAGAATCCAACCAACTTAATTAAAAAATGTCATGCATTTTGTTTCTGTTTATTTTTTATTCAGCAAGGTGGCTTGGAAAATGCCATATACGAATGAAGTAGATACATTATTTTGTAAAAAACAAGTGTTTACAATTTTTCAAAAAGCTAGCATCGAAAATCCTCAGAATTGATAGTGGATAGAATTGCCCTCACATCCATTCTTTTGCCCACAGTGATTCCACAACACACGCTTCCTTTCTCTTTTTTTTTGTTTCTGAAGTACAGTTTCCTTTTCAAGGCTCGACAACCCCTCTGAACTTCTGACTTATTCTTGCTATACTTCCCTTTGCTCCTTTGAGACTTTATCAATTTTTTTCTTAGTTTAAAAACATTTCTCTATGCTAGGTGTCTCCGTTCTTCTTAAGAATATGCTTAAGCTTCACTTCCAAAAATTGCCCTTCCTGTATTTCTACAAAGACCTTGATTTATTCATCTTGCCTCCATCCTTCCATTTCACTGACCAAGAGAAAGCTCTAGGTCTGACTCCTCTAATTCAATGCTTTATTTCACTTATTCCTCAACTTTTTGAAATCTGGTTTGATTCCCCTTCATATAATCAGCAGCTTTGCTCATCCTATTGAAGTATGCATACCCATTTCTATTGGAGTTATGTTAAGCCATTGATAAATAAGACAGAAATGGCAAATTGTCTTAGAGCACTAATTTTATGGAAGATATTTTTCTGAGGGAAAGTTATTTTAATTGGGTAGTGGTACTGGGTTAAAAAGCAGTTCTAAAAAGCCATGTCCTTCTACGTTTTGATTTTTCTTTTTATGGCTTTTTTTCTAACTTTGTCTTGAGGTCCCATCAAGAGTAGCCATAAACCAAGATAGCCACTCTTTAGGGGAGCCCTGTCTTCTAGGAAAAGACCTTATGTAATGAGAAAGAAAACAATTATCCAAGAAGATTTAACAACTCTCAACATGTCTGTACCCAAAAGCAGATCATCGGAATGAAGCAAAAGCTGTTAGACAAAATCTCCGATGCAGGAGAAGTCTAAAAAATTTTCTTGGAGTCTCTCGTCTCAAGAGGTAGTGCAAAACTCTCCAAAACTTAACTATGGCTACTAATTGTGACTTCCTTTCAAAGAGTACAGTATGGGAAAAAGAAAAAAAAAAGGGTTTTTTTGTTTTGTGTGTGTGTGTGTGTGTGTGTGTGTGTGTGTGTAGAAACCTACAGTCCTACCTCAGCCAGGTTCTCAAAGTTGGCATAAACAGTGGTAAGCATGCTGGTAGCATGTACTATGATATTGATAGTATTATGTGATAAAAACTGACCTTACCTCTGTAGTCTTCCTTCCAAAATACATAACCCAATATAATCAGGAGCAAAATTGCAGACTAATCTCAACTGAGGTAAATACGACAGAATACCCGAACAGGAATTTTCAAAACTGTCAAGGTTATCAAAAACAAAGAGTCTGAGAAACTATTACAGCTAAGAAGAGAGTAAAAATATGTGATGACTGAATACATTGTGGTATTCTGAATGGTACTCTGGTTCAGTAAAAACATTAGGTGAAACTAAGAAATTTAAAATATTATTTTTATTTGATATTCTTTAATAATATTATACTAATATTACTTCATTAATTTTAGCAAGTATAATACACTCATGCAATATTTTAATAATGGGGATCAGTGTGGAGAGTATATTGGAATTATCTGTAGAATCTTCATAATTTATTTAAATCTAAAATTTGTATAAGTTACAGGCTTTATATGAAAATGTCTTCCAGTAAAATATATATAGACTGCTTCATCCTTGTTTATAGAAATACACCACCACATGATTTTTTATAGAAATATATAAGTTTTCAGTCCTACATTTCGGAAACTCTAAAATACAGTTCTCAACCCTCTAAACCTAACATTTATTTTCCATAAATGAAAACACCTCACGACATTTATTACATTTTAAAATTATGATTGATGGCTCATAATCCCATTGAAATTCAGAGATGTATAATGGCTTTCCAAACTATCTTTCTACCTTTCTTTACCATTGTCCATTTACTTTCAACTACATTCTTTAGTAATTGTGTACATTCCTGAGGAATTCTATTCTGTTCCACCAATCCATGTTTTAAATTATAATGAGCTTCCATGGCTCAATGTGTATTTTTCTTGAGTTATTAAGAAGTAAACTCTGCTTTCTCTGAAATGCCATGGCCTGTTGTTTGTATTTTTTCATTCACATGTATTCGTGCTTTAATTTTCAATAACAGTTTTAGTATATTTCTTTGCACTTGGTTACTTTATTCTTTGCTTCCATCTCAAATGTCACCATGAAATGAACTTTAGAAACCTCTCTAGGAGTTCACCATCTTTGTACCTCTTGGAGCACATATAACAGCATCTTAGAAATGATTGCCATTAAGTATGGTTCAATTTAAGTAATTCGATTAATGATGAATGCAAACTTTACCTATGGTTTTCTTTAATATGTGAAAACATGCAACATAAATGCACTATTAATATACATATATACATGCAGAGACACAGGTTATCACAGTGATAAAATAATTATATATATAATTATAAAACTTAATGTATGTAATTTATACATTTTATCCTGAATAATAATAAGAAAATCCTGAAGCTTGGTTTCAAGCAGGGGTAATGTCTGATTGCTACTATCCCAGGTAACTATGATGCTCGTGTTTTTCCCAGTTAAACTAATTTTCAGCTTGAACTCTTAAGTAGGTATATTTTCTAGAAAAAAAGAAAATAGAGCTTCTTTTCATTTGATTCAGGGTCATAATAAATAGAACTACACTCTTTCTAATGAGGATAGAAGAGTTACAGCATATATGTTATTCTTAGGTAGTAGCCAAAGCAGACCATTTTACATAGGGTTCTATGTATTTAAGTTTTCCTTAAGAAACAGGTGAAAACATTCTATATGGCATTGCATCAAACCTAAAACTAGAGGCTGAATATCGAAAGATATCACGCCTTTCTACTTTTTACTGTCGCTATCTATATAGTCTTGAAAAAGAAGTGCATGGGACAAAAAGCAAAAAGGGAAAAAAACAAGCCAGGTGTGGAGGTGCATGCCTTTAGCCCCAGCTACTCTGGAGGCTGAGGCAGGAGACTCCCTTGAACCCTGGAGGACGAAGTTGCAATGAGCCAACATGGCACTACTGCACTCCAGCCTGGGCAACAGAGCGAGACTGACTAGAGGTGGGGGTGGGGGGAAGATGGAGGGAAACATATACATAGATAACCTGTCTTTTTAAAAAATTCATCTGTACTTCAACATTTTGCTTAGTCTTACTTCACTCAGTATGTTTATTTTCACAAATACATAAAAAAATGTAAACAGCAGGTAAAAGGGTTTAATGGCTCATTGTTTTTGCAATAAAATTTAGAAACTGAAGTCAGGAGGCACCATGGATTTACAAGGGCAGGAGGCTAAGTGATGAATTCAATCACTATTTATCTTTTGAATTAAAAACTTTTATTTCTCTGTTCATTATGTCCATGAAATAGATCAGGAGGTAATATTGCAAACAGTATTTGTGAGGATCTGGAGTGAGATTGCTAAGGAGAGATGAAGTACAAAAATAGACTTGTATAGATATCATTCATTATAATGTTGCCATTCTACCAAATAGCTAATTATATCAAATTTTGTTTCAAATAAATATTTTCTGGCTTAAGATTTTACCAGTTTTTATTATTGTGAAGATACCTTGTGAACATAAGCCACTTTAAAATAAAGTATTTGAACTTCTATATTATGATTGACTACATACTATTTTCTTGTAGAGACAAATCCATAACTTTAAGAAAACTTTTTGTTTTAATAGTCATTTCAAGTAAGTTGTTCAATTAGTTTAGTATTAGACAATAAGTGCATTTGGAACATCACCTATATATTATGTAATTGTAATAAAATATAAATAAGGGAGACTTTGGAATGACAACCAATTTTAAATGTTACAGGAAGTAAAATGCAAACATTTTAACTTTTCAATCTATAAAAAGGGCGTTGTTCAAAATTGTAAAAACATGGTTAAAACAATGTATAATATCTTCCTAGAAAAAAAGCAGAAGTATATTCAATAGAAGTACAGCTAATTATGCTGCAGTGTTAGAAATTTGCTTTTTTCCATAACTTCATAAATGATTTCCAGATGGTCTAAATGTGCTCATAGTACTTTTGTAAAATCTTACTTTTTAAATTAATTATAAGTATTTTGGTGAGATATAAATACTTACATTTCTCCACAGAATTCATGTTGATATTTAAAATAAGTAACTCCTCACATACTTATGTCTATAATAAACACAGCTGTAAATGTGGTATTCCATGTGCTTTGCTAATATTTGCCATGGAAGTAGAACGGAATACAGTTTCCAAAATCCTCTTGGATTATGAAGAAATTGGGCTTAGCATTTATCATCAGAATCCAGTGTTTAGAGCTGTGTCATAAAATTGACTTCATAGTTGTTAGGGTTAGGGCGTGGGGAGGAAATAATCTTTCTGATTGCCTGTTTTGTCCGAATGGCAGATTTCGATGTTATAAAACTGACTTGAAATGGGAAGATCAAACGTGATTATACAAGAATATTTTAATAAGTGTATCAACAGGCAAATGTGGAAGAGAGAAAAATGATTAAGTGTTTTTCTTTGGATTGAATATTTGAATCTTATGTTTAACACAAATAAGTGGATTTTAGTTATTTCTGTGCCCTGACATTTTGTATATTAATTAGTTATCTCCCATGTTATGGGATTTGTCCGTGTGTAGATAGCTTTACAGTGCTTGAGTTGTACACTTCTAATGCAGGAGCTTGTTTATGTTTCATACTTTTATACTTAGAGAGAAAAACGTCAAAGAAAAAGAGTATTACTTGAGGCGAAAAAAGTGACCAAATAAAAGATAAATTCAAAGAATAAAAAGAATTTCACAAAATGAAAATAAATGAAAACTTTTTGCTTTGATCTAAATCCATATATTCTTTTAAAGTCAAGATTTATTATGAACTAATTATAGTCTTCAAAGAAAAGCCCATTTAATTTATAATGTGTTTCTAGCTGCTTAGATCTGAGATAACATACTGATGTAATAAGTATCAAGGAGACAGAAAAATACCTAAAGGATGAGTTGCAGTAAAACGTAGGTCCAAAGTCTCAATTAAGTAACCACATTTACCCAAAGTCCAAAATATTGACACTTTTATGTATTAGAAATATAAATGAAATTCAAGGTGAGATTAATATGGCTTATATTCATAGTAATATATTTTCTACTGTATTATAAATATCAATGAAGAAGCACCATATTTAACAGAAAATCTATAAGAAATATGATTGGAAGGCACATTAACATTTTATTAATTACATCTTTTAGGTCAAGCCAAGAATAAGTTGTCAAATACTGACTATGTAAGTATAGATTTTAGATGATGGAAGAGAAATGTAAAAAATTATTTAGGAAAACAAGCTATTAACAGAGATGTCATTTAGAGAAAAGTATAGTTAGTAAACATATGGAGGGGCAATGATTGTTTTTGTAATTCTAAAGACAAAAACAGTTCTAAATTTTCTGCATTTGTAAAACTTGTGTTCTAGAGAGGAGATAGTGTTGAGAGACATTTTAAATAATTAAATCAGTGAGACTTGGTAATTAATTGAAAAATTGGGTTGAGGAGGAAGAATTCAAGGATGACTCCCAAGTTTGAAACGTGGGCTGCCACAATGATGCTGATGTTTTCATCTGAGATGGGAAATACTGAAAAAAAAATGAGTGAAGGGAGAGATGTTTGATTATGAGATTGATCTTGAACACAATGAGTGTGAGATGTCTTTGAAATATCCACATTGAGATCCACATCAAGACAGTAGTTTATTTATACAAGAAATGCAGGCTTGTCCAGTGATCTGGTAAATCAAGATGAGAAAGTTTCCAGAGTGGTACCTTTTACTTTCTTTGGAAGGCAAGAGAATTCACCTTCGAAGAGTAAGAAAAAGTGAAAGGGGAATTGGAGCTTAGAAGAGAGCTGAAGCAGTTTAAAGTTTATATTCTTCAAAAAAGTGGGAAAAAAAGTGAACCAGAAAACAAAAAGATTGACAGATTTCAAAGCATATTTGAGGTTGATGATAGTGAATTTGCAGTGGTCTAAATCTGCCTCTTTGCAAAACTTTTTTAGCAATAATTGGCAGTTCAAAAGCAAGAACAGAGGAAACAGCAGGGTTTTTGACAATAAATGTATATTAGTCTGTTCTCATGCTGCTAATAAAGACATACCTCAGACTGGGTAATTTATAAAGGAAAGAGGTTTAATTGATTCACAGTTCCACATGGCTGGGAAGCCTCACAATCATGGCAGAAGGTGAATGAAGAGCAAAGTAACATCTTGCATGGTGGCAGGAAAGAGAAACATGTGTGAGGAACCCCAATTTTTATAAAACCATCAGATCTCAAGAGACTTATTCACTACCATGACAACAGTATAGGGGAAATCGCCCCTCTGATTCAATTATCTCCACCTGGCACCACCCTTGACATGTGGCGATTATTACAATTCAAGGTGAGATTTGGGTGGGGACACAGCCAAGCCATATCAAGATGTATAAAGTTAAGGAACATTAAAGTATTAAAAAATGTATTGTTGATGCAGTGGACAATAAAATCTGTACTGCATAAAGAGGAGAAAATACAGAGAGAATGGTTTTACTATGACACAATAGAGGTATTATTAGAGAAGATATCTTTTCAAATCTACTAATAATCATGGTACAGTGATTGAACAGTGTGTTGGAAGAAGAGTAGGCTGTGGTAAAAAGTTTGGATGCCTGAATTGGTAATTTAGAAACAAGAAAGAATTAGGCAAGTTTCCAGGGGTGGACAGATCTGCTAGGTCTACAGAGGAATCTGATGTCTTGGTCTGAATTAAAAGGATGGAGACTTGTTAGAATTGTGGGAGGTAAGGTAAATAAATAAAATCAATAGAGTGTATTTATGATTCAAGAAGCAAGTAATATCTTGTATTACTTAAACTTTTAGTTTCTTATGTATATATATATATGGCTCAAACTCATTTAAAAATATATTTGTAAAAATACACCATTTAAAAATCTAACAGTAACAGCATGTATCTTCGTAATCACAATTGAGGATGGGAATGAAGTAGTATTTCAAAATAAATGAAATAAAGTGTAATAAAGAAAGGTAAGTAAACCCTAACAACAAAGAAACAGAAAATATTAGAATCACTCACTAAATGTGGTAGAGATGATAAAATTGTTAAATTGTATACATAACAATTTGAAATAAATGTTTGTGTGAATTAACCTGGATACCAATGATAAAATGCACAAATAGGTTAACTATGTAAGTTCTTTCCAGCATTTCCTCCTTAGTAGATTACTAACTCAGATCCATATTTGAGTTTAACGACCTCACGAAAGAAAAAAAAAAAAAAACACAGGTCTCAGATAAAGATGAATTTTTGGTAAAGGGAGAAAGGATTATAATAGTTTCAGCTAAATGAATGTGAACCTAAAAGTTAAAAGAAATAAAATGCAAAGAAAATGAAACTAAATAATTGGGATGAAAAGATGTCACGAATTGTAAATGAGATTTGCTTTGAGGTTCTGACTCACGCATGCAAAGCTTTCTATGAAAGCTTGAAATATTAATAAAATAGACCATATTTTACTTATGAAAAAGTCTATTTTTCTTTCTAATGCCATTTGAATAATTATGAAAAGGACTGAGTAATTTTTATATTCTCCTTTGAATTGTAAGCCTTTGATATTAGAAAAAAAATTTGGTTTTGGAAACAAAACATACATTTTAATTTTTCCTCTTTTATAGTGAAGGTAAAGGCAACGGGTTAAGGAGAAACTCAGATAGAAAAGAAAGAGAAATTGATTTATAATCTCGTACATATATATTGAGAAGTGAGCTCTCATTTTCATTAAATAAAAAATATTTCATTCAAAGCAGCCTTATTCTTTATTCTAGAAAAGCTCAGATGAATCAACTTTAATAGCTTCCCCAACCACCAAAAAGAATCCCTAATCACAGAAAGAGGAGACATTTTTCTTTTCATATTACTCCACTCCAATTCTCCAAATCCTTTACATATACAGATATACACACCTGGGGAGGTATGTGTATGCACAGGTAAATGCACATATCCACTCATGAGAGAGAGGCTCAGAAAAAGGTATTAGGAAACTAAAAACGTTCCTAATTTTCTGAACATAAAATGAACTGTAAGTTAAATGCCCACCTTGTCATTTGATGGAGTTGCTTTCATTAGTAAAATATTTGCTTAAGGGATCTGCCATCTCAAAATATTAACTTTTAAGTATGTATTACATGCACAAATTTATTTAAAACCACTTACCAGTCACTCTAATCAGAAAACACATTTTTCTAGTGAGATTTCAACTGTTTTACACTTGGTGTGTGTATGCACCTGTCACAGGTTAGGATGTTTGCTGTAGAGATAATATGATGTCTTTGTACTCTCCTGAATGATTGTTACTGGAACTTACAAAGAGAGATACTATGTGAATAGAGACATTAAGTTTCTAAGAACAAAACATGCCATAAATATTGCAAAATATTTTTTTCTGATGTTTCTGAGGGAGCTAACATTTTTAGAAAATTGTTTTTACAAAAAAAACACTTCAACAAATTTTCTGCTAATTGAATTGTTGCAATGTTTCTACTCAACTTCTCTTACATCCTCAGAATCCTCCCTGTCTATGCCAATCTTTATTTCATTCTCTTCCTTCAAAAGTGTAATATGTTAAGAACATAGAACCTAAAACTTTTTGTTAAAATCTGAGCATTTTGTGAAAGGCATTAGAATTTATTCTGTGTCTTCATTTGGATTCTCTTTGTGACATCCTGGCAAGTGGTTTCTTTGCTTCTGCTTGATTCAATTCCTACTAATAATCTTCTTTCAACAAGTCTAAAAATTAGGAAACAAAGTGTCACCTATACCAAAATCTACCTTTTAATAACATCCATTATTTGGTGCCAGCTTTGTATTCTAAAGCCATACAGAGTAGATTCAGCTCCGCATCCTAAAAACCAATCTGTCTCATCCTTTGTAAGTGTATTAGCCTGTTCTTATGCTGCTGTGAAGAAATAGCCTAGACTGGGTAATTTGTCAAAAAATAAAAAGAGGTTTAATTGACTCACAGTTCCTCACGGCTGGGGATGCCTTAGGAAACTTACAATCATGGTGGAGGGGGCCTTTTCACAGGGCATCAGAAGAGAGAATGAGTGCCAGCATGGAAATTCCACGTGCTTATAAAACCGTCAGGTCTTGTGAGAGAGACTCACTCATTATCATGAGAACAGCATGGGGGAAACTGCCCCCATGATCAAATTACTTTCACCTGGTTCCGATTTGATCCACGGGGATTATTAAAATTCAAGGTAAGATTTGGGTGAGGACAGAGCCAAACCTTATCATTCTGCCGTGGCCCCTCTCAAATCTTATGTCTTCACATTTCAAAACAATCATGAGCTTCTAACAGTCCCTCAAATTCTTAACTCATTCCAGCATTAACCCAAACTCCAAGTCCAAAGTCTCATCTGAGACAAGGCAAGTCCCTTGCGCCTATGAGCCTGTAAAATGAAAAGCAAATTAGTTACTTCCTAGATACAATAGGGGTACAGGTGTTGGGTAAATACACCTGTACCTAATGGGAAGAATTGGCCAAAACAAAGGGGCTGCAGTGTTGCAGCTATAAACCTGGCTCTAGTCTTTTCTTCTGTCAACTGATCACAGGGAATTCCCAACGAGGCCATTGGTGCAGGCTTGGGAAAAGAAGGCAGATTGGCAGGAGTGGAAACCATGGGCATTTGAGCCACTTTCTCATGTAACTTACTTGTGCCTTCAGGACCTCCTAAAACCCAGTCACATACATACCACTTCCACCTGATGATGAATGCTGCTTTGCATGCCCAACTTTATGGTGAGATGGGTCAGGAAGCACCCAGTTCATGATACGCAGGCAGTTCAGGTCACATGGTGACTTGATGACCCATATGCAAATGTTCAGTTTCCACCAAAGCCCAGTAACAGGCCAAGAACTGTCTTTCAAAAGGAGAGTAGTTATTTGCAGAAGATGGCAGAGACTTGCTCCAAAATCTTAGAGGCCTCTGCTGTGATTCACCTATGGGGGCCTGCCAAAGGCTCCAAAGAGCAACCCTATTTGCCACTGACACCTCAAGCACTATTGGATCTGCTAGGTCATGTGACCCAAGTGGCAGAGCAGCTTGCACTGCAGCCTGGACCTGTTGCAGAGCCTTCTCCTGTTCTGAACCCCACTCAAAACTGGCAACCAATAAATGGACCAGACTAACACACTCAAATGAGAAATGTGTTGCCTCCAAAATCCAAATAGGCCCACTAGGCATTGTAACTCTTTCTTGGTTGTAGAAGGGGCAAAATGCAGCAACTTATCCTTCACCTTAGAATGAATATCTCAACAGGCCCCACACCACTGGGCCCTTAGAAATTTCACTGAGGTAGAAGTTCTCTGAATTTTAGTCAGATTTATTTTCCATCCAGTAGCATGCCAAATGTCTCACCAATAAGTACAGTCTGTTTGCTATTTCTCCCTCACTGGATCTAGTTAGCATAATGTCATTAATGTAATAGGCCAGTGTGATATCTTGTGGAAGGGAAAAGCAATCAAGATCTCTGCAAACAACATTGTGACACAAAGCCAGAGAATTGACATATCCCTGAGGTAGGACAGTGAAGGTATATGGCTGGCCTTGCCAGCTGAAGACTGATTACTTCTGGTGGTCCCTACAGACAGGAATGGAGAAAGACATTTGCCAAATCAATTACTACATACCAGGTATTAGGAGAGGTGTTAATTTGCTCAAGCAATAAAACCACATCTGGTATAGCAGCTGCGATTGGAGCTACCATTTTGTTAAGCTTATGATAATAATGGATTTATCTGTCTTCTTCACAGGCCAAATAGGAGAGTTGAACAGGGATGTGGTGGGAATCACCACCCCCAAATTCTTTCAAGTCCTTAATGGTGGTATTAATCTCTGCAATCCCATCTGGGATGTAATATTGTTTTTGATTTACTATATTTCTAGGTAGAGGCAGCTTTCATGGCTTCTCTTGGCCTTTTTGACTATAATTGTCTTAATTCTACCAGTCAGGGAGCCAATGTGGGGATTGTGCCAGCTTCTAAGCATGTCTATGAAAATTATGCATTCTGGCACAGGATGAGTCAGGGGATCCAATGTAAGTTGAACCTGAGCTAAAACTCCATTAATTACCTGAAATCCATAAGCTCCTACTTTAACCAGAGGACCACAGTGATGTTTTAGGTCCCCTGGAATCATCATATGCTCAGAGCCTGTGTCCAGTAGTCCCTGACATGTCTGATCATTGCCCTTTCCCCAACGCATAGTTACCCTGTTGATATGGTTTGGCTGTGTTCCCACCCAAATCTCATCTTGAATTATAGCTCCCATAATTCCCACGTGTCATGTGAAGGACCTGGTGGGAGGTAATTAAATCATGGGGGAAAGTCTTTCTTATGCTGTTCTCATGATAGTGAGTAAGTCTCACAAGATCTGATGGTTTTATAAAGGGGAGTCCTCCTGCACCCACTATCTTGCCTGCTGCCATGTAACACATGAGCCTGCTCCTCCTTTACCTTCTGCCATGATTGTGAGGCCTCCCCTGCCATGTGGAACTGTGAGTCCATTAAACATCTTTCTCTTTATAAATTACCCAGTGTCAGGTATGTCTTTATTGATATGAGAACAAAATAATACAGTAAATTGGTAATGAGTAGTGGGATGCTGCTGTAAAGATACACAAAAATGTGGAAGCGACTTTGGAGCTGGGTAACAGTCAGATGTTGGAAGGGTGGGAGGGCTCAGAAGAAGAAAGGGAATTGTGAGAAAGTTTGGAACTTCCTAGAGACTTGTTGAATGGCTTTGACCGAATGCTGGCCATCTCAGATGGAAATGAGGATCTTGTTGGGAACTGGAATAAAGGTGATTCTTACTATGTTTTAGCTAAGAGACGGGTGGCATTTTACCCCTGCCCTAGAGATCTATGGAATTTTGAACTTAAGAGATATGATTGAGGGTATCTGGCAGAAGAAATTTCTAAGCAGCAAAGTGTTCAAGACATGACTTGGGTGCTGTTAAAAGCACTGAGCTGTATGTATTCACAAAGACATGGTTTGGAATTGGAACTTATATTTAAAAGGGAAGCAGAGCAAAAAAAAAGATCAGAAAATTTGCAGCATGACGATGTGGTAGAAGAGAAAAACCCACTTTCTGGGGAGAAATTCAAGCTAGATGTAGAAAATTGCATAAGTAACAGGGAGCCAAATGTTAATCAGCAAGACAATGGGGAAAATGTCTTCAGGGCATGTCAGAGACCTTCTTGGTGGCCATTCCCATCACAGGCCCAGAGGCCTAGGAAGAAAAATGGTTTTATAGGCCAGGCCTAGGGACCCCCTGCTGTGTGCAGCCTAGGGACTTGGTGCCCTAAGTTCCAGCCACTCCAGCCATGGTGAAAAGGGGCAAAGGTACAGCTCGGGACATGGCTCTAGAGGGTGCAAGCCCCAAGCCTGGGCAGTTTCCATGTGGTGTTTAACCTGCAGGTGCACAGAAGTCATGAATTGAGGTTTAGGAACCTCCACTTAGATTTCAGAGGATATATGAACAAGCCTGGATGTCCAGACAGAAGTTTGCTGCAGGGACAGGGCCCTCATGAAGAATCTCTGCTAGGACAGTGAGGAAGGGAAATATGGGGTTGGAGCCTCCACACAGAGTCCCCACTGGGGCACTGCCTAATGGAGCTGTAAGAAGACAGCCACTGCCCTCTAGACCCCAGAATGGTAGGTCACTGACAGCTTGTACTGTGCACCAGGAAAAGCCAGAGACACTCAACACCAGCCCATGAAAGTAGCCAGAGTGCGGCTGTACCCTGCAAAGCCACATGGGTGGAGCTGCCCAAGGTTGTGTGAGCCCACTTCTTGCATTAGTGTGACCTGGATGTGAGATATGGTGTCAAAAGAGATCATTTTGGAACTTCAAGGTTTAATGACTACCCTATTGGATTTTGGGCTTGCATGGGGCCTTTAACCCCTTTGTTTTGGCAATTTCTCCCATTTCTAATGGGAGTATTTCCCCATTGCCTGTACCCCCATTGTATCTACGAAGTAACTAACTTGCTTTTGATTTTATAGGCTCATAGGTGGAAGGGACTTAACTTGTCTCACATGAAACTTTGGACTTGGACTTTTCAGTTAATGCTGGGATGAGTTAAGACTTTGGGGGACTGTTGAAAGGGCATGATTCTGTTTTGAAATGTAAGGACATGAGATTTATGAGGGGCAGGGGAAGAATGATATGGTTTGGCTGTGTCACCCCCCAAATCTCATCTTGAATTTGTGGTTTTCATAATCCCCACGAGTCATGGGAGGGACCAAGTGGAGATAATTGAATCATGGGTGCTGTTTTTCCCATGCTGCTTGCATGATAGTGAGTTAGATCTCACAACATCTTATGGTTTTATAAGGGGTTTCCCCCTTCTCTGGGTACTCATTCTTCTCCTTCCTTCTGCCATGAGAAGAAAGACATGTTTGCTTATCCTTTTGCCATGATTGTTAGTTTCCTGAGGCCTCTCCAGCCCTTTGGAACTGTAAGTCAAGTAAATATCTTTCCTTTATAAGTTACCCAGTCTTAGGTATATCCTTATATCTGTGAGAATGGACCAATACAGTCCTGTAATCCCATCACTTTTGGCAGCTGAGGCAGGTGAATTGCTTGAGTCTAGGAGGTTGAGACCAGACTGGGAAAAATTCCAAAACCCCATCTCTACTAAAAAAAAATACAAAATATTAACCAAGCATGGTAGTGAATACCTGTAGTCCCAGCTACATGGGAAGCTGAGACGGGGAATCACCTGAGCCCAGAGGGTCGAGGCTTCAGTGAGCTGAGATCATGCCACTCCAGCAAGAGCAACTAGAGTGAGACCCTGTCTGAGAAAAAGAATGTTGATATTAGGTCACCAATATCTCAATGCTTGTAAGTCTTTTGTAAAGAAATTTGCTGTTATACTTCTGGGGTTCCCTTTGTATGTGATCTGAACTATTTCTCTAGTTGCCTTTAAGATTGTGTTTTAGCATTGCCCTTGGACAGGCTGGTAAATACATGTCTTGGTGATGTTCATCTTATATCGAATCTCGCAGGTGCTCTCTGACTTTCTTGTGTATGGATGTCTGCCTTTTTCCCAAGATTAGGAAAATTTTCTTGAATTGTTTTCACAAACATATTTTTCAGGTTATTTACTTTTCTTTTTCTCTCTCTGAAATTACAATAATTTGTGTGTTTGATCACTTTATATAATTTTATATTTCTTGAAGACTTTGTTCTTTTTCTAAAAATTCTTTTCTTTAAATTCTGATCTGATCGTATTGGTTCAAAAGTCTGGTTTTTAAACTCTGAAATTCTTTCTTCTGCTTGGTCTAGTCTATTGATAAATCTTTAAATTACATTTTGAAATTAATTAAGTGCATTTTTCAATTCCATAAGCTCTCATTTCTTTTTAAGATGTCTATCTCCTTCTTCAGTTCCTAGATTGATTTAGAAGTTTATTTGTAGGCTGGGCACAGTGGCTCACGCATGTAATCCCAGCACTTTAGGAGGCCGAGGTGGGTGAATCACCTGAGGTCAGGAGTTCGAGACCAGCCTGACCAACATAGAGAAACCCCGTCTCGACTAAAAATACAAAATTAGCCAGGCGTGGTGGCATATGCCTGTAATCCCAGCTACTTGGGAGGCTGAGGCAGGAGAATTACTTGAACCCAGGAGGCAGAAGTTGCGGCGAGCTGAGATAGCGCCATTGCACTCCAGCATGGGCAACAAGAGCAAAACTCTGTCTCAAAAAAAAAAAAAAGTTTATTTGTGTAATTGTCAACCTTGTCTTCAATCTCATTTAGATTCTTGGCAATCTATGCCTTGAATTCTTTATCTGTCATTTCTGAGTTTCCATTTTGGTTAGGGACCATTGCTGGACAGCTAGTGCAGTCCTTTGGTGGTGTTACTATATTTAGGTATTTCATGGTGCTAATAATCTTGTGTTAATTCTTTCTTATCTGGAGACATTAGCATTCTACTTTTTGTGATCAGTTTCATGCAGGTAGGATGCTTTCTTTCTTTTCCTATAGTATTATTGATTTTTCTTCTTTCCTTCCCTGACTCAAGTGATGTAACCATAAAGAATTCTTGGTAGGTTCCTTTGGCTTTGCTTCTATAGCTCCATGCACTTCTGTCAGCAGTTTTTATATTGGGCCGTGCAGTTCAACCTATGAGCCAGTAGATAGTGCTTACAGGTAAGAGCCAGCTGTGGCCAATGTGACTGGGTATATACTTGATCCTTGTTTACTGGTAGAAGCTCTCTGTTGTCTCAGGCAGTGGGCTGATTCCTGGAGTTCACAGTGGTTTGAGCTCCGTGCTCAGTCCCTGGGAGGCAGGAATCACCATGGGCAGGGCTGGACTGGGCAGGTCCATTCATAGGTCCCCTGATGGCAGGCACAAGCACCAGTGCCAAGGGATAATCTAGTGGGCAGCCACCAATTCCCAGAAGTTTGCCTCGATGTGGAGCTGCAAATCTCACTTGGTCCCAAACTCTCTGCATGGAAATATGGGGAAGTCTAAACTCCTATTCCAGGAGAATGAGTTCTTGTGATGACTGGAGATCTGCCTAGGCGTGGAGTGGGAAGGGCCCTCTTGCATCAAAATCTCTGCATAGGAAGGGTAAAATGATTCCTATCAGGCCGGGCGTGGTGTGCTAGGAATCATTTCACCCTGCAGAGTCAGGCAAGCAGGTGCTCTGAATGCCTGGAGATCTGCTTGGGCATGGAGCAGAAGGGGCCTCGTTGCAACATGATCGATGGGGAGGAAGTGTGAGGGAGTTCAAGCTACTGAACCAGAAGAGTGGGTACTCTGAATACCTGGGAATCTTCCTGGGTGTGAAGCAGAAAAGGCCTCCCTGCACCACAATCTCTGCACAAAAGTACAGAACGTGTCAGGCTGTTGATCCACGTGAATGAATTGTTTGAATGCCTGGAGATCTACCTAGGCATGGAACCAAGAAGGCCCCCCTGCACCAAGTTGTCTGCACAGGAAGGGTGAAGAAGCTCAGGCTGCTGTACCAAGTGAATGAGTGCCCTGTATGCCTGGAGAACTACCTGAGCTTGGAATGGAGAGGGCCTCACTGCTCCATGATCCATGTCCATAAAAGTGCAGGGCATCTCAGGCTGCCGGTGCAAGCAATCAGGCACTTCCAGTGCCTAAATTTCTGCCTGGGGGTGGATCAGAGAGGGCTCTTCTGTACCATAATCTCAGGGAAGCAGGCTGGGGCATCCAGCAATGACACATGCAGACTGGTTCTGGGTCACCAAGCTGACTCTGGCTACAAGTCTCGCTGCCCAGAAGAAATCGCAGCTATAGTAGCTTTCTTCCTGCCCTAGGCTGGCAATAGGGAAGAGCACAATTCCAGTGCCTACTACTGAGGCACTTTTTGCAGTTTTGTGAAATCTACCACCCCGCTCCAGAACAGGCACTCCAATCCTTGGTTCAAGACAAAAGTGCCTATGCTGGCACACTGCTGGGTCACCAAAGAACAGCTGACTTTGGTCAATTAAAAGTGGTGTTCTGCTCTCAGTCCTGGGTTTGGGAAAATGTCTGCAGCTTTTCCTGGTGTCTTTCCCTACAACATCTCCAGTCTTCTCCCCAGGTTAGCTCTAGGGCTTGGGAAAAACTAAGTAATCTCCCTCAGCCTAGGTTACTCAGATCTCCACTGGAAAGGTGAGTGACAGAGGTAGGCTGTCTGCCTCTCTCACATATAGGGGGCTTCACTCACTTTTATCAGCTTGATGCTGTCACAGAGGCTGTTTGTTAGCATTCTCCTCTCTGGGATCTGGGGTGTCCTTCATGATTTTTGTGGACTACCATTTTTCTTCTTGAATTAAAACTCACAGAGTTTATCTTAATGCTTTTAATCATAATTGAAAGATTCTAACCCATCACCTTGAAAGAAAAAGCCACCTTTTATTGTAGATTCCTTAATAATTTCTCAAATTATTGTGCCATGTTGGAAGAAAGGTAGTTTTACTTCTTTTTAAATTTCATGTCTTTTACTTTTCTATTGCCTCGTTGCAATGGCTGGAATCTTCAGCAAAATTCTAAATAGAAGACATGACTTTCTAATTCCCTTGCCTATTATTAAGTTTTGGACATAAGAGTTTATCACGTCAACCTGGGAGGTTGAGATCATATTTCTTATCAAACTTTCAATCACTCTTTTGAGCCTCCATTGATGATTTTCTAACTCTGCTATTTCTCCTATATTTATTAAATGACAGAATACTTAATATAAAAATATATAATATATAATAAAATATCTATACTTATATGTTTATTATAATTTATAATATTTGTATTATTATGCAATATATTTAATAATTTATATAATATTTATTACTAGATATAATATTAATTGATGTTTTATTGTAAACAATAACTTTATTTCTATTTATGTATATTACTATGGACTCCTGTATCTTTATTTTACAGTGATAAAAACTGTGAACCAAGAAATTGATGTAAAAACCACCAGCACTGTGAAACACTGGCATTATGTGCCCAATAAGATGCAGCTAGAAAGATACAACATCACTTCTGCAATATTCATGCAAAAAAAATAAAGAGTAACTAAATGTAATTGTGAGAAAACAACAGGGAAAACCAAGTGGAGAGACATTTTGCAGAATAACTTCATCACACAATATTTAGGTCACAAAACACAAAGAAATGGTTATTAACGATTGGTGAACTTTAGAAAGAGAATATATGGCAATTTTTATAACTTACCAAGTGGAGGAGATTAGGAAAATGGCAGATAGGAGGCAGGATTAAATTGCAGCTCCCACTCAGACTGACAGAGCAGCGTGTGGAGACTCACATCGTGAACTTTTGCTTCAGGAACTACAGCAGGAGCATACCAGGAAAGCTAAGAGAATCCACAGATACTTTGAAGGTAGCAGGTTGCACCTGCAGACCCTGGGAGACAGCTGAAAAACGGTGAGTGCCAAAGTGTGAAGGGGGGAATCATCCACCCCTGAACACACACCCTCACTGGGGAACCTGAAGGTCCAGATCACAGGAGAAGGATTTGGCCTTACCTGGAGCTGAGACAATTTTAAAGAGCCAAGTGAAATAAAAGGGTAGAAGAAGCAGTGGAGGGAGCCCTGTGGGCTCTCTCAGTCCCTAGAGAAACCATTTCTGACATTGTGTCTCAGAGCTCCTTAGGGAGGGCTGTCAGAGGACCTGGGAGAAGACCACAGGGAGGACAGTTCCAGCTGATTTTTGTAATAATTTTGACCTAATGTGAAGTTTCCTGGACAGAACTCAGGGGCGGGGGTGAATCCAGAGTGCAGACACAGCACAAAAGCTGCAGCAGGTGGGGAGGCACGAAACCTGAAAGCCCGGCTTGCTTTTACAATCAGGAGTCTGGTAGCTTGTGGCAGGTTCTCAGCCCTGGTCACCTGCTGCCTGGAAACAAACTTGGTGCTGTTGGGCGGCAGGCATGGTGGGAATGAGACTGGCCTTCTGGGCTGTGTGTATGAGCCGGGTGAGGCCTGTAGCTGCCAGCTTTTCCCCCACTTCCCTTGTGATCTGTGTGACGGCAGAGGCAGCCATAATTCCCCTAGGAACATAACTCCATTGGTCTGAGAACCACACTGCAATCCCCACAGCAGCCACAGCAAGCCCCATCTAAGGGGAGTCTGAACTCAGACATGCTTAACGCTGCCCCTACTGGATGGTTTTTCTCTACCCGCCCTGGTAGCTGAGGACAAAGGAAATATTCTTTTGGGAGCTGTAGGGCCTCACCCACTGCCTGATCATCCCTATACTACCACAGCTGATGCTTTCTTGAAAGCTCCACTCCTGGCAAGAGGCTAACCAGCACAAAACTAGTGCAATAAACAAAACTACAACTAAGAACCCTCACAGAGTACATTTCACTGCCCTGCCACCTTAACTGAAGCAGTTGCTGCTATGTGTGGCTGACAGACCTGAAGATGGTTCACATCACAGGACTGTGCAAACACCCCCCAGTATCAGCACAGACCCTGGTAGCTCTGCTGGATGGCTAGATCCAGAAGAGAAATAACAATCAATTACAATTACAGTTTAAACAATTACAGTCAAACAATTACAGTTTGACTCTCAGGAAGCCACATCACTAGGAAAAGGGGGAGAGCGCTACATAAAGGGAGCACCCTGTGGGACAAAAGAATCTGAAAGGCAGCCTTGAGCCCCAAATCTTTTCTCTAACATAGTCTACTCAAATGAGAAGGAACCAGGAAAACAATTCTAGTAATATGATAAAACAAGGTTTTTTTAACACCTCTTAAAGTGGTGAACTTTTGGCAATGTTAAAGAACCTTGTTTTTTCATATTGCTCACCAGCAACGGATCCAAAACAAGAAATCCCTGAATTGCCAGAAAGAGAATTGAGAAGGTTGATTATTAAGCTAATCAGGGAGGCACCCAGGGAAATAGATAGCATAAAAATAAACAATCACAGTTTCTGGAAATAATGGAAAAACTGAGGGAAAATGCAAAATGCACTGGAATGTCTCAGCAATAAAATCAAACAAGCAGAAGAAATAACTTCGGAGCTCAAAGACAAGGTTTTAGAATTAACCCAATCGAACAAAGACAAAGAAAAAAGAGTAAAAGCAAAACAAAAAACAAAGCCTCCAAGAAGTTTGGAATTATGTTAAATGACCAAACCTAAGAATAATTGGTGTTCCTGAGGAATAATGGATAAAAAACCACCAACCAAGAATGCATAAAAATCCACCAACTAAGTATATGCTGTCATCAGGAGACTCACCTAACACATAAGGACTCACATAAATTTTAGGTAAAGGGGTGGAAAAAGATATTCCATGCAAACGGACACCAAAAGCGGGCAGGAGTAGCTATTCTTATATCAGACAAAACACACTTTAAAGCAACAACAGTTAAAAAAAACAAAGAAGGACATTATATAATGATAAAAGGACTGGTCCAACAGAAAAAATATCACAATTTAAATATATGTGCACCTAACACTGAAGCTCCCAAATTTATAAAACAATAACTACTAGACCTAAGAAATGAGACAGACAGCAACACAATAATGATAAGGGACTTTAATCCTCCACTGACAGCCCTAGACAGGTCATCAAGACAGCAAATCAACAAATAAACAATGGGTTTAAATTTTACCCTAGAACAAATGGACTTAAAAAAGATGTACAGAACATTCTTTCCAATAACTATAGAATATGCATTCTATTCATTAGCACATGGAACATTCTCCAAGATAGACCATATGATAGGCCACAAAACAAGTCTCAATAAATTTAGAAAATTAAAATGATATCATATCAAGTACTCTCTCAGACCACAGTGGAATAAAATTGGAAATCAACTGTAAAAGAAACTCTTAAAGCCATGCAAATTATGGAAATTAAATCACCTGCTCCTGAATGATCATTAAGTCAACAATTAAATCAAGATGGAAAGAAACAAACTCTTTGAACTGAATGATAATAGTGACACAACCTATCAAACCCTCTGGAATACAGTGAAGGTGGTGTTAAGAGGAAAGTTCATGACATTAAATGCCTACAACAAAAAGTCTGAAAGAGCACAAACAGACAATCTAAGGTCACACCTCAAGAAACTAGAGAAACAAGAACAAACCAAACTCAAACCCAGCAGAAGAAAAGAAGTAACAAAGGTTAGAGAAAAACTAAATGAAATTGAAACAAAAAATACAAAATATAAATGAAACAAAAACTGGTTCTTTGGAAAGATAAACAAAATTGATAGACCATTAGCGAGATTAACAAAGAAGAGAAAGGATCCAAATAAGCGCAGTTAGAAGCAAAACAGGAGATATTACAACTGATACCACAGAAATACAAAAGATCAGTCAAGGCTAATATGAACATCTTTGCACACATAAACTAAAAAACCTACAAGAGTTGGATAAATTCCTGGAAATATACTACCCTCCTAGATTAAACCAGGAAGAAATAGAAACTCTGAATAAACCAATAACAAGCAGCGAGATTAAAATGGTGATATGGTTTGGCTGTGTCCCCACCCATATCTCAACGTGAACTGTATCTCCCAGAATTCCCACATGTTGTGAGAGGGAACTGGGGGTGGGTGGATAATTGAATCATGGGGGCTGGTCTTTCCTGCACTATTCTCATGATAGTGAATAACTCTCTTGAGATCTGATGGGTTTACCAGGGGTTTCCACTTTTGCTTCTTCCTCATTTTTCTCTTGCCACCACCATGTAAGAAGTGCCTTTTGCCACCCAGCATGATTCTGAGGCCTCCTTAGCAATGTGGAACTATAAGTCCAATTAAACATCTTTTTGATCCCAGTATCAGCTATGTTTTTATCAGCAACATGAAAACAAACTAATACAGTAAACTGGTACTAGTAGAGTGGGGTGTTGCTCAAAAGAGACCCAAAAATGTGGAAGCAACTTTGGAACTGGGTAACAGGCAGAGGTTGGAACAGTTTGGAGGGCTGAGAACACAGGAAAATGTGGGAAAGTTTGGAACTTCCTAGAGACATGTTCAATGGCTTTGAGAAAAACGTTGATAGTGATATGAACAATAAGGTTCAGGCTGAAATGGTCTCAGATAGAGATAAATAACTTGTTGGTAACTGGAGCAAAGGTGACTCTTGTGTTTTAGCAAAGAGACTGGCAGCATTTTGCCTCTACTCTAGAGATTCGTGGAACTTTGAACTTGAGAGAGATGATTTAGGTTATCTGGTGGAAGAAATTTCTAAGCAGAAAAGCATTCAAGAGGTCACTTGGGTACCGTTAAAAGCATTCCATTTTAAAAGGGAAACAGCATAAAAGTTTGGAAAATTTGCAGCCTGATGATGCAGTAGAAAAGAAAAATCCATTTTCTGAGGAGAAATTCAAGCAGGTTTCAGAAATTTGCATAAGTAGCAAGGAGCCTAATTTTAATTACCAAGACCATGGGGAAAATGTCTCCAGGCCATGTCAGAGACATTGATGGCAGCCCTTGCCATCACAGGCCCAGAGGCCCAGGAGGAAAGAGTAGTTTCATGGGCCAGGCCCAGGTTCCCTGTGCTGTATGCAGCCTAAGAACTTGGTGCCCGATGTCTCAGCCACCCCAGCCATGGCTGAAAGGGGCCAATGTAGAGCTCAGGCTGTGGCTTCAGAGGATGAAAGCCCCAAGCCTTGGCAGCTTCCAGGTGGCATTGAGCCTGTGGGTGCACAGAAGTCAAGAATTGAGGTTTGGGAACCTCTGCCTAGATTTCAGAAGCTGTCTGGAAACAGCTGGATGCCCAGGCAAAAGTTTGCTCCAGGGGTGGGGTCCTCATGGAGAACCTCTGCTAGTGCAGTGTGGAAGGGAAATGTGGGGTCAGGGACCTCCCACAGAGTCCCTACTGGGGCACTGCCTAGTGGAGCTGTGAGAAAAGGCCCACTGTTCTCCAGACCCCAGAATGGTGGATCTACCAACAGCTTGCACCATGTGCCTGGAAAAGCTGCAGACACTCAATGCCAGCCCACGAAAGCAGCCAGGAGGAAGGCTGTATTCTGCAATTCCACAGGGGTGGAACTGCCCAAAACCATGGGAACCCACCTCTTGCATCAGCATGACCTGGATGTGAGACCTGGGGTTAAAGATCATTTTGGAGCTTTAAAATTTGACTACCCTGCTGGATTTTGGACTTGTATGGGCTCTGTAGCCCCTTTGTTTTGGCCAATTTCTCCCATTTGAAATGACTGTATTTACCCAATACCTGTACCCCCATTGTATCTAGGAAGTAACTAGCTTGCTTTCTATTTTGTAGGCTCATAGGTGGAAGGGATTTGCATTGTCTCAGATGAGACTTTAGACTGTGAACTTTTGAGTTAATGCTGAAATGAGTTAAGAATGGGGGACTGTTGGGCAGGCATGATTGTGTTTTGAAATGTGAGGACATGAGATTTGGAGGGGTGTGTCGGAATGATACGGTTTTGCTGTGTCCCTACCCAAATTTCAACTTGAATTGTATCTCCCAGAATTTCCACGTGTTGTGGGAGGGAGCCGGGGGAGGTAATTAAATCATGGGGGCTGGTCTTTCCCATGCTATTCGCCTGATAGTGAATAAATTTCATAAGATCTGTTGGGTTTATCAGGGGTTTCTGCTTTTGCTTCTTTCTCATTTTTCTCTTGCTTCTATCACATAAGAAGTGCCTTTTGCCTCCCATCATGATTCTGAGGACTCCTTAGTCATGTGGAACTGTATGTCCAATTAAACTTCTTTTTGTTCACAGTTTCAGGTATGTCTTTATCAGTGTGAAGATGAAATAATACAAATGGTAATTAAAAAAATTGCCAACAAAAAAAAAACATCTAGGACTGGACAAATTCACAGCTGAATTTTATTAGATAGTCAAAGAAGAATTGGTACCATACCTATTGACACTATTCCACAAGAAAGAGAAAAGGGAGATCCTCCCTAAGTCATTTTATGAAGCCAGCATCACCCTAACAACCAAAACCGGGAAAGGGCATAACAAAAAAAAAAAAGCACAGACCAGTGTGAAAATCCTTAACAAAACAATGGCTAACCAAAACCAACAGCATATCAAAAAGATAATCCACCATGATCAAGTGGGTTTCATACCAGGGACGCAGGGTTGGTTTAACATCAGCAAGTCAAGAAATGTGATATACCACATAAAGATAATTAAAAACAAAAATTACACAATCATTTCAAGAGATGCAGAAAAAGCATTTGACAAAATCCAGCATCTGTCACCGACTAGAACCCTAGCAAAATTGGCATAGAGAGGATAAAATGTAATGAAAGCCATCTATGACAGGCCCACAGCCAACATAATACTGAATGGGGAAAAATTAAAAGCATTCCCCCTGAGAACTGGAACAAGACAAAGTTGCCCACTTTTACCACTTCATAGTACTGGAAATCCTATGCAGAGCAATCAGACAAGGTTAAGAAATAAAGAGCATCCAAACAGGTAAAGAGGAAGTCAAACTGTCACTGTTTGCTCATGATATGATTATATACGTAGAAAACCTAAAGAGTCATTGAAAAAGCTCCTAGAACTGGTAAATGAATTCAGCGAAGTTTCGGGATACAAAATTAATGTACACAAATCAGTAGCTCTGCTATACACCAACAGCGACCAAGCTGAGAATCGAATCAAGGAACTCAACCCCTTTCACAATAGCAGCAAAAAAATAAGAATAGTAAAATATTTAGGAATATACCTAACCACGGACATGAAAAACCTCTAAAAGGAAAACTAAGAACACTGCTGAAAGAAATCATAGATGACACAAATAACTGGGCACACACCCCATGCTCATGGATAGGTAGAATCAATATTGTGAAAATGACCATACTGCCAAAAGCAATCTACAAATTCAATGCAATTCCCATGAAAATACCACCATCATTTTTCACAGAACTAGAAAAAACAATCCTAAAATTCATGTAAAACCAAAAAAGAGCCCAAATAGCCAAAGCAATACTAAGCAAAAAAAAACAAAAACAAAAACAAAAACAAAAACAAAAAAACAAAAAGAAACCTACAGGCATCACATAACCCAACTGTAGACTATAATATATGTGAGACCATAGTGACCAAAACAGCATGATACTGGTATAAAAATAGGCACATAGACCAATAGAATAGAATACAGAACACAGAAATAAAGCCAAATACTCACAGCCAACTGCTCTTTGACAAAGCAAACAAAAACAGAAAGTGGGGAAAGGACACCCTATTCAACAAATGGTGCTTGGATAATTGGCTAGCCACATGTAGAAGAATGAAACTGGATCCTCATCTCTCACCTTATATAAAAATCAACTCAAGATGGATCAAAGGCTTTAATCTAAGACCTGAAACCATAAAAAAACTATAACATTGAGAAAACCCTTCTAGACATTGGCTGAGGCAATGATTTCATGACCAAGAACTCAAAAGCAAATGCAACAAAACAAAGATAAATAGACGGAACTTAATTAAACTAAAAAGACTCTGCACAGCATAAGGAACAATCAGCAGAGTAAACAGGCAACCCGCAGAGTGGGAAAAAAATATTTGCAATCTATATATCTGACGAAAGATTAATATCCAGAATCTACAAGAAACTCAAACAAATTAGCCAAAAAAAAAAAAAAAAAAAAGCAAACAATCTCATCAAAAAGTGGTCTAAGGACATGAATAGGCAATTCTGAAAAGAAGATAAACAAATGGCTAACAAGCATACGGGAAAATGCTCAACATCTCTGATTATCACAGAAATGCAAATCAAAACCACAATGCAATACCACCTCACTCCTGCAAGAATAGCCATAATCAAAAAATAAAAAAAATAGACGTTGGCATGGATGTGGTGAAAAGGGAACACTTTTACACTGCTGGTGGAAGTGTAAACTAGTACAACCACTATGGAAAAGAGTGTGAAGATTCCTTAAAGAACTAAAAGTAGATCTACCATTTGATCCAGCATCCCAATACTTGCACAACCATTTTTATAGCAGCACCGTTTGCAATTGCAAAAATATGGAACCACTCAGCTGAGGTTGCGGAGGCTGAGGTTGCAGTGAGCCGAGATCGCGCCACTGCACTCCAGCCAGGGCAACAGAGTGAGACTCCATCTCCAAAAAAAAAAAAAAAAAATGGGACCAGCCCAAATGTTTATCAATCAATGAGTGGATGAAGAAAATGTGGTATATGTATACCATGGGATAATATTTTGCCATAAAAAGGAACAAAATAATGGCATTCATAGCAACCTGGATGGAACTGGAGATTATTGTTCTAAGTGAAGTAACTCAGGAATGGAAAACTAAACATTGCATGTTCTCACTCGTGGGAGCTAAGCTATGAGGACGTAAAGGCATAAGAACAATACATTGGACTGTGGAGTCTTGGGGGAGAAGATGGGGGGTGGCGAGGGATAAAATACGGCAAATTGGGTACAGTGTACTCTGCTCAGGTGATGGGTGCACCAAAATCTCAGAAATCACCACTAAAGAACTTATTCCTGTAACCGAACACCATCTATTCCCCCAAAACCCATGGAAATAAAATAAAAATAAATAAAAAAGAGGATACATGGCAATTTCTTTTTGAATCCTTAAATTTAAAAAAAATGACAGTAAAATTTAAAATAAAAAGATGACTTGAATACACAAATACATTTCCATGAGCTGAGAAAAAATTTTATATAAAATTTCTAATACCAAAAAAAAAAAAAGGATAGAGAAAATGCAAGTGCCATTTTTGGTATGGAGTTAAACTCTAAAATTATTCTTGTATGAGTAATTTATTGATCTCTCTTCTCTGTCACAGCGTCCCTGCATCTCTCTTTCTTTGTTTCTCACTCCCTCTCTCTCACCATATATAAGTCCACATGCGTATTCATGTACATATAATACTTTGTATTTTAGATTTCATATCTATATTTATATATGTGTTATAGAGATAAAATCTACTTTTTGACTACAGTAATCTTTCATACAATCTACTTTTTAAAAACTCTGTTTCAGCTGAGATATAGTATTTATTATATATTATTGTATCAGATCCTTAGACATCTGACTGAATTTTACACATACACACATTTGTAATGTGCTCAAAGCACTTTTATTTGGTGTATCAAAATTAACCTATGAGATTTGCCTAATAGATATATCAGTTGAGAGTAGATAATAAAGTATTACCAATGTCATGAGCTATGAGTTTTCATTCTGAAACTTCTAGCACAATAAACTACTGGACATCCATTTTCCCTTTAAAAAAGATTTCCCTTTCATTTTTAGTTGACATTTAATAATTGTAAAATTATATAGTTTTAGCAAGCTTGACCAGCTAATAGAACCAACGTTTTAAATGATTTCAGAAAAATGTATCTTATTCTTGATTACTAGTCCAAAGAGAACCATTTTTTTACTGTTTCACATGAAAAATTTTATAACCAAACATTACTTTTAATTGTAATTTCAACTTTTATATTTATTTGTGACTATAGGGAATAACTCTCTGTATACAAACCATCTAAAGCAAAATTGTCAATAAATGGCTGACAACTACTTTAAATTCAAAGCAGTAGAGACTATCCAATAAAATATTATACAATGAAAATTGGTTTGCATAATACATTGAACAGGTAGATACCTTAAAGTGTTCATTTCCTTTCAAAATATAATATTTTAAGTTAGTAAGATGAAGTTGAAAATAATATATTTAAGTATGGAAACTTTTTGCTTCTAAATGCTGAATTTCAAACAAATGTGACAGGCATGAGAAACTATCAAAGCTTTTTGCTACTCAAGAGTTACATGATAGATGCGTCAAACAGGTATTTGCTGAAAACAAAACTGCCTTACAATGGAGTCTTATTTGCTCTATTACATTTAGTTTATGTGCCCGCTACCTAATGTTACCTGTTTAGCACAAAGACTCTCTAGGCCTAAATTTTAAGAAGCAATCTCTAAAATCTACCATGATGGTTTTTATTTATTTGTAAACTTTTTTTCTATTATAATTAATGACTTTTCTGTGACGTATTTGCATTTACAATGCAATTACATCTCATTAAGCCCTTGAGTTCCAAACCTTATGTGGAGTCTTATTTCTTATCTTTCCTCATTCTAGGCATACATTTGTTTATGTGGTATTTATGTTTCTTTAACTTGAAATTTAATAAAATGGGTGCTAAATTAAAGAAAGGAAATGTCACTTACACTTTCTTTGAAAGCAGAAAATAATGTATTCCACTGAACAGCTGGGGAATTTTCATGCTTTATGCAAATTTGATCAAAAGTAACAAAAGTAGAGAAAATGTGAGTGTATAAGACTATTTCAAAGTGCAAATAAATGCAAATTATCTACACATTAAAAATGTGTGCATACACTTATTTTTAAACATTCATTGCACAATCTTTAACAGAAAACAGGATTTTTATGTTTCTGCAGCATAACTATAGGAGATCCAACTATGATATGTAGTGTGCTCATTTGCAAACAGAATAATGACATGAAATCCATAATTTGAATACACAAAATACAGAGCAATATGTGATAAGGAGAAAGACCCATCAGAGTTATGTGTTCCATATAATGTTTTAATCTTTCAGGAAACAGAAACAAGCATTTTATTTTCCATCTTAGTATTTAATACTTTTACCAGCAAGAGTATCTCTTTCCAAATGGAAAAAATTTTGAGAGTCCCATTAATCACTATAAGTTTAATTCGTGAAATAAATATTAAATTTATGTGTCCTTCATGTCTTATATATCTTTTTTATTTTATAGATATGAAAATAATGCAATGATAATTCACTTCAAATGACTTTTTAAACTGAAATCTCTAAATGATATTCAGCATTATGTTCTAGATTACCTGTTTTTGAGTTATGTGGTATATACATATCACAACTGGGCAACTTACATATACTAATCTATATCATTGTAACTGGAATATGCATTTTTATTTATGTAGGTCTTAAAGTTCTCTATATTGAGTTTCCTTGGGGTAGATGTTTATAAAAAGCTAAAATATTACCTTGGAAATATTAAAAAGTCATAATTTTTCTTCAATATATAGCATATCTACCATTACATATTGAGATTCCAAATATTAATATTAATGTGAGATCAGATGAACTAAGCAGAGACTAGATAAAATTAATATTGTGTACATTTTTCTTTTCCAAACAACGGACGCTACCATCCCATATATCAATTTTTGTTTTACTTAATTTGAAATAATCGATGTATTTTAAAAAATGGTAAAAAACTGCATGTATTTGCTCTTTCTGTTCGTTTTTTATCATAAAATGATGTAAATTTTTATTTTATGTTATCAAATATATAATCCTTGAGTCTAGTAATTATATGTGAATTACTTAACCATTTGAAACATAGTTTAAATATTTAGGAAGTAGGATATCATACCAACTAAACAATAAAAAGGAAATGCTTAAGTAACACACCAAAACTCAACTCATGTCACCCATGAACTGTTCTGTGATTTGATACAAAATTTCTATTTCATTGGCACACAAATAAAAGAGTAGCTCACCAAATAAATACACATATCCTAGATTAAATGTTATTTTGTCTGTGATGCTTTCCCCAAACTGAGTTTGCCAATCCAAACTTTGTTTCTAAAAACTTTAACTGCAGCCTGGTGTTGTAATTTGTCTGTTTACAGATTTGTCTGTGTCCCTGGATTGTGAGCTCTTTCAGTACAGGGGCCAGAAACAAAGTACCAGAGACCAGGGATCATGTTTAATTTGCTTGTATTAATTCAATATTCCCTGCCAAAATGATCTTTCCAAAACACAAATCTAATGATTTTATCCTTCTGCTTCATTACATTAGTGATTTTCCATATAACTGCAGGGACTTTAGCAGGAAGACTTAATTATCTGGTTCATTTTAATTTTTATCCTATCTGACATTTGTCTTTTGGCTAAGTATTTATATTTAATGAAGTTACTTATATACTGGAATATAAACCTACAATCTTATTTGTTTTGTATTTATCGGTTTTGTTGTAATTTTTTCTCCTTTCTTGTCTTACTTTGAAGAAAGAATTTTTTATTATTTAATTTCTCCCTCTATTAGCTGGTTAACCTCATCTCCACATCTTTGCCCTCAGTAATCGTCAACTTTATAGAACTAGCATTAGCACATCAAACTCTCATGCTGTTTCACACTTTCACACACTATGCCTGAGATTCACTCTTCAAAATACCCTCAAACTTCATATGATACAAGAAGTTCTTCACTGCCCAAGGTTTGGTCAATATGAAGGAAACACTACAGTCTCTTTCACATCTACCTTTCATATTTGCTCCGTTCTTTAAAGGTCATAGCTGTCTGAGAGTTTAATATCACTTCAGGTTCTTTCTATATATTCTAAATTTAAAAAATTAAAATTTGGGAGGTATTTATGTATTTTGTTATAAAATTCACCTGTTAAATCTCTGGTAAATATTATCTATCAATTCATTTTTGTATTTAACTTTTCTTTAATGTATATTTTATAGTATAAAAGTTTTCTTAAGGGTAAATTATAATTTTTTTCTTTGTTGCTACTAAGAATACCCTAGCAATTTAGGTGGGCCCACTTTACCCTACATTTTCTTCTAATGGCTGACTATATATTCTTCTACTATATTGGTATGTAGTATTGTTTCACATTCACAATTTTAATCTGTTGAAGTTTTGTTGTAAAGAGGAATTTAGTAATTTTTAATAGATACCTAATTTTATCCAAACCGTTTATGAATAGCTTATACTTCCCTCCACTGGTATAAAATCTAAATCTTTTTCATTAACTACATTCACACATTATATTAGTTTCTTTCTGTAATTATACAATTTCATTTGTAAAATTTACATTAACATAAAATATCACTTCTTTCTCTGTAAATATGTCCCTCTTCACTATGATTTAGTTTCAAAATCTTTCTTGGTTGCTAGTGACCTTCCTCTCTTCTACAGAACTTTAGAATCAACGTGTGAAGTTTTGTATTAAGAAAGTCCTTTTGGAGTTTTGATTAGTATTGTAATGAATTTATAAATTTACTTGATAACAATTGCTATTTTTATAATATTATGTTTTCCTTCAAGAAATATGATTTAAGTGCTTCTTAAGATTTTTTAAACAAGACAAATATGCTATGTAGAAATAAAAAGACTGACAATTTTGATTATGTTGATAAAAGTAAAAAAGTACAGAAATTGATCTACTTATCTTTCTAGATAAATTATATGTTTAATAACATATGAACAGATATATACAGATATCTGTCTATAAATGTAAGTGAACACATAAATATATTATATATAAATTTTTATGTTTGTAAATTTAAATTGATGTAAATATATTCATCATATATATGTATATGTGTGTACATATTTTTTCATATATACATGCATCGTTAATGATGAGAATAGATTCTAAGTAATGTGCCCTTAGGTGACTTTGTAATTGTGCAAACATCATAGCGTATATTTATGCAAACCTAGATAATATAGCCTATTGCACACCAAAACTATATGAAATAGCCTACTGCTCCTGGGCTTAAACCTGTACCACAGGTTATTTTATTGAATGCTTTAGGCAATTGTAACACAACGGTAAGTTTTGCTGGATCTAAACATATCTAAACATAAAATAGGTACGGTGAAAATATGGTATGAAAGATAAAACATGGTACACCTATATAGGGAAACTCCATTATAATCTTATAGGAACACTGCTGTATGTGCAGTCCATAGTTGACCAGAACATTGTTATGTAGTGTGCTATTGCTGTTTATTTTCGAGATTATAGTGATCCTACATAAAAAAGATGAGAAATATTTTCTTTTTCTCTATTCTTCAGAAGATTTTGTATAACACTGTAGTGAATTATCATTTGAAAGTTTGTAGAAAATTCTCTTAAGCACCCTCTAGGATGGGTATCTTCTTTATACCAAGATTTGTAACCACTGCTTCAAGTTCATAAATAAATATACAGCTATTCACAATGTGTATTTCTTCTTCAGTCAATTTCAACTTTTTTTCCTTTCATTTAGTCTTTTGTGTCTAAGCATTTACCTTGTTTGCATAAATTTTTTGTAATACTTCTTTTATTTGTAGTTATGTTCACATTTTTGTTTATATTTATTTCTTTTTTGTTTCATTTGGTCAGTCTTGGAAAATTTACGCTTTGTACGTCTTTTTAAATTTTCATATGGCTGTGTTTATCTCTAATCTATTTTTCTTGTCTCTATCATTGATCCCTGCTATAATTTTTTAATCTTCTGTATATCTTATTAGGTCTATTGCAATTTTTGTTTTTTTCTAATTTCTTATATATCAAGCTGGTTTTCAGCTTTTTTCAATATAAGCTTACAAATTTAGATTTCACTTGAAGCATTCATATTTACTACATTTCAAGTTTTTGATATTTTTCATTCTGTTCTAAGATTTTTATATTTCCATTATGATTTGCTTCATGATCCAAAAGTATTTTAAAACATTTTTAATGTTTAAAAATATATTTGTACAACTATTTATTATAGTTTGGAGTACTAATGATTTAATGTTTAAACATATGATATTTGTACAACTGTTTATTATAGTTTGGTATACAAATGATTTTTGTGACTATTTCTTATGTGCATGGGAATAATGTTGAATGTAGACATCTACATGTAGCCATTAAGTAAAGCATGCAAACTCTATTGAAATCTTTTTATTGATATTTTATCTTCTAGATTGATCAATAATTGAGAAAGATGTGTTTACTTTTTCTTATAAGCCTATGGCTTTTTTTTTTACTTATTATGAATCTATTTTATTAGGCATTTTATAATTTTAGGTTCTCAGCAAAACTAAGAGGAAGGTACAGAGATTTTCCACACATCCCTGCTCACACACATGCATAACCTCTCTCATGATTAACATTCCCCATTAGAGTGGTAGAATAGTTACAACTGATAAACCCATGAAAACACATCATAATCATTTAAAGTCCAAGGTTTACATTAGGGTTCACAGTTGTTGTTGTACATTTTATGAGTTTGATGAATAGACATGTATCAATCACTACAGTATCATACAGAGTATTTTCACTGCCTAAAAATCCTCTGTGTTCTGCCTATTAATCTCCTGCTGCCAACCCGTTACAACAACTGATATTTTTATTAATTTTACAGTTTTGCCTCGTCCTGGATGTCATATAGTTGGAAGCATACAGTATGCAGCCTTTTCAGGTTCACTTATTTCACTTAGTAATGAACATTTAAGATTTTGCCATGTCTTTTCATAGCTTGATAGCTCATTTATTTTTAGCGCTGATAAAGACTCTTTGCTTCACCATACATTGGTCAGACTCCTGAACCTTCTTCTTGTTCCATGTGTGCACTTTCTTGTAAAATCCAGTTTTAGCAAGAACTCCCTACTCTCAATATTTGATCACCCTAGATATATGATCAGGTTTGTCATTCTCCACCATCCCCCAATGTCATATCTAATCACTCTGGCCTGTCTTCATCAAGAATCCAATTTGGTCTATGTAGTCAGAATTCTCCTTACCCCTCATGTTTCCTCTTATTAATTTTCCATCCACTGAGCCTCATTCTGCTCCTTGGCTATAAATTCCCAATTTCCATGCTATATTTGGAGTTGATCCCAATCTTTTCCCCTACCACTGCAAAATCTATTGCAAGCAGTCCCCATATGTATTGTAATGGTCCTGAACAAAATCTTCCTTGCTGTGCTGTGACAACAATTATTGAATCATTTTTGCTTTAACAGTGCTAAATAATATTCTACTCTCTGAATGTTCCATAGTATATTTATCTATTCATTACTGAAGGAAAATTTGGTTGCTTCCTAGTTTTGAAAATTATGATGAATGCTGCTATAAACATATGTGTTCAGCTTTTCATATGGACATAAAATTTCTACTCATTTGGGGAAATTTCAAGAAGTGAAATTGCTGATTCATGTGTTAAGAGAATCTTTAGTTTTATATAAAACTGTCAAACTGCCTTGGAAAATGGCTGTAGCATTTTGCATTCCATCAGCAATGAATGAGAGTTTTTGTTGCTCCACATCTGCAACAACATTTTGTATTATCAGTGTTCCATATGTATGCCATTGTAGTGGCATCTAATTGTTTGTTTGCACTTTCCTCATGAAATATGATGTGGAACATTTTTTCACATGCTTATTTGCATTTTGTATGTATGCACACTCTCTCACACACACACATAGGTACAGTGTCTATTAAAAGTCTTAGGCTCATTTTAAATAATTTTTATTATTGACTTTTAAATGTTCATTTTATATTTTGGATAAGAAGCCTCTATAAGATGTGTCTGATGAAAATATTTTCTTCTCATTTGGGACTTGTCTTTTATTTTCTTGACATTATCTTTTTTATAGCAGAAAATTTTAATTTTAATAAGTCCAGCTTATCAATCTTTTTTTCATGGATTGTATTTTTGATGTCATGTCTAAAAGGTCATCACTGTATCCAACATCATCTAGGTTTTCTCTTATATTATCTTCTAGGAGTTTTACAGTTTTGTGTTCTATATTTAATTTTATGATTCATTTTGAGTTAACCTTTGTGAAGAGTATAAGGTTTGTGTTTAGATTTTTTTTTTTTTGCATGTGGCTGTCCAGTCACTTCCACATCATTTGTTGAAAAGACTATCTTTGCTCTATTGTATTGCCTTTGCTTTTTGTCAAAGATCAGTTGAGTATATATGTGAATCTATTTTTGAATCTATGTGTTACATTAATCTAATTGTCTATTCTTTCACCAATATTATACTTTCATGATTACTGTAACTTTAGAGTGTCTTAAAGTCCACTAGTTTCATTCCTTCATCTTTGTTCTTCTCTTTCAATGCTGTTTTAATCATTTGAGTCTCTTTTTTTCTCCAAAAGAACTTCATCATCACTTTGTTGATATACCCAAAATAACTTGCTGACATTTTAATTGGTATTGCATTGAATTTATAGATTAAGTTGGGAAAGTCTGACATCTCGATGATATTAAGTCTTTCTATCCATGAACATAGGATATCTCTCCATTTATTTAATTCATCTTTGATTTTGTTCATCAGACTGTGTAATTTTCCTCATACAGATTTTGTACTTATTTTGTTCAGTCTAGACCTAAGCCTTGTATTTTTGTGCTGCTAATGGAAATGGCATTGTTTTCATTTTCAAATTTCATCTGTATTTGTTCATGTGAATATGACTATATGTAATGATAGGGCCAGTACCTCAAAATGTGACCATATTTGATGATAGGGTCTTATAGAGGTAAAAAATTAAAATTAGGTCATTAGGGTGAGCCCCAATCTAATCTGACTGGCCTCTTTATAAGAAGAGATTAGAATACACAGGAAAACACCAGAAGTATGTATACACAGGGGTTTTTTTTTTAATCACATGTCAGATAGTTAAAAATTTATATCATGCCCATATTAAATTTTTATCATTGTTTATTTTTACTTATTTGGAATAATTTTTGTTCATTTTATTATTAATGTTTTAGAATATTATAGTATTTTTCTTTAATTTGAGGATTTCAAAATTTTATTACAATGGGTTTTTCACATATTCTCTTCAGTACTTTATATGCCCTTTTTATCTGAAAAAAATATTTTTATTCATTTTAGCATATTTCTTCCACACTTTTCTAGATTACTCCTTTCATTTCATCTATTTCTGTGCCATTTTTCAAGAACCACTGTTAACTTGATATTGAAACTTCTAAATCTATCTGCCTGTTTCCTAAATTGCTTTCTGTAGATTTTAACTTTCATTTTTACATTCTAGGAGAATATACTTTCAACAAAATCAAGTGCCCCATTTAGCTACCTTATTAAGGATTTTGTGAGATAATGTTTCTTTAAATATTCTCAAAGTTTTATTATATGAAGAGTTTTACACTCACATTATTAAAAGTTTAGAAGTTAAAAGCAGAGTAAAGTGTGGAAACTCTCCTAGATCTAATCTCCATATGCCTAGGTTCCTGATCTTGAGTCAAACAAGCTTACCAGTTAACTTTGTATTCCCTGGTAATATTTTATACACAGATTCACACTGTATACACTCTTTAAAAAAACTCTTATTGTAGCATCCTACAACCATGATCTATAGAAAAGTATATTTTTATTTAATATATTTAGAAAATTTCCTGTTTTAGTATTTAGGAATTTTTTTTTCCTATTCTTTTTTGTGGTGACATGTTATTCCGTCATATAAGTAATTTCCTGAGTCTTGATGGACTTCAGAATATTTTTAACCTTTTTGTATTGCATACAAAGCTGCAACAATAAATAAGCTTGGACTTACATTATTTTTAATCTTGATGAATAAATCTATAATACCTTTTGAGAAGTGCTATTGCTGTGTCAAAGGGCATATTCACATTTAATTATGCAAGGTATTAGAAACTCTTGAGAAGACAATTTAGAAAACTTATGTTTTCCTACAATTAACCCATACTGTTAAGATGTACAAAGTTATAAGCAACACTAAATCCAATGCAATATAAACTCTGAAAGTGCATATGTCTTGTGATTTTCTACCTATGTATCACTGACAATAAAGTACCTGATGTATAACAACTGCTTAATCAGTATGATGGAATAAATAAGTACCTGATGTAATGTGTGTTTGTGGGTTTTTCCACTTCACATTAATTTTCATTTCTACCATTGACTATCAATACCATCCTGATTTTGCATTGAGGAAATCACTGTTTCTTCAAACTCAGTCAGTGGGGTTTATTTAGGGTTTCTTCCAAATCCAGTTCCAGGAGTGACAAGTGGAGTAAAAATATAAACAATAAAGCTTGCCATTACACAACGTCCCATGATTGAGTCAATGATAAATACTTGATGCAATCACATCCAATGATAAACTGTGAGAGTTATTTTTAGATGACAATAATTAAGATATGCTTTATTGAGGGCAGTATTAACATCCTTGTAAACATTCCTGGAAGGTGTTCTCTTAGCATCTCTGTCTATTCATAAAAACAGATTCCTGGCTGGGTGTGGTGACTCACTCCTATAATTTCAGGACATTGGTATATCAAGGTGAGAGAAGAGCTTGAGATCAGGAGTTTGAGACCAGCATGAAACATAGTGAGACCCCAACTAATATGGTTTGGCTCTGTGTCCCTAACAAAAATCTCATATTGAATTGTGATCCTGAGTGTTGGAGGTGGGGCCTGGCGGGAGGTGATTAGATCATGGAGTGGGTTTCTAAAGGTTTAGCACCATTCCCTTAGTTCTGTCTCATGATAGAGTTTTCATGAGATCTGGTTGTTTAAAAGTATATAGCACTTCCCCCTTCTCTGTCTCTCCGTGAGATGTGCTTGCTTGTCCGTTGCCTTCTGCCATGTTTGTAAGTTTCCTGAGGCCTGGCAAGCCATGCCTCCTGTACAGCTTGCAGAACTGTGAGTCAATTAAACCTCTTTTCTTTATAAACTACCCAGTCTCAGGTAGTTCTTTATAGCAATGTGAAGGGGTGGCCTGCCCTTCCACACCTGTGGGTATTTGTAGTCAGGTGGGACGAGAGACTGAGAAAAGAAATAAGACACAGAGACAAAGTACAGAGAAGCAACAGTGGGTCCAGGGGACCGGCGCTCAGCATACCAAAGACCTGCACTGGCACCGGACTCTGAGTTCCCTCAGTTTTTATTGACTATTATTTTCATTATTTCAGCAAAAAGGAATGGAGTAGGAGAGCAGGGTGATAATAAGGAAAAGGTCAGCAAAAAACATGTGAACAAAAGAATCTATGTCATAATTAAGTTCAAGGGAAGGTACTATAACTGGACGTGCACGTAAGCCAGATTTATGTTTCTCTCCACCCAAACATCTCAGCGGAGTAAAGAATAACAAGGCAGCATTACTGCAAACATATCTCGCCTCCCACCATAGGGTGGTTTTTCTCCTATCTCAGAATTGAACAAATGTACAATCAGGTTTTATACCGAGACATTCAGTTCCCAGGGGCAAGCAGGAGATAGTGGCCTTCCTCTATCTCAACTGCAAGAGGCTTTCCTCTTTTACTAATCCACCTGAGCACAGACCCTTTATGGGTGTCGGGCTGGGGGACGGTCAGGTCTTTCTCATCCCACGAGGCCATATTTCAGACTATCACATGGGGAGAAATCTTGGACAATACACAGCTTTCAAGGGCAGAGGTCCCTGTGGCTTTCCGCAGTGCATTGTGCCCCTGGTTTATTAAGACTAGAGAATGGCGATGACTTTTACCAAGTATACTGCTTGCAAACATTTTGTTAACAAGGCACATCCTGCATAGCCCTAGATCCCTTAAACCTTGATTTTATACAACACGTTTTTGTGAGCTCCAGGTTGGGTCAAAGCGGCTGGGGCAAAGTGGCTGGGGCAAAGCCACAAATTAACAACATCTCAGCAAAGCAATTGTTTAAAGTACAGGTCTTTTTCAAAATGGAGTCTCTTATGTCTTCCCTTTCTACATAGACACAGTGACAGTCTGATCTCTCTTTCTTTTCCCTACACAATGTGAGAAAGGACTAATACACCAACTTTACAAAAAAAAAATTAAAAAGCAGTGAGGCATTATGGCATGGGCCTGTAGTTCCACATACTGAGGAGGCCGAATTGAGAGGATCACTTGAGCCGAGGAGTCAGAGGTTGCAGTGAGCTGGGATTGCTCCATTGCACTCCAGCCTGGGCAACAGAGCAAGACCATCTCTTAAAACAAAAATGAAAACACAAACAAACAGGATAACAGATTTCTAACTGAAAAGAAGATTACACATTACAGAATAAGAAAAATGGGTCTTATTGAAAATCACTGGGTGAGGGAGTATCTACTTAAATAGGGTAGTAGAGAACAGGTTTTGAAGTAAAAACTTAAGAGCCTATTTTCTCAAAGTAGTTGAACAGAAAGACAATTACTCAAGTCCAGAGTTGTGAAATAATTGGTTAGTTACTCATATGGTTTGGCTGTGTCCACACCCAAATCTCATCTTGATGGTAACTCCCACAGTTCCTACATCTCATGGGAAGAGCCAGGTGGGAAGTGATTGAATTACGGGAATGGGTCTTTCCTGTGCTGTTCTTGTGATAGTGAATGAGTGTCATGAGATCTGATGATTTTTTTTTATTATACTTTAAGTTCTAGGGTACATGTGCATAACGTGAAGGTTTGTAACACATGTATACATGTGCCATGTTGGTTTGCTGCACCCATTAACTCATCATTTACATTAGATATATCTGCTAATGCTTTCCCTGCCTCCTCCCCACACCCCATGACAGGCCCCAGTGTGTGATGTTCCCCTTCCTGTGTCCAAGTGTTCTCATTGTTCAATTCCCACCTATGAGTGAGAATATGCGGTGTTTGGTTTTTACTCCTTGCGATAGTTTGCTGAGAATGATGGTTTCCAGCTTCATCCATGTCCCTACAAAGGACATGAACTCATCCTTTTTTATGGCTGCATAGTATTTCATGGTGTATATGTGCCACATTTTTAAAGGGCAGTTTCCCTGCACAAGCTCTCTTCTCTTGTCAGCAACCATGTGAGATGTGGCTTTCACCTTCCACCATGATTGTGAGGCCTCCCCAGCCACATGAAACTGTAAGTCACATAAAACTCTTTCTTTTGTAAATTGCCCAGTCTTGGGTATGTCTTTATCAGCAGCATGAAAACAGACTAATACATTAAATTGGTAGCAGTAGAGTGGGCCACAGCTGAAAAGATACCTGAAAATATGAAAGCAACTTTTGAACTGGGTAACAGGCAGTGGTTGAAACAGTTTGGAGGGCTCAAAAGAAGACAAGAAAATGTGGGAAACTTTGGAATTTCCTAGAGACTTGTTTAATGTCTTTGACAAAAATGCTGATAGTGGTATGAACAATAAGTTCCAGGCTGAGGTGGTCTCAGATAGAGATGAGAAACTTGTTGACAACTGGAGCAAAGGTAACTCTTGTTATGTTTTAGCAAAGAGACTGGTGGCATTTTGCCCTTGACCTAGAAATTTGTGGAACTTCGAACCTGAGAAAGAGATGATTTAGGGTATCTGGTGGAAGAAATTTCTAAGCAGCAAAGCATTCAAGAGGTGACTTAGATACTGTTAAAAGCATTCAGTTTTATAAGGGAAGCAGAACATAAAAGTTTGGAAAATTTGCAGCCTGATAATGTGATAGAAAAGATAATCCCATTTTCTGAGGAGAAATTCAAGCTGGATGCAGAAATTTGCATAAGCAATGAGGAGCCAAATATTAATCCCAAGACAATGGGGAAAATGTTTCTAGAATATATCAGAGGTCTTCATGGCATCCCCTCCCACCACAGGCTTGGAGGTCTAGGAAGAAAAAATTGGTTTCATTGGCCAGACCCAGGATCCCAGTGCTGTGTGCAGTCTAAGGACTTGGTGCCCTGCATCCCAGCTGTGACTAAAAGGGGCAATGTACAGCTCCGTCCATGGCTTCAGATGATGCAAGCCCTAAGCCTTGGCAACTTTCACGTGGTGTTGAACCTGCAGGTGCACAGAAATGAAGAACTGAGGTTTGAGAACCTCCATCTAAATTTCAGAGAATATAGCCTGGATGTCCAGGCAGCAGTTTGCTGTGGGGGTGGGGTGCGCATGGAGAATCTCTGCTAGGGCAGTGCAGAAGGGAAATGTGGTGTTTGAGCCCCCACACAGAGTCTCTACTGGGGCACTGCCTAGTGGAGCTGTGAGAAGAGGGCCACCGTCCTCCAGCCCCCAGAATGGTAGATCCACCGACAGCTTGCACTGTGTTCAGAAAAGCCACAGACACTCAACACCAGCCCGTGGAAGCAGCTTGGAGGGAGGTTTTGCCCTGCAAAGCCACAGGGGCAGAGCTGCCCAAGACCACGGGAATCCACCTCTTGCATCATCATGACCTGGATATGAGACATGAAGTCAAAGAAGATCATTTCAGAGCTTTAGAATTTGACTGCCCTGCTAGATTTCAGATTTGCATGGTGCATGTAGCCCCTTTGTTTTGGCAAATTTCTCCCATTTGGAATGGCTGTATCTACCCAGTGTATTTACTCTTATTGAATCGAATCTAGGAAGTAACTAACTTGCTTTTGATTTTACAGACTCATAGGCAGAAGGGACTCGCCTTGTCTCAGATGAGACATTGGACTGTGAACTTTTGAGTTAATGCTGAAATAAGTTAAGATTTTGGGGGACTGTTGGGAAGGCATGATTGGTTTTGAAATGTGAAGGTATGATATTTGGGAGGGACCAGGGGTGGAATGACATGGTTTGGCTGTGTCCACGCCCACGTCTCATCTTGAATTGTAACTCCCACAATTCCCACATGTCATGGGAGGATCCCGGCGGGAGGTGATTGAATATGAAGGCGGATCCTTCCTGTGCTGTTCTCATGATAGTGAATGCGTCTCATGAGATCTGATGGTTTTAAAAAGGGGAGTTTCCCTGTACAAGCTCTCTTCTCTTGTCTGCTACCAAGTGAGAAGTACCTTTCACCATGATTGTGAGGCCTCCCCAGCCACATGGAACTGTAAGTCCAATAAAACTCTTTTTTTGTTGTTGTAAATTGCCCAGTCTTAGGCATGTCTTTATCAGCAGCGTGATAACAGACTAATACAGTCACTACTGCTAAAAATTGTCTTTGTTTCAAATAGTATTTTAATAAGAATTTGCAGGAAGAATATAATAAAAGAAAATAAAATAGTAGCTTTTATACATGTACAATAATCTTTCTACCAGCAAACCTTTCTTGTGACGTTGTAGTATATCATAGTATTTTTTACTGATATCTGCATTTAAAAATCCAGAGTTCTGTAATAAAATACATGAGTTATATAAATTGTGAGCAACATTAATTGAGATTAATTAGGAAGAAAAGGAATAATGTGTAGCCTCTAAAAATGGAAATCACAAATCACAGCAAATGGCAGAGTAGAAACAAGATTGAATCTTATAATTAGGATCTGAGAGTGTCTATATATGAATTTTACCAAACTATTAACTGTATAAATAATAACAATATGAAGAATAACTGTTACTTAAGCACTTATGTGGCAGGCACTGTGATGTGTAATTTGCATAGACTACTGTATTCAATTTGTAGATCATCAGGATGCAACCACGGAGAGCCACAGGACCCAGGCAGAGAGCCACTGAGGAGTCATCCTGCTGAACAGTGGGGTTAACTTTGCCTCCTCAGTGTAGCTGGCAGGCAGAGTGAAGAGCAAAGAGGATTATTCTGGAGCCTTAAGGATTAATGTTGTTTGCTCCATTAGGTTATGGACTTACCTGGGACCTCTCACTCTTTTCTTCTTTCCCATTTCTCCCCTTTTAAAAGGGAATATCTATCCCTATGTCTGTTCCACCACTATATTTTGGAAGCACACCACATGGTTGGTTTCACAGCTGAAGGAGAATTTGTGTCAGGATGAAACATACCTTGAGTCTCATCCATATCTAATTTAGATAACGTATAAATGAAACTTTGGGCTTTAGATTTTTGAGCTAGTGCTGGAATGAGTTTAGAAGTTTGAGGCTGCTGGGAGGGGATAAATGTATTTTACATATGAGAAAGACATGAATTTTTGGGAAGCAGGGGCAGAATATTATAAACTGAATGTTTGTGTCCTCCCCAAATTCATATGTTGAAATTCTAAACCCCAATGTGATGGTATTAGGAGGTGATTTATTTCACAGATGGCTGAGTTATGAGAATGGAGTCCTCATGGATGGAGTTAATACCCTTAAAAACGAGATTCCAGAGACCTCCATCATCCACAGCAAAAGACACAGCAAAAAAACGATTGTCTACGATCCAGGATACAGGTCCCCACTAGACATTGAGTCTGTCTGTGCCTTGTCTTGGATTCCTCAGCCTTCTTAACTGTGAGAAATAAATGTTTGTTGTTTAAGCCACCTAGTTTTTGGTATTTTGTTATAACAGCCTGAACAGGCTAAAGCAGCCTCCTGTGAGTTTTGTTACTTTCTTCAATATCATGCATGATGACAATAAACTGAAGTACTATGTCATTCACCAAAAATCTATCAGCTTGTAAGTGATGAGTCCAGGCAGTCTGACTTAGAACCCAAGCTCTTAAACAGCACATTAACTTAAGGAGGTAGGATGATAAAGTGCTTAAGGAAGGACAAAATACATATAGTTCTTTAGATGTGTGTTAGCAGAAAAATAATGCCTAACAAACAATAAAATCCAAGAATATTTGAGACAAATACAGAATGGAGAAACAGAATTTAAATTGCACATAATGAGAAAAAAATTTACAATAATTTTATTGAAATTCTGGAGGTGCAAGAGACCTGTTGACTATCTACTTAATACCCATTTACCCCAATTTCTTAGGAAAAAAAATCTTATAATTTTATTCATGTTAACTATTCCTCTCTTAAGTTTGGGTAGAAATCTTGAACAGTTTAAACCTCATTTTCCTTACAAGCAGGTGGCTTAGGAGTGGCTATACCAACCCATCATCTGCAAATGAGATATGACAAAGTTTGCTAGGTGATTCTGAAAAATGTTGTCTTTCCCTCATAAACAGACACAGAGAAAGATGAATTAACTTCATCCTCTGGACAGCATAATGTCTGCATGAATCCCTGGAACTGCAGATCCCATCCTGTGAGAGTGAATTGAAAGTTCAAGTACAGGTGCCAGAGGGAGAAATGGAAAGAACCTGAATCTTTCATAATATCATTGAGCTTCTAAATTAACAACCACAGAGCCAAGTCTGCCTCCAGACTTCCTGTTAAATATCATAAATCCTTACTGATTAAGCCACTGAAGTTGCTTTTTAAAATTTGTAAGCAAAATTATTCTAACTGAGATAGATATTGAAAAGTCCCTGTAGGATAAAAATAGAAATTAGTATGGATGTTATAGAAACCCAGTTATTAAACATTTTCACATTCTCCTTACTATTCTATCTTCACACTTTAATTGTAACAAATATAAAATTATTAGGACAAAATGCTTTCAGTATCAATGGTGAACTAAGTTTTCCTCAGCATCATTATTTTCCTTGAGAGTTTTATATTTCATAATGATAAATTCCCTATAAATAGTGTTTTCCATAAATATTACTTCAGTAGTTTATAATAAAATATAAATCAAATAAAATCTCATAAGATAACATTGTTTTCAGAAAAAATATATGGAACATATCCTTGGTGTCTTACTTGAAATTTGATGGGTAAACCTACTTTTTACAAGAATAGATTTAATATAAAATTTAAAGTTTTTCTACTTTAATTTCATTCAGCTGATACAGAAAGGTTATAATTTACAAACATAAACTAACATAGCATTACTCTTTATCTCTCTATAAATATAATACTTTCTGAGATTTTTACTAATTGACAAAATTCCTTGTAAAATCTGTACATATATAGACTTTTATAGATGTCAAACACGGCAGTTATACAAGTACTCAAAGACTGTAATTGTGAAAACTGTCTCATTCCAGGAGGCTTATGTAGCTTAGCTTTCATCTTAATCAATACCATAATGTATTGAGAGACCAACAATGATAAAGGCAAAGAAAATGGAGTGAACACAATGGCTGGAATGGATGCACAATGATAGTATTGATAAAGAAAATGAGTCATTTTTTTTCAACAATTACAGTAGACAACATAACAGTCATAATTGAATGAACATCACACAGTAAATGAAAAGCAGCTATGGACTATTCCAGTTTTGATTCTAGGAAGAATGAGTAATAATGTTCTCAGGAGTTAATGGGGCATTCACTGACTCATGAAAGTTTAGCAAGTAGAAATGAACCATTCATTTAGCATCCAAACCAATCTGAAGTGGTGCTTGTGGATAAATAGAATCATCCATCCATGGGGCTCAAATAAGATTTAATATTGACTTTAGTATATACTATCAAAAACCATCCAGGTGAATCATGGCCTATTCCTTCTCATAAGAAGGAAAACTTGAAAAATCTTAACAGAAGGAATTGGCAAAGCAAAGGTCTGAATTGTATCTCACACACTTGAAGATTTTCAGATGTGTAAGCATATAAAAATTATTTAAAAAGTGTAACCATGCACTTATACTATTTGCTTGGGGAGTTAAGTTTATCAATATTCTGCCTATCTCCCCAGTTTTTATGTTAGATGTGTATGTGAAATCATCCTGTCTTCCTTCTTCCATCATGCACTTCTAAAAAGTATAACCTTTCTATGAGTATAAATTAATATATTTTTTTAAAAAAATAATCTGTAATAAATAGAAAATTAGAAAGAAGTTTGAAAACTACTTGGAATACCATCTAAAGGTAACATTCACAAATTTTTCTTTATTTTGTTGACATATATATACACATTGCTTTTTAAATAATGATGTTTCTTAAACAGCTTCTGCACACACACAAAAAATCTCTCATAAGAGTGAACAGACAACCTACAGAAAGAGAGAAAATTTTTGCAATCTATTCATCTGACAAAGGTCTCATATCCACAGTCTATAAGGAACTTAAGCAAATGTACAAGAAAAAACACAATCACATTAAAAAGTGAGCGAAGGACAGGAACAGACACCTCTCAGAAGGCATACATGCAGCCAATAAACATGAAAAAAAAACCTCAACATCACTAATCATTAGAGAAATGCGAATCAAAACCACAATACGATACCATCTCATGCCAGTCAGAATGGCTATTATTAAAAAGTCAAAAAACAACAGATGCTGGTGAAGTTGTGGAGAAAAGGGAATGCTTTTACACTCTTGGCTGGAGTTAAATTAGTTCAACTATTGTGGAAGACAGTGTGGTGATTCCTCAAAGACCAAGAGACAGAAATACCATTTAACCTAGCAATCTCATTACTGGGCATATACCTGAAGGAATATAAATCCTTCTATTCTAAAATTACATGCATGCATATGTTCACTGCAGCACTATTCACAATAGCAAAGACACAGAATCAACCCAAATGCCCATCAATGATAGACTGGATAAAGAAAATGTGGTACATATACATCATGGAATACTATGCAGCCATAAAAAGGAATGAGATCATGTCCTTTGCAGGGACATGGATGGATTTGGAAGACATTATCCTCAGCAAACTAATGCAGGACCAGAAAACCAAACACCACATGTTCTCACTTATAAGTGGTAGCTGAATGATAAGAACACATGGACACCTGGAGGGGAACAACACACACTGGGTTCTGTTGAGGGGGCTGCAGGGGAAGGGAGAGTATCAGGAAGAATAGCTAATGGACAATAGGCTTAATACCTAGGTGATGGGATGATTTGTGCAGCAAACCACCTTGGTACACATTTCCCTATGTTACAAACCTGTGTATCCTGCACATGTACCCCTGAACTTAAAATAAAAGTTGAAGAAAAAAAATAAAATTAAAATAAAATAGTGGTGTTCTTTCTATATATTTTAAATCATAAATATACTCACTGCATTAATCTTTCTCTAATGCTTTTTCTAACACCAAATTTATTACCACACCTTGAAATCTTGTAATATTCACAGACAATAAGAGCGATTTTTATGTGGTGATAAAGAACACGTTCTTACATAGCTAACAGCTACGCAAATTGTCAATTACCAAATAAACTCTCCCAAATCTTCACTCGTTTTGCTTAACAAGTTTTTTAGCTTTAAAATTACCAATAATTCAGAAGATATTTTTATTTTTGCCACAAATGAGAACAATCCTGTGTTGTGTGTGTGTGTGTGTGTGTGTGTCTGTGTGTATGCATATGTGTGTTTACACCTTAGCATAGGGTTCTGTTAATCAGTATTTCCTCACCAAGAAAAATGATCAGAGTCCAGAGTTAATTTCTCCCAGCAGCTGAACTGGAATGGCTTTTTCTGAAAGGGGGCTCACTTACTCTTCTTGTACTGCTTTCTGGTTCACTGCACAATTTCATGCCTCAATCTGCATAAGAATGCCACCATGGCTGCATGCCTGAAATAGCAGTGGAAGAAAGCTCTGACATCAGCTTCTCTCCCTACTGAAAGTGTAATTGTGAGTTGGAAAAACTGCCTCCTGCTGAGGGCTGGCTCCATATGTATATTTCTCCACCAGCAAACAACAGCCTTTGAATGTCCTTGCTGGTCACAGCTACACTGAAACCTACAAATCCCAAGATTCCATTTATCAAAATGTTTTTTCCTGGCTAGAAATGTGCTTCCGTTTCCTCCTGTGGTTCTCTGTAATTCAGTGATCACCAAAGCCAGAAACCTTAGAGCCATTGTCCATAACTCCTGCCTTTTCTCACCCATGTCTAATGATTCTGGTTCCAAAAAGACTTTCTAATCTCCTCTGTTGTTCTCTTTATTTCTTTAAACAAACAAATAGTAAATAAAAATGAGCTACTATATGCTTAGTTTCTATGTAAAAAACGATTTGAAAAAAGATTACCTATTCAATAAATTGTATTTCATGTATAACTCCAATTAATTAAAAAAATAGGTTTTTTTTCCTCCTGTCTTATGCAGCTGATCTGAAATGAAATCTATAATACTTACTGAGGGAGTTGGAGAAAAACAATTTGAAAAAATTTACAATATATATTTAGAGAGATAAAAATAAAGGCAAGCAACACAAGAACATAACAGAATACAGTTATGATTCTGTCTGCTGTGGAGGATGTGTAGATAAATATGCACTAGAGGAGTCAGGAAAAACTTCAGCATAGAGGAGGACTTTTCTGAGTCATGGAAGGTAAATGAAGATAGACTATGAAACATCAAGTGAGGAAGACAATATGAACAAAGAAATAAGTGTGTATTTGTGTGTGTGTGTGTGTGTGTGTGTGTATTTTTCCAACATCTGTGTGCTTGGCATCATAGAAACCATGATGAATAGAGGGAAAAATCTATACTGAAGATGCATTTTATATAGTTAGAAGGAGGCCACATTATGACCGGACTTTAAAACAAAACTATTGAAATATGAATTAGGGACTGATATAAATTATTTGACAAAGCATGGTTTAGGTGAGTAGAATTTAAGGAATATAGCAAAGAGTACTTTGTTTCCAGCAGATCAAGTATCACACATGATGGGGGCTTCTATTGAAGTGATTTCATTATAAAATGATGTAGGCCTGGGTGAAGTGATGGGATGGGTAGATGGAAGAGAGCTAAAGCTAACTTTATGGTCTGTAAAAAAAAAAAAGAATGCATTTGGATGAGGCTAATTTTGGAGAAAGGGGACTGGAGAAGAATGCAGTTATTTGCTAAACATGTTCTCTATTGTTAGGCAACAAATGGGAAAAAGAATACAGAACCATGTAACTATCATCAGTAGAAAGTAGACTTCACACTTGGGTTTGAAGTGGAGGTATTTATCCAAGATTTGTCTTGGATCCATTTGATTAAAATGACCATTAAAATAACTCCAACATCTCATTTTAAAACAGTAATGGCTGTTAAAATTTACTGAATGCTTACTATGGTCAAAACACTATGATAGGCATATTACATTCAATTTATTACAGCAAGCTGATAAAGTAGGACTATTATTTATTACAATGTTATTTATGACATGTAACAAATGGGAAAAATATGTATCTTTTTCTTCATATGAGTCTTTTCTCAAGCTATTCTAGTATTGGAAATGTCTTTTCCTCCGTCTGGAAATATCCAACTATTACACATCTTTAATCTCATAAGATCCAGTTCATATCATACCTTCTCCAGAGTTCTTTCTGCTTCCCAAACTAAAAGTAATTACTTCCCTCTAACATATTTTCACTTATACTCTCCTCTAACAGTAAGCATGATTACCCTTGCATCACTCTTTTAATTAATATCTATTACTGCCTAACAAATTATCCCAAACCCAGTGGCTTCAAACAACAATAATAAAATTATTCTCTCTTAATTTCTGTGTGGCAGGAATTCAGGAGTTGTTCTGCTGACTTATTCTGGCTCAGGACTTTTCATGAGGTTGGAATCAAGATGTCATCTGTGGCTGTCATTGTCTAAAGGCTTGACTGGGACTACGAAATCCACTCCTGGGATGACTCACCTGCATGGCTGTTGCCAAAGGGCTCAGTTCCTTACCACATGAGATTCTAAATGGGTATGTTTGAGTTTCCTCAGGATATGACATGTCCTCATGATAGGGTCCCTGAGAGCAAGTAATCTGAGAGAGAGGCATCCACAAGGTCTTTCCTTTCCTAGTTGCAGGGTCACACACAGTCACTTTACCTTATTCTATTGAATAGAAGTGACCCACTAATGCAGCCTACACTGAAGGAAAGAAAAATTAGGTTCCATCTTTTAAAGGAAATGACAAAGAATTTATGGACAAATTGTAAAAGTCAACACATTTTTTAATGTGTCCTTTTCTACACTATTGACCTCAGAGGAGGAATCCTCCTTGCTGTCTTTGTATCCCCCAGGATAGCTTGGTACAGTGTATGTGCCTTGTGTCTATTGGTGCTCATGCACACGATTTATGTGTACATTTTTTTTTAAATTTAGAAGTCTAAAATATTTCAGTTAAGTACTTTTAGCACAAAAACATTTGAAAGTAGTGTAAATTAATTCAGCTTTTGCTTGGAATATTTAATATTTTAATACCAGGCTTCTGAATGTAATAGCTTAATAAATATTTTAATACAAGCCTTCCATATACATTATTGCATTATTGAAGAGATATTGAAGAGTGCATTATTGAAGAGAGTGACAACTTTTTACCTAAATGAAAAAGACCACTGGATCACTTCTTTTTCTAAACTAAGGAAACTAAATGCATAGAAAATTTGACAGTGAAGCTGTGTCAGGGCCAAACTGCTCACTTTCATTTTGAATGAACAGCCTTGGTCATTTCTGGTGGTTATTTTGCTCTTGGTGTTTAATAAAATATGTTTTAGTTAAATATCTTTTAAAATGTCTCCTTTTTTGAAGGACAAATGTTTACAGTTCAAGAGAATTAAAAACATGACTCTGCAAACCATGTCTCATAAGCAGTTTTCAATTGACAAATTATAGAGGTCAAAATAATAAACTTCTAAATGACTATTCTTATACTCCCTAAAGAGATAGTTTTGCATGGGCCATTCTAAATATGATATAAATGTATGATAATAATAGTAACTTTGTAAGTAAAAATAATGTAAGAAATAATGGCTATTTTGAGTAATTAATCATAGTTTTAACATTATTTGAATATAGAAATATAATTTTCTTTTATATGTTCTCATTCTGAGATTCATCTTTAAGTATTGAGATAAAACCAATCTTCTTAAATAGCTGGCTTAAAAAAATTGTTTTTTTTTTTCAAATAATTTTGAATTCTTCTAAGAAGAATTATCAATTTAAGATAAAATTTTATTTACCAAAGCAAAGGTTTCACTTTCCAAATATTAAGTTTGAAGTCAGCATTGTTGGGAGAAAAGCTGAGTGTTGGAAGAGAAGCTGAGGCAGGGCTTGGAACATGCCTCACCACCTGTTTCTTTGTCTGATCACCCCAACAAGTATAATGTGTAATTTCTAAACTCCAACTTAAGCCATGGTTAAAAATCAATCAATAACTAATATATTCAAAAATATTCTTCCAGCAGGGAACAATGGCTCATGCCTGTAATCCCAGTAATCCCAGCACTTTGGGAGGCCAAGGAAAGAGGATCATTTGAAGCCAGGATATGGAGACCAACCTGGGCAACAAAGCAAGACCTCATCTCTACAAAAAAATAAAAATTAAACATTAAAAAAATTGTATATATACATATATAATTTATATGTATTATGTCACAATACATACAACTTATATGTATTGTATATGAATTGTGACATAATACTTATAGATGTATATATATTTTTTTGCCCAATGCCCTGTGTTTTAAACTAGGTATATCATACCCTCTTGGTTATGTGGCTATCTGGAAATGACAGATAATCAATTTAAAATGTAACCAGGGTGATATGATTATCTGGGGAGAGTCTGACTTGAATATCTATATATCACCCTTTAGTTTGAAGTCTTGAATACAGCAAAAACCACAGCAAAAGCAATAGTTATAGAGTAGACATTTTCATGATTACTAAAGGTAGTAAAAAGGAAACAGATAAGACAAACTCACAGTAACCACAGGAGAAAACAAAGGATCCAGAAGGGAACCCATCAACAAACATATACTTCTCTAGCAGAGGAACAAACCTGGAAGAAAGAAGACAATGGGACTCATTGGAGAAATAAATCCAGGAGCCTGGATATTGTCTAAGAAAATGTGTAATCATAGAAGACACGTAAAATTAGCATAAACCGAGGGCTGGTGTTTTAGGAGTCCAAAATGTTGCTTGGCTGAGGAAAATGTTGAAGAGGAAAATTCAACATTATTTCATCACTTCATTTATTCTTGGTTGTTGTTTGTCATTTTCTTAATACTTTCAATCAAAGTATTTAGTCTAAGCTTGCAACTCCAATGGGTGATAAAGCTGAACCACAATCGTCTTCCCCATTCCCCTAAAATGTAAGGATATTTAAAATGTATTTTTTACCTTGCCTTAAAACTCTACAGTGATAGTAATTTCCAAAAGGGAAAAAAATAGCAAAAGATACCACATGTTTTCTCACTTACTTCTACACTTATGCTAGAATCTATAGAAGGAAAAATATTTGTCTTTGTTTCTTTTTTTTTCAATGATTTGTATGAGACTTTTTTCATATATTGCCAATCTAGAAATTTTTAATGCAATTACATTTTGAGGCATGTGCCATTAAAATGGCTAATTTCAGATCTTTATTTCACCTTGATTTAAAGGAAAAATGTTATCTCCCTAAAGACCAATTGCTTTTGTATGCCAAGAAATGTGTGTGCATTAGATGCTGCTTGGCTTTCCCAAAGCTAATTTTCCAGAAGTAAGAGAAGAACTGACTCAGCCTATTCATGTCTCCACATTGTTGCCATGCACACGTGGAAGGCAGTCTGAAGCAGGCTCAGACTGTTTGGCTGTGAAATTCATCATGAGGAAGTCCTCTGGCTCTCCGTGATGTCTCACAGCTCCAAGCCCATTCATATTCACCAGGAACTATGTGGAAATTTATCTGAGAAAATACAAGAATGTCTCAATTTGAGCTCCATTGCTGACCTTGTGTGCAAGGAGAAAGCAGGCTTTGTGTGTTCCATTTTGAATATCTGGTAACTCAGCCCTTGACTAAGTCCCTTTGGTTAGTTGCTAAGCAGCATGAAAGTTAGCACACTCTCTACTTTAGAAAATCTTCAGGAATATTTACTTTTCTAAAATGAACTTTTGTTTATAAACCCATTTGATGAAATCAATCAAATGTATATACATCAGCAACTATTTAATAGGTATTTCTTCATGGAATAAGGAATCACAGTGTCAATTTGCCCATGTTGAGCATATCTATATTTTGACAATGGAGTCATTTCTATAGAAGCAACAATGGTGCTGCATTTAAAAAGTTAGGAAGGTGGTAGATGAAAAAGCAATGAAAGTAGTAAACTATGGAATAAAGATACTATTTTATTACAATCTAAGTAATAATTAAAATAAAACCAACCAAAAGAAATGCAGAACAAACTATTAACATAAATACAAGACTCTGTCTTGTAGAGAAAATAATTTCACAGTAAAGGTTTGGTTATACCACTTTTCCAACAATTGTACTACTTTTGCAAGGATTTTATTTATATGATAGATAAGAAAATGAATAAATCTTTTTCTAAAAATGAATTCATTTCCAGTTATTTCATTCTTTTTTCTTTCAAATTACTAGTGAATCTTTAAATTTCAAGGTTATGAAGAAATCAGTTTCCTTCAAATAAAAAATATATCAATCAACTGGTACTTTATAACTTTGAAAGAGCAAGTTTATTGCCAATAAAAATAAGGACAACAAAAAGGTATACAAAATAGAAAGGAGTATGAAAAGACAAGAACTTCTGATAAGGCTAATCTGAGAAATTCCAGTCCTCACTTGAATAGTACTTTGAATACTCACACACATGAGATTATTGCAGTAACTACTGACAGAAATAAATATATTCAAATGAAAACATATGAAACAATACTTGATATTGTTTTGTGAGTGACACTAATTTTGTCAAATATATTGCTTTTTTGCCACATTTAAGCAGTACAGTTCATTTTAAATGGCTGGTATTTTGTGGGTTTTTTTGTTTTTACTATGTTTTTATTGTGAATTTTGAAAGTCAAACTCTTTTTCAGGCCAACAAAAGCAAACTAATCTCATTAAAAATATCATTCCTCTTGTTCCTTCCTTTAATTATTCGTGTCTTATTGGAATTTAGGAAAATTGATCCAAATACTACAAACATTGTTGTCAATTTCTTATATTTATTTCCTTGCTATGTCTCTAGAGTTTTCTAATGCCAAATAGAAGGTTTAATCAGTCTGTATTGTTTAAATAATAGAGTTTAAAAGCTATTTATTGGAAAGTATTTTAAATCTCATGTAAATGGAATTCTACTGGAAGACTTCTTTTTAAAATCATATTTAATACTTGGTTACACTTTATTAAAACACTTCTGGTTTCAGATTATCTTTTGAATGCAGCTAACCTATCACTAAGTTTTTTGTTATGCTGGTCCAAAGTCTGATGTTTTGTAATTTCAAAATTACTATAACTCTTTTCCTTGTTTCTTTCCTTAGTAAATTTCAAATTCCCTTTTTCTGGTAATTTGTGACTTCCTTTCTTCATTATGTAGACATTCTTGACTTCTTAAAGCAAAACAAAAGGAAAGAAAAAAAGCAAATAACAATAACAAAACCCACTTCCCTTAATTCTGCATCTTTCTCTCTTTACAGGCAAATTTCTTAAAGGTTCAACCATCACTTCCACTTTTACACAGTACCATAACACTCATGAAAATTCCACTGTGTGTGTTTTCACAAGGACCTGATACAAGCTATGACACTGCTCATTGTCTCTCTCCTTTTCTCAAAATGTGCAGTCATTAATAATTTTTCTCAGGATTTTTATCATTAACCTTTTTCATATTGTTCCTAAATCAAAGTTTGTAATTCGAAATCCTTTTAAAAAATGCCAGAAGGCAATGAAGTATTCAGAAGATTAAAAATGATGGTGTAATAACCAGAATCCACATAATCAAAAAGATTTGTGGTTCAGTGTTTTCTTTCTAAGGTACCAAATGAAAGAGTATCATGTAGGTTTTTATCATGGCAATTTTTTTAAAGATATAAAATAAATAGAAATATTTATTGACAAGTATGTCAAATGCAAACTTGACCTTGTCCTGACACTTTTACAATATAACATGGCTTCAAACATTTAAAGAAAATAAAAATTAAATGCCATAAAGTTGTTTTTTTCTCTTCCTCTTCCTCCTTCTTCTCCTCCTTTCTTTTTCTGTTTCTATCATGGTTTTATTTTTTCTTTTCTGACTTTAATAGATTGATTTTATTAATTTACTAGGTTTTAGAGGGGCAGGTTTTGTCAATTGGCTTCATATCTACCACTTTTGCCTCAAATGCCTAATTTTCATAATATTACTTAATAAAACATTTGAATACATTATTAATGCTCACTAGTGGAAAGAAATGGAATTAGAAATTGCTAAAGTGAAATCAGTAATTCCCCGCTAAACAATTAGGTATTTTAGATATTGAAGAGATTTTTGAATCATAAATTTGTTGGCTTTTCTCTGTTAAGTATATTCTACTTTTGATAATTAACTTTTTATGTTAAGAAAATGTCTAGAAACAGAAATATTTGATTGAAGAAACTAATTATAATGTTATACTGTTCCTTGAATAGAATTTATCTTCTATGAAAACGAAGGTAGATTTCACATCCCCTTCTTTCACTTTTCATATTTCCCAACTGCAAGCAGACAATTCATATATTGAAGGTAATTATTTCCTTTGTAGGCTTCTTTCTGTAACAACTTGGAAATGAGTACTTATTTATATTTTGGGTTATCCAACATACGATGCTATCAAGATGTGAGTTAAATTATTTAGTTACTGGAAGAGAGAGAGTGTGTGTGTGTGTGTGTGTGTGTGTTTGAGGTAGCAGGGAGGTGGGGATAAGGGAGCTATTTGTCTAGCCTTGCATTTGTTTTGTGAAACAGACAACCAGAGATGACTATTTTTTAAATCACAGCTTGTAGTGAGCTTAAATTATGTAAAAAGGTACTACATATTATAACGTAAATTATAAATGCAATATACTATAATTATTATTGTTTAGCATTATTTGATTAGGAATTCTACAGCTCTTATGAACGCTGTCAGGTTCTATTTAAGTGTGCAATACTAATATAATTTAAAAAGCAGCTGTATTTGATGGTTTTTGTGTGTGTGTATGTGAATGCCCTTTTGCGATATTTCAAAATGGCGTCTAAAGCTTTGTCCTTGTCAATTTACTTTAACATTCTTTCAGAAGGTTCTGTCAAATTCTTGCTAAGCTTTACTTCTCAGAAACCCAAAGTGGTATTATTTGGTCCCTAAGATATACAGAAGTTTGGCTATGGAAACAATTTCAGGTTTTATCCTGGAATTGCAGTCAGAATTTCTTGCTAAAATTCTCTATTTCCCCTCTATTAACCTCTTTCAATAATAAGCAAACACATAGCAAAGCTTTAATAGTTTTCGTTACCTTTCATCTTGTGTTCTATAATTGTTAGCCTTTAAAATGTTTCAATCAATATTGAAATTTTTTTGAAATGTAAGCCATTTGTTGTTATTACTGAGAAAATTCACTGGAGCCCCTCCACTAGTACTCCTGACCTAAAGGTAGGTCATGCTAAAGAGATGGAGGGGGCTGAGTACTGTCATGGAAGGAGATGCAACTCATACAAAGGTTAACACATGAAACTTACACATTTTTAAAAGTCTCATATTCATAAATAATGCTTCAATATATTGTTAAATAATTGAGATAACAGGATATTGTATGCTTTTTGGTGTGCATTTGAATTTTTCTTCTTCATCTCATTGAGGAAGTTCCCCATTTGTCTTCTCTTTCCTCAAAGAGGATATTTTCCATTATCAGATAAGTAGTAAAAACCAGAATATATCATGAAATGTAGACTTTGAACAAAATATTAGGATGATAAAATACTCATGTAACCATTGGAATTATACTTTAAAAACACTGTATCATGGCAGGGGTTAGCAGAGTAATTGAGACCAACTCTCCCAGTGAGAACAACTGGAAAAGCTAGACAAAATATTAAAAATAAAATCTGCACAAAGGAATCAGAGAGATACCAAGGAAGTTAAATTATGATTAATTAAGAAATACTTGTTTGTGAAAACACATCATAAAGTGAGTGAAAAATATTTGAAAAAGTTGAAGATATTTACAACCACATATATGTGAAAACAGAATTTCTACAAATCAATTAGAAGGTGATAATCAGTAAAATAATGGGCAGCAGACTTGAATAGAAACTTTAAAAATAGCAAAGTTTGCTCAACATGTTTGGTTTCAAAGTAATACAGAATAACATACACAGATACTACTACAATTAACAAAAATGGCTTATCTTCAGAAGTCTGCTAATACCAAGTGTAGGTGAAGATATGTTCTTTCACAGACAGTATATGAACTGATACTGCTCCTTGGAAAAGCTATTTGGTATTTTCTACTAAATTTAAATAAATGCACATCTTAACACCCAGTATTTTCATGTCTCTCTCTCTTCCTGTCTCTCTCTCTCTCTCTACACACACACAAACACACACACACACACACACACAAAGCAGAAATGCATGTACATGTCCACCAAAAAGTGTACAATGTACATAGAAAAATATGTATAGCAACACAAGAAACAAGCTAAATATCCATCAACAGTGGAATAATTGGAAATGAATTAATAAATTATAAATTAATAAATTCATTTATATATTTATAACAGAATAGTCTAAACATTGAATAACAAACTACAGTTATTTTAATACAGTTATTTTAATAATATGAAAAACTGATAATGCTGAGTGAATGACAGTAGACAATACATACTGCATGATAATGCATATGAAGATTAAAAATCTACTAAAGTTAGTTTGCTAGAGATTTGATTAGACATTTTACTGCTGTTGGACATTTAAAGTTTTTGCTAATCTTGAATATTTTGTTTTTAAATGATGTTATGAAAAAATATATGAAACTAATATTTTGTTATAATGTTAATTTCAAGTGGAAATATTGGGATAAAAGAATTACGGTTTTGATAGATAAATTTTGTCAAAATACTTGATTTCCAGAGAAAGCATTTTTGAATTCCTAAAACCTATTACCAGGATTGACGATTTTAAGTTTATTAATATTTCCTACTTTGGAATTTAAAAAATGAATGTAACTGTGACTATTATTTGCTTTTATTTAATAGTTAACATGAAAATGTTTATATCACATTTTAATGAAAAATTAAACATTTTAAATAGCACTTAAGGGGTTGCAATAAGTTATTCTCCCTTCCACTTCAAACACTTCATTGTCTATGGTCAGTTGAATAATGTTAAAATCATGGTTGTCTCATTTTTTTTAATAGAATTCTATATAAGCATTTAGGCTGGTGCTTTTAAAATTAACTCTGTAACAAAATCTTCAATTTCTTCCAAGATAATTTCTCTGTTTAAAGAATCTCCTGGCTGGGCACAATGGCTCACACCTGTAATCCTAGCACTTTGGCAGGATGAGGCAGGAAGAGCGCTTGAGGCCAGGGGTTTGAGACCAGCCTGGGCAACATAAAGAGACAATGTCTCTAAAATAAAAAAAATATATAAAATTATATATATATAATTTACATATATATTACATGTATATTAGACCACCAGCATGGTGGCATGTACCTGTAGTCCCAGCTACTTGCAAAGCTGAGGTGAGAGGACCACTTGACCCTGGGAGGTCAAAGCTGCAGTGAGCCATGGTTGTTCCACTGCACTCCAACCTGGGTGACAGAGCAAGACCCTGCATTAAAAACAAAAGAAAAAGGAAAAGGAAAAAAAGCCCTGTTTTTAAGGGTCATATTATCTCCTGTTTTAAAAGTCATATTAAGTAATTTATATTTTTGTGGAAAATTTATGTTTTAGAAGAATTTGCATAAAGTTGAATAGATTTGTATCTTAAAATTATTTTCATATCATGTACCTGTGTTATTTCCCCACTTAAATTAGTAATTTTATACCTAGTTTTATGTTTTTCCTTAATATAGTAATATATCCCTCTGCTTTACTTTTATTTTTGAAAAATCAATTTGAATTGTAATTATTTTGCCTAATGTATATAACTTAGTTTTCATCTATGTTGATATTTTGTTTATTTTAATAATCTGTATCTTCTTTAATAATATATTTTTTGCTTTCTCAATATGTTTTCAAACTTCAATTGTTAGAATATAAGTTTCACTGTTTTGCTGCATTGTCTCTAGAGGAAAATGTGCATTGCTATTGGTTTGCTAGTAATTTGAATAATGGTGAAGAATTTGCTCAGTAGCTGGACTAGGAAAGAGATTCTTGAAAAAAGGAATAATTAATTCACCATATACTTGCTACATATTTCTCCAGTACTGATTCCACATAAGATTCACAGGTATAAAAATGGCACAGATGATTTTAAGATTGGGCAGAAAACTGCAAGCCAAAATGAGCTTATTCTGGAAATGAATCAGTCATTTCCAGAAGTGAAAATTTATTTTTATATATTTTTTGTTTGTTTTTGAACTTGAAGAAAACTCTGCAGGATCTACCATGTCAGAAGTCACTTAGAAAAGCTTTCCAACTAAAAATATGACTTATTAAAACCATTAATTGCAATGTATGTCCAAAATAATTTTTAAATATTTAAATGTGATTGCATAAATAATCAGAAAAAACATTGTCAGCCAGATAAGTCCTAATATTATTAAATGAGTGAATATATATTAGATTTCCATATCAAAACATTATAGAAAAGAAGACAAGTTTTAATATAAGCAAAATATAAAATTATATTTACATGTTTTTCATCTGCTGTTTTTATCTACTCAACTATCAACATATAGATTTTTAGTACAGAAAATTCTAAGTTTTCATATTTTCACTGTTTCTGTAACACTCTTCAAAATTGATGCCTGGGTCATTCTTATTTTTTTGATACTTTACAGAGAGAAATAAAAGCATTAGGGTTATTTTTCATTAGCCATAATTTTCAGAACTAAAATGGAGCATTTTAAAAGATAAGCTTAAGAGAAAAAGTAGAATTTTTACTCAGGTAGAAACTGTCATAAGACTTGGGATTTATTCCATGTTTGTCAGGATTCCAACATTCTTTTCTAGATGAGTTGACTTTTATAAAATACTAATTTGGATTCAGGCCAGAAACTTTGGAGGTTATTTGTATTAAATATTTGGAAATCATATTTCTTATTACATTTCTATTTTTTAAAGATGAGAAAGTATTTTTTGGCAGCACAAGCAAGCTCTCAGAATGAACTCTCTAGAAACCCTGCCAAATTTATGTTAGAGCTGCATCCAAGTAGAGTAGTAAAGACAGCTAATGGTTTTTATTATCATTATTATTATTATTATTATTATGAGGAAGGGGGAAATAATTTGTTTTCATTTCATTTCTTGTTTCTATAATTTAAGAACTTTGATATTAATAACAACAATTAATATTATTGCTAAAGAAATTAAATGTCTCACAAATGAGAAATTTCCAAGTCATGTCTCCAACAAAAAAAATTGATTTGGCAAAGTTATGTAATGAAAGGATTGAATTTTAATCACTTGCTATGAAGTAATAATATTTGAATTTATATATTTTATAATAGAATTACTGGTAAAATATATCTCTGGTGTGTAAGTCAGGAAACACTAACATTATCTGCAAAACTTGATGTGATTTCTGATTATGTTCTTAAATTTAATATTTTACTTTACTATCTGACTACAAAATTTGTGATTTGCTTTCATTGCTTCACAGATTATAGTAGAAAAATATGATAATGTCTGTCTGATTCAAAGTATTTTAAACAGGAATATTTGTAAAATGATGTAACATTAAATTCTTCTGAGAATTATAGTGTAACAATAAAATATAAATCACCAATGTATTAGTTATGAATTTATCTAAATATATTTAATTATTATTAATTATAAATATGTATTTATAATGACCAGGCATGTTGGGATCACTGTACAAAATGCAATGAATGGGTGGCAAAAATACAAAGAAATCACTGCCTTCAATGTTTCTAAACTCAGAGTTAGATTGGATTGTAAAGAAATGTAAACACACAATAGATTGTTAATATTTGAAAGTGGCACATTCATAAATCAATTCAAATATTAAGTGTTATGGATTCAAAAATAACAGACAGTACTATAGACAATAAAGAGAAACGGAACTTGTAGTTATTGACTGCATGTTCTTTGACATCTTGGGAATAATGAGGTAATTGTGTAGTAATAAAAGAAATAATGAAGTATTATGGGAATCCTGGCTCCATGAAAAATTGAGCAGTGTTCTGAGGTTTACAAAAATTTGAGTGGGTGGTGCCCATGTGAGTGGAGGTAAAAAGGTTTACTGTGAGCTCAAGAAATAAATAAATTGGCCTTAATTGAACATGTGCTTATTGGGGATGTGGGAGATAATGTGTGCAAAACTCTTGGAATGTTAAGTAATTGTGGTTTTTGTAATTACTTTTTTTTTTTTTTTTTTTTTTGGAGACGAAGTTTCACTCTTATTGCCCAGGCTGGAGTGCAATGGCGTCCTCTCAGCTCATGCCAACTTCCACCTCCCAGGTTCAAGCGATTCTCCTGCCTCAGCCTCCCAAGAAGCTGGGATAACAGACATACGCCACCACGTCCTGCTAATTTTGTATTTTTAGTAGAGACGGGGTTTCTCCATGTTGGTCAGGCTGGTCTCGACCTCCTCGATCTCAGGTGATCTTCCCGCCTCGGCCTCTCAAAGTGCTGGGATTACAGGCGTGAGCCACCGCGCCAGCCTGTAATTAATTTTAATCGCAAAAACTGCAATTACTTTTGCACCAACCTAGTATGCCAGGCCTTCTGAGGGAGACAGTAGAGTCTAACTCTGGTCTTTGAGCTACAGTATCAGGGTAATGGGTTCCAGTATCCAGTCCTGTTACTTACGTTTGTTACTGAAATCTGTGTAAACAATAAGAACTATGATTTATTGAAACTTACTACATACCAGGCACAAATCCGAGCTATTGCATACACTAATTTAATTAGTCCTTATAAAAACTTTATTAAATTGGTGTAATTATTACCCACTGTATTATAAAGATAAAACTAGGCACAGGGGGATTATGGCACCAGAATCTAGGCCATTAAACATTGCACACTGTTCATCTAGTTTTCTATTTCCTTAGACATGAATTGCAAATATTACTTATGTGTTTCTGTGACAATATAAATATATTTATATTTATAAATATGTGTATGGACATATACCTACTTGCATTTATACATATGCAAATAATAATCGCTTACAAATGTTAGCAGTCACATTAAAATAATAATTTATTTATTTTTTGAGACAGGGTCTCACTCCGTCATCCAGGCTGGAGTGCAGTGGCATGATGGTTGTCTACAGTCCTGGAAGTTTAGGGGATTTAAAAAAAGTTGAGTTGATAGAGGTTTAGTCTGAGGGGTCATTTATAGTTAGTCGTATTAGTTTAGGAATATAATATGTGGAGTTCACGCTTTTCAGAGAGGTATGCTCGAAGTATTATGTAAGTACTAGGACAGACATTTAGCTGACGTAAAAAATAGGAAGATCCTATTTGGTCAGAAAACATTAGAATTTTTAGAAAATAACGTTAATTGAGGGATGGTGTTGAGGTTGTTCATGATTAAAATATGATTGTTTAGGACGCTGACTAGATTGTGTTTTAGTCTTTGTTTTTTGGAGTTTGGCAGGAGTACGTTTTACCTAAGTTAATAATAAATTCAGATATCAGGGGAGGCGGGTTTTGCGGATTTAATTGGAAGTGGTCCTTGAAATAGTGTGCGTAAACGTGGGTGCGTAAACATGCATGCGTAAACGTCAGTGCGCAAACGTCTATTGATTAATTTGGTATGTCCTGCAAGCATGAATGAATTAGCACCTGTTGGTATGTTGATTCGGAATGTTCAAGGTAAGTTCAGCTACAGCTGATTCGGCAGTTACCAGGCTCCCGCCATGCTGAGTCACAGCACCCCCAAAGTTAAAAAATACCAAATGCATGAAAGTGCTCCTATGACTGGTTAATAGGGTAGTAGTCACTAATCCATCGAGATATCTTATTTAAGGGGAATGTGTGGATGATCTTGATGTTATGTCCCTGAAGTAAGAACCAGATGCCAGGTATAGTTTCAGTACAGACACCCCCAAGTGTTAGGGGCCTGGAGCTAGGAGGGAAGAACTTCCCAAGCGGGTTGATGATTTCTCAAAGCTTGGTGGTTGAGAAACCAGGGTTGGTAGGGGATACCTTGCTGACGAAAAATATCTTGACTTAAATGTGCTATGTCTGTTAAATAAATGTATGTACTATGTAATATTAAGGATATCTAGTACAGTCAGTATCTATGTGGGTTGAATTGTATTGTACAGTTAATAATAGGAATGTACGGTAGTTGTTTAAGGGATTGGTAATACTTGCTTGATATGCATGTGGAAAGAATCTTTCCACACTACAGCCTCACTACAGCCTCAACCTCCCAGGCTCAAAAGATCCTCCCATCTCAGCCTCCTGAGCAGCTAGGACTACAGGCATGTGCCACCATGCCTGGCTAATTTTTTTTTTTTTTTTTGAAGAGATGGAATTTTGCCATGTTGCCCAGGCTGGTCTCAAACTCATGAAGTCAAGCCATCCACCCATCTTGGCTTCCCAAAGTGCTGGGAGTACAGACATGAGCCACCACACCCAGCCTAAAATAATTATTAATAGTTAATTCCCCAATGGGTTTTTTTGGTTATTGAATACTAAGAAAGGCAGTGTAAATGCTAGCCTTAAGTCATTAGGAATAAACTGAATAATAATTTAAAAACACACATTTACAGTTTGTGAAGACTCACATATCTCTGGTTTACCAAATAAAGAGAAGGAAATAAAAGAATCCAAAACAGTTAAAGAAAATTATTGTCCTTTCCCAAAACAGAATGTATAGGGCTAACAAGAATGCTAACAGAGAAAATACAGTTGATGTAAAATGTAGATGTAACTCACAAGAAGGATGAGAAGATGTGGGAGGCAAAAGAAGAAAAAAATATTCTTGACTTAAGTCATGATAAAAATAAAGCATTAGTACCTACAAATCACGTAGTAGCAAAACTCTTGTATTTTGGATGGAGACTATGGTACAGTTTAAAGTAGGTTCAGTTTAAAATGGACAAACATCATTTTCTAGGAAATGTGTGGTAAATAATTTAAGTCAATGAATGATGAAGAGAGTTATTACAGGGGATGATTAGTAGTGGAGTTATGAAAATGGTAGCTATTCATAAAGTTTGTAAGATGTAAATAATAAACCTCTAATAACTTAATGTATGCATGCATATTATGTATCAAGCACTATCAAAATGATTTTGTAAAAATTATGCTGCTAAATTCTCATGATCCTATTAATAGGAATTAATTTATCCCCAGTTTATTGATGCGTAAATAATTTAAGCACGAAGTGTTTTTAAAAACCTGCACAAGATGTCGAGTACCTAATACAGTGACTAGGTCATAACAGACAATAATGAGACTAAAATGTCCAATTATATTTATATAGAAATTGTTATTTTCATTAACAATAATAAATATTTTATAAGTAGAGAAAATAGAAAGAATATCTGCTGGGAGCTAAAAAGAAAGTCTTCTCTATAAAATTGACTATACAAAGCCGAGAGGATAAGCATAAGCCAGCCAACAATAATTTATGAGTTTGCTGTGAGTTTGAGGAAACACTAAATGTGACAAGAGAGGGAGAGGGAGAGGGAGATTTTTTGGCAAATTCTAAATTATTTTTTCTTGTGCCTGGATCTATTTAAAATGTTTTAAACAGATATTCTCAAACTATGGGATACATATGAATACTTTTTATTTATTACAAAAGAGTGTCTAATATTACAGTTTTACCAACATAAAAATACATCAATATAATGAAGATAAACTGGCCACTGGTTATAGGTATACTGCAGTTATTATCAAATAATAAGCAGCAGGGTGAAAAATATTTTACAAAGTAATAATGGAGTGTTGACTTCCATTGGGCCTCACAGAGAAAACGAGTTCAGAGTTACCTTGCTGCCATAACAACTATGAAGTTGAAAACATACTATTTTCAGGTATTTAATAAAACTCAGCACAGGACTCTCATAAGAAAGGAAATACACAAGATGAGCCCTGAACTCTCTCCAGGTGTTTGCCTAGTGACATAATCTTATTGCTACAGGGAGGAAAACTAAGTACACCTCTGAGTGAAGGGAGCAGTTATTGTAGTTCCAGCCTGAACATATGGCCAGAATTTCTGGAGTAGTGTTCTGGAAAAATGAGAACTACACAAAGGGGGTTTCAGAAGTCTGTGTGGGAATTTACCTTGGTCTTTGGCCAAGGGCTGAGCTACTCATGCAGAAGGAAAGAAGACTAGGTATTAACAGAAATGGCCTCTGTGTGGGTGTGAGTTGAACAGAGATACTACAGGACATGCAATTCTGGGAGACATTAGAATTCTGGAATAGCCAAATAGTAGCAACCTCCCTGAGCACCAAAGATAAAAAATTGAGACCCAAGGAAACTTCACCTTAGGAGTAAGAGTCATTTCCATGCCCTAGAGTAAAGGTCACATGTAAATTCCAAGGGTAAAACAGAAATTGATGTGTCCAAAGAATAAACACAAGCTCAATGAATGAAAAGTATCTGTCAGTATTTGCAACAGTTTGTTAGAATAAACCTCAACCCATAAAAAGAAGTGACATAATCCTGAGTCTCTAAAATGTATAATCCAAAAATAAAAGATTTCTAAACATGCAGTGTAGCAGGTGAATGTGACTACAAAGAGGAAGTGGGTGAAAGGCAATAGAAATAGACACACAGATGCCCCAACTTCTAGAATAATCAGACAATAACTTTTAAACAGCCATTATAAAGATGTTCAATGATTTAAAGCTAAAGATAGCAAAAGTGAGTGAATATTTGAGAAATCTCCATAGAGAAATGAAAACAACAAAAAAGAACCACAAGGAAACTCTAGAATTTAAAACTACAATCAATGTATTAAGACAAAATATCTGTAGGATATTTTTATTCAAATATTAGTTATTTGTATTTTCAGTTTTTAAAAAAGTCAGTCTGTCTAGAGATGTACTAATTTTATTGATCCTATAAAAAGAATTTTTGTCATTATTGATTTTATTTAAGCTTTGTTTCGATTTTATTTTATTGACTTCCTCTCTTATGTTTTGATATGGTTTGAATCTGTGTCCCTGCGTAAATCTCATGTCAAATTGTAATCCCCAGTGTTAGAGATGGGGCGTGGTGGGAGGTGATTGGATAATGGGGGCGGATTTCCCCATTGGTGCTGTTCCCATGATAGTGAGTTCTCGTGAGATCTGGTCATTTAAAAATGTGTTGCATCTCCCCTCCGACTTGGTCCTGGTCCTGGTCCTGCCGTGTAAGACGCCTGTTCCTGCTTTGCCTTTTGCCAGAAGCAAAAGATCCCTGAGGCACCCCCCCGAAGAAGAAGATGCTGCCATGCTTCCTGTACAGCCTGTGGAACCATGAGACAATTAAAACTCTTTCGTTAAAAACTATCCAGTGTCAGGTTATGTCTATAGCAGTGGGAGAACAGACTAACATGCATTTATTAGTTACATCCTTTTGCTTAATTTTTTATTTTCTTTCTGGTTTCTTAAGGTGGAACCTTGTGTCACTGATTTAGGACCTTTCTGTGTATTCCATTATGAGCATTAAATGCTATAAATCTCCACATAAAAACTGTTAACTTTTATATATCACATAAATGTTGATATGTTTTCTTTTCATTTATATTTGATTGTTTGGTTCAGAATTTTGTCTAATTTCACTTATAATTTTAGTTTTGAGCCATGGGTAATTTAGAAATGTATCATTTAATGTTTGTTATGCCTGTAAAACATACTTTGATTGACTTAAGTCCTCTGAAATTTATTGTGATATGTTTTATGGCCTTAAATGTAGTCTATTTTGGGGCATGGTCCATAAAACCTTGGAAACACTGTATTTTGTGTAGTGTTCTATAAATGTTAATTGCATTAACTTTCTTAATAGAATTGTTTATCTTTTATATTTTTATTGAATTTTCTGGATTGACTAACACAGTAGATGACTAGGGAGACAGAGTGAGTAATTTCAAAATATATATATAAATTTTTCAATCTAAAGAAAAGAAAAAATATACTATAAGCATAAAAAGAGCCTCACTGTGAGAAAAGAATCAAATGCTAGCAAGCACTGGACCATCCATAAAATTTGAGTCTCAAAGTGAAAATTGAAATATAGTGTGACAGAAAAAATATTTAGATAAAAACTGAAAATTCCTAGTTTGGTGAAAATACTTTAATTAACAGAACAAAATATCTCAGTGAAACCCAAACAAGACAAATATAAGGAGAATTGTATATATGAATATCATAGTATGATGCTAATGAAGATAAAGGGAAAATCTTTAAACAGCCAGAGAAAAAAGACATCAGGGAAGATCAATGATGGGAATGATGGCTGACCGCCTTTCATCAACACTGACAGAGAGCAAAAATAATTTTGAATAGTATCTTAGAGTGCAGAAAGAAAAAAATAGTCAATCTCAAATTCTACAACTACCACAAATATCCTATAAAAACTAAGGTAAATAAAACTAAATATATATATATTTTTAAGAGATGGGTCTTGTTTTGTCACCTAGCCTGGAGTGCAGTGGAGTGATCATAGCTCACAGTAGCCCTTAACACCTAAGCTCAAGAGATCCTCCTGCTTGAGCCAAAGTTATATTGTAGATAAACAAACATTGAAAGCAATCATTCTGAGTAAACATATATTACTAAAATTTTTCGAATAATTTTTGGGCTGAAAAGAAATAACCTGAATTGGAACTAGCGGCCGGGCACGGTGGCTCAGGCCTGCAATCCCAGCACTATGGGAGGCCGAGGCGGGCGGATCACAATGTCGGGAGATTGAGACCATCCTGGCTAACACGGTGAAACCCGGTCTCTACTAAAAATACAAAAAAATTGGCCGGGCATGGTGGCAGGCGCCTGTAGTCCCAGCTACTCTGGAGGCTGAGGCAGGAGAATGGCGTGAACCCAGGAGGCAGAGCTTGCAGTGAGTGGAGATCGCGCCACTGCATTCCAGCCTGGGTGACAGAGCTAGACTCCATCTCAAAAATAATAATAATAATAATATTTTTATAATAGATTTTATTACATATAAATGTGAAAAATATGTGTCATCAATAACTAAAAGAAGTTCAATTGGGATTTATTGTTGCAAGTTTCTTACTTTTTACAGAAATTGGCACCCTGTTTGGGATTAGTTAATATCTAAAAACAAATACTGGCCAGGCACGGTGGCTCACACCTGTAATCCCAAAACTCTAGGAGGCCAATGTGGGAAGGTTGCTTGAGCCCAGGAGTTAAGACTAGCCTGGGAAACATAGTGAGACCTTGTCTCTACAAAAAATTAAAATTAAAAAATTAGTTAGGCATGGTAGTACACACCTGTAGTCCCAGCTTCTCAGGATGCTGAGGTGAGAGGATTGCTTGCATCTAGGATGCCAAGGCTGCAGTGAGCTCTGATCGCACCACTGCATTCTAGCCTGAGTGACAGAGCAAGGCGCTGTCACAAAAGAAAAAAGACAAAAAAAAAAAAACAAAAACCACCACAAGTACTTAAAGGGCATCAGAAGTATAGCCAAAAAAGCAATTGAGGAAGTAAAATGAAGTACTAGAAAATATTTAGCTAACCCAAAATAAGGCAGAAAAAGAGAAACAGAGGGAGAAGAAACTAATGGGAAAATTTGTATAGATTATAGAATTAAAAACAATCACACTGTTAATTATATTCAAATAGGGTAAAATCTCAATTAAAAAGGCAGAGATTATAAAACAGGATAATAAAAAAAGGAATACACAGTGTATGCTGATTACAAGAAATACAGTTTAATAATAAGCACAAAGACATTGAAAGCAATAAGATAGAAAAAGCTATAGCATGAAAGCATTAGGCACAAGGAAGTCATTGTAGCTATATAATTTTCTGACAAATAGGCTTTGAGACTGGGACTATTACCAGAGAAAAATGGGGACATTTGATAATGATGAAAGGGTCAATTCATCAGTAAGATATAACAATATTTTTGTACTTAATGACAGAGTGTCAAAATACATGAAGCGAAAACTGGCAGAAATAAAAGGAGACAGAGACAAATCAACATACATGGCTGAATATTTTAACAACCCTTACTTTGTAAATGACAGAGCAACCAGACAAAATTTATTAAAGATAAAGAAAATTTGAAAACAGCTCAATACCAATGTATTTCAAGCTCACATGGGAAATGATCAAGGTGAATCATATACTGGACAATAAAATATGTCAAAATGTATTTTTTAAAAATGTAGTATTACACATAATATTTTCTGCCAAAGTAGAATTTAATTAGAATATCTGGATATTTGAAAGACCACTGCCAGAGTACTAAATAACTTCTGGATTAAAGATCTATCAAATTAAAGGGAAATTTGAAAGTAACTTAACGGGAATGAAAATGAAAATAAAACATATCAAAATTTGTTGATTGCTGCTAAAGTGTTGCATGTATGGAAATGTACAGTTTAAGTACTCATATTAAAAAAGAATAAGTGTTTAATAATCAATTATTCATGTTTCCCTGTAAGACCCGAAAAAGATGAAAAAATTAAACCTAAAGTATATAGAAGGAAGGAAATCATAAAGAGCCAAAATTAATTAAAATAAAAAGAATAAACATGGGATAAAATCATTAGTATTAAATGTTCATTGTTTGAAAGCATTATGGATGTGAGAAATCCTCAGGAGACTGTTGTAGAGAAGAAAAATAAAAAAGAGAGAGAGAAAACACCAAATATAATATTAGGAGTACACGAGGAATATTACAGAAAGGCCAAAGGACCTTAAAAGAAAAAAAAAAGACTGTTAAGAACAACTTTATGCCAATATATATTATAATTTAGATTAAATGGACAGATTCTTTGAATAACATAACACCAAACTGACCAACGAAAAAAGTAGAAAATCCCAGTAGCTCTTTATCTATGGAATTAAATTCTTTTTTTTTTTTTTTTTGAGACGGAGTCTTGCTCTGTTGCCCAGGCTGGAGTGCAGTGGCACAATCTTGGCTCACTGCAACCTCCACCTCCCGGGTTCACGCCATTCTCCTGCCTCAGCCTCCCGAGTAGCTGGGACTACAGGCACCCGCCACCACACCTGGCTAAATTTTTGTATTTTTAGTAGAGACGGGGTTTCACCGTGTTAACCAGGATGGTCTCGATCTCCTGACCTTGTGATCCGCCCGCCTCGGCCTCCTAAAGTGCTAGGATTACAGGCATGAGCCACTGCGCCTGGCCGGAATTTAATTCTTAATTAAGAACTGTCCCACCAAAAGAACTTTAGATACATGTTGTTACACTGATGAATTCTAAAAATATTTCAGGAAGAAATGACACAAATATTATATAGTCTTTTAGAAAATAGAGGAGGAAATAAAATCTAAAAACCATCTTCTGAGTCCATCATGAACTTCATATTAAAACTTGAAAAAGACTTTTTAAGAAAATTATAGACCACTTCCTAACAAATATTGACACAAAATACATGAACAAGATATTAAAAAATCATGTACATTGATATGTAAGAAAGATATCTCATAAACAATTGGGGTTTACTCTAGGAATGCAATGTGATTTCCACATTTAAAAATGAATTGATATAATTCACCACATTAACAGAATAATCGAAAAAACCTATTATTATCTCACCAGATTCAGGAAATGCATTTGACAAAATCAATACATTGCTTTAAAAAAATTTCTGCAAAGATTAAAGGAGAGCTTCCTTAAAATGATACAAAGAAGGTACTAATACCTTCAGCTAATTTTACACTTAATGGTGTAATGGGATATGGATAAAGGCAAGGATATCTCTCTCTTCACATATTTTCAACATTGCAGTGGAAGTCCTAACCGTGCATGCTGTAAGAAAAGAAAAACTAACAGAGGCATAGAAATAAGAAAATAAGAAGTAGATGTTTATTCCCAGTCAACTTGAATATTTTTGAGGAAAGCCCTAAGAAAGCCCCAAAATAACTTATTAGACGTAAGAAATGAAGTTAGAAAGTTCAAAAGATACAAAGCCAAGTTTTAAAAAATCAATTAACTTTCTATATACTTGCAGCAAAAAAAATGAAATTGGAATTAAAATATAATCACAATTGTATTTAGAACTGGATTACAAATGTAGTTTAAAAAATTAGAAAAATGTGTGCAACACTTCTCCACTGTAAACTAAAAACATTGCTGAGAGAAATAGAGACGTAAAAAAATGGAATTATATGTCATCTTCATGAACTGGAAAACTCAGTTTTGATAAAGTATCAATTATCCACATATTTATTACAAATTTAAAAGCATAATAATTAAAATTCCTACAGAATTTTATGTAGAAATTAAAGAAGATAATTCTAAGATATATGTGAAAATTGAATGACTTAGAATAGTTCAATTTTGGAAAAAGGAATAATGTTGGGAATTCAGACGTTTACCCTAAAGCAACAGTAATGAAGATGGTGTAGTACTGGTACATTACATAGATTAATCCATGGAAAGGAGTAGGAATTCTAGAAATATGATGTACACATATACAGTCAATTAATATTCAACAAAAGTGCCAAGGTAATGAAATAGGAAAAGGAAAGTATATTTAAGAAATGGTTTTGGAAAAACTGAATTAACATACAGCAAAACCTAATTGTCAACCCCTAACTCGGGCCATACACAACTAATTCAAGGTAGATTATAGGTTTATGCATAAAAGCTAAAACACTAAAGGTTGTGTAGGAAAACATAGAGATGCTGTTTTCAATCCTGGGATAGATAAAAGCACAAATCTTAAGAGGAAAATCTTAAAAGGATAAATTCTACTACCGTAATTATAAAATTCTCATCCAAAAACAACATTAAGGAAAAACAAGTATCCGGGCACGATGGCTAATGCCTGTAATCCCAACATTTTGGGAGGCTGAGGCAGGCAGATAAACTGAGGTCAGGAGTTTGAGACAAGCCTGGTCCAACATGGTGAAACCTCGTCTCTACTAAAAATACAATAATTAACCAGGCATGGTGGTAGGCGCCTGTAATCCCAGCTACTCGGGAGACTGAGGCAGGAGAATTGCTTGAAACTGGAGGAGGAGGTTGCAGTGAGCCAAGATCATGCCACTGCACTCCAGATCTTGGGCAACAGAGTGAGATTCCATCTCAAAAAAACAAACAAACAAACAAACAAAAAAACAAAAGGAAAAAAAAGAAAAGACAAGTAGCCAGGAGATGCATTGGCTCATTTCTGTAATCCCAACAAATTGGGAGGCTGAGGTGGGAGGATCACTTGAGGCCAGGAGTTCAAGACCAGCCTGGGCAAGATAGTGAGACCCCATCTAAAGATACAAAAGAAAAGAAAAACCAAGCTCAAAAGAAGAAATTATTTGCAGTACACATGTCTGACAAGAGATTTGCATATGAATTACATAAAAATCTTCAAATCAATAATTAAAGAGCAAACAATTTATAAAAACTTGCAAAACGTTATACATTTTATAAAGGAAAATCTATAAATAATGATTAAGTACATAGAAAGATGCCTACCATCATTAAAGGTCGGGCATGCAAATCAACCTTTTTCCTGTATACAAAAAACCATACAAACAAACAAACAAAAAAATAGTTCTTTGCCAGCGCTCATTTAATTTTACATAAACATGCTCTTTGAGGCTGAAGCAATATGAAAATAAAATATAAAAACGGTTCTTGGAGTTATTTTAAGCAGAACTAACAGCAGAATCACCTGAATCATCAAAATTGTCTATTTCAGAAAAATATATATCAAATGAATCTTTGGCCAACTGTTGGAGAACAATGTTAACATAATGGGTAGGAATGCTACCTTTTTTAGGATTTGACATTTTCAGTGATGGAGAGTTATTATACTTTGCAAATGAAAATGCCACTACTAAAAACAGAAAGCTATAAATAGAATGATGTCTTTTGTTTCTGAAGTCAACATATTAGAGTGATGCAAAAATAATAATAAAAGTGAGATATTGCATGGCCAAGTTATCTTGGGGTAATGCTGGAGCTGTAAGTGTTGCCAGCCTGTATTCTGGGGCAAACGGAAAAAGGGTTAATGCTACAATTACAAACACACTAGAATGGCTAAAATGAAAGAGAGAAAGAGAGAGATTGAGATATTAACACCACAGTTGGCAATGATATGGAGTATCTTGAACTCTCATAAATTTCTGGTGAGAATGTAAAATTGTGCAACCGCTTTGGAAAACAGTTTGGCATTAAAAAAAATTAAATATGCATCTACCTCATTATCCAGTAATTCCACTGTTAGGTGTTTAATCAAGAAAACTAAAAATATGTCAATAGAAAGATGGTTTTATTGATAATAATCAAAACAAAATTATAACTAATGCTCATCAAAAGGAAAGTAAATGACCAAATTATGACCATTATATACTACTACTCAAAAATGAAAGGGAATAAACTACTGATACATGAAACAACGTGAATGAAAATTAAGAAAAACTACATTGACGGATAAAATCTAGATTATGAGTATACATATGGTATGATTCCATTTATATGAAGTTAAGTAACAGAATTTATTCAACATTTAAGAAATCATAATAGTGGTTGCTACTGCTATCTTGGCAGTAGTGGGAAGGAGAGGCATGAGCAAAGTTTCTGGCATGATGTACGTGCTTTATAAACTGATGGGGTTCGAGTTACAGGAGGGTATATATGTGTCAACATTAATTGCATTTTGCACTTAACGTCTGTGCATTTCACTGTACATAACCTAAACAAAATAAATAAATTGGACTTACATCTCTAATGTGGTGGTTTCAGGCTTTTTGTGTTATGGAGATAACATTTTAAAGGCAATAGGACTATTATAAAATAGATTGCCAAAATATTGTTGTGCCAAAAATAGAGTTTTAAAAAATGCATGAGTGCACAAACAAACACAAGCTCATATACCTACACACATTCTGAGGAATCTTTGCTCTTTCTAGGAAAGTTTTTGAGAGGGTTTTTATCCTTTTACATATAAAAATGTAAAATAGAGCACTGTCATATAATTTAGACAGCAACATTTCTTAAATACAGTTGACTTTTGAACAATGCAAGTTTCAAATGCATGAGTCTTTCTTCCACCACTGCCACCCCTGAGACAGCAAGAACAACCCTTCATTTTTGTCCTCCTGCTCCTCAGTCTACTCAACTTGAAGATAACAAGGATGAGGACCTTTATGATAACACACTTCCACTTAATGAATAGTAAATATATTTTCTTTTCCATATGATTTCCTTTTCTCTGGCTTAACATGTGAAGTACTACATATGTTAATTAACTGTTTATGTTTTTGGTAAGGCTTCTGGTCAGCAGTAGGCTATTACTAGTTGAGTTTTGGGGGAATCAAAAGTTCTACACTAATTTTCAACTGCACGAGGGTAGATTACCCAAACCTCTGTTTAAAGGTCAACTGTATTATGTGTAAATACTATATTCATGTTCTGCTACTATTTTGTATACAACAGCTTGGTTTCTTTCTGCATTGTCTATAAATGATATTTATCTCTTATCAGCAATGATATAAAAGGTTGTATTTCTTGGCTTCATTGTCTTTTGAAAGCCTGGTAGGATGCTAGCAATGTGCCTTCCAAGATCTGACTGAAATCATAAGGCCAATTTTAAGTGAGAGAAACTAATCTCAGTCAAATTGAGCCTCATACTTCCTTCCCCAGGAGTTCATCTCAGTTCAGGAAGCTTACATGCCATGTTTCACTAATGCAGACTGTGTAGGGGAATAATCGTGACAAATGACAGTGTGATGTGGTTAAGGTCATTTTTATCGAAGCTGACATATGCAAAGATATCCATCATTTCATCCAGCTTTTGGACAGTGACAATAGGACACCCAGGTCACTGCTGTGATCTCCTCACCATGACCACTCCCAGGGCTTGACTTCTTTAGTTCAACTTGCTTTCTTTGCTACATTGTCACATCTTTCACTATTTCATCCCTGATATTCCTTTTCCCACCACAGCAAACATTATATAAGGGAGCTCTTCCTAGTTCAAAGAACTTGAACATCTTCTTTAAACTAGCATTTAATCCCCTAATTTTTGGAATTTACTCTCATTTTGAAATTCAAAGGCCAAAGATTTACTTGCCTTCTTTTTTCTCTGAATTTTGGTATGTCACCCGTTCTTTGAGGCAGTGAGCATGAAGTATCCTATCTTACTGAGCTAAGGAGGGAGACAGAGTACAATTAATTAATGTCAAAATGACCGCATAAAATTTTAAAACAAATCTCAATTAGTATGTTGAAATACTATTGTATCACAAGATACATCATATATAAACTTGAAATAAAGATTTAACTCCTAATCAGGGGATATAAATGTCTGCATGGAGGGACCCTTATACTCCTCCAACTACATGTTCTCTTCAAATACTCAATTTCAGCCCCATGAGTCTTTTTCAGTCCGCAAATACACCAAGTGATTTACTGCTTTCAGATTCTTGGCACATCCATTCCCTTGCAAGGAATGCTCTCCACTTCTCAGGCATCTTAGCAAATTCCACATTCCTCCTTGATTTGGAAAAGAAAAGAAATATTACTGAACTAATCTACACCACTTGTACCCATTATCTTTTCCTTCCACCATGAAGGTATTAATGGAGATATTAATAATAAAATTGTATTCAAACAGAAGTAACAGAAGTAAGTTAATTTGAATTAATCTGAAAATATTTAAGGTCATGAAAGTAACTTCTTTTTGGTGCAGGAAGTGTCCTATTTGAAATAGCTAAGATGCTTGACTGCCTGTGTCTCTTAGGTCATTGGGCACTTAGGGGTCTTCGGTTGGAATGTAGAGAAACAAACTTCCTCTTCCATTAACTTACTACATTAAAAATCTGCCAACATTTTCATCTGGGCAGTCAATCTTTGATATCTGCCAATGATGGCTCTTTTTTCTTAGAAGATTTCTCCCATTGCATGATGTGTCTGCGCCCTGGCCTCTTGCCAAATCAGCCTCCTCCACATGGTGAAGGAGAAAGCCTAACCTGAACCTAAACAAACCTTTTGTCTCTTGGGACCAGAAGTGAACGTTCTTTCAAGTCACTGATAAAATGCTATTTATATAAAATGGGTTTCCATGGAAATGTACTCATATATATGATTTCTGTATATATACTGTAGACAAAATGAACATAAAATCACAACATTAAAACATTGCATATGATTTAGTGTCATCACTTGACTTTAAAGGAAATTATACACTTATAATATATCAAAAAGTGTTTCTATCAGGTCAATTTTTCAATTACAAATGTGGGAAGGAGTATATATTTGTAAACAATTAGGTGTATCTCATCCATGCTAAACTGTGTATTAAAACGTGTAAATATCTTTTATTAGAATGAGATATCTGATGAAAATACTCTGATTCTCGACAAGAATGTAGAGTATGTTTCAGATCGTCTTTTCTGGGATCAGAGGTTTATTCATCTCTGGAGGAAAAGGCTGAGGACCAGTTTTTTGATTTACAGTGAAATAGGTAGAGCAGTAACAGACATTTCGGGGGCTTAGAAATTTTCTGCTCAATGACACAACTCCATAAGGACAGAGCCTCATACATTATTGGGATAATTTCATTCAGAGTTTAGGTTTATTACACAGAGGACAACATACTGGATATAATCCTTAGGAAAACAATAGCAATCTGGCCTGTCTTATGAATAGATGGGAAAGTGGGTCAGGAGCAATTTACTAATTCACTCAGCAGTAAAGGTAATTACTGTTTTTAATGATAATGTACTACAGGCAGATCTAATTGGTTCATGCCTCATGTTTAAACTGTTCTAGCTTAATAAGTGCAAGAACATTATATTTAGTTTGCTAGGTCTAACAGCACTCGATACTGAAAACTGACCTTTAAGTGATCCCCTGTGCTGTTCTGTACTATTTATTTTGGATTATTGAAAGTCTTAAATATTTTTAGCTAAAATGTGTACTTGTATTACATATTTTCATAGGCCTTCATTTCCTTTCTGTTCTGCCCATGATGACATACAGAATATATTAAGAAAAGCATGGTCTCAAAAAGCACACACTGTAAAATTAAAAGTAAAGGACTGTTTAAATTATGTGAGTCAGAGAAATAGGTTCAGAAAGAATTTGAAGCTTCTTCAGTATGATCTCTTTCTGCAGGATTCCATTTTTTTTTTGTCAGTCATTTCAAATGAGTACTGTTTGGTATAAATTATTATATTTATGGCATCAAAAATGTCATGTTTGGGGCATGTTTATACTCATTTAAAAACAGGTAATCTTTTGAGTTTCTTCATTGTCCTGCTAGACAAATGGTTTGTCCTTTACAGCAATACTTGTGTGCTTTCATCTCGTTTAATGTTAGAGTGTTAGAGGGTACTTAGAGAAATCCCAAGATTCTACCCCAGTGTCATCAATCTAGTTGCAGAGCAGAACCTAGTTGGCAAATGAGATTCCCTAGCTGCTGGGACTATTGGCAGGAAAACTTTACATGTCAGACTTCTTCATGAAGATTGCTCCCAGATGAAGGAAACTGTTCCACCCAAGGTCATGGCATCTTCCTGAAGCAGCATATGTCCTATAACTGATCAATATGCATGATATTGAATGCACAAATTATTTGCCCCAATTTAGCAGGTCCATCTTAGCTTCATGCTACTATGATATTCAGAGGTCTTTTTGTCTTGTTTCTTTATGGCTATATGGTGGCCCATGTTCTCCCTTCTCCCAACCCTTCCACTCTTACTCCAAGAGAGGTATTGGCAGTGAGAACACTCCCCAGTTAACTGCCTGAATGAACATTTTTTTCCATGTAAATATTTCAGAGGCCAGAGACTGAGCATGGTGGCTCACATCTATAATCCCAGCACTTTAGGAGACCAAGGCGGGTGGATGACCTGAGGTGAGGAGTTCAAGACCAGCCTGCTCAACATGGTGAAACCCATCTCTAGTAAAAACACAAAAAATTAGCTGAGCATGGTGGCAGGTGCCTGTAATCCTAGCTACTTGGGAGGCTGAGGCAGGAGAATTGCTTGAACCTGGTAGGTGGAGGTTGCAGTGAGCCGAGATTGCACCATTGCACTCCAGCCTGGGTGACAGAGTGAGGCTCTTTCTCAAAAAGAAATATATATATATATTTCAGAGACTGCTTCCAGATACCTAACCTGTGAAGCTACCCGGGTTGGCTGACTGCTTTTAACAAAGCTATTGTCCGCAATACGTATTTCTTATTCATCTTTTATAGCAGTAGTTTGGTCAAAACTTGTGGAAAAACTCTGTAGCAAAATGTGAAACATTAAATTAACTTTCATAGATTTGAATGTATATGTATCTTTCATTTATGATACCCATACCATCTAAAGCTATATAGGAAAATGTCTATTTTAATTTATATTTCCAAGGAACAACGATCCATGATTTATTTATATCTAGAATGTTAATTTAGATTTTTTCCTTGAAAGTTTTACTCAAGTCTAAAGTTAAGTTGAATTACTAACATATAAATCAGAAATAAAATTTACCCACACATTGCACAAATCCTTTACATTAGGGCCTAAGGAAACTAGGCCATAATGGCCTTATTTTTGACTTAGTATGTATTATTCAACAAAGTTCTTAATTATCTATGAAATCAAGGGTATTATTACATGTCGCTTGCATGGATTTTTAACAAAGAGTGAGGAGACTGGGCTTTTGAGTGCAAACCCACACTGGATTTGAGATTTAGCCAATAGAGTGATCCTAGATGATAAAAAGTTTTAATAATAACGGTTCTGAGTTTACATGCATTTTAGGGGAAGGAACATGGAGGCACTGTAATTTCTGGAAGAATTACTAAAATTCCTGAATCATTCTTCAAAATATATAGCAAATAAAGTACTTAGCTGAGAGGAAACTTGTTAGGTTCTCTTGTTTCAACTATTTACCTTCAGTCAATTTTCTATTAATTTATAAAATGAAATGTGATTTCTAAGGTTAATTTTGCTTTAAATTTACATGATTCTAAGTTTGACTAGATTAAACAAGGAGAACAGAGAAATATGAAATCTATTTTGGATATACACTAATGTAAATGTAATGTGAATAGAGAGCATTGGCAGAGCTTATAAATCAATGAAGGGTTTATTTTTGAGCCATTGGATTAATTCAATAAACACTTTTTAATTACCATGTGCTAGGGTTCTGAAAATGGAAGATGAGTGAATGAGTGTAATCTTTGTTCATGCAGAGTTCACAGTCAAGGTCAAAGTAAATAAATTAATTATGGGAAATAAAGGAAGCAATAAAGCTCTTACTAAAATTTTGAGCTTTGAATATATAGTCTTGGTGATTTTTCTGATGGTACTAAGTACATTATTATTATCATTTGATATTTATGCTTACTCCATATGGAAAAATATGATAGTGTCCCTAAATTTAACAAAAACCCTTACTGTATCTATTCTCCAAAAGAATCTTATTATTTGTTTCCTGGTTTCACCCTCTAATTTATTTTCAGGAGAAATAGTCCCCGATTTAGTTGACAGAATTCTGGTAGAATTCTCTTCACCTCCTTTAGAGGTAGAGTCTGTGGCTGAAGTTTACTTCTAGCTGATTAAAGCACTCTATTCCTTAATCTCAGTGAAAGTGTAGGGATAAGCATATGATTCAAACCAAATATAACCAATCTGAATATTGCTTCAGCGACTAGGAAGAGTCTCTGTGTTTTTTATTTAACCTCAGGGCATTCAAGACTTATTGACTCCAAGTCACCTTGCCATTACAAGTGAAAAGTATTCTGAGAGTGAGGCCCTAAATCATGGAACAGAGAGGACAAAGTTGAACCAAGTTTTGGAGAAAATCAGTTCTTATATTACTATCAGATTTAATTATTAAAATAGTGTAAAGTAAACATTAATTAAAATTTGGGGAAAACTACATGTATTTAAAAAGAAAAGTCTTAAGTAAAAAATACTGTCCCTTAAGTAATGGGCATAATACATGAACACACAATTTATAATAAAAGATTATCAAATGGTTATTAATTTTTTTAATTTCTACTTTACTAGCATAAGTTTTGACTATTTTCTGTCATTAGAATTAAAATTCCAAAACAGAGTGGAATCCTGGCTTGAATAGCTTATCACTATGTCTCCAGGTCTTAGAATCATGTTAGTTGGAACACAGTAGATTTTCAATTTAAAAAATTGGTTGGATGAATAAACAAATCATTCGGGAAATACAAACAAACTAATGAGATAACCTAATTTTTAAAAGCTGAATATAAATCTTGTCATAAATAATGTAGGAACTAATAAACTCTCATAAAATTTTGGTGATATTGTAAATTTATAGTGCCTTTCTGAAAAGCAAATGGGCAGTATTTATCAAATCCAAACCTTTCATTCTATTAAACCTAGAAAATCAAGGAAGTCAGTTCTATTATATTCTATATTTTGTAAGCAAAAAATAACTATTTTTAAAAACAAACCAAAAAAACTCACTTTCCTGATAGAATAGTTATGTAACACATAACTATTATTTTTAAATAATAGAAAAACATTTAGGTAAATTTGGTCGTCCATATCATGACATTCTATATAGTTGTTAAAAAGAATATGGTAGATACACTGACGTGAAAACATCACTGAAATGTATTGTGAAGATAAAAAGACAGAGATTAAAAAAAAACAAAAACTATACAGTATAAACCTATTCATGTGAAACAAAATTCATTACATATTTGATCTATGTCAATGTGTCTTTCTATTTTTCTATTTATTCATCTATATATCTATGTTTATAAGCATTTGTTTGTCTTTATATTTATCTGTCTAGTAAACTATATATTCATAACGCACAGGAAAAAAAAAACCCTAAAATGGCATACATTGATTGCATGTTTAGATTGGAGGAGGAAAATATTGGAGTAGAAATAGAGGAGATAACACTTTTTACCATGTGCATATTGATATGGTCTGGATTTGTGTCCCTGCCCAAATTGTAATCCTCAATGTTGGAGGTGGGGCTTGGTGGGAGGTGATTGGATCATGAGGGCTGTTTCTCATGAATGGTTTAACACCATCCCCCTTTGTGCTATTCTAGTCATAGTGAGTGAGTTTTGGTAAGATCTGGTTGTTTAAAAGTGTGTAGTAGCTCCCCACTCTGTCTCTTCCTCCTGCTCCAGCCATACGAAGTGCCAGCACCTGCTTTGCCTTCCGCCACGATTGAAATCTCCCTGAGGTCTCCACAGCAGCAGAAGCTGTTAGGCTTCCTGTACAGCCTGCGACACTGTGAGCCAATTAAACCTCTTTTCTTTATAAATTACCCAATTTTAGGTATTTCTTTATAGCAGTGTGGGAATGGGCATATATATATATATATATATATATATATATATATATATATAGACAAACATTGACTTTGAAGTAGTTCGTGCTAAAATGAAAAATAGTCACATTTCAACTTTTATTTTCTTTTTTCCCCAATTTAAATATTTTAATTTAAAAGCAAGCTTTACTGTCGAAAATGCAAACTTGGGGAGGGGAGAAACATCACACACAAGGCTGCCACTTCACACCTGGAGTGATGCACCGCGGCAGGGCGGGGCGCTCCTCACTTCCCAGACCGTGCAGCTGCCGCCTGGGCAGAGGCGCTCTGCACTTTCAACTTTTCTTTTTACTTCTTTGACTATGAAAAAAGTTGAACATCTTAAAGTCTATTTGCATATAATACTTCCTTGCCACTTATTTCTTTTTTTTAAGATTTTTCGAGTTCTTTTTAAAAATCATTTTTTGTTAATATTTCTTTTTATTTATTTATTCTTATAAGTTTGCTTGTTTCTCTTAGTGGGAGAACAAATATCATTTAAACATGTTTGCTAGCCAAAGTTGTACCTGTTCATTTTCACCTAATACAATTTCTAGTGTCTTTGCGGCTAGTTCTGGGTTTGTAGCTTAGATCTGCCACTTAGTAATTAGGAGCATAAAGAAATGTACTTAATTTCACTCAATCTCACTTTCCTGATAGAATAGTTAGGTAACACATATTGCAGGAGGATCAGCTAAAATGGCATATGGAGAGTGCTCAAGCTGCTTTCTATCACATGAAATTACAATAAAATTGTTTTAATTCTCAATTATTTTTGGCAATAATTATAGATTTCTTAATACTTTTATATAGTATAAAATTTTATCAAATTTCATCAACCTGTCTAGTAAAAATATAAATATCCTGGGACCAGATACTGTCATTCATTATTTTTATTCCCTAAAGCATTTGTGCAGACCCTTCCATGTGGTAGGTACTTAAGGTATACTTATTGAATTTAATTGAAAGCCTATATAACTTGAGTGAGTAAATCTGCACTGTTGTAAAGAAAAAATTAAATCAATTACGAGTATATAAATAAATTAACTTTACTGTTTTCTTGGAAATTTTTTTAAGAGTTTACTACCTACAAGTTCATAGAGTTACCACTCCTGAAATAATTATGTTTAAGTGCCCCTTTTAAAAGCTGCATTCACTCTAGTTTGAGTTACAAGAATATGATTATTCTAGCTTTCAAAAGAAAGTTTTTAAGCTTCAAGACTAATAGGCTCTTCTAATTAGGAAAAAAAAATCAACTGGCCTCCTACTTGTCAACAGTTTCTGAGAGGTCCCTTTTTAGTATGAGCCAAATGGTAAGATTTCTTAACAAATCATTTCTATTCTATGTTTTAAAAAATTATGGTTTTCTCCAAAATGCCATCAGAGTACTTGTTAATAGAACACTAACCTTAATCTTTGAGTAAGAAAACAATTTTTTATTTTTTTAGTTTTTAATATTTGGAGAGTCAGCACTCAAAATGTCTGTACAGGCTAATGTTCTTGAATGTAAGAGAAAGAATGAAAAGACAGGAATACTAAATATAATAGAGGAATACATTAAATTACCAAGCTTTTTTTTAAAAAAACATATAAACTATACACTGTATTAAACATTATGAGAGCTACTATTTTTCTTCTAATTTAGCTTGAAACCACTTCCTGTTTTTGCATGTATAAGAAAAACAACAGAGTTTGTTTTTTGGCAGACATAGGGAGAATTGTTATTTTCATTTACTATTTGTGGAAATCAGAAAAGAAACCAACTGTTGTAATTTTTTCTACACATGGTTAAAATTTCTGAATATAAGTTGAGGCTTCAGAAGTTACATCCAGAAATGACTAAAAAGACTTCAGCTTATCAGTAATTATCAATAATTATTGAACTATTTTAAGTTTATTTAAATACATAGGGATTATAGAGATAGACACGAGTTACATACCTGCATGCGTGCACACACACACCCACACACACAGATTTTTCAATGTGGACATTCCCCTGTTACCCAAATTGTTTTTAAATATTAATTGCATTACTTCAAATAAGCCTGCAGTTGCCTCCACAGCTCTTCACAGCAGTTTATTATTATTTACAATAAAAAAGCTGATATGCTGTCATTTGTGTAATCAATGGTTAACTCTCAGGCAGGAAAGTAGACTTATAAAACTTTAAGACTCAAATTGGGTGTTTTAAAACCTAATGTAGCTGCAAAAGTGAAGACAAATTTAACTGGAACTCAGATTAAATCTCTTTATTTTGTTTGTCAGTGTATAGAGCATTGGCAGATAAATGAAAGTCTTTGATATTCTCCAAACTTGATTCAATGCTATCTACTGGTATTTATTTAAAATTCTGGAATGAAGTATTTTCTCTTCTTCCATATGATTGATCTTCCATACTATAAAGGTTCCACCTTTATTCCCCCTGAAATGTACTCTACTGTTATCTCTGATAAGTGAACCTGATTCTATTCTGCCAGGAATGTCAGTAATAAACGATGGGCTAAGGTGGATGTCCTCCCAAGAGGAGGAAAAGGAAAACAAAACAAAAAATAAAAGGCCAATGAGTTTTGAATTGACTCCATTAAAAATAGTCATGATTGCTTATACAAGGGAAAAATATTGTTATAAAAGAGCCTATTAAAATGCCAGGAAATGTCTCAGCAGTTTAAATACTCTTAAATTTTTAAATGGTATACTAGCTAGCAGAGCTGTAGTAGATTGAATTAAGCTTCATTATTGATTCCCCTAGACTTTGTTGGTGAGTTGCCCATTTAAACACATTATCAGATACTTAATGAGTAATTTATAATGCTTCGAAGAACATGTACTTCATTTAGAATGGCTAACAACATCATTCAAATGAGAAAAGGTGTCAGGACTCAGTAAGTGAAAATGCTAGATGCAGACATAATGTCCATTAGAACAGAAGCCAAACAAGTTTTTTAAACAACATTTTGAATAAAATATTTCACATCTACAAATCTTTTAATAATTGAACTGCATCCTAAACTGTAATTATAAAGAGTCAATTAAATAATTATCATTAAGAACTTTCATGATACGGAGATATACTAGAAAATCTTGTAAAGGGTTCAATTCTTCCATAACTTCAATCTATGATGGTACATATCAAGCATTCAACTCTTTCTTGTAATGTCATGACTTTTCACTGTTTCTTGGGAGTGCTTTCAGCATCAATACTGGCCCTTTGTATGGGTACAGTGGTGTTAGTCAAGGTTTACAGTATTGCACTAAACACAATGAAACACACAGGGATCTTAGAAAAGAACCATGAGAGATCAATTTTTACTGCAATCTGCAATTTACTGGAGAGAGGAACTGCTCAAGCAGTGATAATTAGTATCACAGAGCATTTAAAAAAAATTTTCATTTATTTATTTATTTTTATTTCAACAGTTTGGGGGGTATAGGTGGTTATTGGTTAAATTGGTAAGCTATTTAGTGGTGAATTTTGAGATTTTAGTGCATCCATCATCCGAACACTGTACACTGTACCCAATATGTAATCTTTTATCCTTCACTGCCTCCCAATCTTCCCCACTCCAAGTCCCCAAAGTCCATTCTATCATTCTGTATGTCTATGCATTCTTATAGCTTAGCTCTCACTTATAACTGAGAACATACAGTATTTGGTTTTCCATTCCTGAATTACTTCAATTAGAATAATGTCTCCAGCTCCATCCAAGTTGCTGCAAAAGACATTATTTCATTCCATTTTATGGCTGGATAGTATTCCATGGTGTGTGTGTGTGTGTGTGTGTGTATCCACTCATTGGTCAATGGGCACTTAGGTTGGTTCTTCACAATTGTGAGCTGTGCTGCCATAAACATGCATGTGCAAATATCTTTTTTGTACAATGACTTTTTTTTGTTTGGGTAGATATCCAGTAGTGGGATTTCTGAATTGAATGGTAGATCTACTTTCAGTTCTTTAAGGAATCTCCATACTGGTTTCCATAGTTGTTGTACTAATTTACATTCCCACCAGCAGTGTAAAAGTGTTTCCTTTCAAGCTTATCCACGCCAACATTCTTTTTTTAAAAAAAAAAAAAACAAAAAACTCTAATTATGTTCATTCTAGCAGGAGTAAGGTGGTATCTTATTGTGGTTTCAATTTGCATTTCCTTGATTATTAGTGATGTTGAGCATTTTTTTTATTTGTTTGTTGGCTGTTTGTATATCTTCTTTTGAGAAATATCTATTCATGTCATTTGCCCACTTTTTGATGGGAGTTTTTTTTTTTTCTTGATGATTTGAATTCTTTGTAGATTGTGGATACTAGTCCTTTGTCAGATGCGTAGTTTGTGAATATTTTCTCCTACTCGGTTGGTTGTCTGTATACTCCACTGATTATTTCTTTTGCTGTGCAAAAGCAATTTTAGTTTAATGAGGTCCCATTTATTTATTTCTCTGTTTCTGTTGTATTTGCTTTCGGGGTCTTTGCCTAAACCAATGTCAAAAAGAGTTTTTCTGATGTTATCTTCTAGAATGTTTATGGTTTCAGGTCTTAGATTTAACTCTTTGATCCATCTTGAGTTGATTTTTATATAAGGTGAGAGATGGGTTTACAGTTTCATTTTTCTGCATGTGGCTTACTGGTTTGCTCAGCACTGTTTATTGAATAGGGTGTCCTTTCCCCAATTCATGCTTTTGTGTGCTTTGTCAAAGATCAGTTGGCTGCGAGCATTTGACTTTATTTCCGGGTTCTCTATTCTGTTCCATTGGTCTAAGTGCCTATGTTTATATCAGTACCATGCTGTTTTGGTAACTAGAGGCTTATACAATACTTTGAAGTCTGATAATGTGATGCCTTTAGATTTGTTCTTTTGCTTAGTATTGCTCTGGCTATGTGGGCTCTTTTTTGGTTTCATAAGAATTTTAGATTTATTTTCTATAGTTCTCTGGAAAATGATGGCATTTTCATTGGAATTGCATTGAATCTGTGATTGTTTTGGGCAGTATGGTCATTTTTACAATACTGATTCTTCTCATCCATGAGCATGGCATGTGCTTCCATTTGTTTGCATCATCCATGACTTATTTCAGCAGTATTTTGTAGTTTTCCTTGTAGAGATCTTTCACCTCCTTAAATATATTCCTTAGTATTTTATTATTTTTTTGCAGATGTTGTAAAAGGAATTGAGTTCTTGATTTGATTCTCAGCCTTGCCATTGCTGGTGTATAGCAGTGCTACTGATTTCTGTACATTGATTTTGTAACCTGAGGCTTTACTAGAATTGCTTATCAATTGTAGGAGCCTTTTGGATGAGACTTCAGGGTTTTCTAGGAATACAATCATATCATCAGTGAACAGTGACAATTTGACTTCCTATTTTCCAATCTGGATGCCCTTTATTTTTTTTTTCGTTTTTTTCTTCTTTTTTTCCTAAGGAAAAAAATGTTTCTACAGTTTACTTCAAAGTTACATGTCAAGACTAGGGAAAAAGGAGAAAAAAGAAAAAAAAGGTTTTAAATGCATTTTGAAGCTTAACTACTTCAAAGCGCATTTTAAAGTTACAGGAGGAGTGACTTCTAAGTATTAAACATTTACATTAACGTTTTGCCATTTAGTACACAGTGTTAATCATTTGCTTCTATAAATAAATAGTGTCTAGATGTCGCACATGAATTCTCAGTATGTACAATGGAGCCAATCAAGAAAACCATGAACTAGATTGTAGATACAGAAAAAAAAAATGGGGGTGTGGGTTTTAAGATATGGATCTTGGAAAAATTCAAGAAGTAATAAAAACCACTTGATGGAGATGGCTGCTTCTGAATCAGTAACAGACAATGGGGAAGAAGACATAGAGGAAGCAGTGTCAGAAAACAAATTGATATTAGACAATCAGGCAAAAGAGTTTTAATTATTCCAGACTGCTTTGATTTCTTTCACAGGGTGCACCTTTTTATGATATGGGCACTAAAACTAGAGCAAATAGTGGAAAGATCGATACTGCATAGAAACATTTTTAGATAAATGAAAAGGTAAAAAGTCAGGCAGAAATTACCATGTATTTCCATAAAGTTACACCCAGTATCCCTGCCTCTCCTGCCTCCCTTTCCACTTTCTCCACCTCACTCATCTCTGTCACCCCTGAGACAGCAAGGCCAACTCTCCTTTTCTCCTCCTCTGCATCATACTCAATCTGAAGATGATAAGGATAAAGACCTTTATGATGATCTACTTCCACTTAATGAATAGTAAATATATTTTTTCTTATGATTGTTAATAATATATTTTTTTTCTCTATCTTACTTTATCATAAGAAGAAATTGGTTGGGCACAGTGGCTCACACCTGTAATCTCAGCACTTTGGGAGGCTAAGACAGGTGGATTGCTTGAGATCAGGTGTTCAAGACCAGCCTGGCCAATGTGGTGAAACCCCGTCTCTACTAAAATACAAAAATTAGCTGGGTGTGGTGGCGGGCACCTGTAAAACTCAGCTACTAGGGAGGCTGAGACAGGAGAATTTCTTGAACCCATAAGGCGAAGGGTGCAGTGAGCCAAGATCACACCACTGCACTCCATCCTGGGTGACAGAGTGCAATTCTGTGTCAAAAATAATAATAGTATATAATAATAAAATAATATATAACAAAAAATAAATAAATACATTGTATCATATATATAACTTACAAAATATGTGTTAATCAGTTATGTTATCATTAAGGCTTCCTGTCAGCAGTAGCCTATCGGCATTTAAGTTTTTGGAGAATCAAAAAAGTTATATGTGGATTTTTGACTGTACAGGGGATCAGTGTCCCTAACTCTCATGTAGTTCAAGGGTACACTATAAAAGTAATTTATCTTTATGTGTATCTTAAAACATGCAGATGTAGTATTTTCTTTATCTCTCAGTTCTCAGGAATTTTTCATTTCCATTTGACTCTTTGTTTGACCTTCTTTGTGTCCTGAACTTAATCAACCTTTGTAAACACTTCTTGTGGATACTGGAAAGGGTATATTCTCTAATTATTATACACCATGCTTTATTAATACTTGTAAGGTCAACTTTTTAAATATGTTAATGAAATTTCTAGTTTTATCTGTATGAGTTACTTGTTATCCAGAGAACTGTATTAATATTTCACGGTTTCATTGGAAGCTTCACTGCGTAATCTGTATTCCTTAAATTCTTGAGGACTTGGTATCAGGCACATGTTTTGGAGCAGTAGTTTTCGGAGTGTCATTGGAATTTTCACTTCATAATCTGTATCCCTTTAAGTTCTTGAGGACTTGATATCAGGTACATATTTTGTAACAGTAATACATTTCTAGTGAATCATTGCTTTTATCATTAAACATTAATGTGTTTATCTAAAATATTTTGGGGGGTCTATTTTTTCTGATATTAAATTTCTATATTCTTACTTTTAGTAAACTTTTTAATTTAGGATTAATCTTAGATTGGCCGAAAAGTTGCAAAGATGATATAGAGCGTTCCTTTATTTCTATCTTCTAATGTTAACATCTTATATAACCATGGTATGCTTGTTAAAACTCAGAACCAACAGTGGTGGTACATTACTTAAGTAAACTCCAAGTACTATTTTGATTTTTCCAATTTTCCACTAATGTCCTTTTTCTGTACTAGGAGCCAATACAGAATACCATATTCCATTTAGTTATCATGTATCTTTCACCTCCTCTGTTTTGTGACTGTTTCTCACACTTTTCGTGTTTTTATGATGATAAGAGGGCTAACGTGTATTGTTCAGATATCTATGGAATGTTTCTCAATGTAAGTTTGTCTAATGTGTTTTGTATTTGGATTAGATATAGGTTTTGGGGAAGAAGACTCCCTCAGTTACAAGCCATTCTCATTATATTCTGTCAGGGAGTACATGATATCAACATACTTTATCACTGATGATATAACCTTGATCACTTAGTTAATATGGTGTTTGCCAGTTTTCTACAAAGGAATTGCTTTTTTCCCTTTCTATAGTCTATTCTTTAGAGAATTGTTAACTCCAATCCATACTCAAGGTGTAGGGATTAAGGTCCAACTCTTCAAGGGCAGAATATATAGAGAGAAAATATAATATAGATAATATATGTATATTATGTATATATTCCATGTGTATATATTGTTTTCTAAGGAACATTTGTCTCTTCTTATTTATTCAGTTATGTATTTATATAACTATGGACTTATGTATATTTATTTTATAATTTGGATTATAAATTATCTACCTTGTTTTCGTTATTATTTATCTGATATATTTGCCAGTATTTTTGTAAACAGCATAATTGAACATTCTAAAAATATTCTCACAAATTGTCTTTTAAATTATGAGATAGCCTCTTCAAAATGTTTGTGGCAAATTGAGATTTACTTCAACATATTTTCTGTTTCCTCTCATTACCCTCCATCATTACCTTAATAAATAAGCTAAACATTCTGTTCTTTATTCTTTAAGTGGATGCATGAAATAATAACATATATACTTATTGCCTCCCAAATTAGTCACTATTTACTATATTGTTTTGTTAGTAATTATTTTCTTATATTTACCACAAATTTGTAACATAGTTTTGCTGGACATAGAACTCTAGGATAGCATTTCACAACATTATATCATTTATAAAATTTATAACATTATATTATTTGCTTTTGATCCATTTTTTGAGTAAAAAGAAATAAAACAGGTACTTGATAATTGTAATGCAGGCAAATCTAAGGCCATGTGTGAAATACCATTGCAATGAGGGATCCTGAAGAGGATGAGGGATTTTCATTTTCCTATTTAGCTTTCTTTATTCTTTCCATTATTCCACAACTGAGATATTCTACATGTTTAATGTGTTGTCTCTATCATTTTCCCACTCATTAGCCTTTAGTCCTGCCTTCTATAGGATTTAACAGCTCAAAATGATTCGGCTCTGATGAGTGGAGGAACACCAGGGTTCTTGGTCCTCATGCCGGTTTAGATAAAACAACACGGACACACGTACCTGGACTGGTTTTAAGGAGTGGAGAGTTTAATAGGCAAGAAGGAAGGGAGAAGACAAAAGGAAGAAACTGCCCCGTACAGAGACAGAGGGAAGGGGGCTCCAAAGCCAAAAGAGGAGGTCCCCAAATGCGGTGGACACCAGCCAGGCGGAGGAGGTGATGTATGATTTGCACAGAGCTCAGGGGATTGGTTTGACCAGGCATGTCATTCACGTAGCCCGCAAAAAAGCTAGCCCTCCCACCCTAGCCTTTTAATAAGAAAATGCAGGGCGCCATGGATGTTCTACGCACGTGGGGATATGTGGGGTTGGCCATGTTGCCAGTAGCATGTGGGGAAAGGGCAAGAAGGCTGTGGGAATCGCCACGTTGGGTGGACCCAGTTTCTAATGGCTGGCACTTGCATATCAAAGGTTGCTGGCCTGGCTCTAAGAGCCAGGGCTTTACAAGAAACTTTTCTGGAGATGCTTTAAAAAATGAAAACTGGCCGGACGCGGTGGCTCACGCCTGTAATCCCAGCACTTTGGGAGGCCGAGGCGGGCAGATCACGAGGTCAGGAGATCGAGACCATCCCGGCTAAAACGGTGAAACCCCGTCTCTACTAAAAATACAAAAAAAAATTAGCCGGGCGTAGTGGCGGGCGCCTGTAGTCCCAGCTACTTGGGAGGCTGAGGCAGGAGAATGGCGTGAACCCGGGAGGCGGAGCTTGCAGTGAGCCGAGATCCCGCCACTGCACTCCAGCCTGGGCGACAGAGCGAGACTCCGTCTCAAAAAAAAAAAAAAAAAAAAAAAAAAAAAAAAAAATGAAAACTTCCCAAGGACCTCTTTTCGTCTATATCTCCCTAAAATAATATCTTAATAATTCCTGCAACATTCCCCCCTGTGGAGATACCACACTAAATGCTGTTAGGGCGTTTTGGGTGATGACTCTTTCTGGCTATTTCCTGCTGCAGAGGGGCACTGAATGGGGAACAACAGCTAGGGCTCCTCCTGGGGTTGATATAAGGGTCCTTGAAAGAATGGCATGTCCATGTGTGATTCAGGTTACAGCACCATTTGGAGTTTGATTGCTTCTAGGAGAGAAGAAACAATTTGAATTATAGTATTGAGCAATGTAACATTGTTTATGTAATGCTCAATAGTATTGAGCATAGAGAGTTCAAATGTTAATACAAGATGTATAAGCCAAAGAGGACTTAATAAAGGGGCTAACCAATTTCATAAAGAAGACCGGAATTCATTAAAGAGGGATTGTAGCCATGTGGTGCTGAAGCCGCATTTTCCATGAGCCTGTCAATAATTTTGATTTGATCTTTAAGTACCTGTAGATTTTCCTCTACTTTACTAGAGGTGTTAATCTAAAAGCAGCATGTTTCATTTAAAAGTGCATCACTAAACCCAACAAAAAGTCCTCGCAGACTCAGTGGTAGTAAAACTTTCATCCTTCCTTTTTGTTAACTATTATTCCTGCTATAAGGCTAATAATTAAGCAAAATACTTCTGCAATGGAAACTCTCTGTCCAATATTTCAGTTAGAAGGTGCTACCATGTATAACCCTATAGCAAACAGTAGAGCGAGCATAGCAATTCCCACAAGTGTGGTGTAGTAGATAATTTCCATCTAAAATTTTACTTGCCAAGATACAGAATTCCCCTTTGGGGGTCTATGAAGCTCCTTGGTTTTATTTTCCCAAACAAAGAAACCTCGGGGTTATGGGCACCTTACTTACTTTCATTACCTGGCAGAATTTGCAAGATAATTACCCAGAACTATTATATTGATTCACATTTTTACATTACTCATCCTTTTCTTTTTTTTTCAAGCTGCAGAAGATCACCACTTGATTCACAGGAATAAGCAGGGTTAGTCTAAAATGTAGGCAAAAAGCTAAAAAACAATTAATGAGACTAGGATTTAATGACAATGTGTATGAAAAGTTTTGGAGCAAAGCTTTTCTCTCCAGTCCTCATTTTGTGTAAAAACTAATTATGAATAAACTTTAGTCTTATACTAGTCCTGATTATTTGCATAAAGTACAGCAAGAATGGTTATTTTTACACAGGCCTTTTGGATTGGCTTTGATGAAACTCTGTTCCATGAGGAATTTCAGATAAGACTTTTGAAGCTGAGCCCAGTCATAGGTTTGTATCCCCTAATGCCTGTAAGTTGGGTGATCCTCTCCTCTTGAGGTCCCAAGATAAACTTGGAGCTTCCAGACCTGTTAGAAATTGACATTCTTTACTGACCACAGGTTAGGAACCCCGCACAGGGACTGTGTAGACAAAGTATGAGGCCAGTTCTCCCAAAGGGGCTTTTATTGGCTCTGCATGTCAAGCTTGATTCCTTAAAGGGAAACACCCCCTTTCAGTCAAAGCTTGGTAAAATAATCAGTTTTTCCAATTGTGTCCTGTTGACAAAGAAAAATGGATTCTTATTGCACTGATGCAAACAACTATATTGCCATAAGTTAAGAGTACTCCCAGATAATCTCCAAATTTTAGAGGAACCAGGCAGAGAAAAATAAACATGCTCCAAATTTTGTTCATAGGAGTATACCTTACTGAAGTATTAAAGGCCATAAATAGTTTAAATAAGTTTCCTTGACTCTGAAAACCAAAACAAGGATTAGCAATATTCCAAGAAAAAGTAAAAAAGTTTGCTTTAACTTTCTGATTGCAGTCCATTTAGTTAACTCTTGTTTTGCTTCATATTTGTGAACATGTTAGTGCTTTATGAGTCCCGTACATTCCTTCTCTAGTCCAATGTTACAATCTTCAAAGCTATTAAAAGCCTGGGCAAGAAGGCCATGAGAATCACCATGTTGGGTGGACCCAGTTTCTAATGGCCTGAATTTGCGTATCAAAGATTGCCAGCCTGGCTCTAAGAGCCAGGGCTTTACAAGACACTTTTCCGGAGATGCTTTAAAAAATAAAAAACTTCCCAAGGACACCTTTTTCTATCTGCCTAAAATAATCTCTTATAACTCCTACAACAATAATATTTATATGTGACTTTATATAGATGTAAACATTCAGAGTAAATAAATTGCATGGAATCAAAACAGCTAAAAGTAGACCAAACACATTAATTATAATTGGGATATAGTAACCTCTGACTTCAGATGCTCTACTCTCTCTTTAGCTAACAGACCCTCACATAGTGTAAAATTCTTTTAATAAAAAGCTGTTTATGTTTTATACTAGTTGGCATGCAAAATAGCAGGTATAAAATATATATATGAGTTGCTGGGGATCAAGGTTAATTATGGTCTCATTCACTTGTTAATTCTGGTAACTCTTTGAGAAATGTATATAAGAAATAAGTAATAACTGACACTGAATAGACAATTCAGTTTGTGACACATAAATAAGTTGTCACACTGGTAGGGATATACTTAGAAACTACTGAATTCCCAACTCGTGAATCTATATTTTGCACATTGCTAGTGTTGCAGGGATGCTGGGAGCTTATCATGGTCTCAGTGCCCAGGGAATTTTTCTAATGTTGATAGTCTATGTCAGCAATTTTTAAATGGAGGTTGTATTAGTCAGGGTTCTCTGGAGGGACAGGATTAATAGGATATATGTATGGAAATACATATACTATTATCATATATGTACTCCTTTTCATATGTATGTATGAAAGGGGGTTTATTAGAAAGAATTGTCTCACACAATCACAATTCAAGTCCCAAGATAGTCTCTCTCTGCAAGCTGAGAAAGAAGCCAGCAGTGGCTCAGTCTGAGTCCAAAAGCCTCAAAAACAGGGAAGCCAACAGTACAACCTTCAGTCTGTAGCCAAAGGCCCAACAGCCTCTGGCAAACACTGGTGTAGGTCCAAGAGTTCAAAGGGAAAAGATTCTAGAGTATGATGTTTAAGGGCAGGAGGGACAGAAGGAAGCATCCAGCGCAGGAGAAAGATGAAAGCCAGGAGACTTAGCAAGCCAGCTTATCCCAACTTCCTCTGGCTGCTTTGTTCTAGCAGCACTGGCAACCGATTGGATGGTGCCCATCCACATTGAGGGTGGGTCTTCCTCTTCCAGTCCACTGATTCAAATGTCAGTCTCCTCTGAGAACACCCAAACAGACACACCCAGAAACAGCACTTTACCAGCTATCTAGCCATCCTTCAATCCAGTCAAGTTGACACCTAATATTAATCACAATAGAGATCTCTTATAATAATGTGGGAGATTGAGTGTCCCTAGAATATTATTTTTTCTATAACATTTAAGTTTTTTATTTTTTGAGTCTGATAGCATAAACTATTTTGGGGGTAGAGAGGTATCAACCAAAGGCGTTAACTGAAATAAGCACCAAAAATGCTGTACTGGTATTGCTTTCATTTTCTTTAACCATAAAGATCTTAAAATTGTCATAGGAATTAAAAGAACCTCTCCCTCTCTGAAGGTTTGAGCCTTCCGAAATAACCTAACAATAGACAGATTAACAGGAGAAAAGGCATACAAATTTATTGACATGCACGTATCCATGAGAGCCATATGAAATATGTGACTCAAAGAAGAGCCAGATGGTGGAAGTATAAATATCCCATTTATAGGGGAGAGGGTAGTGGGGGCCTATAGATAATTTTAGAGGAGTAGTAAATAATTTTAGGAGAGATAAATGGGCCCGGGAGGGAGACATTATCCTATAAATGATTCTCTTAGGAATTTCAATGAGCCCAGAGACAGACAGTATCTTGTGACAAAGTCCATCCAGATGTGGTTACATTCCTGTCTTCTGGTAATAAAATTTCAGGGAAGGAGTAGAAGGCAATTGTGTTTTCTTTGGCAGATGTGATCTCAAAGCATAAAGGAATATTAAAGTAAAGCCTTTCCTTGTGCTTAGGGAGAAACAGAGGGTTTGAGACAGGGCTGCAGGGAAGGGGGAGGTCAGAGAGATCTTGAGCCTGCTTCTTTATTTCACCACATCAATGGATCATATTCTGGGATATTATTTTCTGATCCTTAAGATTGCAAACACCTAGTTCTAGCATTTCTTCTCCCCACTGCTCCTTATTTTTCTCCTCAATACTTTTCACTATTGACATACTCTAGCCTTTACTAGTGAAATGTTTGTTTTTGTGATTTTTATGATATAATAATAATTATATATTTGCTCTTTGTCCCTGGTTCCTGGCACAGAACTTCTAAAATTGTTGTAACTTCCTGAGTGGTAGGGGTGATTGAAATGTCTTTGTTATTATATCCGCCCCCCCTCCCCCGCCCCCCTACCCTGCAAACACCCCTGTTCCTGAAATAGCTCAGAAGCATAAAGATGAAAGGAGTATCTTTTGTTATTCATAACAAGCCCCTTTCAACTCTACCTGAGTTTATGTTAATGAGGTGACTTTTGGAAAGTACCTAAGAATACAGGCCTGGTTGCCAAGGGAACCAATCCTGTAATTAGAGGTTAGAACATTCAGCCCCATCCCCCAATCTTCAGAAAAAGGAGTGGGGTTAGAGATTGACTTAATCACCAAAGGCCAATGATTAAATCAATCATGCCTTAATAATAAAGCCTCCATAGAAACCCTAAAAATGGGTTTGGAGAGCATCTGGGTTGGTGAACAAGAAGGCTGCACATGCCAGGAGGGTGGCACACTGGAATGGAAGTTCCTGTGCTTGGGACCCTTCTGGATCTCACCCCATGTATATTTTCTTCTGACTGTTCATTTGTATCCTTTAAAATAGCATTTGTAGGCTGGCTGTGGTGGTTCACACCTGTAATTCCAGCACTTTGGGAGGCCAAGGCAGACGGATCACTTGAGGTCAGGAGTTCAAGACGAGCCTGACCAATATGATGAAACCCCCTCTCTACCAAAAATAGAAAAATTAGCTGGGTGTGGTGGCATGCACCTGTAATCCCAGCTACTCAGGAGGCTGAGACAGGAGAATTGCTTGAACCTGGGAGGCGGAGGTTGCAGTGAGCCGAGATCACGCCATTGCGCTCCAGCCTGGACAATAAGAGCAAAACTCCATCTCAAAAAAAAAAAATTTCTAATTGGTAAATAGTAAGTAAACTGTTTTCCTGGATTCTGTGGGCTGTCCCAGCAAATTGTTGAACATGAGAAGGGAGTCCCATGAAACTCTGACTTGTAGCCAAGTTGGAAAGAAGTTGTGAGTAACTAAGGGATCTTCTATTTGCAACTGGCATCTGAAGTAAGGAATATTTTGTGAGACTGAATCCTTAATCTGTATGGCCTGTTCTAATTCCAGGTGGTCAGGGTCAGAATAGAGTTAAATTGTAGGACACCCAGTCGGTGTTTGCTGATAATTAAGTAATTGGTTGGTGTGGAAAAAAAAACAAAAACAAAAACACTGTTGTTTAGAACTAGAATGAAAACTCCATGAGGACAAGAGTTCTGTCTGTTTTGGTCACTGTTTTGTGCATATAAGAAACTACAAAGCCCACCATTATTCGATTAACTCATCTTTTGCATCACAATTCCTTTTCACCAAGAGAGTGAGCAAGTCTGATTATTCCACCTAGAATCTGATAATTCCACACCTGTGGCATTAGGGGCAGGATTGAATGGAAATGGAATATAGGGTTCCTAAAAGAATGGAGTATTCAACGGAGGAAAATAGAGTCTAGCTCATTATTACTCTGTGAAATAAATTCTCAAGATCTTCATTTTATTAAAAAAGAAGGAAATGATCAGGGAGTTTGAGAAACTTATTCAAGTACCTAAAATAATTATCTGATTGTCAACTGAAGAATGACAAGATTCATATATTTGAAAAGGAGGACTTTATTTTTCATGAAGTGTTGTGGCCTGAAGAGTGGCCATTCTGGCAGACTGAGAAGAGTAGCCTATGGTCAGAAGCCAGAAACAGACACTTTGAGACAGGGACAGAGGGAAGAGGAACTTATGCTGAGCAAGGGGACCAAATATATGTATTTAATAAGCTATATGAGGAGTAATGAATATTTATGAAAGGAGAAACATACGCATGTGCAATTGAGCTTCATGATTCTCTATGGGATCCATGTTCAGAACATAGAGATGTTAGCATGATCCAAGGGTGGAGTTTCTGGCCCTCTCATGTCAAAAGGTGAAGCAGAGGACGGGAAAACCATTACTGATCATCCTCTGTAGACCGGCCAGACCCACTCCATAGTGGATGGTCTCCTACCAGGAAGAGATGCTGATGGGTTGTTTTGTTGGAACTGCAAAAGGAAGGGGCAGCAGTCAGGCCGTTGGTTATACCAACGGTGGAGTCTTCCGAAAGGGCTGGTTTCTGATTAGCCCTTATCGAAGAAAACCTAATGGTGGTTATCGATGGAGAGGCTATAACAAGGTGTATCTGACCTCCCATGTTGTCATGGCTGAGAACTCAGTTTTCAAGGTTGCCTGGCCAAGAAAGGGTCCATTCAGTAGGTTGTGGGACTTAGAATTTTGTTTGTATTTCTCAGATAGAAAATGAACATAACCCCAAGACTTCAGATTCAGTGATTTTTTTTCACAACTGCAACAACAGACTAGATAGAAGTTCTCTAAAGAACATTTCACTTCTTTTAAGATCATGCATGCTGCCATACATGGCCCAGGAATAAACTACACCATTCACTGAGGATAGGTCCAAGGGAAATGGCTAGAATTCTTACTATAAAATTCCAGATTGGGAGAAGAAGCAATATCACGTGGATCAGGCTTCTTGGAAAAGTGAAAAGATTCAATTTATAAAGAAAGTAGCAGTAAATTAGACTAAAATAAATGCATTGGGTATTTTGTCTTCAAGAGATGTTTTTCAAATTTAAATTTTGGAAATCTAGAGAAAGGGCCAGGTGCAAATGGCTCATGCTTGTAATCCCAGCTCTTTGTGGGGCCAAGGCAGGCAGATCACTTGAGGTCAAGAGTTTGAGACCAGCCTAACCAACATGGTGAAACCCTGTCCCTAATAAAACTACAGAAAACATTAGCTAGGTATGGTGGTGCATGCCTGTAATTCCAGCTACTTGGGAAGCTGAGACAGAAGAATCACTTGAACCTGGGAGGTGGAGATTGCAGTGAGCCGAAATGTCACCACTGCACTCCAGCTTGGGAGACAGAGCAAGATAAACAAAAAGAAAAGAAATCTAGTAAAAGGTTTCTCTCTCTTTCTTTCTCTCATCCTCACATCTCTCTCGCACGTGTGAGAGAGGCAAGACATGGTCTCAAAAATATGTAAATATAAACATATGTGTGTGTATGTGTGTGTGTATATAGATAGATAGATAGTTTTTTTAATGGTTTTTTTTTTTTTTTGAGACCGTGTCTTGCCTTGTCACCCAGGCCAGGCTGGAGTGCAGTGATACAATCATGGCTCACTGCAGCCTTGACCTCTCAGGCTTAAGAGATCCTTCTGCCTCAGCCTCCTGAGAAGCTGGGACTACAGGTACATGCCACCATGCCTGGCTAATTTTTAAAATTTTTTGCAGAGATAAGGTCTCACTATTTTGCTCAGGCTGGTCTTGAACTCCTGAGCTCAAGCAATTCATCTGCCTTGAACTTCCCCAAATGTTGGGATTACAGGCGTGAGCCACTGCACCCAGCCTATTTCAATATTTTGAATACATTTCAGAGTTATTTATTTAAATTTACATACACATGCATTAGTCAGGGTTCTCTAGAGAAATAGAACTAATGCTATATACAATATAATATTTTAAATGTATTATATATTATAATATATATAAGAGAAGACTTATAGGAATCGGCTGATACAACTGTGGAGGCTGAGAAGCCATAATCTGCTGTCTGTTTGCTGGAGAACTAGGAAAACCAGTGGTGTAATTCAGTCTGAATCCTAAGGCCTGAGGACAGAGGTCCCAATGGTGTAAGTCCCAGTCCAAATCAGAAGCCCTGAGAACCACTGAGGTTGGAGGGACAATGGCGTAAATCCAGGAACAAGCCTGAAATCCCCCAAACAAGAAGTGCCAATGTCTGAGTGCAGAAGATGTATATCCTCACTGAAAAATATAGAGCAAATTTTGCCTTTTCTCTGCTTTTATCTTCTATTCAGTCTCTCAGCATGTTGGATAATGCCCACGCATATTGGTGAGGACCATCTTCTTCACTCAGCCTACAGATTCAAATGCTATTTTCTTCTGGAAACATCCTCACACACAGACATACTAAAAAATAATGTTTCACCAACTCTATGGCATCCCTTAGTCCTGTAAGTTGACACATAAAATTGACGACCTTAACATATTATGTGAGGACATAAATCAATTTAAAAAATAATGCTAAAAAATGAGATAATATGTGAAAAACTTATTAGACCTGGATTATTTGACTATATAACAAACAAAAATATTAAATATACATTATATAATGTGAATCTTTTGGAAAAATATTTAATGTTTTTAATGATCACAGCATTGACATTTAGCATTTATGGCATCACTCTTATTTTGTCCTATTTAACCTGTTGGATATTATTTTTAACACTCTACAGTTCTGACCACAAGCATTAAAACTTTGTCAGAGGCTGTTAATAATCATTCATCTTTGATGAACAATTGATGAGATGAAATAAACAAAAATTAGGGAGAGCTGCATTTATTTGGATGGAGAAAAAAAACCATTTAAAAAATCTGAATTATTAAACAGTTTTATCTTTTTGCTTGCTGGCATAATCCTACATCATCTCCATTTGAGGTAATATTCTAGTTGATGAATGAAGGTTCTTGCCTATTGAAATAATGAGTATCTGAAACATTCAAGTCATTAGGAGTTGTCCTGAAGGCTGTCTGCCCCCATGGTCCTAAGACCACTCATTTATAACCTGCCAAAAAGTGGATGAATTTTGAGGATTTTAATCTAAGACTCAGAATATACAATAGGAAGGCAGACTTCTTCCTCGTCAGTTTGTACACCCTGTGCCTATACATTAATTTCTATATAATTTAAGATTTCCAGGGTTTCAGTAGACAGTGTTAATGGTGTGTTGCTTCATTAGTGAGAAGATTCAAGGATCTCAAGTGCAAGAAGATATTTAATAATGGATATCACTAAATATCTACTTACATGCAAAAATACACTCCCTAATTGCATGGGATTACAGGGGATTATTAAGCCATCTTTTATATATCAATATTGGTGAACTATGCTTTTTATGTAGAAAATTGCTCCATGTACTCCATTATTTATAAGCCATGAGTATTAAAATGGTCCTTAAACTACATCAGATGAACAAAATTTAGAAATGTATCTCATGACTTATTTTGGAGAATTTAATCCTCAACATTAAAGTTAAAGAAATCTGCCTGCTTTTGAGAATCAAAAAATCCTGAATATCTTTCAATGTGTACTTTATATAATTACTCAAAACTGAACAACAACAACAACAACAAAATAACAACTAAGACTGAGCCACTGTTAGCTTTAGCTAGTGTTTATATTACCATCTTTTCTATTTGTTCTCTCTAGAACTGAAGAACTCTTTTTGCATGGTAACTTTGAACTGAATCACTTGCAGGCAATTTACAAGGTAACCTCAGTGTCTGAGGCAGCAGTAAATTTCCAGCTTACTGAATTTTGCCTGTAGTAAAGTGAAGATAGAACAGACTTGTTTTCTGTTCTAAATATAAACACAGCAGTTTTCCCTGTCAGCAGTTGCTATTCAGACGCATGTATGCTCTTCCACTTAAAATTCAGAGCCATTTTTCTTGCTATTATTGGGGCTCAGAAAATGACACCCCAAAGTAAAGGCCTCAGAAGCAAAGTATTTCTCTGAGGAAGGAATGCTGCACAGAGAAGCCAAGAAAAATCCTGTAAACCAAAAATAAAATTTTAAGCACCTCAGCAAAATGAGTGGACTGCCTCTTTGCCAAGGGGACTGCAGAAAAACCTGAAAAATCTAATTGCCAGCCATGACAGGTAGGGTGGTCAACACATCTTATTATACCCCCGATCCATTTTGGAGTTTAGATACAACCGACTAGCATTGATATGCTGATCATAAGATGAACAAAACAGACTCTATGTGGCAATAAGTTTCCACTTTTGACCTGAAGCTGATATAGCATCACATGAGAACATACCCTGAAGGAAATCAAAATGTTTTATTCAAAAATACATTTTTCTGACATATTTAGAAATGGCCCCGCAAACCCTTCTTTTGTGGGGGAAATTTGCATCTGTGGAGAATCTCCATTAATGCAGCCGGGTCTTGTCTTTCTAGGTCTTTCCAGAATCTAGGAAAGATTACATGAGAGTCTGACACATTTAAGGTTTGAAAAGAGACATTTACCATCTATTCTCACTGAAGGCTGCTATCTATGAGGCTTCGTCTACATAGTAAGAACCATGGCTTCAGCAACCCCCTTATCTTAAGCAATTCTTTCTAATGACTCCAAGTCTTTAAATAAAGCTTGACTTTTTCAACCAATTGCCAGTTAGAAAAATCTATGAATCTACCTAATTGCCCCCGCAGCCCCTAACCCCTAGCACCTGCTTCAAGATATTCCATCCCATTAGGCTGAACCAATGTACACCTTCCATGTATTGATTTATAATTATATGTACAATTTCTGTCTTCCTAAAATGTATGAAACCAAACTATAACCCAACTGTCTCAGACACATTTTCTCAGGACCTCTTGAGACTGCTCCCTGGGCTGCGGTCACTCATATTGTCTCAGAATAAGCCTCTAAATATTTTATGGAGTTTGTTTTTTCCATCAACAATCTGAACAGATAGGCCTTGCTGGGTTCTCTCCTCAGTCTGTTCTTATTAGATCATACCCTTTTTGTCCAATCACAGTTTTACACAGTTGTCCATTCTTCATCAACTCTAGGGATAAAGATAGTTTTCCTAGGGTCTTTGGTCTTCATTCTGAAAGCTTCCATAGTATGTAAATCTGTTATGCCTTTCTTTTATTAATCCATGTTTTGTTATAGTCATGTTGGCTGTGACCCTTATAATGAGGAGGAAAGATCACCCACCCCCTTTCCATCTTTACACTATCCTTAATCATTTTAGTGCATTAACATTCAGGATATTAACAAGGTTAAAGTAGAAATTAGTATCAAATTTTGTGACTGTTAATATTCTTTAAACTAATCTATACCTTTGGAAATCAGAATAGTAGTTATCTGGAAGGCACAGCCAGAATATGGGAGGTGCCAAAGAGGGATTCTGTTTTCTGATATTAATTCATTCTTTGATCTGGGTCTGGATACACAGATGTAAATCATTAATCTGTGTGATCATCTGCTGTTCACTTTTCTGTGTGTACATATTACTTTACTAGTAAGTTTATATATATAAAAAAATGTTCCTTTGCAGCCACTTTTCCAAACAGAAGTTAAAATGATAGAGAAAATTAGATTTCTTATTCAAGTTAGATTATTCTGGGATATTTTAATAAAATAAAGGCAATAAGCTCTATGAAAGATAAAGTAATATGGACAATACAATATTAAATGTCAACTGAACTGCTGCATTATTCTCTTTTTAATTTTTAAAAAGGAGAAGGCTGGCATGAAAACAACCAGTGCTTGAGGATAACTTTATAATTTATGACCTTGTGCAAGATTATTGTCTGCTAAGTCTTTCTTAAAATAGATGCAAATATATGAAACAATTTTAAGAAAGATTTTTTAGTCAGTAATATTCTTTGTTAAGTGTGATTATATAATCATATTATTCTAAATAATTATATTATTTCATAATTTACAATGTTTTATATATAATATAATTAGAAATATAATATACTTAGATGTAATATTGTAAATAATTAGGATAACCGATCGTTATTATTACTTGTTGACAAAACTCAATTTTGGAATCTTTCTACTTTCTTCAATATTGACAGAATGTCTCATATTAACTTTTGAAAATGATTTATTAATTAATTTTGAAGACTGCACAACTACATTAAGCCCTCTTAATCAAAATATTTTAAAAATGTTAAGCTATTTTTTTTGAGACAGTCTCATTCTGTTGCCCAATAGTACAATCATAGCTCACTGAAGCCTCAAGTGCCTGTGCTTAAGCCATCCTAGTGCCTCAGCCTCCTAAGTAGGTAGAATTACAGGCATGCACCACCACACCTGGCTAATTTTGAAAAATTTTTTGTAGAGATGGGGTCTCACTATATTGCGCTGGCTGGGCTTGAACTCCTGGCATCAAGAAATCCTCCTACTTCGGCCTTCCAAAATGCTGGAATTAAAAGTATGAGTCGCTACACCTGGTCAAAGCTGATGATAATATATTGAACTATTAATAACTTGATGGCAAATATCTTTATATGTTTATAATGTGTAAAAATTTAATGAAGAAAATGTGACTTGTTTGGGGTAACCATGATAAAAGAACAATTCAAATGCCTCACATTATATTATGATTTCTTTTTTTATCTCAGCTTTATTGAGGCATAATTGAGTTATAAAAATTTTATATATTTATGGCCGGGCGTGGTGGCTCACACCTGTAATCCTAGCACTTTGGGAGGCTGATGCGGGCAGGTCATAAGGTCAGGAGATCGAAACCATCCTGGCCAACATGGTGAAACCCCATCTCTACTAAAAATACAAAAATCAGGTGGGCATGGTGGCACGCACCTGTAGTCCCAGCTACTCAGGAGGCTGAGGCAGGAGAATTGCTTGAACCTGGAAGGCAGAGGTTGCAGTGAGCTGAGATTGTGCCATTGCACTCCAGCCTGGTGACAGAGCAAGACTCCATCTCAAAAAAGAAATATATATATATATATATATATATTTAAGACATACAACATGATGTTTTGATATATGTATACACTGTGAACTTACTGCCACTATAAAGTAAATTAACATATTCATCATCTAACATAGTCACAGTAGGGGCCAAGGCCCTTGGCCCCTGGGGGCTCACTGAAAATGTCGGACGTGGCAGATTGATTAACACGAGAAAAGGCATCCAAATTTATTTAATATGTATATTAAAGCATTCAGAATAAAGACCCAAATTCCTAATGAGGTACAGAAAATTATATGTCATCTCAAGGTTACAGAAAGAATGAAGGCTTGGATCCTGGTAAAACAGGTTATGAGAGATGGGGGAGGAGAAATTCTATTGAGGGGCATAACTGATTACTAAAAAGAGTGATTGGATCTGGAACAGAAATTAACATGTGAATAGTTCTCTCTGGAATGTAAATGATCCTTGGAGACAGTAATTATCTTGAAAAAGGGTCTGTTCAGGTATGGTTACATTTTTGGTCTTCTTTCCTGTCCTGGATAATGAAATAACAGGTAGAACAGGAATAATAACAAGAACAATGTTCTCATTCCCCTTGGTGGGTCATCCTATCTTCATGTAGATGGGAAAGTCTCTTCCAGAGCCTGTTGATCTGTAAGAATTTTTAATTTAAAATAGCCATTACTCCAGAGAGCCACATTTTGGGGTAAAATGTTATAATTTCCTTCATTACCGTTTGTGTGTGTGTGTGTGGTAAGAACATGTAAGATCTATTCTCTTGGCAAATTTGAAGTATACAATAGAGTGTTATTAACCATAGCCCACCGTGCTGTATTAGAGCTTCAGAATTATTGATCCTGCATAACCAAAAGTTTATACCCTTTGACTAACATCTTCCCATTTCCCTCTCCTCCAGCTCCATATCCCTTCCCCTAGCCTCTTCCCTCCCCAACCCGAACCCACCATTTTTCTCTCTGCTTCTGTGAGTTTGATTTCTTTAGTTTCCACATACAAGTGAGATCATGTAGCATTTGTCTTTTTGTGCCTGGCTTATTTCACTTACCATAACATCTTATTGAAAGTGCCCCTATAAACTTTATAAAATTAATCAGGGAAAGAGAAAGGGAGAAATAAAAGTAAATCATTTTTGCAGCACATTCAGTATAAATCATTAAGTCAGTTTACTCTCTGACCTGCTTGGTTTGGTGCCTATTGTCCTAGAATCATGTAGACTGTGTTGCAAGATTATAATTCTCCTTAACTGCTCTATAGATAATAACTTGAACACTTTGAAATGTTAAATTTTCTCTTTGAGTTATTCCTTCAGGTCCTGCATACTGATGAAAGTACTGACATCAGCTGGTCAAAATGATCCTGCAAGAAGCCAGCTCACCAAAGAATGCAGTTTCTGTATCCTGATGATTTCACCCTCCTTACACTGACAATCAATGACTTCAATTTTCCAGCCCCTGACATTCCATGATCTCCTTAAAAAACCCAACCTAGAACTTTTTGGGGAGATGAATTTGAGGAGCTCCTCCTCTCTCCTCATTCAGTGTCCTGCAATCATTAAACTCTTTCTCTGCTGCAAACTTTGCTGTCTCAGCTTAATGGATATGTTATTGCACAGCAGGCATACGAACCTGTTGTTCCTATAACACTATGATTCCTATCCATCAATCAATCATATTTATATTTTAAAAATAGAACCAACTCTTGCTTGAGGGACTTCAAGACAGAAATATCAGGGAGTTCCATATGATAAAAAAAAATGCATGCATTCCTTGTTCCAGCCATTCATTACTTTCTCACCTGAAATATACATTGAACATTTTTTTTCCAAACTAAATTCCTAAAATTGTCTATCTACATCAAAAACCCTCCCTAAGATAGGGTTTTACAGAGCAAATCACTTTGCAGAGGAACATCAGAACATGTGTTTCCTATCGCCATGATAACAAATACTTACAGAAGAGCCAATGAAAAGCTATAGTAATTCAAGTGAAGTGGAGATTTTGAGTAAATGTCTAGATTGCTCATTCACAGCTCTGGGCTGAGTAGAGTTATCAGCCAATAAAAACTTACTGCCTGGTTTCTTTGCTTTGTCATTCCATGTACCTATAGCAGTGTTAAGCTTCCCCTCTGTGCTGGACAAGCAGGTTTCACTGTAGTAGTCACTGCAGTGCATGCCTGGAAAGCCCATCTAGGGCGTATACACCAAACTGCTAGCAAAATAGGGCTGGATTGGAATTAGAAGCTTGATTTTTTTTTTTTTTTTTTTTTTTTTGTCCAGGGAAGGAAACAGTACACAGCCTAGAAGTTTTTTCATCTTCATTTAAAAATACAGATAAAATTTAGCTGCTAGAGCATTGCTCAATCCCCCACCATCTCAATGAATTCATACTGTGTAAATATTGTGATCTTAATAAATAAATACCGAAGCACAGCTGGCGCCTGTAAGATATCACTGTTGGGTTGCTGTGGCCCTGTTATCACCAGAGGGTGTTGCTAATTATTCTCGGAATTGAGGCCCTGGCATTCTAGGGGAAAGGAAAGCAGAGGAAAGTCAACAGAGGTTGAAACAAAAATAAAACATTGTTTGTTTCAGTCCATAGCAAGGGCATTCTACCCTTGTGAAAATCAGAAACACATATAGTATAGGTATGCAACTGTCTTTTCTCTGTAAAAATGATTCAACAACACTATTTATTTCAGCCCTTGATTGCATTCCAGCTGATTAAAATTCACACCACTTGTTTGTAAGGGCAAGAGGAGATAATTGGGGTGTTCAAAGGACAGCGCAGGAGAACCTGGATGTTTTAAATGAATGAGTTTACCAAGAGAAAGAATGTTTTTTTCTTCCCCCTTGCTTTCCTGGCAGGTGTGTTAATGACCTAGCTTTGCACATTGCACACACAAGAGGTTCATTGCGTGTATCTGTCTTGACTTGAGAAAGCAGATGCTGTTTAGACATATGTCAAGTGGAAAAGAAGCTGCATATGAATTGCTATGTTCTTCTTTTGAAAATGCCATGGTTAATTTTTAATTGCTGGTAGCAAGGTAGACCTGATGACCACAGCATTCCACTCAGATAGAGTTTGTGCTGGCTCATCAGATTATTGCTGCCTCTCAACTAATTTATTTGACTTTGAGCCCAACAGTAAGCAGAGAGTACTGTTAAAGAGCTTCTGGCACTGTGGTGTTGTGTTAAAGAACCTGTTCTCATTTACTGCTCTCAGCATTTCATTGAACAACAGGGAGGTGTGGCTTCAGAAAATACAAATTACCATAAGTAGAAATCAGGTTCTTTCTTTTAGTTCTTCCCACATCTCTTTTCTAGTCTTCCTCTTGGCAACCCTCTTCCACCATTGTTAAAAAGATTTAGAGTCTAAGACAAGATGATTTGGAGCCAGTTGTTCCTGTGATTCTCAATGAGGCATCTCTGTCCCCTACAATCTATTACAAGGCCTGAGACTGTTGGCAATCCCCTGCTGCTTTATTCAAGAATGCCTCAACTGGCGGCATTCTGGAGCTTTTCTAGCCCAGGGAAGAAAAATGTTCAATACTTACTGAAAGTGTGGAGAGATTTTTGTCCAGCAATGTATGCTTAAAAGACACTCGAATTGTTTCATAGTTCTTATTCTTGCCTAGATTGTTTAGCCAAAATCATTCTCCATGTGATTGTGTATTCCAAATAAATTCATAAACCAGATAATAAAGCTATTAATGCCTGAAAGAGATTGCATTTGTTTTGACTAATTCTATCTAAATGTTGTTTCTACAGTTGCCTGCTTGAGTCACTATATTAGCAAAGTGATATTCATTTCAATTAAACAGGGAAAGCAGCACTCTCAGAACTAGCATCTTGCATGATTTTCAGGCATAACAAACACTGATGTCAGGGGGACAATTCAAAAAAAGGCAGCCAACATCATTAACTTAATGAAATTATGATCACAATATGTGATATTTTGACAAGGCCAACAGTATTTCTAAATCAGATCTCAAATGGACCAAACTATTGTCGCTAAAATTTAAATTATAGACCTTCCACCTCACTTCTCCCAACTCTCAATTTGATCTTGACTTACTCTTCTTTCAGGTTCACTTCCTTGGCTCTATTACCCTGACTTTAATCCCAACCTTTGGTTCCTCTGAACTGCACTCTTCCTAATTCTCAATAGCATTTGTTTGTTTATTTCTTATTTCAGTTGTTGTTGTCTTAAATTGATTTTCTGGACTCTAATTCCTCTCTCAGTCAGAACTCTCTGAGTCCGTCTGAGCCATAGGGAATCCAATATTTGATCATATTTCTAATTTTGTTATTAGTAGCCAGTACAACCTTGACTGTGGGAAGTAGTAATTTTGGAAATTTAGATGTATTCTAGTTCAAATGTTTTCCAACACAGGCATCACATATAAAATTGACCCACTAATTACCCCAATAAGTCTCTGCGTTAAGTGCCTGCAAAGATAGAAATGCCATTACTTTCCAAATGCAACTCATATCATTTTGGAAAACCCTCATTATAGCAAATCCTTATTTATCTCGAGCCACTATCTTTCTCCCCGATGGTCCTCTACTCCAGCGACATGAAATCAACGTGAGGTTTCTTTGAATTAATCATCCTTCAACTATTAGAAAAGTATTTTGTTTCCATAAAACTATTTTCTTTCTAGGAAAACATCCTTACATTTTCAATAATTCTTCAAGTAATTTAATATTAAATTTCCTCTCCTCATCACTCTACAAATATTTCAGTTCATTAGCTTCCTTCTTAAAATTCAATTCCCAAAGTAAACACAATTAGAACGAACTGAGTATCCTTTTAAGAATTCTTAGTGTCAAGTATGCTTAGCATATAAAAGAAAAATATTTCAGGAAATAGGTGTTGGGATGCAGAAAGAAGACATGGCAATCTACTTGTTCTGACAGACCATCTGCTTGTTCTATAATCTCAATCTCAGGTAAAATCTTCAAAAACATCATTCATATCTATGTAAGTGGATTGCCGTAAGAATTAGAAATTACAGGTAGTAGTAATTAGTTTTATATTAGGTACGTAGTAATGATGAAGATGTTGATAGCACAATTATCTCCTTTTGTTTTGAATCAAATATTTTTGACATTGATGTCTAATATCCAATTAGAGATTTTTGTTCCTTTGTCGTTTTGTTATATTTTTTTAGCACTCATGTTGTATGAGATCAGAGAAGAGACTTCGTAACTTTCTGGATTCACAGAACCCTCAGTCTCTCAATATTTTTTTCACACTGATTACAGGACAAAAAAAAAACCCCAAAAAGCTAACAGTTATGTTTAGTAAGTAGAAAGGTCCAAACAACAATTATTTTTGTTCTAAGAACACAGTATCCATTTGAAAAAATAATAGACCTGAATTGAAAAAAATACATACTTATTTTATTTTTAAATAACCAAAATTACTTACTAGTGGGATGAATGCACAAGTTGGGCACTGTACAACTTTTCAAACGTTGGAGAGTACCACCCTCATTTCCTATAGTACTTGCTATAGATCACAGCAAAAATTTAAATCCCACCTTTGTAAATATGACATTTTCAAAATGAATGTAGAAAAATCTAATGTCTAGTGGTTTGTATGATATATCTGTGGTTTCCCCTGAACATTTAAAATATCCTGTGACATCTCCATGAATTTCTTTGTTAGAAAGGTCACAGACAGGTACAGAATTACAGGGATTATATTTGCGAGTTTTTGTTTGGGGACAGGAAGGAGAGCTTAAGAATCATAGGCATGAAGTTTACTAACATAGCCAGTTTGTTTTTTAATGTATTAGCTTTGATGAACACCAATCATCCCTGCAGAGATTTGTAATATGAACATAAGAATTTCATCACCCCACTGAGAGGTGACAAAGTGCTAGCAGCCCTCCCTCGCTCTTGCGCCTCCTCGGCCTCGGCGTTCGCTCTGGCTTCGCTCAAGGAGCCCTTCAGCCCGCTGCTGTGCTGTGGGGGCCTTTCTCAGGGGCTGGCCGAGGCCAGAGCTGGCTCTGCTCGAGGGGAGGTGTGGAGGGAGAGGCACGGGCGGGAGCTGGGGTTGCAAGCGGCACTCATGGGCCACTGCGGGTTCCAAGTGAGCGCGGGCTGGGCAAGCCCTACACTAGGAGCCACCGGCCAGCGCCTGCTGGGCTTGATCAGGGGAAGAGCTCCCTCTGGGCTGCCAGAGTGCCCGGGCTAGGTGCTGCAAAGTCCCACAGCCAGTGCCATTGAGAGGTGAAGCCGACTGGGCTTCTGGATGCAGTGGGGATGTGGAGAACTTTTCTGTCCAGCTAAAGGATTGTAAATGCACCAATCAGCACTGTGTCTAGCAAGAGGTGTGTAAACGCACCAATCAGCACTCTGTGTCTAGCTAAAGGTTTGTAAACGCACCAATCAGCGCTCTGGGTCTAGCTAATCTGGTGGGGACTTGGAGAACTTTTGTGTCTAGCTAAATGTCGGATGGGGACTTGGAGAACTTTTGTGTCCAGCTGAAGGATTGTAAACGCACCAGTCAGCACTCTGTGTCTAGCTAAGGGTTTGTAAATGCACCAGTCAGTGCTCTGTGTCTAGCTAATCTGGTGGAGACTTGGAGAAGTTTTGTGTCTAGCTAAAGGATTATAAACGCACCAATCAGCACTCTGTCAAAACGGACCAATCAGCTCTCTGTAAAATGGACCAATCAGCAGGAGGTTGGTGGGGCCAGATAAGGGAATAAAAGCAGGCCACCCCAGCCAGCAGCGACAGCCCACTCAGGTCCCCTTCCATGCTGCGAAAGCTTTGTTCTTTTGCTCTTGGCAATAAATCTTGCTGCTGCTCATTCTTTGGGTCCACACTGCCTTTATGAGCTGTAACACTCATTGCGAAGGTCTGCAGCTTCACTCCTGAAGTCAGCGAGACCACAAACCCACCAGAAGGAAGAAACTCCAGACACATCTGAGCATCTGAAGGAACAAACTCCAGACACACCATCTTTAAGAACTGTAACACTCACCGCAAGGGTCCGCGGCTTCATTCTTGAAGTCAGTGAGACCAAGAACCCACCAATTCAGCACACACCACTACCATTAAATTTTTTTTGTAAAATAGAAGTAAACTTCCATCAGTTGATATATGTATGGATCTTAATTTGCCACCAAATCTAATAGGTCATTGTCTACCTTCACGCTTTATGTAGATTAAGTCAGTCATATTAAAAACCATATATAATCACTGTATCCCATGGTTACCTGTTAATTATGGTTGAACAGCAATGGACTTAGACACGGTATCCCATTAAGTGATTTGAGGCAATGTTACCCTTCATGAGATAATGATGCTTTACACAGTATTTCTCATTATTATCCAAAAAAAGATAAAAAGACATCTTTTGACAATTTCAAGGCTGGCACTTCATATTCCTATTTTTATGGAATTGGGATTTATAAGATACTGTAGTTTTCTTTATGTTCTGTTTGCTTTTCTGAGATTGTGAACAATAATGCAGAAATGTATCTCCTGGGGTGTCTCTGGGGAATTCCTTGCATACTTGTTAAGAGAGGACTGCAGGCTGGGATCATCTTACAGTTGTTAAGAGTGAAGCGTGTGAGCTATCAAGCACTACACTTCTGAGACATGGAGAAGATTCTCTCAGGCCACCAGTGTGTTTGGAATAGTTCATTAGTAGACACTATTCTCAGGTAAATTCACAAAGAAGCTTCTTTTTCCCCAACTTGCTGATCCCTAGCTATATAACTGCCAGCACTGTGATTTTTGCTAATTTCTCTAGAATGCGTTATTTACCTCCATGTGGCCCCTTCAGCAAGGTAAAAATCTAGTGGGAGAGCTTCCAAACTAACTTACAATGTTACTTTGTAGCATCAGTGGGCTTTTTAAATTTTAAATTTAATTTTTTTAACTGAAATACTAAAGAATCAGTCCCACAGATAAAAGGACAGCAACTCTAAAAAAAGTAAAATTTACTGCCTTGTGAAAAATAAAGAACAAGACAAATACATAATTAATAAACTATGAAAACATTTGCCCTAAATGATATAAAAACATTGTGTACTTTTACATGTTAAATTATTTTTCAGTATAGTTTAAAAATGAACATGATAAATATCTCAAAAGATGTTTCAGTTATTCTTAAAGGTCTCTTGCTTAGGGTTTCATTCTTAAATCTGTATCTTAGATTCTAACAGTTGATTTTCCACATGATGGTCATTATCAGCACCAGAGTTTTTGAATGCTCCTAAATGCAGTGCTTTGAACATTTTATTTCATACAATATTTTCATTTGATATGAAATAACTGTTCTGTAGTATTAATTATATGACTATACTTATTTTATCTAGATGAAATCTTCACTATAAAGCAATGTGTGTGCCATAGGTGCAGCCCTACCTCGGTCACATTGCTTAGATCATAATACATGTCTCTCACATTATAGCTCTCCTTTCTCTCCCCAAACAAAAACTCACAAATAAAATCCCCGTAAATCTGTACCTATCTGTGACCTTTCTCAACAAGGTACACTTTCATATTTACAAAGACTTAATATATATTTTGTATAACCCCAGATTATTTTGTCACCCTTTTCATGTACCCTCCTCACATCCACAGGACTCTCTACTCTCTTAAAAATTATGTAAGTTTCTAGCTGCATAAAGAGGAGCAAAATTCCATCCTAGATGGTGAAGCAGGATATTTCCCTGACCCCGTCATGGGTGGGAAATGGAGTGCATGGGCATTGGCAGGGGCGAACTCCACTTATTCACTGCTCCACCCCTTGTGGTGGGGGGGCACAGGTGAGACTGTGCAGGAGCCAGGGTGAGCACTTTTGAGCCCCGACAAGAGTGAATTTCATACCAGCCCTGTGGCAGTGTCTAGGGGAGGGTAGCTGTGACCCCTGAATCACCAGAGGAAGTGTAACAGTGCCCTCTTAGCTTTGCCATCTGTGGACAGCTTAAATGTTAACAGCCCAGTGGAGGATCAGTATGACACCTTTTTGCACCCACACTCATGGCACCTGAGTTCTTGTCCAGCATCCAGTGAGAGTGAGGTTGCACGACTGAACTGAAGATAGTAAATGTGGGGAATTTTATTGCCAGTGAACATGGCTCTCAGTGGGAAGGGGAGTTGAAAAGGGGACAGCTAGGGAAGGTAATCTTTCCCTGGAGTCCGGCCATCCCTGGCAGGACTCCTCTCCCAAACTTCACCATCAAGCTGTCCCTCTGAAGTCAAGCTGCTTCTCTCTTACGTCCAACCATAGTCTCTGATGTCAGGCTGCTTCTCCTCTCTGCTGGCTGAGTTCTGGGGTTTTGATGGGCACAAGATGGGGGGTGGGGTGGGCCATGGGTGGTTTTGGAAAAGGCAACATTGAAGTTGAAAAACAGGGATGTAAGTTCTCACTTTGGGCTGTGGTTCCAGGCTTTTCAGCTTGAGGGTGGGGGCTCTTGCTGGGGACTCTTCCTCTTCTGCCCAGAATTTCCCTGCCTTCTGTCCCTACCAATGATATACTAGTCTATATAATAGAAAAGGCAGATACAATATAAAAACAACAAAAATTGTACACAGTAAAGCAAACAAACATACAAAAATATATGTGCTATGAAGAAAAAACATTTGGTTACAATGATAAAGGTTCTATTGAACAGTTGTGTCAAGAAAGTTTTCTTGGAAAAACATTGGAAACACAGGGAAAGGCAGAAAATAATAAAGAGGTGAGAGAAAGCAAGGGGAGGAGGGAAAGGGGAAATCAGGAATTGACAACAAACTGAACAAATCTATGGTGGCATGGAAGCTGCTTTATTTATTTATGAAACTTAAAGCAGTTTGGTGTGGCTGATCTCTAAACTCAACTGTGGGAATGTTTATGTGATGCGGTGGGGGTGGGTTAAAATAAGGAGGTTCCTGTTGGAGCAAAGCTGGAGAGGTAAGCCGAGGCCAGTTCACTGAAGACTTTTAATCAAGTAAGGAACCTGAGTATGTTTGGGATTTGGTTAATTATTCTAATAGCTTTGGTCAGGGCTGGGAATTGAGGCAAAAAAATCAGATGGGAGATTAGAGATTATTATAACCATAGGTGTTCCCATGAGACATATTCCAGCTACTTAACAATTGCATGGTGTGGGGCAGGTTACTCAATTTTTCTAAGCCTTAAAATTGGGAAGGTAAGGACAACTGGCAGGCATTGGGAAAGTTTAAAAGAGATAATGCATAAGCATTTATTAACTCAAGGCATGTCACATAATAAGCACCTAGGAAGAGAAAGAAGATGATAAAACCTGTTTAGAGGTAGATTATTTAAGTTATGGTGATTGGTTAGATATAGGCAGTGAAAGATAAGAATCTAGAACAGAGATCAAAAATTATACACTGTGTGCCAACTCTGCCATCTCCCCATTTTTGTGAATAAAGGTTTATTGTAGGAACACAGTCATGGTCATTTATTTACACGTTGTGTGCAGCTAATTTCTCACTACAATGGCAGAATTGAGAAATCATGATGGAGACATTATAGCTCTCAAAGCAGAAAATATTTACTCTCTAGCCTTTGCAGAAAATGTTTGTTAATCCTGCTCTAGAATTGCCATGTATCATATTGACAAATATTTTACAGTTACAAACTCAGTGTTCTCAATGATGATCTCTGAGATCAGCACACTCATCTTTCCACAATGCCAACTGGCCTTTATCCACATTTAACAAGTCTCCATAATCACTTAAAGTCCCCAAAATAACTTTATCTGTTGTCCTCCAATCTCATTTTTTCAAGAAATAATTGTGACTTAGAGGTTTTTGATTAGGCTTCTGTGACCAAACAAACACTTCAATTGGTCAGTCGTAATACTTTAATTCTGCCCCTGAGGGGTAATAAATAAATTAAGTTGACAAATTTCTCCAACCCAAAATGAAACAAACTTGAATATGCAAGTGTGGGTAGGCACACTTTGTAGACTGCAGACTTCAGACTTAAAGGTCAGAGGTGGGAAGGAGGGAGAGAAAGAAAGAAGGAATGGGGAGGAGACGGGGAAATCATGGTGAGTGAGAGAGAGAGAGGTGGGAGTGAGAAAGGAAACCTGGTGACCATAATGAGAAGACTGGAGGAAAAGCAGAGAAAAGGGAAAACATAGGCACTGGAAAGGGACATGGGGTAGAAGGCTTACCTACTTCACAGACTTCCCCTTACCTTGGATTGCAACCTTCTCTGTTAAAATGCTCATTTCATAGTCACAAGTACTCCATGGTTGAAAGATGAACTGACATGTATTCTCAGTCACCTGTGAATAACTAGTATTTACTTTTCAAAGAAATTTCTAATGATCCAATTTATGTAATGCTCAATTAGGAAATTTTAGAACCCATGTCAGGAAAATTGGAGTCATCCTAGTTCTCAGAATTCTATCACATCCCTAGGCCAACATTCGGTCTGACTAATGCAGTACAGCATTTTCTAATGAAGGGAGATAGTAATGCCAAGGGAGTGTGGCATGATGGCCTTTGGAGTCAGAGAAAGTTGAGTTTCTGTCTAGATCCACCACTTATGAGTTGTATTAGCTTAAGTAAATTACTCAAATTCTCTAAGCTGCAGCATTTTTACCTATAAGATGATGATAAAAATACCTCCAAAAGTGATTATGAGGCAAAAAAAAAGATTGCATATAGAAAGCAAATAGATGGGTGTCTAGCAAGTAGTCTATGTTGAATAAGTTGTAAGTATCACTATCATTGTTGCAATTATTGTTACTAACAATAATGGCTGAATGTCTAATAGAAGAAAGTCTAACAATTCACCTCAAGAGATTTCCATATGCTTGAGTTTGGGAAACCTCAGTGATCAACATTTTGGAACAGAAAGGACATGCATTATTTTATGTTCTGCTGGAAACAACAATGCCCTTTCCATCTATGGTTGATTGCAACATCAGAAACTTTAATTTTTCTAAACCTGTCTCAATTTTCTTATAAAAAGCAAAGCTGACTGACAAATGGTCAATTTAGAATATATGGTAAGCACCCCAAGGAAATATATAATCTTGAAAGGTATAGTACATTGATAAGAAATAAAAAGTTCTGGTGCACGGGAAGGATAGGAGTTTCAGATGACCAGAAAAGCAGAATTTTCTTCCCTTTGCAGATCTTCTCATTTAAGCAGTCTGCATGACTTCCTAGAAATTTACACCTCTGTAGCGATACAGCAAATCGAAAAGTGTTAGTTTCCAAATCTGTTCCCCTCTGAAGAACTCTCCTGCTGGGCTTAAACTGACTGTTCATTTTAGGCCTCATTTACTATTTAGTCTTCAGAGATGTTTTCAATATGAACAAGAGAAATGTTGCTTTAATTTTACATGTTCTTATCCTATCATGAATAAATCAAAACTTTGAAATCTGCAGAATTCGGAAACTGAATAAACACATTTACAGAGATTGAGCATTCATGTTCAGGTTTAATAGTTTAGTTCAATAGAATGATAAACTCACTTCCAAATATCCCCATGAGATATTTTATCATTGCAAAGTATTAAAATCCATTAGTTCCACCTCACCAAATCCTTACTATGTTATTAACCCTACTCTCCTTAAGGCAGATTTGATGTACCCAAAATTAGTAATTATCCCCAAATTTTGGCAAGTTAGTCAAAGAAAGGAAATTAAAAAATCAGAGTCCTTGATTCCCAGGTGGTTGATTAGCTCCTAAGGCAGAATTACCTCTGATAGATCACTGTTCAAACTTAGAAACTTATTATTTAAAGAACATACAAAATCATACAAATAAAATTAACAAGGCAAAATTGAATATGTTTTTAACAAAATAAAGCATTTTTGGGGCTACAGGCTTTTACTGAATCAAAGGTAGGTTTGAGAGGTGACAACGTGCTAGCAGCCCTCGCTCACTCTCGGTGCCTCCTTGGCCTCAGTGTCCACTCTGGCTGCGCTCGAGGAGCCCTTCAGCCCACCTCAGCCCTCTCTGGGGCTGGCTGAGGCTGGAGCCGGCTCCCTCTTCTCGTGGGGAGGTGTGGAGGGAGAGGTGCGGGGGGGAGGCAGGGCTGCACACAGCGCTCATCGGCTGGTGCAGGTTCCGGGTGGGCGCCGGCTCAGTGGTGGGCCCCAGACTCAGCGCAGCTGGCTGGCACCTGCTGGGCTTGATCCAGGGATGAGCTCCCTCTGGGCTGCTGGAGTGCCCGGGCTAGGTGCCGCAAAGTCCCACAACTAGTACCATTGAAAGGTGAAGCCGGCTGGGCTTCTGGGTCGGGTGGGGACCTGGAGAACTTTTCTGTCTAGCTAAAGGTTTGTAAATGCACCAGTCAGCACTCTGTGTCTAGCTAAAGGTTTGTAAATGCACCAATCAGTGCCCTTTGTCTAGCTAATCGCATAGGGGACTGGGAGAACTTTTGTGTCTAGCTAAAGGATTGTAAATGCACCAATCAGTGCTCTCAGTGCTCTGTGTCTAGCTAAAGGTTTGTAAATGCACCAATCAGTGCTCTTTCAAAATGGACCAATCAGCTCTCTGTAAAACGGATCAATCAGCTCTCTGTAAAATGGACCAATCAGGAGAATGTGGGTGGGGCTAGATAAGGGAATAAAAGCAGGCCACCCGAGCCAGCAGTGGCAACCCGCTTGGGTCCACTTCTATGCTGTGGAAGTTTTGTTCTTTTGCTCTTCACAATAAATCTTGCTACTGCTCACTCTTTGGGTCTGTGCTGCCTTTATTTTTTTATTTTTATTTATTTATTTATTTTTTTTTATTGAGACGGAGTCTCGCTCTGTGGCCCAGGTGGGAGTGCAGTGGCACAATCTCGGCTCACTGCAAGCTCCGCCTCCCGGGTTCACGCCATTCTCCTGCCTCAGCCTCCCGAGTAGCTGGGACTACAGGCGCCCGCCATCACGCCCGGCTAATTTTTTTGTATTTTTAGTAGAGACGGGGTTTCACTGTGTTAGCCAGGATGGTCTTGATCTCCTGACCTCGTGATCCGCCTGCCTTGGCCTCCCAAAGTGCTGGGATTACAAGCGTGAGCCACCGCGCCCGGCCTGTGCTGCCTTTATAAGCTGTAACACTCACCGCGAAGGTCTGCAGCTTCACTCCTGAAGCCAGCAAGACCAGGAACCCACTGGGTGGGACAAATAACTCCAGACGGGAGGAACAAACAACTCTGGATGCGCCACTTTTATGAACTGTAACACTCACTGCAAAGGTCTGCGGCTTCACTCCTGAGGCCAGCGAAACCATGAACCCACAGAAGGAATGAACAACTCCGGATGCACCTCCTTTAAGAGCTGTAACACTCACTGTGAAGGTCTGCAGCTTCACTCCTGAAGTCAGCAAGACCACAAACCCACCAGAAGGACGAAACTCCGGACACATCTGAAGGAATAAACTCCGGACACACCATCTTCAAGAACTGTAACACTCACTGCAAGCGTCCACAGCTTCATTCATGAAGTCAGTGAGACCAAGAACCCACCAATTCTGGACACATTTTGGCAACCACGAAGGGACTATCACCTATCGCCAAGCAGTGAGACTATCGCCAAGCAGTGAGACTATCGCCAAGTGGTGAAACCATCACCTATCTCCAAGCGGTGAGACTATCACCTATTGCCAAGCAGTGAGTACCATCAGACCCTTATCACTTGCTGTTCTGTCCTATTTTTCCTTAGGATTCAGGGGCTAAATACTGGGCTCCTGCCAGCCAGTTAAAAGCGACTAGCATGGTCGCTGGACTAAAGACATGAGTTTCAGGCTTTCTGAGAAAGGGCTCTCTAACAACCCCCAACTCTTCAGATTTGGGAGCGTTGGTTTGCCTGGAACCAGCTTCTGCTTTTCCTGTACTTCTGGGCTGAGCCGAGGGTCAACAGAGAGGAAAGCCATTCAGCCCCGGGGTGCCGACAAGTTGTTGATCCTGTGACCATGAGCAGAACTCTCAAAGGCATGTCGCCCAAGTGAGACCTGCCCATCTATCCTATCTATCCTGACTCTTGCCTCCTGGGTCCTAATGCCTGTCAGACAAACTTCCTCTCACCTCTCTTCTCTGAGGCTAGTCCTGCTTCTAAAAATCATTCCCTGTCTCTGGTGCTTTTCTAGTTTCTCCTATGAGAATGATTTCTAATATAAAATCCAGGACTCTGTTACCTTCTTTAGGCACCCGGGCTCACTAGTCAGAAAGACATAATTTTTGCCCAAAGCCCCGTCATAGGGGGTACTATCTGGAATTTCAGGATCCCTCCTCAGTCTAGCAGTCCTAACCAAAGCTATTCCTGCAGCTAGGATATGGGGAGCCTCAGAAATTGTATCCTTCCTATTCATATAAATGAGGATAAAAGGTGTCACTCTTCCAACTCTGGAGATCCCTCCCCTCCCTCAGGATATGGCCCTCCACTTCGTTTTTGGGGCATAACATCTTTGTAGGACAGGGGTAAGGTCCCAATACTAACAGGAGAATGCTTAGGACTCTAACAGTTTTTTGAGAATGCATCAGTAAGGGCCACTAAACTCGATTTTTCTCTTTCCTCTTTGTGGTCTAGGAGGCCAGGTGAGGGTGCAGGTTTTCGAGAATCCATTGCTAAAGGCCATTAAATCCGACCTTCCTCGGTCCTCCCTGTGGTCTGGGAGGAAAACTAGTGTTTCTGCTGCTGCGTTGGTGAGCACAACTATTCTGATCAGCAGGGTTCAGGGACCATTGTGGGCTCTTGGGCAGGGGTTGTTTCTGCTGCTGCGCCGGTGAGTGCAACTATTCTGATCAGTAGGGTCCAGGGACTGTTGTGGGTTCTTGGGCAGGAGAAGAAACACAACAAATCAAAACTGTGGGTGGTTTTGACTTTCAGGTGGGAAACACTCAGCCATCAACAGGCTCACCCTTGAAATGTATCCTAAGACATTGGGACCAATTTGACCCACAAACCCTGAAAAAGAGGCAGCTCATTTTTTTCTGCACTACAGCCTGGCCCCATTATTCTCTCTCTGATGGGGAAAAATGGCCACCTGAGGGAAGTATAAATTACAATACTATCCTGCAGCTTGACCTTTTCTGTAAGAGGGAAGGCAAATGGAGTTAAATACTTTATGTCCAAGTTTTCTTTTCATTGAAGGAGAATACACAACTATGCAAAGCTTGAATTTACATCCCACAGGAGGACCTCTCAGCTTACCCCCATATCCTAGCCTCCCTATAGCTCCCCTTCCTATTAATGATAATCCTCCTCTAATCTCCCCTGCCCAGAAGGAAATAAGAAAAGAAATCTCCAAAGGAACACAAATCCCCCTGGGCTATCGGTTATGTCCCCTTCAAGCTGTAGGGGGAGGGGAATTTGGCCCAACCAAGATACATGTCCCCTTCTCCCTCTCTGATTTAAAGCAGATCAAAGCAGACCTGGGGAAGTTTTCAGATGATCCTGATAGGTACATAGATGTCCTACAGGGTCTAGGGAAAACCTTTGACCTCACTTGGAGAGATGTCATGCTACTGTTAGATCAAACCCTGGCCTTTAATGAAAAGAATGCGGCTTTAGCTGCAGCCTCAGAGTTTGGAGGTATCTGGTATCTTAGTCAAGTAAATGATAGAATGACAGCTGAAGAAAGGGACCAATTCCCTACTGGTCAGCAAGCCATCCCCAGTATGGATCCCCACTGGGACCTTGACTCAGATCATGGGGACTGGAGTCATAAACATCTGTTGACTTGTGTTCTAGAAGGACTAAGGGGAATTAGGAAAAAGCCCATGAATTATTCAATGATGTCCACCATAATTCAGGGAAAGGAAGAAAATCCTTCTGCCTTCCTCCAGCAGCTATGGAAGTCCTTAAGAAAATATACTCCCCCGTCATCCAAATCACTCTAGGGTCAATTGATTCTAAAAGATAAGTTTATTACCCAATCAGCTGCAGATATCAGGAGAAAGCTCCAAAAGAAAGCCCTGGGCCCTGAACAAAATCTGGAGGCATTATTAAACCTGGCAACCTCAGTGTTCTATAATAGGGACCAAGAGGAACAGGCCCAAAGGAAAAGCGAGATCAGAGAAAGGCTGCAGCTTTAGCCATGGCCCTCAGACAAACAAACCTTGGTGGTTCAGAGAGGACAGAAAATGGAGCAAGCCAATCACCTGGTAGGGCTTGTTATCAGTGTGGTTTACAAGGACATTTTAAAAAAGATTGTCCAATGAGAAACAAGCCGCCCCCTTGTCCATGTCCGCTATGCCGAGGCAATCACTGGAAGTTGCACTTCCCCAGAGGACAAAGTTTCTCTGGGTCAGGAGCCCCCAACCAGATGATCCAGTGACAGGACTGAAGGTGCCTGGGGCAAGTGTCAGCTCATGTCATCACCCTCACTGAGCCTCGGGTACGTTTAATCATTGAGGGCCAGGAAATTGACTTCCTCCTGGCAGCCTTCTCAGTGTTAATCTCCTGTCCTGGATGACTGTCTTCAAGGTCCATTACCATCTGAGGAATCCTGGGACAGCCTGTAACCAGGTATTTCTCCCACCTCCTCAGTTGTAATTGGGAGACTTTCTCTTTTCACATGCTTTTCTTGTTATGCCTGATAGTCCCACACCCTTATTAGGGAGGGATATATTAGCCAAACCTGGAGCTATCATCTACATGAACGTTGTGAACAAGTTATCCATTTGTTCCTCCCTACTTGAAGAGGGAATCAACCCTGAAGTCTGGGCATTGGAAAGACAATTTGGAAGGGCAAAAAATGCCTGCCCAGTACAAATCAGGCTAAAAGACCCCACCACTTTTCCTTATCAAAAGCAATATCCATTAAGGCCTGAAGCTCACAAAGGATTATAGGATATTGTTAAACATTTAAAAGCTCAAGGCTTAGTAAGGAAATGCAGCAGTCCCTGCAACACCACAATTCTAGGAGTACAAAAACTGAATGGTCAGTGGAGACTAGTGCAAGATCTTAGACTTATCAATGAGGCAGTAATTCCTCTATATCCAGTTGTACCAAACCCCTATATCCTGCTCTCTCAAATACCAGAGGAAGCAGAACGATTCATGGTTCTGGACCTCAAGGATGCCTTCTTCTATATTCCCCTGTACTCTGACTCTCAGTTTCTCTTTACCTTTGAGGATCCCACAGACCACACGTCCCAACTTACATGGATGGCCTTGTCCCAGGGTTTAGGGATAGCGCTCACCTGTTTGATCAGGCACTGGCCCAAGATCTAGGCCATTTCTCAAGTCCAGGCACTCTGGTCCTTCAGTATGTGGTTGATTTACTTTTGGCTACCAGTTCAGAAGCCTTATGGCAGCAGGCTACTCTAGGTCTCTTGAACTTTCTAGCTAATCAAGGGTACAAGGTGTCTAAGTCAAAGGCCCAGTTTTGCCCACAGCAGGTCAAATATCTAGGCCTAATCTTAGCCAGAGGGACCAGGGCCCTCAGCAAGGAACGAATACAGCCTATACTGGCTTATCCTCACCCTAAGACCTTAAAACAGTTGTGGGGGTTCCTTGGAATCACTGGCTTTTGCTGACTATGGATCCCCAGATACAGTGAGATAGCCAGGCCCCTCTATACTCTAATCAAGGAGACCCAGAGAGCAAATACTCATCTAGTAGAATGGGAACCAGAGGCAGAAACAGCCTTCAAAACCTTAAAGCAGGCCTTAGTACAAGCTGCAGCTTTAACCCTTCCCACAGGACAAAACTTCTCCTTATATGTCACAGACAGAGCAGAGATAGCTCTTGGAGTCCTTATTCAGACTTGTGGGACAACCCCACAACCTGTGGCATACCTAAGTAAGGAAATGGATGTAGTATCAAAAGGCTGGCCTCAGTGTTTACGGGTAGTTGCAGTGGTGGCTGTCTTAGTGTTAGAGGCTATCAAAATAATACAAGGAAAGGATCTCACTGGCTGGACTACTCATGATGTAAATGGCATACTAGGTGCCAAATGAAGTTTATGGCTATCAGACAACCATCTACTTGGATACCAGGTGCTACTCCTTGAGGGACTGGTGCTTCAGATATGTACATGTGTGGCCCTCAACCCTGCCACTTTTTCTCCCAGAGGATGGGAAACCAATTGAGCACGACTGCCAACAAATTATAGTCCAGACTTATGCCACCCGAGATGATCTCTTAGAAGTCCCCTTAGCTAATCCTGACCTTAATCTATATACCGATGGAAGTTCATTTGTGGAGAATGGGATATGAAGGGAACATTATGCCATAGTTAGTGATGTAACCGTACTTTCCCAGTTAGCAGAATTTGTGGCACTTACCCAAGCCTTAGAACTGGGAAAGGGAAAAAGAATAAATGTGTATACAGATAGAAAGTATGCTTATCTAATCCTATATGCCCATGTTGCAATATGGAAAGAAAGGGAGTTCCTAATGTCTGGGGGAACTCCCATTAAATACCACAAAGAAATTATACAGTTATTGCACGCAGTGCAAAAACCAAAGGAGGTAGCAGTCTTACACTGCTGAAGCCATCGAAAAGGGGAAGGAGAGGGGAGAACAGCAGCATAAGCAGCTGGCAGAGGCAGCAGAAAGGAAAGAGAGAAAGAGACAGGAAGTCAGAGAAAGAGAGAAAGAGAAAGAGACAGAGAGACAGTCAAAGAAGGAAAGAGAAGAAGAGACAAAGATGGAGTCAGAGAGAAAGAGAGAGACAGAAAAAGAAGGTAAAAGAGAGAGAGGAAGAGACAGACAAAGAGAGAGTCAGAAAGAGAGAGACAAAGAAAAAGTCAAAGAGAAAGAGTGGTAGTAAAGAAAAAACAGTGTACCCTATTCCTTTAAAAGCCAGGGCAACCCCATCAAAAAGTGGGCAAAAGGTATGAACAGGCACTTCTCAAAAGAAGACATTTATGCAGCCAAAAGACACATGAAAAAATCCTCATCATCACTGGCCATCAGAGAAATGCAAATCAAAACCACAAGGAGATACCATCTCACACCAGTTAGAATGGCAATCATTAAAAAGTCAGGAAACAACAGGTGCTGGAGAGGATGTGGAGAAATAGGAACACTTTTACACTGTTGGTGGGACTGTAAACTAGTTCAACCATTGTGGAAGTCAGTGTGGTGATTCCTCAGGGATCTAGAACTAGAAATACCATTTGACCCAGCCATCCCATTACTGGGTATATACCCAAAGGACTCTAAATCATGCTGCTATAAAGACACATGCACACGTATATTTATTGTGGCACTATTCACAATAGCAAAGACTTGGAACCAACCCAAATGTCCAACAACGATAGACTGGATTAAGAAAATGTGGCACATATACACCATGGAATACTATGCAGCCATAAAAAATGATGAGTTCATGTCCTTTGTAGGGACATGGGTGAAATTGGAAATCATCATTCTCAGTAAACTATCGCAAGGACAAAAAACCAAACACTGCATGTTCTCACTCATAGATGGGAACTGAACAATGAAAACACAGGGACACAGGAAGGGGAACATCACACTCTGGGGACTGTTGTGGGGTGGGGGGAGAGGGGAGGGATAGCATTAGGAGATGTATCTAATGCTAAATGACGAGTTAATCGGTGCAGCACACCAGCATGGCACATGTATACATATGTAACTAACCTGCACATTGTGCACATGTACATTAAAACTTAAAGTATACTAATAAAAAAAAAATTTCTGTCTACCCAGCCAAGGCATATTCTTCTTATGTGGAACTTCAACCAATATCTGCCTCTCAGACAGTTTACAAGAAATAACAAAATTGATCCTTACTCTACAATCCCAAATAGACTCTTTGGCAGCAGTGACTTTCCAAAACCACCGAGGCCTAGACCTCCTTGCTGTGGAGAAAGGAGGACTTTGCACCTTCTGAGGGGAAAAGTGTTGTTTTTACACTAACCAGTCAGGGATAAGTACAAGATGCTGCCTAGCATTTACAGGAAAAGGCTTCTTAAAGCAGACAATGCCTTGCAAACTCTTATACCAACTCTGGAGTTGGGCAACATGCTTCTCCCATTTCTAGGTTCCATGGCAGCCATCTTGCTGTTACTCACCTTTGGGCCCTGTATTTTTAACCTTCTTGTCAAATTTGTTTCCTCTAGAATTGAGGCTATCAAGCTACAGATGGTCTTACAAATTGAATCCCAAATGAGCTCAACTAACAACTTCTACCGAGGACCCCTGGACTGACCTGCTGGCCCTTGCACTGGCCTAAAGAGTTCCCCTCTGGAGGACACTACAACCACAGGGCCCCTTCTTTGCCCCTGTCCAGCAGGAAGTAGCTAGAGTGGTCATCGGCCAAATTCCCAACAGCAGTTGGGGTGTCTTGTTTAGAGGGGGGATTGAGAGGTGACAATGTGCTAGCAGCCCTCGTGCACTCTCGGCACCTCCTCAGCCTCAGCATCCACTCTGGCCACACTTGAGGAGCCCTTCAACCCACCACTGTGCTGTGGGGGCCCCTCTCTGGGCTGGCCGAGGCTGGAGCCGGCTCCCTCTGCTCGTGGGGAGGTGTGGAGGGAGAGGCACAGGAGGGAGCCAGGGCTGTGTGCAGCACTCATGGGCTGGCTCGGGTTCTGGGTGGGCACTAGCTTGGTGGTGGGCCCCGCACTCCACGTGGCCAGCCGGTGCCTGCTTGGTTTGATCAGGAGATGAGCTCCCTCTGGGCTACTGGAGTGCCCAGGCTAGGTGCCACAAAGTCCTGCAGTGAGTGCCATTGAGAGGTGAAGCTGGCTGGGCTTCTGGGTTGGGTGGGGACCTGGAGAACTTTTCTGTCTAGCTAAAGGTTTGTAAATGCACCAATCAGCACTTGGTGTCTAGCTAAAGGATTGTAAATGCACCAATCAGTGCTCTGTGTCTAGCTAAAGGTTTGTAAATGCACCAATCAGCGCTCTGTCAAAACGGACCAATCAGCTCTCTGTAAAATGGACCAATCAGCTCTCTGTAAAATGGACCAATCAGTAGGATGTGGGTGGGGCCAGATAAGGGAATAAAAGCCGGCCACCTGAGCTGGCAGCGGCAACCTGCCCCGGTCCGCTTCCACGCTGTGGAAGCTTTGCTATTTCGTTCTTCACAATAAATCTTGCTGCTGCACCCTCTTTGGGTCAGCGCTGCCTTTATGAGCTGTAACACTCACCACGAAGGTCTGCAGCTTCACTCCTGAAGCCAGCGAGACCACAAACCCACCAGGAGGGACAAACAACTCTGGACGGGAGGAATGAACAACTCCAGATGCGCCACCTTCATGAACTATAACACTCACTGCGAAAGTCTGCAGCTTCACTCCTGAAGTCAGCAAGACCACAAACCCACCAGAAGAAGAAACTCAACACATCTGAACATCTGAAGGAACAAATTCCAGACACACCATCTTTAAAAACTGTAACACTCACTGCAAGGGTCCACGGCTTCATTCTTGAAGTCAGCGAGACCAAGAACCCACCAATTCTAGACACAGGTTTAACTTTGAGCTTGTTTCATGAAAAGATGCATTTAGGATTAAGTTAAAGTATATAAGAAAAGTCATCTTAAGTAGCTTATAACAATTTAATTGATTTGGAACAAGAAGTATAAATGAAGGTAGCATCCATTTCTTTAAAGGTAGATTCACTAGTGCAATATGACGCTAAGTGATCCAAGATCAAATAGGTGGTTGGCCAAGAACAGATCCACTCATGTCTTGGTGGCAGTCATTAGAACCACAAAGTCTTTGTTTGCTTTATAAAAATAGTAAACAGCATCAAAAAAAAAAAAAAAAAGGGGGACAGACTATAATGAATACCTGGTGGCAGAAATGGGGAATAAAGAGCTAAAGGCAATTCTTTATGGTATTAATTTGGAGGTCTTTTAGCCATGGTCACCTTGACTGGACTAGGCTCTCTTCAGGGTTCTACTAGTGACTATTTCCAATTTCTAGTTAGCAACAAAACACAATAAATACCACTTTTCCAATCTCTCATTTTTACTCAAAAGTAATTAATGTGCTTAAGAAAATGAAGAACAGAATCTTTTCCTGTAGGCTTGGAAAATCTATTATCTCTTCTTCAGTGTCAAGAGTTCAGTTTTCCAGCAGATTTTTCTCCATGTTACTTCTATTTTAGGATGAAAAATTTCAGTATAAAGAATAAAAAGCCAAGCAACAGTTATTTAATCTCTCTCCGTGGCTGGCTCAGCATTAGACTGATATTTGGAAGAGCAAAACACATCTAAGAAGTACCCCCCAAAGACCACAGCTATTTATGAACCGTACTATGTATTTTTATTACTCCTGCAGAGTGGATGACAGAGAAAAGTCATCCACTATCCGTGATGTGTGCTTGCACAGTGATTCTACCCCCCAAAAATTAGGCCCAACAATAGTCTTGTGTCATGAGAGTGACATAATGAGGTCAGGGCATGGAGAGACTCCTGGGACTCCTCCCTGGGGCCAATGTTTAAATTCTTTATCTTGTTGTGAACCACATATGTGATTGCATAAAGGAACGTGACACAGGTGCCTATCTAAAGACTGTCTTCGTGCCCCATTACACATGCTCCCTAAATGGTTCTTGTTTACTTATCAGATTAGTCAAGATTATTGCTATGGATTATAGGTCCTAGAATATGTGTTCAACTACAGTGAATTTTTAGTGTGCTATGATGAATAGATAAAATGAAACAGGAAATCAGAAAAAATAGGAATTACACCTGGAGCAACTTTGAAGACAACTAAATAAGATTTACGTAACTACAAAATCAAATGTTTGTTCAAGAAAACTTGCTTTTAGAAGTTCCTGTTTTTTTTGAATCAGGTTGCTAAAATATAGTGTAAGCAACAGCAGTGAATGTAGAAGATTTTTAAGAAATTAAACTATTTTTTCTTGGGTCATATCCTGTTTTTAAATTCCAGATAATTGTAGATTCACATGCAGTTGTAAGAAATAAAACAGATCCCTTATACATTTTACACATTTCCCACCAGTTATAACATCTTGTGAAACTGTACTATAATATCAGAACTAGGATATTAACATTGACACAATCCACGAATTTTATTAGATTTTCACACTAGTATATCAATATGCAACAATCTCAAATTAAATAGCTTAGTTAAAAAGATTAAATATGTCTCAAAAAAGTAGTTTTACTTATAGTCATGTGTGTGTGTGTGTGTGTGTGTATGTATTTAGTTCTACACAATTTTATCACATGTGTAGGCTTGTGGTTCTACCACCATACCAAGATATACATGTATTCCATCACCATAAAGTTTTCTCATATTACCCTTCTATGAGGTTTAAGTTAAACTGGAAAGAATGCAAAGGTTGTATTTCAAATATGGATTGAAATTTAGAAGTCGCAATACACATATGTTAAGGGGAAAGTGAGATATACACAGACATACTTTGCATTAAACATGGGAATTGCAAATATTATTTACTGGCTGTTACTAGATTTTACAGGGTGACTACAGATAAAAAGGCATTTTTCAAATCAATTTTATAGATGTATATTTTATGTACAATAAAAGGCACTTGCATGAACTGATACAAAATAATTCTGACAAATATATTAATCTATATAGTAACCATACAATCGAGATGTAGAACATTTTCATCACCTTAGGCAACTATTAATTGGATTTATTTCACTTTATATTTGTTTGTCTGCACTAGAATCTCTTATAAATAGATTCACACAGTATGTGGTCTTTTGTGTCTGGGTTCTTTAACTTATCATAATCTTGTTGAGATTTATCCATATTGCTTTATTCATATACACACACAAACACAAATGTGTGTATATATATCTCAATAATTTATTTCTTTTTATGGTAAGATGTAATCCTTATATTTATAGGCCAAAATTTGTTTCATTTACCTGTTGATGCATATAGAGATTATTTAAAGTTTTTGGCCATTACAAAAAATGTGGTTATGAGCATTTGTGTTCAAGTGTGTGTGTGTAATAGATTTTCATAATGTAATTATTTAGACATAGGAGTAGTATGGTACATATGTATAACTTTATAAAATCCTTTCAGCTATGAGTTCCAGTCACAAGAGTTTCAGCTTCTCTCCATCCTTGTCAACACTTGCATTTGTCATTTTTTAAAATTTAACCTTGGTGTATAGAAGTAATCATTTTCACTTTAATTTAAATTGCCCTGTTAATGATTATTAGCATATCCTTATGTTCTTAAAAGCCATTGGTGTTGTTTACTTTTGTAAAATAGTTACTGTCCTCTCCTTTAGTAAAGTGTTTGCTCAAGTCTTTTGTCTATTTTTTAAATTGAGTTGTATATTTTCTTATTTTGAGTTTTAATAATATTATATATTTAATATGACTTGGTTTTTCCATTTAAAAATATTTAAAAGATAATTGATTCTTAAAGGCAAAAATATATAAATGTAGGCTGAGGTTTATAACAGATGTGGAAATTACATTTATGCTAACAATAGCACAATAGATGATAGGTGAAAATTAAATCATATTGCTGTAAATATTTTACAGTTTATGTAAAGAGATATAAAATTATTTGAAGCTAGACTACATATTGTGTAATTTCATTTATATAAAATGTCTAGAAAAGATATTCTTATAGACAGAATGCAAAATTTTAGTCACTTCTCCTAGGGGAGGGAAGTTGCAAGAAGAAATTGACTGCTAGTGTAATAAAGGGAAGTATTTGGGACAATGGAAATGTTCAAAAGAAAGATTATAGTGATATACGTTATTGATAATATGTTAGCTTGGGGTCAGTCGGCAATTGTTAGACTGTTCCTCTGTATTTTGGTTCTTTTCCTTTTGGTCTTATTGTAAGATTCTTCCATGTCTTTTGATATTAAATGATGTCATGTGACTTTCACCGGCCAATGGCATGCTATGTGTCATCTCCAGAGATGAGTTTTAAGAGCCAGTGTAATTTACCATATTTCTCTCTGTTATAGTGAACTATTACATTACAGATGTGTCAGTGAGTGAGGCGGGATGGGACAAACTGACTCCAGTCAATCCTCAATAGACAGGTAGAGAAACAAGAAATAAGCTTTGTTACAAAAATCTACTATTTTGATGTTGTTACTGAAGCATAGTTTCATCTCTTTGAACAGAATAGTTGATTTTGTCACAAGTATTCATTAGATGATTACAAACAAACAGATAAACAAATAAATACGTTATAAATATTTGTATTAATTTGCTAGGGCTTCTGTAACAAAGTACCATAAACTGAATGGCTTAAAAGAGAGTAGCGTATTGTCTCACAATTCAAGAGGCCAGAAGGTTGAGATCAAGGGTTAAGCAGAATTGGTTCTTGGTTTCTTTCCTTCCTTCCTTCCTTCCCTCCTTCCTTCCTTCCTTCCCTCCTTCCTTCCTTCCTCCCTCCCTCCTTTTCTTTTTTTCTTTCTTTCTTTCTTTCTTTCTTTCTTTCTTTTCTTTCTTTCTTTTTTTCCTCTCTCTCTCTCTTCCTTCCTTCCTTCCTTCCTTCCTTCCTTCCTTCCTTCCTTCCTCTCTCTCTTTCTTTCTTTCTTTTTTCTTGACATGGGGTTTTGCTCTTGTTGCCCAGGCTGGAGTGCAATGGCGCGATCTAAGCTCACTGTCTTCTCCGCCTCCTGGGTTCAGGAGATTCTCCTGCCTCAGCCTACTGAGTAGCTGGGATTACAGGCATGCTCCACCACGCCTGGCTAATTTTGTATTTTTAGTAGAGACAGGGTTTCTCCATGTTGGTCAGGCTGGTCTCAAACTCCCAACCTCAGGTGATCCTCAGGTGAGACGGAGTCTCAGCCTCCCAAAGTGCTGGGATTACAGGCATGAGCCACCACACCTGGCAGTTCTTTCTTTTTCAAAATTTTTTTGTGGGCACATAGTCAGTGTATACATTTATGGGGTACATTAGGTGTTTTGATACAGGCATGCAATGTCAAATAAGCACATCATGGAAAATGGGGTACCATCACCTCAAGCATTTATCCTTTGAGTTACAAAAAAAACCCCATTACACTCTTTATTTTAAATTGAACAATTAAGTTATTATTGACTATAGAAACACTTGTGCTATCAAATAGTAGGCCTTACTCATTTTTTCTATTTTTTGCACCCGTTAACCATCTCCACCTCCCTCACACCTGCACCTCCATTACCCTTTTTAGCCTCTGGTAACCATCTTTCTACTTTCTATGTCTATGAGTTCAATTGTTTTGAATTTTAGATCCCACGAATAAGTGAGAACAGGTGATGTTTTTCTTTCTGTATCTGGCTTATTTCAATTAACATAATGATCTCCAGTTCCAACTAAGTTGTTGCAAATGGCAAGATTTCATCTTTTTTTATGACTGAAGAGTACTTCATTGTGCATGTACCACATTTTCTTTGTAAATTCATCTGTTGATGGACACTTAGATTGCCTCCAAATCTTACATATTGTAAACAGTGCAGCAACAAATACAGGAGTGCGGCTATCTCTTTAATACACCATTTTTCTTTCTTTTGGATATATACCCAGCTGTGGGATTGCTGAATTATATGGTAGCTCTATTTTTAGTATTTTGAGGAACTTTCAAACTATTCTCTATAGTGGTTGTCCTAATTTACATTCCCACCAACAGTGTATGAGGGTTCCCTTTTCTTCACACCCTCACCAGCATTTGTTATTGCCTGTCTTTTGAATATAAGCCATTTTAACTGGGGTGAGGTTATACCTCATTGCAGTTTTGATTTGCATTTCTCTGATGAACATCTTTTCATATGGCCATTTGCCATGTATTTCTTTTTTTGAGAACTATCTATTCAAATCTTTAGCCCATTTTTTGATTGAATTATTAGATTTTTTTCCTATAGATTTGTTGCAGCTCCATGTATATTCTGGTTATCAATCTTTTTTTTTCAGATGGGTAGTTGGCACACATATTTTCTCCCATTCCTTAGGTTGTCTCTTCACTTTGTTGATTGTACTCTCTGCTGTACAGAAGCTTTTTAACTTAATATAATCCCATTTGTTTGTTTTTTCTTTGGTTGCCTATGCTTATGGGGTATTGCTCAAGAAATTTTTGTCCAAACCAATGTCCTGAAGATTTTCTCTAATGTTTCCTTGTAGTAGTTTCATGGTTTGAGGTCTTAAAGTCTTTAATCTATTTTTATTTGATTTTTGTATATGGTTAGAAGAAGGGATCTAGTTTCTTTCTTCCACATACGGATATTTGTTTTTTCCAGAACCGTTTATTGAGCAGATTGTCTTTTCCCCAGTGTATGTTCTTGACACCTTTCCTGAAAATGAGTTCACTCTAGGTGTGTGGATTTTTAATTTGTTTTGTTTTTTTGAGATGGAGTCTCACTCTGTCGCACAGGCTGGAGTGCAGTGGCATGATCTCGGCTCACTGCAAGCTCCGCCTGCCAGGTTCACACCATTCTCCTGCCTCAGCCTCCTGAGTAGCTGGGGCTGCAGGCATCCGATACCACGCCTGGCTAATTTTTTGTATTTTTGGTACTGACAGGGTTTCACTGTGTTAGCCAGGATAGTCTCAATCTCCTGACCTTGTGATCCACCTGCCTCAGCCTCCCAAAGTGCTGGGATTACAGGCATGAGCCACCACACCAGCCAGGTGTGTGGATTTTTTTCTGGGTTCTCTATTCTCTTCCATTGGTTTACGTGTCAGTTTGTATGCCAGTGCTTTACTGTTTTGGTTACTATATCTCTGTAGTATCATTTAAAGTCAGGTGATGCAATTCCTCCAGTTTTGTTCTTTTAGCTTAGGATAGCTAAGGCCATTCTGGGTCTTTTGTGGTTCCATATAAAGTTTAATTTTTTTTTCTGTTTCTATGAAGGATGTCATTGGCATTTTGATAGAGATTGCATTGAATACATAGATTGCTTTGGATAGTATGAACATTTTTGACAATATTGATTCTTCCAATCCATGAACATGGAATATTTTTTCATTTTTTGGTGTTCTCTTCAATTTCCTTCATGATTGTTTTATAGTTTTTATTATAGAGATATTTTATGTCTTTGGCCAAGTTAACTCCTGGGTATTTAAATTTATTTGTGGCTATTGTAAATGAGATTACTTTCTTAATTTCTTTTCACATTGTTCACTATTGGAATATAGAAATGCAACTGAATTTTATGTTGATTTTTGTATACTGAAACTTTACTGAATTTGTTTATCAGTTCTAATAGTTTTCTAGTGTAGTCTTTAGGTTTTTCCAAGTATAAGATCATATCATTTGCAAAAAAAGATAATTTGACTTATTCTTTTCCAATTTGACTGCTCTTTATATCTTTCTTTCATCTGATTGCTCTAGTTAGGACTTCCAGTATTATGCTGAATAATAGTGGTGACAGTGGGGATCCTCATTGTGTTCTAGATTTTAGAGGAAAGGCTTTAAATATTTCCCCATTCAGTATGACACTAGCTATATGTCTGTCATATATGGCTTCTATTATGTTGAAGTATGTTCCTTCTAACCTTAGTTTTTTGAGTTTTTTTTTTATGATTAATGTATGTAGACTGTTATCCAATGCTTTTTCAGCAGCACCTGAAATTATCAAATAATTTTTATCCATCTTTCCATTTATATGATGTGTCACATTGATTGATTTGTGTATGTTGAACCATCCTTGCATCATAGGGATAAATCCCATTTGGTCATGATAAATGATCTTTCTAACTTTTGTTGAATTTGGTTTGCTAGTATTGGGTTGAGGATTTTTGCATCAATATTCACTGGAGATACTGGTCTTTTTGAAATGTATCTTTGTCTGGTTTTGAAGCCATGTCTCGAGCTCTACCTTGGCCCTTTTAGCTATGGCTAGAGGAGCTGGGACCCAGGATACCAAGTGTCTAGACTGCACACAGCAGCCTGGGCCCTGAAACCATTTTTCCCTCCTAGGTCTCCAGGCCTGTTATGGGAGAGGTTGCCTCAAAGCTCTCCAAAATGCCCTGGAGACATTTTACCCATTGTCTTGGTGATTAACAGTTGGCTCCTCATTACTTATGCAAATTTCTGCAGCTGGCTTAAATTTCTCCTCAGGAAATGGGCTTTTCTTTTCTATTGCATTGTCAGGCTGCAAATTTTCTGAACGTTTATGCTGTTTCCCTTTTAAAATTGAATGCTTTTAACAGCATCCAAGTCACCTCTTGAATGCTTTGCTGCTTAGAAATTTCTTCTGCCAGATACCCTAAATCATCTCTCTCAAGTTCAAAGTTCTGCAAATCTCTAAAGCAGGGGTAAAATGCCACCAGTCTCTTTACTATAACATAGCAAGAGTGACCTTTACTCCAGTTTCCAACGACTTCCTCATCTCCATCTGAGACCACCTCAACTGGAATTTCATGGTTCATATTATTATCAGCATTTTGGTCAAAGCCATTCAACAAGTCTGTAGGAAGTTCCAAACTTTCCCATATTTTTCTGTCTTCTTCTGAGCCCTCCAAAATGTTCCAACCTCTGTCTGTTCCCCAGTTTCAAAGTTACTTCCACATTTTCAGGTATCTTTACAACAGTGTTCCACTGCCGGTACCAATTTACTGTATTAGTTTGCTTTCATGCTGCTGATAAATACATACCTGAGACTGGGTAATTTATAAGAAAAGGAGGTTTTTAGCACTTTGGGAAGCCAAGGTGGGTAGATCATGGTGTCAGGAGTTTGAGACCAGCCTGATCAACACGGTGAAATCCTGTCTCTACTAATAATACAAAAGTTAGCCGGGCATGGTGCCAGACACCTGTAAACCCAGCTACTCAGGAGGCTGAGGCAGGAGAATCACTTGAACTCAGGAGGCAGAGGCTGCAGTGACCCAAGATCACAACATTACACTCCAGCCTGGGTGACAGAGCGAGGCTCCATCTCAACCAAAAAAAAAAAAAAAAAAAAAGAAAAGGAGTTCTAATGGACTCACAGATCCATGTTGCTGGGGAGGCCTCACAATCACGGCACAAGGCAAGTGGCACAGCTCACATGGTTGCAAGAAAAGAGAGGAGAGCCAAGTAAAAAGGGGTTTTCCCTTATAAAACCATTAGATCTTGTGAGACTTATTTACTACCATGAGAACAATATGGGGGGAACTGCCCCCATGATTCAATTATCTCCCACTAAGTCCCTCCCCCAACACATGGGAATTACCATTCAATATGAGGTTTGGGTGGGGACAGAGCCAAACCATATCAGGGCCTATCTCTGTCTTTATCTCTGATAATATTCGCTTTATATACCTGGGTGTTCCAGTGTTAGTTGCATATATATTTAAAACTTTTATATCCTTTTGCTGAATAAACTACTTTACTTTTATTTAGTGACCTTGTCTGTCTCTTCTTATAGTTGTTGTCTTGAAATCTATTTCCTCTAATATAAATATAGGGACTCCTGCTGTTTTTTCCCATTCCTTTATTTTCAGTGTATGTGTGCTTTTACAGTTACAGTGTGTTTCTTGTAGGAAACAGATAAATGGATCTTGTTTTTTATCCATTTAGCTAGTGTATGTCTTTTGATTGGAGAATTTAGTCCATTTACATTCAATGTTATTACTGATAAGTAAGGACTTCATCCTGCCATTTTGTTAATTTATTTGCTGGCTGTTTTGTGGTCGTCTCTTCCTTCTTTCTGTCTTTCCTATCTGCTTTTAGCAAAGGTGATTTTCTCTGGTGATATGATTTAGTTTCTTGTTTTTTATTTTTTGTGTCTCCATTGTATTTTTTTTGGTTTATGGTTACCATGAGGCTCACAAATACTATCTTATAATCCATTACTTCAGCCTGATAACAACTTAACACTATTTGCATAAACAAAGTAACAAACAAGCTAAAAGAAAACTAATAAAAATTCTATGCCTTAACTTTGTCTCCTTGCTTTTAAACTTTTTGTTGTTTCTATTTACATATTATTGTACTGTCTTAAAAAGTTGTGGTAGTTATAATTTTTGATTGGTTCAGCATTTATTCTTTCTACTTAGCATAAGAGTAGTTTACACACCATAGTTACAGTGTCATAGTATTTTGTGTTTTTCTATTACCAATGAGTTTTGTACATGCAGATCATTTATTGTTGCCCATTAATGTCCTTTTCCTTCTGATTGAAGTACTTCCTTTAATGTTTCTTGTAGATCTCATCTAGCATTAATGAAATTCCTCAGCTGTTCTTTGTCTGGGAAATTCTTTATTTCTCCTCATTTGAAGGATATTTTCACCAGATATACTCCTCTAGGGTAAAAGGCTTTTTTCTTTAGCCTTTTAAATATGTCATGCTACTCTTACCCGGCCTGAAAGTTTCCACTAAAAAGTCTGCTGACAGATGTATTGGAGCTCCATTATATGTTACGTGTTCTCTTGCTGCTTTTAGAATCCTCTTTATCTTTGACCTTTGGGAGTTTTATTATTGAATGTCTTGTGTTACCTTCTTTGGGTTAAATCTACTTAGTGTTCTATAACCTTCTTGTGCTTGGTTATTGATATATTTCTCTAGGTTTGGAAAGTTCTCTGTTATTATCCCTTTGAATAAACTTTCTGCCCCTCTTTCTCTACCTCCTCTTTAAGGCCAGTAACTCTTAGATTTGCCCTTTTGAGGCTATTTTCTAGATCCTGTAGGTGTGCTTCACTGTTTTTAATTCTCTTTAATTTTGTCTGTTCTAACTGTGCATGTTCAAATAGGCTGTCTTCTAGCTCACTAATTCTTTCTTCTGCTTGATCTGTTCTGCTATTAAATGACTCTGATGCATTCTTCACTATGTCCATTGCATTTTCAGCTCCATAATTTCTGCTTTATTTTTTAAAAAAATTATTTCAATCTCTTTGTTAAATTTATCTGATAGAATTCTGAATTCCTTCTCTTTGTTGTCTTGAATTTCTTTGAGTTTCCTCAACACAACTATTTTAAATCCTCTGTCTGAAATGTCATATAGCTCTGTTTTTCCAGGCTTGGTCTCTGATTTCTTATTTAGTTTTTTTAGTGAGGTCATGTTTTCCTGCATGGTGTTGATACTAGCAGATATTCTTTGGTGTCTGGATATTGAAGAGTTAGGTATTTGTGGTAGTCTTCACTGTCTGGGCTTATTTTTAATCCTACTTCATGGAAAGGCTTTCCAGATATTTGTAAAGACTTGGATGTTGTGATCTACACTGTATTTGCTTTAGGGGGTACCCCAAGCCAGTAATGCTGTGGTTCTTACAGACTCATAGAGGAACCAACTTGATGATCCTGAACAACATCTGGGAGAATTCTCTGGATTACTAGGGAGTGACTCTTGTTCTCGTCCCTTATTTTCTTCCCAACAAACAGAGTCTTTCTGTCTCTTCTCTGAGCTACCTAAAACTGGGGTTGGAATGACACAAGCACCTTTGTTGCCAACATCAGTACGACTGTGCTGGGTCAGATCTGAAGCCATCACAGAACTGGATCTCACAAAAGGCCTGCTGTCGCCACTTCCTGGCTACTGCCTATGTTTACTCAAGGCCCTGAGGCCTTTCAATTAGCAGGTTGCAAAGCCAGCCAGGCCTGTACTCTTCCTTTCAGGGTAGTGAGGTCTCCAGGCCCTGCATGGGTCCAGAGTTGCCATCAGGAAGTCAGAAACTAGCGTCAAAAACCTTATAAGACTACCTGGTGTTCTATTGTACTGTGGCACTCAAACCACAGGACACAGTCCTTCTGAGTATTCCCTCCCCTTTTCAAAGTCAGAGGAGCCTCACCCTGTAGCTACTGCCACCCCAGGCCATGAGGAGTATTGCCAGACTACTGTTAACGTTCCCTTAAGACCCAAGGTCTCTCTCTTTCTTTTTTTTTTTTTTAAACATAAATACACTTTAAGTTCTAGGGTACACATACACAACGCAAGGTCTCTTAAGTCAGCTCGTGGAGAATGCTGCCTGGCCTGGGACTCAACCTTCAGAGGAGTGGGCTCCCCTCTGGCCCAGGGTGGTCCAGAAATGCCATCCAAGAGTCAAGTCCTGGAATCAGGGAGCCCAAGAGCTTGCTTGATGCTCTACATGCCTGTGGGCTGTGCTGGTACCTGAAGCCAGCAATTCTCAGAGGCTCACCCAAAGCCCCCAACATAGTACCTGGGTATTGCTGCTGGCTATTCATGGCCCAAGGGCTCTCCAGTTAGCAGATGATTAATGCTGCCAGGACTGAGTTTTTTTCCTTCAAGGCAATAGTTTTCCTTCTATCCCACGGTGTGTCTAGGACTGTCATCTGGGAGGCCTAGAACGGGGGTCTCACAACTCTGATTGCTGCCCTGACCTGCTGTGGCTTAGCTGGTATCCAAGATGCAAGGCAAAGTCCTCCCCACTAATCCCTCTGCTCTCCTCAAGTAGAAGGATGGTATCTTTTTTTTTTTTTTTTTTTTTTTTTTAGAAAAAGTCTCACTTTGTTACCCAGGCTGGAGTGCAGTGGCAGTATCTCAGCTCACTGCAACCTCTGCCTCTTGGGTTAAAGCGATTCTCCTGCCTCAGCCTCCTGAGTAGCTGGGATTACAGGCATGCACTACCACACATGGCTAATTTTTGTATTTTTAGTAGAGACAGAGTTTTGCCACGTTGGGCAGGCTGGTCTTGAATTCCTGATCTCAAGTGATCAGCCCACCTCGGCCTCCCAAAGTGCTGGGATTACAGCTGTGAGCCACCGTGCCCAGCCAGGATGGTATCTCTTTTGGAGCCAAACAAGGGCAGCCTGGGGTTAGGGGAAGCGATATCAGTGGCATTCCTTTAGCCACCCCAGCTAGTGTCTCAATATGTCACATGCCCCCCCAGTCCACTGTCTCTCAGCCTAGTTCAGCACTAGGACTCACCTATGAGTTGCAGTCTTTATGGCCTAGATTGCCTTTCAAGTTTATATGAAGACACAGAGTACTTGGGCCCTCAGTGGTGAGGTTTGCGGGAACTCAAGTTCCAGCCTCTAGGATGGGTAATTCTCCTGTGGCTAGGGCTGGTTTAAATGCTCCCTCCTTGGTCAGGAGTCAGCTGAGTTTGATTCCATTTTCCTTTCCTCTTTAACAGTACAGCACTGTGTTCAATGCCTCATACCCGTTATGTTCTCCCTCCTCCAGTGCCTGGAGACACTCTTTGTACCATGCCACTGCTGCCAGGGGTAGGGGAGGGGTGGCATCAGTGGTTCAGGACTGTTTTTTCTATATTTTCAGTGCCTCTTTCAGCAATATGAAGTTAAAACCAGGTACTATGAGTACTCACCTGGTTTTTGGCCCTTATGAAGGTTTTTTCTGTGTATATAGTTGTTAAATTGGTGTCCTGGTGTGGGGGATGATTAGTGAAGCCTTTTTTTCTTTTTTTTTTTTTGAGATGGAGTCTTACTCTGTCACCCAGGCTGGAGTGCAGCAGCACAATCTCTGCTCACTGCAACCCTTGCCTCCTGGGTTCAAGCGATTCTCCTGTCTCAGCCTCCCAAGTAGCTGGGACTACAGGTGTGCACCACCACGCCCTGTTAATTTTTGTATTTTTAGTAGAGAAGTGGTTTCACCATGTTGGCCAGGCTGGTCTTGAACTCCTGGCCTCAGATGATCCACCCACCTTGGCCTCCCAAAGTGCTGGGATTACAGGCTTGAGCCACCGCACTTGGCCTAGTGGAGCCTTGTATTCCACCATCTGGCTCCACATAGAATTGGTCCTTTCTGAGTGCTGTACAGAAGAATCTAGTCTTTTGCTCTTGGTGGTTTTCTGGCAATCTTTAGCATTCCTTGGCATGTAGAAGCATCACCCAGATCTTGTCTTTATCTTCACGTTGCATTCTCCCTGTGTTCATGTCTATCTTCACATTTCCCCTCTTCAAAAGGAAACTAGTAATGTTGGACCAGGGGCCCACCCTACTCAAGCATGACTTAACTAATTACGTCTGCAGTAACTCTATATCTAAATGAGGTCACATTCTGAGGTGCTAGAGGCTATTAGGACTTCAACATATAAATGGGGTGGGAGGGCAGAATTAATTATATAACATTCATAGAACACAGTATAGACATATATAGACCAATGAAAATTGGCTGTTATAAACCAAGAATTCCATTGTCTCTACTGTTTTCTTGTAGGTAGTGCTGCTTCATCTATAGCCTATAGCCAATAAAAACAACATTACACAACATATTATTTACTATATTTTAGAACTCAGAACTATTATTTTTGCTCAGATAGGATTGTATTAAGGGATTATATTTGGATTATACAATTTAAAGAAGTAGCATTTAAGAATTTGCCTATATGTTATGTAGGTTTAAATCAAAGGCTGGTTTTATAATGTCTGCAAGTGTACTTTCGAAAATTTCTTTGCAAAAGTGGAATCTGTGTGTGTTTGGGGACATGGTAAATGGTTCTGAGTTGGTATACTCTTTCAATGACACCTCCTGCTGTGGGCTTTATAGCTGTTCTTGCATAAAACCCCTCTGATTTGGGCCAAAAGAAAATGGTGGGAGTGATTTAGAGAAAAGTTTAGAATTTGAATCTTAAATTAATGTAATTACAAGAGTCAAATGATCTAATTTTTTAAACTTCCATTTCTCTGTGTTAAAGGCAGGGTTTGGGTATTGGTGTGCTTGTTTGGGTAACATAGGTGAATAAAAACAAAAGGATAAATAAAATATAGGTCAACTGGCAGTGCAACATGTAAGCTGGCCTTGTGATTAAACAATGTTTTGTTTTGAATCAGGTCTGAAGCTTCTGGAGGTGCCAAGGAGGGATAATCAAAGGGTCTTGAGATCATGGATGTCAGAACTAGCAGGAGAGAGTCATAGAGGTGTAGCAGGAAGGATCTAGGAAGTGACTTCAAAAGTTTAGGCATTGCTTTTCTGATTTCATTTTCCCCCTAAAATGGACAGTTAGGGCTCTAATTCACTAAAGGTATCCCAGTAACTGCATGTGATTGAAAAGCACTAAGAAATTAAAAACCAAAAAACAAACAGAAACAATACTTCTCTATCATTGTTTTTCCTTCCCACTGTACTGTTCAAGGATAGCAGATACTAATATGAATAAGTCATATTATAGAGCCTTGATTAGGCATGTTTACAACAAGGGTGGTTTTCAAAGAAATTTTAAAATGCAGAAAACCACATAAAAGTTTCTAAAACCTAAAGTCAGGCAGTCATTTATGAGATTAATTGGGGAAACCTTTCTGAACCTCCTCCCTCCAAAAATTTCACAGAAGTATGGTGTTGATTGGCCCCTTGGCCTTTTCTTGTCAGTTTGGGAGCTGGCTTTAGGCTGCTGTCCTGGTCTACGATAAACATGTGGCTTAGGCTTTGGGTCAAATTACCTCTTTCAGTCTTTCTTCCCAACCCCCTGTTTCCTCTTACACAGCCCACTAACCAGTCCAAGGCTAGTGCTCAATATGCTTCTCATCAGACTGGTGAAAGCCAAATGTACACACTGGTTTTGGAAGTCCTGAGAAATAGAGCAATAATTGCAACTCTCATGATTTCAAGGAGCTCCTGAGATCTCCCTGGAATAGATTTTAAAGTAATTTAAACAGAGCCCAGTACAACTTGTTCAAAAGCTAAGTGGAATTTTGGACTAAGCTCAATAAAATAATAATATGTTATTTTAGTTTTCTTGATCCCCTGTCCATAAACTCCCAGAGAGACTTTGGGTGGCAGATTTGCTTACTTGGGGCAGGATTCAGGCATTCCTCCCTTGTTAGGTCCATTATCGCCATTAAACTTATTCACATGCACCTCTTAATACCATGTCAACTTTATCACAATTTCTAATACTCACCTTTAAGTACTTTAAAAACTAATTTTAAAAATCTGATAAAAACTGGCAGTAAGTTATTCTCAGTTTTAGATGAAAATGTCAGTAGCAAAACTTTTACCAAATTAGTTCATTTACCATGTTCTCATTTCCTATGGTTCAAGGAAAGAATTTCCTCTGAAAACAAAACCAACCCAAATAATAGAGAGGAAAAGTTTAGCATTTATTTATCTTGTATTCTGATTAAGTTATTATTTTATCCTCTAATAAAAATAACTATAAATTTAAAGTAAAATTAGTCATTAGTTATTGCTTGTTACTTCTTGATAGGCTTATATTTTGATTTCAAATACAGAGCAACACATTCTCACTGAGGTTATAAGTAAGCCTGGATCTAGAGTTTTGCGCACTTAAATATTCTTGAGTATATTAATACTCCTGATTGTATGAAATATTATGTCTGTTTGATTTTCAATTTCAAAATTATTTAGGAAACTACATTATAAATGCTGGATATGCCTTAACAATCAACAGTGACTCATACATTTGTGTTTACGTATATTGAATTACAAATAAATCACCAATGAAATTTCAAACTCAATACAATTTTTTTCTATTAAAACTACAAAAAATGGGCCTGGCGCGGCAGCTCACGCCTGTAATCCTACCACTTTAGGAGGCTGAGGAGGGTGGATTGCCTGAGCTCAGGAGTTCGAGACCAGCCTGGGCAACACAGTGAAACCCCATCTCTACTAAAATACAAAAAATTATTCGGGTGTGGCAGCATGCACCTGTAGTCCCAGGTACTCGGGAGGCTGAGGCAGAATTGCTTGAATCCAGGAGGCAGAGGATGCAGTGAGCCGACATCATGCCACTGCACTTTAGCCTGGGGGACAGAGCGAGACTCCATCTCCAAAACAAACACACAGACAAACAAAACTACAATAAATGGCAATCCTAGTCTTGTTGTCCTTCAAATGTTACATCGATATTCCAAGATAAAATGCAAAATTAAAAAAACTTTATAATGCAAGTTTCTCAAATTGAAAGCGACTTATGTTTTTTCAAAAATATTTTAAATCTCTACTTATATGTTTAATATATTAGATTAATATTTAATATATTTAAGATATATGATTATCTCTTATATCTAATATCTTAGATATTAAAAAAGATATAATCATAAAATTTTCTATCACTTTTAAAGTTTCAAGTGTTAAAATCATAGGCTGGTTTTATAATCTCTGCAAGTGTACTTTTGAAACACTTCTGTAAAAGTAGGACCTGTGAGTGTTTGGGGACATGGGGAGTAGTTCTGAGCTGGTATACTATAATTTTAAGTTAAATTAAAATTAAAGCCACTGAAACACTTCAGAAATATATATATATATCTATTTACATATATATCTATATACATATACACATATATATACACACACATATATCATGGGATATAGTTTTAATATGGAAAATATTATGCTAAGAATAAAACTGCTATTCTCCCCTTCACCATTAATACATAATTAAAATCGAGCAATTGACCTAAACCAGTAGTTTTTAACTTTTCGGTCTCCAAGCCTATTCTGTGGTCTTCCAATTTATTGATGATCCAGAAAAGCTTTTGTTGATTAAAATTAATACTGAGCAATTAAATATATGTATATTATTTATTTATTTTAGAAGGAAAAATTACAAACGAACATAAATACAACATTTTCATAAAAAGGATTTTATTTTCAAAATAAAAAATATTTATTGAGAAGAGGAACATTGCTTTACTTGTTTTCAAATAATGTTAATGTCTGGCTTCACAGGAGTATGGGACCCCCATCATTGCTTCGCACATTTCATTAGCTGTCAGGGCAATGCTGGGGTCCCTGCACCACACTTTGAAACCATTGGCCTAAACTCTCTATGCCAGCACAAGAAAGCACTTAACATGATGGTGACAGAATTTCTTTTCTGTTCATCAATTTCGTTTATGACTTTTCCTTCAGATAAATAAAACATTTCCCTTATTTTATTCCCTTTTTCATTCATTCATCCCTGTGTGTTTTTCAGAAATTGTACTGATTCCTACAGATAAAAACGATGATTTATGCCAATTAAATGTTATAATTTAGGTAAAGCATCTGGAAATGTACTGGCTCTTGGTAGCTATTCAATTAATGATTTGGTCTCACTAAGGCCATGCATAAAATGGAGTAATAGAGCATAGTAAGAATATCTGATGATTATTTTCATGGAGGAAATCATTCTGTGAGTAAAGCTTAGGTGGAATAGGAAGGAAGACACCAGAGGCATTTGGTATACCAGGTTACACATGTGAATCAATTATGGTAGGAATGAAGAGAAGTGACAAGGACTGAGATACCCATGGAGGTAAAATAAAGAGAATAGGTGAACATATTGGGTGAAGAAGAAGAAAGGACAAAGGGTGGATTTGAATAGGGGTGGCCTAACCAGAATTATGTTTAATACTTAAGACATTGAAAACAGAATATTCACTAAGCAGGTATTGCTACTCTTCCTATCTATTTAGGTCAGTTATTTATATTTCAGTTAGGGATTCTCATTAAAGTGCCTTATTGAGGCATGTGCTTAAGAGAAGATAAGTGAGAGAAACAGAATAAAGGCAGGAGAAGAAAAATAAGCATGCCTGTGTTCTCAATTGAATTCTACCTTAGCCTTGATGCACAGGGAAATCTGGGACACAAATTAGACCGCTGATTTGGTCTCAACTTGAAGCAAGGGGTCAATAGTTTGTACCTCTATATCATTCCATCAATGTTTGCTGGCTGGTGAGCAGTTATCTAACCTCTGGATGAGGAAGCTTGCATTAAACTGAGAGAATCCTCCAGACAAGAGGGCATCTTTGCACCATTAGTAATCAACACTCAGTTCAGCTGGGGGGAATGAGGGTAGCAATGAAGGGGCCTGGATGGTGCAACATCAGCATCCGTAAATACCACCCCTTGAATGACTCAGATTCACTTTCTTTTCTAATTAAGTTTACTTCATCCAGACATCTTACTTGCTCACAATTTTTGGAAACATTTATAAGAAAAGTGTTTATAGCAAGAAATGCAACCAACTGATCCCGGTGGGTCAGCAGTTAATCTTGTAGCATCACCTCAGTCTACCACAGCTACTAGATTTCCCTTCTGCTAGATAGGCACTACCCTCCAAATGGTTTGGTGAGTGGGGTGACTAAGGGTTTCGAGCCCCTATTTGCCATGACTTCATCAGGCTGTGGTTGCTGTTATTGCCATTTATAATTAAAAACAGAAATGTCAGAAAGTAATAAAACGCTAAAAAATAAAAGATAGTAGGATACAGAAGCTGGCCTGAAGGAGCGCTCATAGGCCACAGCTGGAACAATTTGAACAATGAAATGATAGAATTGGATTATAATCCAAACATTAAATATCAACAAGTCTATACTGATGTAAATAAATGATAAGGTAAATAAATAAATGGGGAAATGAGACAATTCTTACTTAAAGAAGCATTCCAATTAATGGAAGTACAAGTAATAAAAATAGAAAGACACTGGAGAAGAGCAGCACAGCAATAATTTCTGCAGGCAAAATGAATTGATGAACACTACAATTAGTGGGTGAAAATGGAAGAAAAATAGGTATTTACATTGCCACAAGTGTCTTCTTCTATTTATTAATTACCATGGTGGTTTTTTGAAACATATGTTTACCAGTTTTTGATATTTCTCCCTCCAGGAGGTGAAGCATAATTATCTTCCCCTTGAAGATGGGCTTGTTCTAGTAATGCTTGTGTCATGAACAGTCTGGAAATGTAGAAAGATAATTTTACAGTGGAGAACTCTAACAGACATCACCTGAAACAAGTAATCAAGTTCAATGTCACCAGTAATAAGTAATAAGACAATTGATATCATGTGCTCCTTAATGTGATTCAATGAGAAGGGCATATCATCTCCATGGCGTTCTTCCCCAAAATCCACAAACCCAGTCAGATGTTCAGATGATCCCAAATGAGAAACACTCTGCAAAATACCTGACCTACTTTTCAAGTGTCAAGATCATGGAAATGATGAACTGTCACAGAGCGGAGGAGAATAAGGAATAATGAAAATTAAATGTGATGTGGGGTCTCACACTGAATTTCAAAAAAGAACAAACTAGTAAAAATCTACTAGTGAAGAAAAGTAGTGAAATTCAATTAAAGTTTGTAGTTTAGCTGATAGCATTGTACCTATGTTAATTACTTAGTTTTGAGAATGGTATTATGTATGTAAGATGCTAATACTAGAGGAAGTTAATATGAAATATGCATAAAAACTTTCTGTACTATTTTTGCAACTCCAGTATAAGTCTAAAATTATGTCAAGATATATAGGTTTTAAAAAAATGCCATGCAAGCATAAATAGATGCTTCAGTGAATCATCAGAGTGCTAAATATATTCTGTGATGTATCCTTTATATGGCAGTGATCCTACCCTCTCTTAAATGTCTGGGTCAATTGCCCCTGACAGTCTGCTGGTCTATTGACATGAGGAGCAGCAATCATACTTTTATTTCCATGGAACACTTACTATGCTTTTTAGTAAAACATCAACATCTCTTAGATAAAGTCCTCCTGACAAACTGCATCTAAAATTTCAGCAAGAACACACAGTTCCCTAAGTGAGTCATAGGGAGTGATGGTGAGTGGAACCATACCAACTTTCAGCTCTTGGTTCCTGAACCTACGTATTCAACTACTGGTAACACTACATATGATGGCCAGTGGTTTACAGTGTGTACCACATTGTTTATAATGGTATTTCCGGCTCTCAGAATGTCTTCTTCAAGCTGACACATTCAAGAGGCGCTTCCAATGTTTTATGAAGCCAGCAGCTTTTGAAAGGTGCGCTGTATGTTAAAATAGTTGGTTCTATGTTCATGTTTCTCTTTCCACATTCTTTTCTATAAAGTATGCCCCTAGTTCTGGTGTGATCTTATATAGGATTCCATATAACAGGTAAAAAAGGGAAATCCATACCTGGAATGTATTAATATTGAAAGTATCTGATATAATTAATGGACCACAAAATGACTGCTTGCTCTCTTAAAGTAATGGTGTCATATCAAGGACTCAGCATTGTTCTTTGACACTGGATGGCTGCACATTTAGCAGTGGCAGTGGACTGATCAGCCTTGGTAAAACAGTTCCAATGCAGTTGAGCTCACAGATAGTGTACGTTTCAGCCACTATAGCTGCTTTACTTATGAACCCACTGCATAAGCACTATGGTGTCCAAATAGAGGGGCTGGCTGACATCAGTTAGCCATGCCGTTTTGACTACTTGGTTGTTTGGGGCACCTTCTCTAATGGATGTTCTCTTGCAAGCATTCGACTTTAATTAAAAAATATCCTCACACTTGCTGCCCCCTCCCATAATTAGAACCACAGGTCTTTTCCTCAGACATCCTTGTTTGCAATCTTCCAATGTTGTTTCTTCTGGGCCTATTTCAGTTATCAATTTACTGCATCAAATCTCAAAACCTACCTATCTTTATCCTGCTTTGTGATACTCAAGCTGAACCTTGTAAATACTTCTCCTTTTAATGATTGCCATTCTAACTGGTGTGAGATGGTATCTCATTGGGGTTTTGATTTGCCTTTCTCTGATGGCCAGTGATGGTGAGCATTTTTTCATGTGTTTTTTGGCTGCATAAATGTCTTCTTCTGAGAAGTGTCTGTTCATGTCCTTCGCCCACTTTTTGATGGGGTTGTTTGTTTTTTTCTTGTAAATTTGTTTGAGTTCATTGTAGATTCTGGATATTAGCCCTTTGTTAGATGAGTAGGTTGCAAAAATTTTCTCCCATTTTGTAGGTTGCCTGTTGACTCTGATGGTAGTTTCTTTTGCTTTGCAGAAGCTCTTTAATTTAATTAGATCCCATTTGTCCATTTTGGCTTTTGTTGCCATTGCTTTTGGTGTTTTAGACATGAAGTGCTTGCCCATGCCTATGTCCTGAATGGTAATGCCTAGGTTTTTTTCTAGGGTTTTTATGGTTTTAGGTCTAATGTTTAAGTCTTTAATCCATCTTGAATTAATTTTTGTATAAGGTGTAAGGAAGGGATCCAGTTTCAGCTTTCTACATATGGCTAGCCAGTTTTCCCAGCACCAATTATAAAATAGGGAATCCTTTCTCCATTGCTTGTTTTTCTCAGGTTTGTCAAAGATCAGATAGTTGTAGATATGCGGCGTTATTTCTGAGGGCTCTGTTCTATTCCATTGATCTATATCTCTGTTTTGGTACCAGTACCATGCTGTTTTGGTTACTGTAGCCTTGTAGTATAGTTTGAAGTCAGGTAGCGTGATGCCTTCAGCTTTGTTCTTTTGGCTTAGGATTGACTTGGCAATGCGGGCTCTTTTTTGGTTCCATATGAACTTTAAAGTAGTTTTTTCCAATTCTGTGAAGAAAGTCATTGGTAGCTTGATGGCGATGGCATTGAACCTATAAATTACCTTGGGCAGTAGGGACATGGATGAAATTGGAAATCATCATTCTCAGTAAACTATTGCAAGGACAAAAAACCAAACACCGCATGTTCTCACTCTTAGGTGGGAATTGAACAATGAGAACACATGGACACAGGAAGAGGAACATCACACTCTGGGGACTGTTGTGGGATGGGGGAGGGGGGAGGGATAACATTAGGAGACATACCTAATGCTAAACAATGAGTTAATGGGTGCAGCACACCAGCATGGCACATGTATACATATGTAACTAACCTGCACATTGTGCACATGTACCCTAAAACTTAAAGTAAAATAAATAAATAAATAAATAAATAAGTAAATTGGGTTATTTGTAAAAAAAAAAAATACTTCTCCTTTGCCAGCAGGCACAATGTTAGTCTTTATCAGTGGAGAGCACTTCAGGGACGCTCTAGGAGGAAGGGGCTTTTCTTCCTCTGGTTCTGGTGTGCTTTCTTCTTTTTTGATTCTATGCTATGTGATGGCCAGCAACATGTGAGACACGCAGTTATACCTTCCCAGTGACATTCACTCTGAATTTTCCTAGCACCCTTGAGGACAGCTTTCCAACCTGTTTTATCAGCAGTCCAGAGGGTGGAGTCTTAGAAAAAGTTTTGACAGCATTCCCGAGAGTAGTTTGCCAGCGAGTTTCAGCAACAAGCTGCCATCTTAGTCAGTTTCCTCTAGGGTCTCATTGGCCCTCCAGTGGGCAGTTTCTCCTATGGCATTTCAGAGAATTTCTGCACCACGCAATACTTCCCAGCCACATCCTTTCCAACGAAGTTTAAATCTCGGCCTCTCTCTAGAACACTCTTCCAAGTTGGTTCTTTCCTTCCATGCTCTACCTCAGTCCTAGAGGTAGTGGCTATTCTTTGTATTTTCTATTTCCCTATTCTATAGAGTTCAACTGTACTATTTGGTAATTAATCCCTGTTATTAGTGAATATTTTCATTAAAAATTCCCTGTGCAAATTACTGCTACATGTTCTGTATTCTGTCTTCTACCTTTGACTGATATGTGGCCCTTTACTATGTAGCAATTCTGTTTTTCACTACCAATAAGCCTATGCATATCCTTACAATGGGCCACTTTTAGGTTAAGAGAATAATCAAATGTACTGCCTAAAGCTTGACCTATTGAAAGAATTTTTCCCTCACCATATTCTTTCAGAACCATATTAAAAGTAGGATATGGAATCTATATTTTACTTCAGCCCATGTAACAAGCTGATACTACCCACAGGCTGATCAAGCATGATGTTATTTTCTCTTTCATCAGCTCATCATGAATGGTATCTATGTGACATTGGCGTGGGTTGAGTAAGAGGCATTAGATGGTAAATAACATGGGGCTCCAGACCAGTTGTTTGTAGCTTGCTTTGCCCTTTATATCTTAGTTTCGCCCTTAAGCATTCTTCAAGCAGTAATGCTTCCATTTTATAATTGTTTTTAACTTGGCCTGCCTAAACATATGATTTGGTGGCCATGACAGCTAACTATGGGTAATTATTGCTACATGGGCACTCAAAGTAACATGATCAGAGACTTTCTAGTAGGGCCCTGTAGCAGCACAGGATCTATTTTCCCCATTGTGGAGAGTTCTCTGCTAAAGATCTCTTCTGCCAGTCTTATGGGTCAGTGTTGTGACGCTTCTACTGCTCTTTGTCAGAGGCCCCACCCATCTTTTTAAACATGGATAACTCTAATAACATAGAGTCTTCTGGAGTGCATATCCCAAAATACAGGGCTACTTATACAGCTGAACCTACAGTAGAGCCATTTCCTGCTTAGAGGCACAGTCAGTCTTAGCAGCCTTCCAGGTTACCTGTTAAATGGGTCAAAGGAGGAACCCACATGTAGAATAAGCTGTTCGAACCCTAAAAGGGCTTACCAGTCATTATGTTTTGTTTTGTTTTGTTTTTTTCTGGTGGAAAGAGTGGGAATTGCAAGGTATCCTGGAGTGGATGCTCCAGTGCACATCAGACTATGTGACTTTCAAATATTTCCCAATGTAAGAGGTCCCTGACTTCTAAAAGTTTTTACCTCTCCCACTGGAGCACATGTATCTTACCAAGGCATCCAGAATACTTAGCATTTTTTGATCATTAGGTATGAGTATCATAATATCATCAACATAGTAAGCAAATGTAATATTTCCAGAATGCCCAGACTGTCCAGTTTTTATCAGTCTAAACTATGACAGGACTTGAGGCAGTGTATACACTTGTCTGTTCAGGTGAATGGCAACTTCTCTATTCTCCTTCCTGATGTCAATTGAAAGTAATACATTATCCTTATCACGGAACTCTATACTGCATACAATAGGCTATTTTAACCTACTCTAGAACTGACACCAAATCTAGAACCACAGGTCCATTTAGGAGTATTAATTACTTAACTTTCTGACAATCAATTTTTGTCAAGCTAAGCTAATGAATTATGATGAATTAACTAGAGATATGATGAGTATCACAATATTTGCATCCTTACATATTTTAGGGTGGCAGGGATCTCTATCATTCATAGCAGGTATTGCTTATGGATATTATATTATATATGAATCAGCTTTGAGGATTTCTCCTTGCCCTTTGTCACTACAACAGTTATTACTCTACAGGTCAAGGAACAATTGTGTGGGTTCTGCCAACTACTAAGCATGCCCATTCCACTTACGTATTTTGGGCTGGAAAAGTGACAACTAGTTGGGTCTATATTTAGCTTTCTCTGCTTCAGTGGACTCACTATGAGGTGAACGTGGGCCATTATCCATTTATTAACTGCCTGTAGCTAACTAAGAATCCTAACAGGCTCATTATGAACATAGTACGAATCTATGCATTAGCATTAATGCAGATCGCATGTCCAACATCCCTGGAAGAAATTTGGATATTCACCTTTCCCCAATATAAAGTTACCATATACGTGGCTATAAGTTTGTCTGGGAAAGGACTGGAGAAATCACCAACATAGATACTTGCTATAGTGTTGCAGATTCTTCCTTCAGTCAGTGAATTTTGCTTTGGAGAATTGGCTCAATTCTGGAAACTGGTGAGGGATCAGTATTTCTTACTGGAGAAGCTGACTTCAGCCTTCTGATCATCCATCATGCTCAATTTCTAGCAGGGCCCAGTAGGAGGTCAAGATCTATTTTTCAAAAACTCTCTAGTTATCTGTTGAAGATGGTATGGCCTTGCCCTGAACTTGAGAAGGGCAGAAGTTTTCTTTAAGGAGCCCATTTGAAGTCTGAGCATTGTCTTCAAGCAAGGTAGGGGCTGAGTCTATCTTCTAACAAGGGAGAGTGCGACAGTTTTGGTTGCCTGGAGTGTCCCAAGAAATCTGTAAAATCAGGGCTCTCAAGATATTCTCATCTCAAATTTCAGGGTTCCGTGTCTTTCCTAACAGGGCCCTGATTTTGGCACAGATTTGGTAGACTGAGCCTCAGCCTTCTTTGAAAGTTTGCCACTCTCATAATGAGCTCATATACCTTGTTTTCAGCTAAGTATTTCCTCTGGCTACACAAGATGAATTCCCCTTTAAAGACTAACAATAAAGTCCTCAGATTCTTACATTTTTCTTTAAAATAATGATTAATGGCCAGGCGTGGTGGCTCACACCTGTAATCCCAGCACTTCAGGAGGCCAAGGCAGGCGGATCACCTGAGGTCCAGAGTTCAAGACCAGGCTAACCAACATGGAGAAACCCCATCTTTACTAAAAATACAAAATTAGCCGGGCATGGTGGCCCATGACTGTAATCCCAGCTACCCGGGAGGCTGAGGCAGGAGAATCACTTGTACCTGGGAGGTGGAGGTTGCAATAAGCCGAGATCGAGCCATTGCACTCCAGCCTGGGCAACAAGAGTGAAACCCCTTTTCAAAAAATAAATAAATAAATAAAAAATAAAAATAAAATAAAATAATGATTAATAAAATCTAAATTACTGATTAAAAATACAGTTGAGCCTGTTTTCTCTTTTTAATGCATCACTGGCACTTAGAAATAACATAATTCCACAGTTTTCTTAGTTACTATTTTCTTATACACCTTAAAAGCCAGACATTGCCCCAGCTAGTGCCTGTCTTTCCCCTTGTTGCCTTCACCAACTCTCCTTTACTAATGGTGAAAGTCAGCAATTGAAATCCTATACATGCCAGAGGCAATCAATACTCCACGTACTAGTAGAGATGCCATCCTCACTGTATTCTGGTCAGTTTATATTCCACCTCTGGAATATTTGTCATTGAGTTTACTTCCTAGGACCACTCCTGGCATCAGCTATCTTAGGTTTGATACCCTAAAAACAGAGCCCAAGTTTGGGATTCTTGTGAAAGTGATTAATTACTGAGGCATACTCTCAGGGAAAATAAATTAAGGAAAACAGATCATAGGACTTCTCAGCCTCCATAATTGTGTGAGCCAATCCCTCATAACAAATCTCTTTCCATTTATCTACTCATACTTTATTGGTTGTGTTTCTCTTGAGAACTGTGACTAATACAGGCAGGGAAATAAAGCTAAGCAAAGAGGAGATCTCACCTAGAGACTATTCAGAATGGTCACATGGATTTCTCAAGCATGATCCCACCTAAGACAAGTGGATTCGCTTTTTTTCCCCCGTGTGTGTCAGTCTAGAGGGAGGGGAGGGTTGGAGAAGGGGGAAGAGAATAGAAAAGGGAGGTAACATTTTAGGCATAGGATTTCCAGATTAAATACAGGAGGCTCAGTTAAATTTGAATTTAAGATAAACAATGAATAATTTTATATTATAAATATGTCTGAAATATTGCATGGTGTATTTATACTTAAAAGAAGTATATGTTGTTTATCTGAAATTCACATCTAATTGTGTGTCATGCATTTTTATTTGCTACATCTAGTAACCCTGCCCAGGCCAGGTGGCTTCTGTATGGTGAAGGGCAATTTGAGAAGGGACCAGCTGTAAGGCATGAGCTGCTATAACACTCACAGCTGGTGAAAGATCCTGCAGGGAAGGGAACCAAGCAGGGTACCAATGGCTTCCATACAATATCCTATTTAGGTTTTGGTGATGAGGATTATTAAGCTTGTAAAATACAAGCAGTTATTTTAATGTCACGATCCACTGATTCTCTTTTATTAGAAGAATATTTTTAAAAGATTTTTCTAAAAAACATAAGCTCCAGAGAAATTTTTAAAATTGTACAAAATAATTGGACTAAATAAATAAATAAAAGAATAAACTCTCTTGCCTTTCCACTGTTGAGGTACTTTCAAAGTCTTAGAATAACTGGAACTCTGACTTCAGAGTCTTATACTTTTATATCATAAATGTATGTGAGTGCTTTATGTGGACGATTAGGTTGGAGGGAATATACTTGCTCATAAAATGATTTCTGTCTTTAGTACTACAAAAATAATGGATAATTACCCCATTTACGGTTGAGAAACACTTGATAATTATTGTTTATTTTTATGAATAGTGTGCACTATAAAATAGCTGTGTGTGAATGTATACAAATATTCACAGGGTGTGTAGTGTTAAATAATAATGAGCTTTATTTGGCTATTCATCAAGAATTCATTAAAAAATTATTTGTAATACTAAATTAGAATAAAACATAATGGTAGGATTATAGAGAAAGTGGGTAAATTTTTCTCATATTAAAATTTGAATAATTAGCAGCCCCTTTTTCATAGGTTCTCTTCTTTTTGGACAAAAATCCTAGGCTTGGAATATTACTTCTCACGTCATTAGTATATATGTTTGTTTAAGATTTCTAGAAGTGCTTGACATAAGAACTTGTGTTAAAGTGATTTATTAAAATGTGATTTCATGGAAATCCAGTAGGGAATGAAGTAGGACAGGGAAGGAAGTCAAGCAAGAGCCTGATATCAAGCAGTCTCAGGAAACGCCGGCTCAAGCCTGTCAAGGAGCTCTAGGGGCCACTGAGAACACATCTCAAGGTGGTACTGAGTAGGGGCAAGGAGGCTTGGGTATTTACTTTCTGCATTTGACATTTATTGGTTAGGGACTGCTCCTGGGGGTGGCAGACCTTCCCAGATACTTCCAGATTACTATGCACACAGGTTAAAAACAAAGAATACGATTGTTGCAGGGCTTTCCCTTAGTTCAGCTAAAGATGGGGTCCTCGTCACATGACCATGAAACATTAGGCTCATAGACTACTTGAAAGGTGAGAAAATGGGATTTATTGGGCAAAAAGGAAAAAAGGGGAAACAGGGACTCTCCACAAAGCCAGAGTCCTGCTAGTGCACTTCCTGCCTTGCAGACTGAATTCCAGGTACCACACCCTGGAAGAGGAGAGAGAGGCCAGGCTCCTCCCCACTGCAAAGGGCAGGAACTTCCCACAGCTCTACCCCAGTGCACATTCCTCTCAGTGCACAGGCTGTTGGAGGTTCTGCCAAAGAAACCTTTGAATCTGGCTGTCACAAGATGCCCTCAAGATGAATTCATATTTTTTGTCTGCTTCCTCCTTAAAATTATATGAGCAGAAGCTTATGATATGCCAATCTTCATAAATTTTGTCATTAACAGGAATCTCTTTTCTTTGTTAATATTAAAATACCAAAAGCCATTAAGGACCTTGTTGATCCTTTGACTTCCCAGCGTCCCACCTGTTCTAAAGTTTTAAAATGGTCAAGAAAGGGAGGAGCATTAAAAGGTAATCAAGGAGGCAATGACACTCAGCCTTACTCTAAGGTTCCTCTTAACCTGTGTAGTGTTGGTGTTAAATCTGCTTACAAGAAGGAAAGTGGAGATCCTTAATTTGGGCTCAAAATATATGTTTCAGGAAAATATAGTATAAAAATATGAGTAAGAAATCGAGTCAAACCTATAGTTAAAGGTTAATTAATACCTGACAAGATTACAGAAACTAGCCTAACCAAGTTAGCCTAACCAAGTACATAGTTTTTTCATATTAGTTATTAATCTTTCGGCTTTTCATGACTAGAAATTTTATTTACACTAGCTTTGACAAGAAATTTATTGCCTAATGGAATCCAAGTCAGGTTAGAACCCCTCCATTTAATAATTTAATATTATGTGTAGCAGGAATGTTAACAGACCTTCAGACCAACTAGAAGTAGGAACTTAAACCGCCTCCGCACATTTGCCTTTCTTGTTGCATTTTTTTCTTTCCTTTTATCTTTTCTCATTACAAATTGATCTCCAATGAAAGCTAGATTAATCTTGTTTCAATGGTGGCTACAATCCTGCCATAATCCTTGCCATTCTTTACTATAATTTGGTGGATATTGCAATAGATGTGAGTAGTTCCTGGGAAGAGAAAAGAGAGGAAAGTTAGGCTGAGAAGACAATAGGTACCTCTGCAATCTTCCCTGAATAAGTTAAAAATACTTTATATAGAAGACTGGGGAAGTTTTAATAGTTAGAATTAAAAAAAGGAAATGAGAGGACAAATATTTTCTCCCTTCTTGAGTAATGTGAAGATGAAAAAAATATCACTGGGAATGGAAGTTCTATACTTTTCCCTAATGTAGTGTTACCCTGATTTTCTTGCAAACCATCTTAAGGAAAATGTATTAATTTCTGAAGAATGAAATTCTTCATTATTCTTCATTCATTAATACTGAAGAATGAAATTCTTCATTATTCTTCATTCATTAATACAGAAGAATGTCTTAAAATAAAAGAGCAAGTTAAATTAAAAACTGGAACACAAAACACTATGAATCTTATTTAAAAAAATAACTTACAAAGGCAAGAATACTATTGTCTATTAATTAAAAAAAATAATATATGGAAGAATGCTCTTCCTGCTCAGAGTAACACAAAAATACCATGATGTCTCCCTTAAAACTTGATTTCTATAAGAGTAACTTGATATTGGTAAAAATAAAATTATCACAAAGTAGTGGGAAAATTCTCTGCCTCCAAAAAAGCAAGAAAAATAATGGAAAGGAGCTCGCAGCTCCCTACTGGTATGGAAGAGTGACTTTTTTTTTTTGGTCCGTAACAGATGAGAAGAGGCATAGAGTTTAATGGCACTCAAAGAAAACCGGTGAACCATTCCCAAAGAAACTGCCAGAGAAAGAGATAAACATTGAGGTTTTGGCATTCCAGCTATTCTGCTAGAGATTAGAGAACAGGCAATTCTGTCATAATTATAGTTATTTTCCTAATAACATTGACCATACCCCTAGTATAAAGGGGTTATATTTGAGTGGCCTGTGATTCTAATTTTTGTTGTAATCATATCAGTACATTCATAACATCCATTCTATCATATCTCTCAGTATGATATAATGACAATAAATATGTGGAATCTGAAGGTTGTTAAAGATCTTAAATGCTTAACTTTTTCTGCCAAGGAAGAAATAACTTCTATTCCTGAAAGATGGACATCTCTAACATATGGCATTCCATATTTTCTGAAGCAGCTCATTATACTGCTAAACAGTATTAATTTCTGGCATATTCTCACATAGAGCTGAAAATTGTCTCCTCCAAATTTTCACTTATTGGTTTGGTCTTATTTCTGCCCTCTAGAGATAAACAAAATCTGAACACTCTTTTATGTATTACAGTATTCCAAATATTTGCAAACAATTATTATAACCTGTTAAGTATTCTCCTCTCCACGCTAAATAGTCTCAAATCCCTTAGCAAATGTAGAACTGGTTTAAAATATCCTCTACATTCTCAGAGGCTCTCTTTTTCTAAGTCATTAAACACCTAAGCTAAACAATAAAACAGACATGGCACACTCAGTGCCAAATAGAGTGGGATTTTTTCTTTCTGATTAATACAACTTAATAGTATGCAAATTATAAAATAAATCATAGTATGCTACTTTCTTTCACTGTCTCAAAATTATTTCTTTTTGGAAGTAGGCATGAATAAATAAATCCATATATTTTTAAAGTCTTGAAATTTTCCATATGTTTTTACATATAAAAAGATCTCTCATGTTTTTAAAATAAAAATTTTGAAAACCAATTAAGGATTTCTACTCATATACGATTTTAGTCTCAGTCAACTGACTTCAGTCTATTACAATCTTTTTGTACCCTAAATCTACCATTAGCATATTAGTCCTCTCATCTAGATTTATAGTCTATGAATTCACTAAATACATAGTTTTTCAATATCAGATTCCTTAGTAGGTGCTGGTGATAGAGTGTGAATGCCTCACCCTCACAGAGATTACAGTGGGGGTGGGATAAGAATGTGGTCTGCATATCTAATTTTAGTTAATCTTTACAAGTCACAGCATTTGTTTCATATGCTATAATATACTTGTGAGTGAGTGATCATACAATTTATTTTTCAAATGGGTGATTTTAAGGGTAAAAAGTCACTATTAATTACATCTATGTAATAAGAATAAATTGTAATATTAATTATAATTATAACTGTAACTGTGTAATATTAATAAAATGGCAATATACCATTTATAGTAAGTGATTACCCTACATTGAGGAAAAATTCTAGAACTCATTTCCCTTTGATCTATTAACACTAAAGCATTCTGAAAGTTTATTGTTACCCTTTATATCCAAGCAAAATGTAAGTCAATCCACAGGGAAAAATCATCTCTAGACATAGGAAAGACTTTTGTAAAACATGTGTATAATACATTAGCTAAGGTGTGTTAGAAATATGACTAATGTTTGTGGATTGTGCTAGATCATATATATATGCAGTATGTGAGATTTCTCATAGATCAGGCTGTTTATTATTATGATGTCTTTCTCATATTCAACTAAATATGTGGTGCTCTAATCTGTCATATACAGATTAAAATATCTAAGTTGAAATAACTCAAATAATATTATATTACTTGATTAAATATCACAATCATCTTAGTGACACTTAAAATTAGTTCCAAGGTTCAGAAATTGTTTCACCAGATAACACAGTTAGTACATTAGAACAATTCACCCTTGAACAACGTGGGTTTGAACTGCATAGGTTCATTTATATGAGGATTTTTTTCAATAAAATTTCACCATGTGTGCCTACATCTGCTGCCTCCCCTTATACCTCCTCTATGCCTTCCATCTCTGCCACTCCTGAAGCAACAAGACCAAACCCTCCTCTACGTCTGCCTCCTCAGCCTACTCAATGTGAATATGAAGAGGATGAAGATATTTATGATGACACACTTCCACTTAATAAGTAGTAAATATATTTTCTGTTTCTTATGATTTCATCAATAGCATTTCCTTTGTTCTAGCTTTTATAGATTATGGGGATACAGTATATATAACATATACAATATACAAAATATGTGTTAATCTGCTATATACATTGTTGGTATACTTCCAATCAACAGGCTATTAGTTAAGTTTGTAGACAGTCAAAAGTTACATGCAGATTTTTGACTGCAAGGAGGTTCAGTGCACCTAATATCTGCATATTGAAGGGTCAAATGTATTTCCCTTTTAGCCTCTTGCATCTTGTATCTTTCAGCATAGTTCAATTATGCTGCATGAGCTGATAACATCCAATCTCAATGATTTAACATTAGTGATTTATTTCATTCAACATTTCTCTCTACGTGAAGACCAGTAAGGATCTCTGTCTTCATGTTTATTTAGGACACAGGGTTCCATGATTATCTGTGCAGGGAAAAGTGACCACTGAAGTGGTTTTCCATGGTAATTAAATGCATGAGACAAGAGTCTCACAGGCTCAGAAGTACTCAATAATGCATGTATTCTTAAAATAATTCTGGGAAATAACCATTTAAAATCAACATAAATACTGATAAAATGAAATAATTTAATTGAAATGCTAGATCTCTTTCCAAGTTTTTATTAGTATTAAGTGTTACAGAGTACTTACAGTCATAAAATAGGATAAATATGCTTCTACTATTGAAATATGTGCTCAGTTCAGGGCTCTTATTACCATCAATTGGTAGTTATTACTGACACTTTAAAATACAGTTAGTGCAATTTTTTGCTAAAATTTTCTATGTATTATTGACAACTTTTATTTCTAAAAGCAGAGAATTAGGTCATTATATGTTTAGTGTTTTGATTTTTTGGAAACCTGTGTTGTTGAATGGATTTTGGGAAGGTGTCAGAGTAGACAGTGCAAGGAATCTATCTCTCAATGTAAACAACAAAACACTTGCAGAATCTGTATGATGTAACTATTTTGAAACTCTGAAGTCTTTTTAAGGCTAGAAACTTCCAGGGGAATGCCTCTATGATAAATTTCAGTGAATTTCAAAAAACTTCAGCTCTCAGCATAGAAGTAGCTTCCAATCTAGCACCCAAAGCCCCATGACAGGCAGCTGTTCATGTATTCCTGGAGGAACCTGCATTCAGCTTGCAAGAGCCAGGATAGGCAAAAAACATCCTGTCCTTCAAGTATTGGGAATTTTTGCTCTGATCTCTGATTACTGTTTCTGATCACAGGGGTATAAGCAAAGAGGCAAGTAATCATTAATGGTGTACATCCCTGCCATGTTTTGTAGTGGAGGCAAAATTTTACCTCTACTGTATTAGGTTTAATCTGTTGGGGCAGGAAATAAAATGACAGATGTGTAGAAAAAATATTCAAACGTACTTAGTATAAGTTTTATGTGACACAGGAGCCCATATAAGGAAATGAAGACCTAAAGGTGTATATATATATATATATATACCATATGTATATCATATTTATATATGGTGTGTATATATATACCATATATATCATATTATATATGGTGTATATATTATATATATACACAGTATATATAAGGTGTGTGTGTGTGTGAATGTGTGTATATATATATATATATATATGCACCTTAAAAAGAACATTATTTCCTTCTAGTATAGGGAGGGCATCTTTCACATGGTAATTTCGTCTCCTGACCTTAAAAAATAGCATGAAAGTCAGAGTAGTCTTTTTGTGCTTCCTGTTTTTTAAATGCCTTTAACTAAAAATAGTCGACATGTGACAGTAGGATATTTTGGAGTGGCATATAAACTCCATTAGTTGTCAGTCCCTCCCACTTTGGCTGAAGTGATTTCCAGGGGATTTGGGGTGTCAGTATTCTTTTTTCTTTCTCTTTATTTTTTTTCTTATTTTCCTGTCTTGGATGCCAGACATTAAAATCCAGGACATTCAAAAACAATTAGGAAAAAATAGAAAAAAAACAGAAAGTGACTGCACATGCCTAGGGAAGGGTATGGGTTCAGAAAAGACCTGAGATGACTGTAAATTTAAACCTCAGGATGAGCATTGGCATAAGGAGGGCCTAAAAAAATAATTTTAAAAGCCTAAAAACAATAAACAAAAATAGCAAACCATGGGGAAGGGAGACAGCCTGAGCTTCAGAGTTACCACATTATCAGGTTCAAATATCCAATTTTCAACACAAAAATCATAAAATTTAAAGAGAAACAGGAAAGTATAGCCAATTCATAGGGAAAAATTAATCAACAGAAATGGTCTCTAGAACAACCTGTTGGAAGACCTACTAGACAAAGACTTTAAAACAACTATCTTAACATTGCTCAAAGAACTAAAGGATGATGTGGAAGAAGTAAAAGCAAACAAAACCTCACTAAAACCAATGTTTGAACAAAATGGAAATATAAAGGAGATAGAAAATCTAAAAGAAAACTAAGATTCAGGAAGTGAAAGAATGACATCATAAATGAAAAAAATACTAGAGGTATTCAAAGGCAAATTTTAACCAACAGAAGATAGAATCAGTAAATTTGAAAATTGGATAATGGAAAATATCAAGTTTGAGGAAGAGAAAAAAATACTGCAGAAAAGACCTATGGAATTTGTGAGACATCATCAAATGAACCAACATATGCTTTGTGGGAGTTCCAAAAAGAGAAGAGAAAAAGGTTAAAGAGAATATGTGAAGAAATAATGGATGAATACTTTCCAAATTTGATGAAAGACCTGAACATAAACATCCAAAAAGATTAACAGATTCCAAGTAAGATGAACTCAAAGAGACTCACACAAAGACATATTGCAATGAAACTTTTGAAAGACAAAATCTTGAAAGCAGCAAGAGAAAAATGACTTCACATACAAGGTATCCATAATGAGATTATCAGCAACTTTCTCTTCAAAACTTTGGAGTTTGGGGTTAAAAGTGCTAAAAACAAAAACAGAAACAAAAACAAAAAACTCATCAACCAATAATCCCATATCCAGTAAAATTCTCCTCCAAAAGTGAGGAGAAGCTAAGACATTCCCAGATAAACAAAAGCTGAGGGAATTTGTTGCCTCTAGTCTTTCCCTGCAAGAAAAGTTCAAGGGAGTCCTGCAAGATGACATAAAATGGCACCAGACAATAACTTGAAGTCATATGAAGAAATAAAGGTATTAGTAAACTTAAGCACACTGGCAGTTATAAAAGGTAGTATTATTCTAACAATGATTGATAAGTTCACTTTTGTTTTCTACATGATTTAAAAGAGACTAATAAAATTTCAAAAAGCAATTATTAGTGTAAAAGCTAGTATTATTATGACTTTTATCACTAATTCACCATTTTGTTTTCTAAATAATTTTAAAAAACTATAAATTTAAAAATAATTATGTTTATATTTTAGGGGACACAGTGTATAAACATGTCTGGTGACATCAAGAACCAAAATGAATGGGAATGAAGCTGCTACAATTATTTTTGTATAATAATATACGATAAAAAATTATTATATAGTATTGAAGTTAAGCTGGCATAAAATTAGGATATAACTTTAGGATGTTAAATTAAATGTAATTTCCATATTAACCACATAGAAATAAACTGTAGAATATATACAAAAGGAAATATGAAAGCAATTTAAATGTTTCACTACAGAAAAAATAACAAAACACAAAAGAAGACAGCAATGCAGGAAATGAAGGACACATAAGCTATAAGCATATAAAAATGTTCTACCAAACATTGAAAGAAGAATCACCAGCAATCCATCTCAAACTTTTTCTAAAAATTGAGATGTGGGAATACTATCTAACTCATACTATGGGGCCAGCATCTTCCTCTGTATTAGTCCATTTTTACACTGCTACAGTGATACTACCTGACAAGAAGTAATGTATTTAAAAAAGAGGTTTAACTGACTCACAGTTCTCTATGGCTGGGAATGTCTCAGGAAACGTTCAATCATGGTGAAAGGTAAAGGGGAAGCAAGTGCCTTCTTCACAAGGTGGCTGCAGACAGAAAGAGAAAAAGGCTGAGGACATTCACCACTTAAAACCATCAGATCTCCTGAGAACTCACTCACTATAATGAGAACAGCAAGGAGGAAACTTCCCCCATTATCCAATCACCAGCCACCAAGTCTCTCCATTGACATGTGGGGATTACAATTAGAGATGAGATTTGGTTGGGAAGACAGAGCCAAACCATATAATTCTGCCCCTGGCCCTATCCAAATCTCATGTCCTTCTCACATTTTTAAACACAATTATGCTTTCTCAACAGTCCTCCAAAGTGTTAACTCATTCCAGTATTAACTCAAAAGTCCAAGTTCACAGTCTCATCTGAGACAAGCCAAGTCCCTTCTGCCTATGAGCCTGTGAAATTAAAAAAAAAATTACTTACCTCCAAGATACAATGGGGCTACAGGCATTGGGTAAATGTTTTCCTTCCAAAAGGCAGAAATTGACCAAAACAAAGGGGACAAAGGCCCCATTTATGTCCAAAACCCTACTAGGCAGTTATTAAATCTTACAACTTCAAAATCTCCTTTGACTCCATGTGTCACACCCAGGGAATGCTGATGCAAAGGGTAGGCCCCCACAGCCTTGGGCAGCTCTGCCACTATGGTGGTGCAGGGTACAGCCCCTGTGGCTGCTTTCACAAGCTGGCATTTAATGCCTGTGGTTTTTTCATGTACACAGTGCAAGATGTCAGTGGATCTACCATTCTGTGGTCTGGAGGATGGTAGACCTCTTCTCACAGCTCCACTAGGCAGTGCCTCAGTGTGAGACTCCAACCCCACTTTTCCCTGCTGCACTATCCTATCTGAGGTTCTCCGTAGGGCTCTGCCCTTGCAGCAGACTTCTGCCTGGATATTCAGGTGTTTCTATACATCCTATGAAACCTAGGTGGAGGTTCCCAAACCTCAACTCTTGTTGTCTGTGCATGTGTAGGCTCAACATCACATGGAAGCCTTCGAGGCTTGGGCTTGTACCCTCAGAAGCAATGACCCAAGCTGTACCATGGCCCCTTTAGCCATGGCTAGAGTTGGAGCAGTTGGGATGCAAGATGCCATGTCCAGGGGCAGCACACAGCAGGGGAGGCCTGGGGCCAGCCCAATAACCCATCTTTCCCTCCTAGGCCTCCAACCTTGTTATGGGAGGGGTTGCTGTGAAGATCTCTGACATGCCCTGGAGATATTTTCTTCCCATTTTCTTGGCTATTAATATTCGGCTTCTTGTTACTTATAAAAATTTCTGCAACCAGCTTGAATTTCTCCCCAGAAAATGGTTTTTTCTTTTCTATCACATGGCCAGGCTGCAAGTTTTCAAAAATTTTATGCTCTGCTTCCATTTTAAGCATAAGTTCCAATTTCACCCCATCCCTTTGTGAGAACATATAACTGTATGCTTTCAGGAAAAGCCAGATCACCTCTTTAATGTTTTGCTGCTTTGAAATTTCTTCTGCCAGATACCCTAAATACTCTCTCAAGTTCAAAATTTTACAGATCTATAGGGTAGGGACAAAATGCCACCAGTCTTTTTGTTAAAGCTTATCAAGAATCACCATTACTCCACTTCCCGATAAGTTCATCTCTATCTGAGATCACCTCAGTCTGGACTTCATTATCTGTATCACTGTCAGCATTTTGGTCAAAGTTATTCAACAAGTCTCTAGGAAGTTCTAAACTTTTTCACATCTTCCCATCTTCTTCTAAGCCCTCCAAACTGTTGCAACTTCTGCCTGTTACCCAGTTCCAAAGTTGTTTCTACATTTTCAGTTTATAGAGGTACCGCACTCCTGGTACCAATTTCTATATTAGTCCATTTTCACAATGCTGTAGAAATATTTCCTGAGACTCCGTAATTTATAAAGGAAAGAAGTTTAATTGACTCACAATTCCACATGGCTGGGAAGGCCTCAGGAAACTTACAATCGTGGCAGAAGGCAAAGGAGAAGCAAATACCTTCTTCACAAGGCAGCAGACAGAGAGAGAGCACAGGGAAAACTGCCACTTTTAAAACCATCAGGTCTCATGAGAACTCCCTCACTATAAAGAGAACAGCGTGGAGGAATCTGCCCCCATGACCTAATCACCTCTCAACATGTTCTTCCCTCCACATGTGGAGATTAAAATTTGAGATGAGATTTGGTTGGGGACACAGAGCCAAACCATAGCACCCTGCTACCAAAATCAATGTCACTATAAGAAAACTATACCATTATCTCTTTAAAAATATACATGCAAAATTCCTCAAAAGAGTAATATCAAACTGGAGTTCAGCAGAATATTAAAAGGATTATACACAATGACCAAGGAGGATTTATTCTGGGAATGCAAGAATGGTTCAACTTACGAAAATCTATAAATGTAGCAACACATAAACAAAATAAATGAAAGAAAAAAACACATAATTATCTTGATTGAGGCAGAAAAAGTCATTTGACAAAATTCAACATCCTGACATGGGAAAAGTACTCAACAAACTATTTTTAGAAGGAAACTACCTCAAGTAATAAAGCCATATAGAAAAACATGCAGGGAGCATCATACTCAATGAGGAATGTCTAACAACTTTTTCTCTAAGAGGGAACAAGACAAGGCTGCTCACTTTAATCACTTCGAAGCACTAGAAGTTCTAGTCAGAGACATCAGGCAACAAAAATAACCAAAATTGCATTCAAATTGGAAAGGAAAAAGTAAAATTATCTCTGTCCATTAGATGAATGGGAAAAATATTTTCTGATATGGAATTAATATCCAGAATATATAGAGAACTTATAAAACTCTACAACAACAAAAGCAAACAACCCAATTCCAAAACTGGCAAAAAACTTGAATAGGCATTTCTCAAAGCAAGATAACGCAAATGTCCAATAAGTACATGAAAAGATACTCAACATCACTAACTATTAGGAAAATACAGATCAAAACTACAATGAAATACCACTTTGTAAGCATCAGGATGGGTACTATCAAACAAACCAGAAAATAAAAACTGTTGATGAAAACATTGAAAAACTGCAATACTTGGGGAAATTCAAAATGGTACGCTCAATATGAAAACCAGTATGGTGTTTTCTCAAAAAATTAATAATAAATATAATTACCATAGAATTCAGCAATTTCACTTCTGAGCATATGCCCAAAAGAGTTGAAAGAAAGATCTTGAAGAGATATTTGTACACCTAATTATCTATAGCAGCATTATTCACAGCAGCCAAAAGATGGAACCAAACCAAGTGTCTATTGATGGATTAATGGAAAAGCAAAATGTAGTATGTACATACAATGGAACACTATTCAGCCTTAAAAAAGAAGCAAATTTTGACCTATGTTACAACAAGGATGAACCTTAAGGTCACCTAAGTGAAATAAGCCTGTTATAAATACTGTGTGAGTCCACATATGTGAGGTAAATCATAGAGACAGAAAGTTGATTATAGTTTTCAGAGGCTAGGGAGAAGGAAAATTAGGGAGTATAGAGTTTTGGTTTTATAAGATTAAAAGACTTATAGAGATGAATGGTAGTGATGGTCGCACAGTAAGAATATATTTACTTTGGGAGGCCGAGACGGGCGGATCACGAGGTCAGGAGATCGAGACCATCCTGGCTAACACGGTGAAACCCCGTCTCTACTAAAAATACAAAAATTAGCCGGGCATGGTGGCGCGCGCCTGTAGTCCCAGCTACACGGGAGGCTGAGGAAAAAGAATATATTTAACACCACTGAATTGTACACTTGAGAACAGTTAACATGATACAGTTTATGATATGTATATTTTACTATAATAAAATCTAGGAAAATAATGTATTTTTAATGGCCAAAAGAAAATTTGCTTCCTTTTTTCAGAATTAAAAGTATTTGACTATATGAGAAGTATACCACTTTATTTTTTCTTGAGAGAAATGCCAATAAAAATGGACCTCACATGGCTCCTGTTGAATATACCTCCATTTATTTAAGTTTCCACAATCAGTCTGTTTTCTGTGCGTTCATGTCTGTGTTTATGTGAGGACATGTGTTTGTGTCTACAAGCAGAAGGCTTCGAGTTGAGAAAGCAAATGGTAAGAAAAACTGCATAAAAATGAATGTGAAGAAAAAAGGTAATAACTGGTTATGAGTGACCTATGTTGAAGAGAAATTAAAATGAATTTTCTCCCTAGATTTAATAAGTAATCATTTCCCATATAACAGTATTTGAATAAGTGATCAAACATATGTTCCATTTTATGTGTCTTTGAAAACATAAGAATTACATTTCTGCTTTGGTCAGCAGCAGAAAACAAAATAATAACTGTAATTAAAGTTATATAACCTATATATACAAAAGATAATTTGGTATAAGAACTGAGGCTTTAAATTTATTTTCAAAGCATAATACTGGATTTTAAATAAGGTTAATTTCAATGTGTCCACACAGCCTCAAGAAAATTGTTTTCAAATAAGTAAAAATATTATATGTGGCTGTGTTTCATTAGCACTTTTTGCCACAAGGCATAATATTGAGCTAATATAAATATGAGCAACACATTTCCTTAAAGATAGGACAATTGCAGAGAAAAAAGCCTGCATTATAGATATATAATAGTTCGCTTCAAAATAGAATTCAATGTCATTAATTTCTGTTTTCATCATATATAAAAAAATTTGTATAGTAAGGAGTGTAATTGTAATGCATAGGAGTATACAAGACATAGAAAAGGATTTGCTATATACACATATTTTGATATTTTTTACACTATTATAAAATGGTCTGTATATGACTTGCTAACTTAGACAAAACAGAATCTCTACTGATGGATGTCATTTCCCCCAGATTGCAGTTGATACCATATATTTATGTTTGACCAATATTCTTGAGTATACAATTAGTGCCTAGTTGTTTAGCAATCCATTACTTAATTGCCTGTAGTTTCATTTAAACGAGGTTTTTATTTTTGAATTATTGGCAGCACTCAGTACAATAAGAATCTTTTCTTTTAACCCATCTCTGTACCGTTACAAACCTTTCATTCTCTATTACACTTCCTTGAACAAGTTTAAGATCACCCTAGATCCCGCCATACTCGTTCATTTATTCTTCAATCCAAATCAATCTTTTAATATCTCTTCCTGAATCTCAATTTACAATTGGCTTAGTTCACACTTAAATATTTTACCTAAAATGCTAGTGGAATTTCAAATATCTAAATATTAGAAAATTAATATCAACAAATACATGTTTGTTTCAACAGTGACATAAGAACATGTTTAAACTGTACAATAATGAAAAAGCAAATTTTCAAAATATAAGAGGTGCAGTACAAGTAGTAGTTGTAGGAAATGTTATATTTTTCTGTGCTGATTTAAATTGAAAAATTTAAAATCAAAGATACAAGCTCTGACATTAAGAAACCAAAAAAAAAAAAAAAACCCAACTATACCTAACATAAACAAATAGAGGATATAGTAAGATAACAATAGAAAACAATAAAATAGAAGACAGATTAATAATATAATTTTTTTTAAATTAAAGGCTGGTTCATTTAAGAAAAGTCCAATATAACTGACCAATCAGATAAACAAGAGAGAAAACACAAATTTACCAAAATTAATAATAAATGATGAGCATCACTACAGATCTTCACACACATAAGGACAAGCAAATGGCAATTTGAAACAATTTTATGCAAGTAAATTCTAGTACTTAGATAAAATGAACAAATTCCATGAAAAACACAATTTATTAAACTAAACACAAGAAGAAATGAAACACCTCAAAAGACACAATCAAGAGATTATAATACCCACTCTTAGAGAAAATTTAAAAAGAAAGAAACAAAAACAAAAAAGACTGTATTAATCCATTTTCATACTGCTATGAAGAAATACCCAAGACTGGGTAATTTATAAAGAAAAAGAGATTTAATGGAGTCACACTTCTACATGGCTGGGGAGGCCTCACAATCATGGCAGAAAGTGAAGGAGGAGCAGAGGCACATCTTACATGGTGGCAGGCAAGAGAGGGTGTGCAGGGGAACTGCCCTTTATAAAACCATCAGATCTTGCGGGAATTATTTACTCTCACAAGAACAGCATGGGAAAACCCACCCCCATGATTCAATAATCTCCTGCTAGGTCTCACCCAAGACACGTGGGAATTATGGGAGCTACAATTAAAGATGAGATTTGTGTGTGTGTGTTGGGGGGGAACAGAAAAACCATATTAAAGACATTTTATAACACGTTTTAGGAGTTCGCACGAACTTGCTGTATTAGTTTCTTAGGGCTGCCATAACAAAATGTCACAGACTATGTGGCTTAAACAACATAAATTTATTTTTTACAATTCTGGAAACAGAAGTACAAGATTAAGGTACCATCAGGGTTGGTTTCTTCTGAGCACTCTTTCCTTGGCTTGTAGAATGGTTGTTTTCTCCCTTTCTCTTTATACGGTTTTTGGTCTTTCCTCTGTGTGTGTCTGTGTTAATTTCCTCTTCTTATAAGGACATTAGTCATACTTGATTCGGGCCAACCCAATGACAATATTTTAAATTAATTACTGATTTAGAGACTCTATCTTTAAATACAGCCACAATCTTAGATACTAGGGGTGTGGAATTCAACCTATGAAATTGAGGGAGACACAATTCAACCCATAATACCTGTGTAAATACACCTGACAAAGATTTAACAGACAACCATATTTACATGGCAATTTTCATCAGTAATTGAGATGTCAAACTCCTGAACAGAATATTATGGAATCAAATTCTGCCATGTTAAGTTACCACGTAGTGTCCAATATGGGTTTATTCCAGTAGAGTATGTTTGTTTAGCTTTAAAAATTTTAATATAACTCATTATTACAATAAAAAGGAATTAAGCATGTATTCATATGAATAGATATGAAAAAATATTTGATAAATCTCAACATTTATTTGAGATAAAATGTAATTGTAAACCAGAAATAGAAAGGAATTTATTTTATAAAGACTACCAGAAACCACAGCAAAAAAACATATATAACGGGGAATTATTGAAAGTTTCTTTCTGTCTGGAATGATGAACAATGCCCATGGTCACCACTTCTACTCATATTTTATGACATTTCTATATTAGTGCGATGACAGATTAAAAATAAAACCATACAAACTAATAAAAATGTTGTAAAAAAGAAGTAAAATTTCCATTATTTATTGACAAAATTATAACTGAAACAATCTAAAATAAAATACAGAAAAAATATTGAAAAAAGTAAGTGAATCTATCAGTCAATGAATAAAGATTACTATACAATGATCAATTCCATTTCTATATATCTGCAATGAACATATAAGGATTTAAAAACTAATACCACTAGAAATGGAATCTAAACTCTTGAAATAGAAATAAACTGAAAAATATAGAATGCATAAGGTTTATTTTAAAAAACCAAAATATTAACGACTAATGACAAATTAAATAAGAGATATGCCATGTTCATGTACTGAAAAAATTGATAATGAGAAATTGTCAATCTACAGGTTGATTGTAATCTCAAACTTGATTAAATATAAATAAATCAAGACAAAAGCTAGCAATCTCTGAAGTCTGAATATGTTTTAACACAAATAAATCTAATTATATATCAATGTGTTACAAACATACCCAGGGAAAAATGTATGTGAAGTGAAAAATAGTACTACAGTTTGTACTATATTCTTATATTTTTATATGGAAAAACAGCATTATAATAAAATCTAAAGATATGTACAGTGGTTTTAATTTTTAATAGTAATATTTTTACTTCTAAATTTTGTAGTCATGTAGTAGCACAAAGTTTTTGATTCTTATATTTTGGGGTTCTTTTGTTTTGTGTGTACACATTTAGAACAATTATATCTTTGTGGATTGATCTTGTTATCAGTATGTATGTTCCTGTCTGCTACTGGTAATGTTCTTTGCTCTCAAGTATATTTTCTCTGATGTTAGTGTACTCAGTCACTTGTGTTTTTTTGATAAATGTTTGCATGGGGTATATTTTTCTATCTCTATTTTCAAACTACCTATTGTGTTGAAATTGAAATGAGTTGCTTATGTAGTTGAGGTGTGGGATTTATTTTTATTATTATTTTATCTACTTTGCCTTTCCCTATGCTACACTTTGTATTGTTGTATTACAACAAATAATTGAACCATTTACTTTTAAGGTAATTATTGATAATTATTATGTTAGGGTTTACAGTAGGGTTTAATTATCTCATTCCTCTGTTTCTCTTTTCTTGCATTCTCATGAGTCACTTGACCATCTTTCAGGGTTTCATCTTGACTTATTTTTGTGTTTAAATGCATCACCTTGTACAGTTTTAAGAGGGATTGTTCTGAGTATCACTATGTGCATATGTCACTGACTTATCAGAGTCCACTCGTACTAACATTTTCATACTTCAAATGAAATTGGACACATTATTTCCCTTTGCCCTCTCCACTTTAAAATATTATGATCTTGAATATCAGTTGGTGCTATACATTTCGTTTTAATCCTACATTTAATTAAGAAAACTCATGACAAGTCTGCTTATTGTATTTACCAATATTTATTCTTTTCTGTTTTTTTTTCTGTTTCTTCCTGATGCTCCATGCTTCTTTCTTGTATTATTTCCTTTCTGGTTAAAAACCATAATTTAATATTTTGTGGTAGTATGTCTGCTAGTGATATATGTTTCCTTAGAGTGAAAATGTCATTTCCCTTCATTCCTGAAGGATAATTTCAATGCATACAGAATTTGCTGTTAATAGTTCATTTTTTCAGCACTTGAATAATGTGCCATTCCCATTTGGCCACCTGATTGTTGTTGAGAAATTGGTTGCTACTCAAATTGATGTGCCTCTGTAAGTAATGCATCATCTCTCTCTGAATGCTTTCAAATTTTGGTCCCCGTTTTGAGTTCTCAGAAGATTAATTATAATCTGTCTTGGCATGGATTTTTTTTTAGTTTATTCTCTTTGGGGTTTGTTCATTTTCTTGAACCTATAGATTTATGCCTTTTTACTAAATTGGGGAATATTTCTGCCATTGTTTCATTGAGTACTTTTTTACTCCAGTCTCTTTCTTTGCTATTTTGGGACTCCAGTTATATGAATGTTGGAATTTTTGGTAGCTGCCTAACAAATCTCTGAGACTGAGGCTGTGTTTATTTTTCTTGCAATCTGTTTTTCTCTCTATGCTCACATTGAGTAAACTCTATTGATCCAGTCTCCTGCAAACTAATTATATTCTTAGTAACTTCTACTCTACTGTTGAATGCATCCAGTAAGCTTTTAAAAGTTTTTTTGTGTTTGTTGTATTTTTAGGTTCTATGATTTGCATTTGGTTCCTTTTTACCAGTTCTATTTTTCACTGAATATAATATTAAATATTTTATTTAATTTAGTATGATTTGTTTTTGAATACTTGTTATGACAGTTACTTTAAAATTCTTGTCAGATATACACTTAGCAAAATATGTACAGGTTGTATATGCTGAAAATTACAGAATAGATGACTGAAATTAAATAAGTCTTAAGCAAATAAAGAGATATACCATTTGCATGAATCGGAAGAGTCAGCTTAATAAATATTTTAATTATTCTCAAATTAATCTATAAGCTTAACAAAATTCCTATCAAAATCCCACTATGTTACTTTTGTAGACATTAAAAACAACTTGTTTTAAATTTTATATAGAAAGAAAGAAACCTCAGAATAGCTAAAACAATCTTGATAAATAGAATAAAGTAAAAGAATGACTCCATCTAACTTTAGTACTTACTTTATACCTATCGTTATAATTATAGTGCCATATTGATAGATAGACATATAGATCAATAGAGCAGAATAGATAACTCGAAAATAGACCCATATAAATATGTCTGATTGATTTTTTACAAAGGAGCAAAAGCAATTATATGAGTATGGATATCCTTTTCAATAAATGATGCTAAAATAATTGCACAGCCATAGGCAAAATAAAATAAAACAAACCTCAATTTAAGTCTCACTTCATTCAAAAATCAACTCAGGATAGATTAGGGAATTAAATTGTCAAATAGAAAACTACAAAAATCTTAAAAAAATAGGAGAAAACCTTCTATATCAAGGACTAGGCAGAGGTTTTAGACTTGACACCAAAAACACAATCCACTACAAGAAAAATTAGTTAAGTGGACACCATCAAAATTAAAAACTATTAGGATTAATAAGTTCTGGAGAGTATTGCACAGCATGATGACATAGTTGATAATAATGTTTTGTATGTTTGAAAATTGCTAAGAGAGTAGGTCTTAAATGTTCTCATCACATAAAACATACGTGATGTGATAGATTTTTTTTTTTTTTAGACGGAGTCTTGCTGTGTTGCCCAGGTTGGAGTGCAGTGGCGCAATCTCGGCTCACTGCAAGCTCCGCCTCCCGGGTTCAAGCCATTCTCCTGCCTCAGCCTCCCGAGTAGCTGGGACTACAGGACCCCACCACCACGCCCGGCTAATTTTTTATATTTTTAGTAGTGACGGGGTTTCACCGTGTTAGCCAGGATGGTCTCGATCCCCTGACCTTGTGATCCGACCAAAGTGCTGGGATTGGAAGCGTGAGCCACTGCGCCCAGCCTAGATATGTTAATTAGCTTGATTTAATCACTTCGCAATGTAAACATATATCAAAACATCAGGCTATATACCATAAATACATGTAATTTTTGTCAATTACGCCTTCATATACCTGGGTGTATAACCAAACTAACAAACAAAAAAATTAAAAAGAAGAAAACCTATTGCTCTGTGAAAGAACCTGTGAAGAGGGAAAAAAAGACAAACTACAAACTGGGAGAAAATGGTTGCAAACCACATATCTGACAAAGAAATAGTATCTACAGTATAAGAACTATTAAAATTCTTCATTAAAAATTCAACTTAAAATGGGAAAATAAACAGACATTTCATCAAAGAAAATCCACATGTTGTGACTAAGCACATGAAAATATACTTAATTCATTAAGTAAAATCAAAACAAGATGTATTTATATATTTAACGGAATGGATAAAATAAAAAATAATGACAGCACCAAATGCTAGTGAGATTGCAGAGAAACCAGATCATTCATCAATGCCTGGTGGAAATATAAAATGATATAGCCATTCTGGAAAACAGTTTGGCAGTTTCTTATAAAACTAAATACGGAATTACCATAGGATGACACTCAAGCGTTCATCCCAGAGAATTGAAAACTTAAGTTTACATTACAAATCTCTATATGAGTATTTATTGCATTTTTATTAATAGTCAACTAATAGCCCAAACCTGGAAGTACCACGGCTATCCTTCAATATACTAATTAAACATGCTGTGGTACATGTATACCATGGAATATGACTCAGCAATACAAAGAAGGAATTATTGATACATACAACACTTTGAATGTATTTTTAGGGAATATGCTGTGTGGGGGAAAAAAGCAATCCCAAAGATTACATACTATATGATTCTATTTAAATAATTTTTTTTTAAAGATAAAATTTTAGACATAGAAAGCCACTTAGTGGTTGCCAGGGTTTAGGGAGAGGGAGGAACAGGGAATGTAACTATGCTGACAAGAGGGCAGTCTGAGAATCCATGTGGTGATACAACTGTTCCTTATCTTTAATGTGATGGTGGATACACAAATGTACATATGTGACCAAAATGATTGAAACTAACACACAAACTCAGCTTTAAGTAAAACTGGAAAATGTGAATAAAATGAGTAGATTGTAGCAATGTCATTCTTCTGAATGTAATACTCTATTCCAGTTTTTCAAATTGCTACCAATGAGGGATTCTAAGTATATGCGATCTTTCTGTGTTGGTTCTTATAAGTGCATGTGAGTCTAAAATAATTTTAAAATAAAGAATAACTTTTTAAAAAATCAATGAATTCATATTTACACCCACCCCCATGATCATAATCGATCTCAAAATCTGTTAGTAGATCAACTCAATAATCTGAGTATTGACATTTTTTAAAAAAAGAAACAACTCAAATGGCTTTCCTGAAGAAAATTTTTTCAATGTAAGCAAGAAAACTCAGTAAACGATCTTTTTTCATTATAGAAGAATTTTAGCTTAGCTATTCTAATAGGTAAATGAGTCATTAGTACTGAGTATTAAAATAGTGACATGAAAAGTTGAAGGTGTATTGAATAATGATCATATTGATAATACCTGGACTTACTGATTAATCTTGGCATCAATAATAGCGGAGAAATACATGTTATGTGTTCTACAACGTGTTGTAATAAAAATGTTATAGAAAAATCTATGAAGCCCTTTTGCCTAAAAATTTAAACCTGAATTTAATCGAATATTTATATACATGTCAATAAACAGGAAATATATAGAATAAAATAAAAATTAAGTCACAATGGAGTATTTGGCTGAATCCAGGATTTGGTACATTTTACAGAACAAATGTCTTAGTTTCTCTGTGAATATCAATGGCGAAAATATGCTAAAGAGATGAATGGGACTGTTACAGAAAAAAACAACAAAAACAACAGAGCCCAAACAACCATTTTTTTGCATCCTAACTGAAACAAATCAACTATAAATATACTGTTTTGAGACTATTGTTAAAACTTGAATATATTCTAAGTATTTAACTTTTTAAAAAATTTATACATTTTATTTTTGAGGAAAGGTCTTGCTCTGTCACCTGGGCTGAACACAGTGACGTGACCACAGCTCACTGCAGCCTCAAACTCGGGCTCAAGCAAGCTCTCCCAACCAGCTAGGGCTGCAAGTGTGCATTACCACGCTTGGCTACTTAAATTTTTTTTTGTAGCAATGAGGTCTCGCTATTTTGCCCAGGCTTATCTTGACCTCCTGGACTCAAGCTTTTCTCCCACCTTGGCCTCCCAAAGTGTTGGGATTACATGCCTGAGCCACTAAGCCTGGTCAGTATTAAATAATATTAAGAGTTTATTGTTAATGTGTTAAACAATACATATCATGATATTTATCTAAAATAAAATATAGCACATATGAATTCTGAAATATTTATTCAAATAATTTATAGTAATTTATCCTAAATACTTACAAATGTAGGGGTCCCAGATGAAATAAGACTGGTAAACTGTTAATTCTTGATGAAGGATGATGAGCACATAAAATTTATTAGCATTTTTCTATCTTAGTGTATGCTAACATTGTACTTAATAAAAAGTAAAAGAACCTTTAAAATCATTATTTCCTAATATCAAACACATATTAGACCCTTTTACCTGACTTGGGGTATTTATTTAATTCGTACTGAACTTGTATCACTAAACCATATATAGTTCAAGGGAGCAGTGGATAGAAACCCTTTTCATTCCTTACATTTCTTAATCTTACATGTATAAGCCCAACAAAATACACACACAGGCACACACACACACACACACACACACACACACACATTCAACCTTATACTCTGATGCCATTGGTGTATGAGAATGGAGACGTCTAATGTCTAAAATTATATCTTATGCTCATAATAGCTGAGTGTCAATAAATAAAACTTTTGACTAAATAAACCGTATAAACTGAAAACATGCTCAGATTGTTCTACCTCAAAGAATTTCCAGAAAGTAAATTTTAGCATGTAAACAAATTCAATTCAAAAAAGAACAATGCCAGCAACAAAAAGCGCCCCCACCACCCCTCACCACCACCGTTTGTGTATACATCCAGTCATCATCCCTCTTAAAATCTAAATGCTTTCTGGAATTTTATCATCATAATCTTGGTTTGCATTTTTTGAATTTTATATAAGTTGAAATGTACAGTGTATAGTCCTGTGTCGGCCATTTTGCCTTAATATTATAAGAGTCTAATTCTATTTATGTGTGTAGCAATAATTTGTTTATTATCATTCGCTTATAGTATTCTGTTCTGAAAATACATCACATTTTTAATCATTACAATGTTTTCAGAAATATTGGTTGTTTTGAAATTTTTCCTATCACAAATAGTTTTCAATTGAGCATTACAATGCTCAATATTCCATGGTCAATCTTGCGTATGTTTTTTGATGCACATGTCGGTTGAGCATATATCTGACTGTCATATTTCTGGGTTTAGCAGTTTGAATGCATTTCCCTTATTTCAATTTGCCTATTATGTATTGGTTCTTTCTGCCCTTTAATGTTTCTGAACATCTTTAAAGGGTTCTCTTCCTCACAGCATAGTATTGCATTGTTTCGTTAGACAAACCGTGTTTTGTTGTTGTTTTTTTTTTTGCTTCTAACAGGTGATTACCAGAGTCCAAATTGTATCAGAGAGAGAAACACTTACCATATGATTCAGTCTCTTTATCTTTGTCATGTACACGTCTGATGCTAATCTTTATAAATGGATATATCCTTTTTTTTCGGTCCAAGTATTACTTTAGAGTTTAACAGAATTACTAGAACACATTTTGGTTTTCCCAATTCTGGGATATTTTTCCTTTTGTGTGCTTGCCATCCTAATACATAGGTTGGAGTCATATTTTATTTCAGAGTATATACATTAATTATACATTTTAACATTTTTTCCTGCTCCAGTGCTTTTCGCAGTTATCTCTATAACTGGAGATAGAGATTGGTCTTTTATTGACAATATTCTTTGACCATCACCTTTTACAATATCCTTTTAAAAATATCTTCATTTTATTTTTTCTGCTTTCCATCTCTTATTTATTTCATAATATCTACAACTATCTGATCTTTGACAAACCTGAGAAAAACAAGCAATGGGGAAAGGATTCCCTATTTAATAAATGGTGCTGGGAAAACTGGCTAGCCATATGTAGAAAGCTGAAACTGGATCCCTTCCTTACACCTTATACAAAAATTAATTCAAGATGGATTAAAGACTTAAACGTTAGACCTAAAACCATAAAAACCCTAGAAGAAAACCTAGGTATTACCATTCAGGACATAGGCATGGGCAAGGACTTCATGTCTAAAACACCAAAAGCAATGGCAACAAAAGACAAAATTGACAAATGGGATCTAATTAAACTAAAGAGCTTCTGCACAGCAAAAGAAACTACCATCAGAGTCAACAGGCAACCTACAAAATGGGAGAAAATTTTCACAACCTACTCATCTGACAAAGGGCTAATATCCAGAATCTACAATGAACTCAAACAAATTGACAAGAAAAAAACAAACAACCCCATCAAAAAGTGGGCGAAGGACATGAACAGACACTTCTCAAAAGAAGACATTTATGCAGCCAAAAAACACATGAAAAAATGCTCACCATCACTGGCCATCAGAGAAATGCAAATCAAAACCACAATGAGATACCATCTCACACCAGTTAGAATGGCAATCACTAAAAAGTCAGGAAACAGCAGGTGCTGGAGAGGATGTGGAAAAATAGGAACACTTTTACACTGTTGGTGGGACTGTAAAATAGTTCAACCCTTGTGGAAGTCAGTGTGGCGATTCCTCAGGGATCTAGAACTAGAAATACCATTTGACCCAGCCATCCCATTACTGGGTATATACCCAAAGGACTCTAAATCATGCTGCTATAAAGACACATGCACACGTATGTTTATTGCAGCACTATTCACAATAGCAAAGACTTGGAACCAACCCAAATGTCCAACAATGATAGACTGGATTAAGAAAATGTGGCACATATACACCATGGAATACTATGCAGCTATAAAAAATGATGAGTTCATGTCCTTTGTAGGGACATGGATGAAATTGGAAATCATCATTCTTAGTAAACTATCTCAAGGACAAAAAACCAAACACCGCATGTTCTCACTTATAGGTGGGAATTGAACAATGAGAACACAGGGACACAGGAAAGGGAACATCACCCTCTGGGGACTGTTGTGGGGTGGGGGGAGGGGGGAGGGATAGCATTAGGAGATATACCTAATGCTAAATGATGAGTTAATGGGTGCAGCACACCAGCATGGCACATGTATACATGTGTAACTAATCTGCACATTGTGCACATGTACCCTAAAACTTAAAGTATAACAATAATAAAAGAAAAAAAGAAAAAAAAGAAAATCGTAAGCTTATTAAAGAAATAATAATATCTGTGGCATTTATTTACTCTCCTGGGTTTTCTAGTTTAACATTCAATGTCAAAATCAATCCTTTTGTCATTTCTGACTCTTCCCTGAGTACTATCAGCTCTTAAGTTTCCCCCTTTTTAAAACAAACTAACTTCTAAGTTTTTTTAATTGTAGTAGATGTGATTTTATTTATACTTTGATTACACTTCTAAATTACATTATCTTGTTTTTAATTATTATCTTAAAATTTTTTTGTGCTTTCTGGGCTTTATTCTTATCCAGCACAGTATTCTTCTTTATCTTATGACACATCTCTTCCTCTGACCAATGAGTCCATATTATAGATGGAACTTCTACTCTGAACAATTTCTTCTCAGTGCTAATTTTTATTCTAAAAAGGTACCTCATTTGACTAATTCGAAAGTCCTTTGGTTACAGAACATTCTAACATTTTTCAACCTTTCCGTAGTCTTCTTGTTTTTTTCCATAAATGGGAGCTTGGTAAACCCTGACCTGGATTTGGCTGTGTTGCCAGATTATTCTGTTGAAATTAGATCCATGACCTCTCAGTTTGGTAGCAGCTAATATTTCAGAGTTCTCTTACTGTCAGAACTGTAAATCACTTGGATTTTCTTTTAGGTCCTCCCAAATAGTTATTACCATACAGGTTTCCTTCTTTTGATGGATACTTTTCACTCAATTTTTGTAACTGTTCATGGCTATCTCATTTTTACCCAAATTCCTCAATATCTGCTTATGGAAATAGAGACTTAAACACTATGCCCCCACTGCCACTGCCCAGCCAACTCACTTTTTACTTTCAGCACTGAGAAATGAATGGCATAGTCTCCACTGATGGACGTAAGAATATAAATATGTAAGAATTTTACACAAAGGGTTGAATTTGCTGATGTAAGAAATTACACGTGATATTCAGAATCACCTATTTAAATTTCTCTAGAAAATGAATTATATGTAAGGAATACATTTAACATAAAGTTCAAAATTATTTTGCAGCTAGATCAGAGGGATCTGAATGATGGTATAACAAATTTCTTATTACCATTTATGTAGTTTTTTCAACGTATTTCTTTAGTCATTGTTGTAAAGCTTCCTGCTGCGTTTTAGCAATGGATTGTGACAGATGTTTAATGAAAGTTGAGAGTGTTTTTATTCAACACCATAAGCTTTTCAGAAGAAAGACAGTATGCAAATTTAAATCATAAGTAACTGAAGTGAGCATCAGGATGCTTTCTCAAAAGAATACATAAGTAGTATGTTAAAAACAGATAAAAATGTAATGGGCTTAGATTTAAAAGATTATGAAATTGAGGAGTGCATAATTTCAAGCTGCTTTATTATTTCAGAAAAAAAAGTTTAATTTCATTTCACTAGAGTGCCTACCTAGACACAGGAGAAAGTGACTGTAAGGCACAGGTGAATGACTGTGCCAAGAATTACTATATAATTGGAAAATGTACGATTAGGGAGAGAAATAGATGCAGTTTAAACTGGTTATCATCCAAAATCATTGATGTTATGGGAGGAATTGGTTAAGTGAATTATAAATTACATCCTTTTAATGGAATGTTGTTTTTACAATGGTATTTTTTTAAAAGTTTTAATACAATTGGAACATGTTCATATTACATAATGTTTATGTGTGTGTATGTTTATATGTTTTGCTAAGGGAATGCTTACTTTCACATTTTGTTTCTTTCCAAGTGGACAATTTTTTATTGGTGTAGCACTCCTGACCACCATTTTCCATTTTAATCATTCTTTCCGCAAGTTACATGTAAAAATTAAATATTATTGATTTATTTGAAAAAAATGATTTCTTATATTCTGCTCAGTTTCACAGTTTTTCTTTGGGACCAAGCTATTTGCCCAAAGCAGGAGTTATTTCTTAGATCAGACCTTCAATATTATTGGGGCACATCCTTCAGGTGGGGAAGCACTGCTCCAAAGTTGCCAATGAACAGGTGAGTAATTTTGTCTAATTTTAGGGTTTAGTTAGCAAATAAATTTGGCTCTCATACCAAATAGTCTAGTTTTTTATTGGTAACATTATTATACTTTGTTTTATTTCTCTTTTTTTTTTCACCCAGAAATTGTGCCATGAAGGTTGGTACTATGTAATGGGTCATCACAAAATAATTTCACTGGTTCATCCAATAATTCACAAAATTTCAAAGACAAGAATTTGGAAACACACACAATTTAGAATTGAGATGATCCACATTGCAGCAAGTTGTAATTTCAGTTTATAAATCACTCATATTTCTACTACCCAGAAAAATATGAGTTATTTATCAATTATTTGAATAGTAATCCATCAAGACATTGGAGCAAAATGCATAGATGCCAATTTGTAGATCTAGAGGAAAGTTTAAAACATTTAACTTCCAAAGAATAATTAAGGTAATTATGCATAATTTAGGTACTTTACTCACTGGAACACAAGTTTTTATGACCTAACTTCAGACAAAAAACTCCAAAAATCCTAACAGATTAAATGCTGTTAGAAAGACATTAGAATTATTTTACCCAAAGTGACCAGCAGCAAATACCAATCCTATTATTTAATAACTATGAATGCATGAATGTGATACAAATATGTGTCAACCACTAGACTTTAATAAAGTAAATTGGAATAAGGAATTTTCAATTACTCATTGAAGTGTATGAACTACTTAGAAATGTCTCCTTCAGCTTAACTATAGACCACTAAAAATATCACATAAAACTAATCTAACTTTGTTTTTGTTTTGTAGAAAGTGAATTATGATATCAGGCTTTTAAGAGAGATTTAAAAATAAATGGATAAAATACACAAACGTTCTTATCAACTATGTATAAAATCATATATGTAAAGTTTCAAAGGAAATACACCAACACGTTAGTAGTGAACGACTGTAGGTAGTGGAATAATAGATTATGTTTATTTTTGTATTTATATTTTTTATGTATTTTGAAAATATTCCACATTGGGATCAGCAATATAATTGATTAATAAAAATAAATTAGCACTGCATAAACCAAACCGAACCAAACGTGGGTTTTTGGCTAGGTTTTGCAATTTTCAGCTTGTTGCTTTGCCATTGGATAGCTATAAAATTAGGGAAAGCCATTCATTGAAATTTACCTTTTTTATGGAAAAACAAGGATTTTCATACAATTGCAGAAAATATATAGCGAAAACTAATTTTAATACCAGGACAATACAGTTGTCATCCAGATGTACTTGCTTCTTTCCTGCCAAAATGTTTATTTGTCTATATCTTGCTCTGTTATCCATGAGAAAAAATGGCAATATTCTGATTATGATACTCACAACTACAACATAATCAGCATATCTGTAGATGGATAATTTGTTCACTTTGTTGCCAATAATATTTACATAACTGTAAGCTCTGCTATCATTTCTTTTTTTCTCACATATGAAAATAAGTGATGTTTTCTATATGTAGAATCTCCTTTGCTAGTAATTTAAGAGTAGATAACTGTGTAAAGAATTATCAACAGTTTACATTAGTATCTTCTTTGGTGTATTAAGAAGACATTTTTGAGATTTTTCAGTCTATGATTTCTAATAGATGTTGTATTAAAAATTGGGTGCATATTCACAATAGCAAAGACATGGAATCAACCCAAATGCCCATTAATGATAGACTGGATAAAGAAAATATGGTACATATACACCATGAAATACTATGCAGTCATAAAAAGGAACAAGATCAAATCCTTTGAAGGGACATGGATGAAAGCCATTATCCTCAACAAACTAACACAGGAACCTAAAACCAAACACTGCATGTTCTCACTTATAAGTGGAAGCTGAATGATGAGAACACATGGACACATGGAAAAGGAAACAACACACACTGGGTCCTGTCCAGCCCTGTGTGGCCACGGGGGCAGGGGGAGGAAAAGCATCAGGAAGAACAGCTATGCTGGGCTTAATACCTAGGTGATGGGGTTAATCTGTGCAACAAACCACTATGGCAAGTATATACCTGTATAACAAACCTGCACATCCTGCACATGTACCCCAGAACTTAAAACAAAAGTTGAAGAAAATCAACTCAGATAAATTCAAAATAAAATGATTGGAAAACATATACAGGAGCTATTATGGGTGACATATTTCATAAAAGTATAAAGATAAAAGTATAAAAGGAAGTTTATGCAATTATAAATTTATACACTGTTTATAACTTGGCATCAGTTATATTAAAAAAGCTGACCAAAAGAAAAGTACGGAGAGACAAATCCATGATAATGTTTGAAAATTTTATTACACCTCATTCTATAAGTGACAGACCAGTTGTCAAAAAAATTATTGGCTATATATTAGATTTGAACAAGAAAATTAACCAGTTTGATCTAGTGACATATTGAACACTGCAATCAATAACAAGAAAATGCATATAGTAAATTTTTAAAAATGCACTATTGTGTCATCAATATATCTGCAAAATAACAAAAGTTTGAAATTAATGTAGTAAAGGTTTTCTGATAACTATGAATTAAATTATCGTTCTATTATTGAAAGAGAAAAATAATGTTTTTTTTTCTTAATACAGTTTTCAGGTAACAAGGATGATAAACAGTAGAGGGTAGTGAAAAGGGAATGAAGATGAGAGAGGTGACATTACCAAAAGGCTCTATCACAATCTTAACACCAAGGACAGAATATTGCATTTCTGTCATGTAAATGTTTGAATATTTACATGAAACAAAGTAACTCATTGGTCCAAGAAGATATTACAATGGAAATTAATAAATAATTTGAAGTGATTATTAATAACAATATGATCTATCAAAGGCTGTAAAATTCTACTACAAAATAATTAAAAGAATATTATAGCTTAAATGCATGTATTAAAAATACTAAAAATTTAAAATCAATTACCTATACTGTCACCATAAAAGCTAAAGAAAAAGGAACAATGTAAGCTCCAAGAAACTAGAAAGTAAGAAATAATATAAATTGATGCCAGAAATCAGTGAAATGGAAAATTTTACAAAATGGGTACAAAAGTCTCACAATAATTAATCTGTTATTAATATAATACAAAAATACAACAATATGTATATTTTAAAAGATGTGTTTCACCATGAAATAAAATCAAACACAATTTTTATGGATAATGTTAGTACAAAATTCTGACTTAGCAATCAACCACAATTTGGCTTTACTGAACAATACTCCTTCTTTCACAAGTCACTTTCTTTCTCTTTTGAGGATACATGCCTACAAAACAAAGACAGGAATATTGCATTGGGACAAATATATTAGAATGATTTTATTTTACTGTCATAAGTGACTTTTTTTTGCAATATTCTGTCCTTGGTGTTAAGATTGTGATAGAGCCTTTTGGTAATGTCACTTCTCTCGTCTTCATTCCCTTTTCACTACCCTCTACTGTTTATCATCCTTGTTACCTGAAAACTGTATTAAGAGTCTCAACCACAGTAAGAGTTAGGAGTTAGGAAACTCCTTTCATATATGCTTATAGCATAAGTTTTAATAATATTTTCTTATCACAAATAAACAAATGTGGGATGGGTTATATATTATATGGGATTGATTAGTAATTTGAGAACCAATATGTTTAGTCTATTTATTAAAATGGTTAATTTTTCCTTCCCTATTTCTCTGCAAAGATGTTTTAAAGCTAGTTAACTTCTTTGTTGTGCAGATCTTACAAGATGTATAAGTAAATCACCAATAAACTAGAAAAGAACATAATCGAATACTGTATAAAATAAGAAATCTAATCAGTCAACATACTTTTGAAAGTATTTTCAATGTCTCTGATAATACGGTACAAATCAATCTGCAAAGCAGTGGCATGTCAAAGAAATAATTGTTCTTCAGAAGGTAAAACTTATTCTGTTTAATAGACGCACTCATATTTCTAATGTCATGAATTGGTAAACATCTTTTAAATCAATAATCTGTAACAGGGTCTAAAAACAGCTAGGTCCTTGGAAATAGTAATTGTACATGTTAAAATGGATTCAAATGAAGAGTATTTTAAGTTATTTCCCAAAGATATTCATAAAATGCTTTATTTATAATATTAGATGAATAAAGTAGGTCTCAAATATAGGTTACCTCGTTATTAAAATGTTACAATATGTATACAAAAGATTGAAGAATGTAGATTTTAGTGAAGATACTTGGTGGAATAATGTATATTTTCTTAACAATTTGAAAAATGTTATTTTAATGTTCCATGAGAAAAATACTATATAAATTTTTTTATAAAACAAGGCAATATTATCTTTCTTGCAAGTTCTTCTGTATGTACCCACAGCCCTACTTAATACTTTTCAATTATACTATTCGTTCAATTTTGATATTATAATTCCGTCTAATGTATACATTGTCACTACTTAAATGTGAGCTCTCTATGTTGTGTAAGGTCCAGAATCCAATGTACAGTAATAATAATAAATGACTAAATAATTTTAAACTTTATTAACAAATAATATTGATAATTGAGTTCAAAATATGCATACCTTTTATCCAGTTCTGCTAATTCAAATTATCTGTTATGAGTCTTATATATATATAGTTGATTTGCCATTAATAAAAATATCATATTCAATTATTACTATGCACATTGATGTTTATATTGGTTTTTCTCTGCTTGATTTATCTTATCACTATTTTAGTTTTATATATTACTATATATGATTATTATAAAACTACTGTCTTACAAGCACAAAATTTTATTTTTAGTACACTGACACCTGTTGTTAAATTTAACACAACTCAGCATATATTCAACAATTCTTCTAGTTTTACTATACTGCACGATTTTAATATAAATGAATTTCTAAATTTCCCAAATATTTTAAGTTTTATTAGAATGTTTACATTCTTAAGGTTTTAGGATTTTTAAATAACTGTTTCTTGATCTATTTTTCTGTTTTGAATTTGGGTTTATTTTTATACTTGACTGCTCCTAAAATGGTATATCAATATTTTTATACCAACTATAAATATGTTGTTCAAGTGTTAAGGTGATCAGATTTTAGAATTGTTAAGTGCCTTTTACGTACTGCCTAAGTACATAAAGTACTTAAAGTACATAAAGAGTGAGTACTGCATTTCACTCAACTTACATGGCAAGACACTATGTATATACCACAAGCAAAAATAATAAATTTAAATTATTTTATGCATTTTCTATGGATTGTGGCTAGAATTGTTCTTGAGTCTTCAAAATATTATTGCAAATTATTGTATTTACATGTGTGTGAACAGATAAGCAAATTCAAAGAAGAAATAAAATTCAACAACAATATATCCAGACATTAGATCAGGAAATAAAATATTAGCAACATGCAAAAGTGTCTTGTCTACCCAAGCCAAGTTCTATCTTCCATCTCTGTTCTTACAGAAAACCACTACCCAGAATTGATTGTTAATCATTACTTTGACTTATTTTAATGGAATTTACTATCTGCATATACATTGCAAACAAATACACTGATTAGTTTTACCTATTTTAAAAACTTATTTAAATGGAATTCCTCTGCTTGTATTTTTGTGCCCATTGTGTTGTTCCCTTTTAATATTTTTGAGGTTTATCCATACTGACTTGTGTGGTAGTTCATTTTTTTTCCACTGCTGTGTGGTATTATATGAATATTTTACTACGTATTACCATCTGTGCATTCCACTGTTGATAGGCATTTAAATTGTTTCCAGTTTTTGCAATTACAAACTATGTTATCTGAGGGATATGCATTCATACAATATTTAAAAATCTCACAATGGGACATGGAGAAATGTAGGCTGAAGATAACAAAAATAATTTTATAGGTTTTCTCATACATAATCTCTTATTTTCTTCCTGGTATAAAACCACTAGAAATTTTTGATTTCGCCTTGGTGTTTGCTCACTATTTCTTATTTTTCCAAACTCTTAGGATGTCATTTCTTTCTATTTTGACTCAGCATTAACAGCTTGAACAATTGATGTCTTCTCTATGGCCTTGCCCTGATACTATAACTGCCCATAACAAAATCATTTGTTGTAGCAGTGTGCTGGAGGTGGTTGTTCCCAGCACCCAAGAGTTAATTTTTTGGTCAATCCATCTTTATTAAGATGGTATTGGTAGCTTGAAATTCGTCAAGGCAAGAGCATTTGTGCCCTGAAAATCAGCCAAGGCTATAAATCAGCCCCTCCCACACGAGCCATCTGTTAAACATTTACCAACACATCACAGTTTCTGGAAGTGGAAAGAACATGGAATATAGAGTTAGACATATTTAGGTTCTAATTCCAACTGTTACTAGCTATTCAACCTTAGAAAAGTATCAAAAACTCAGCTATTTATTTATAAAACAGGAAAAATGTATTTTGTTTTAAAGGTGTTAATGATTAAATGTAAGATCATATGTAATGCCACTAGCCAATCAGGTGGAACAAAATGTATCCCTCTAAGTGTTAACTTCTTTCCTCTATGTAATCAGTGAGGTTCAGAAAATAAATTGAAACTTTTTTTTTTTTCACTTTACAATACACAAGATCTGGTACTTATTTTCTGTATCCAAAAATACATACGTTTTCTTTTGGGAAATATAAAAGTAAAAGTCCAGTTTGTGTGCCTGTCAAGTACTAGTCTTCCAAAAATGGAAGAAACATTAGCATTAATTGTGGAAAGTCGGTTATTCCAAAGAAATTAAATTTCCATTTATACTTATTTGTCAGAAAAATATCCCACATGACTTTAATTTTTTAATTGCTAAACTATGTCTAAGATTATAAACTTAACTTTTCTGTATGTGGTCAAAAATTAGAGTTTCCTATTCTTATTTCATTATATTTTACTTAGAATATGTTTTAGAGACAGCTCTCAATTAATTATTTTGAGAAAACAATTGTTGATGACAGTAAAAGTCCTCATATCCCTCTCAACCCAATTAACTTATCATGTATTCCCAAAGCCAGATATAATGAACAAAATCCCAATAATCTTGAATTCTGATTCAATTGAGAGTGTTCTCAGAGTCATACAGGATATTATCCTATGGTTTGTATGTGATTGAATGAGAGTACTTCCAAGAGTGTGTTAAATTGTAATAATATATGTACTAATCCAGAAAATATTTTCTTTTCAGATGCAGCCTTGTGTAAGGCACTGTTTTAGGTATTATGTGAATTCAAAGATGAGTGAGAAATATTCTCTCCTCTTAGCAGCTCACACCTAGTAAATAATGTGTGACATGGCTCCACTGAAACAGATAAAGCCTTAGTGAAATGTTCTCATAGAATACCATAGAATTTGGAGAATAGAGCTATTTCCAGCTTAGTGCAGATACAACACTGGTGATGGTTGGGCAAGGTAGAAGTGACTTTTTAGATTGCTCTTAAAAGATGAATGTGCTGTTAACTTGTGGTTTGACTGTATGGGGCAGGAGACAGGTAAAGGAGAAGAAGAAAGATTATAACTTAGTGATAGCAACTGCTAATTCAGGAAAACAGCTGTAGATTATGTAGGAAAACCAGCTAGGCAAGTGACAAACACATAACTAACTAATCTTTTTTGACACATGATTATTCTATGAAGTATTTAAAGAGCTTCATTGAACTATAATAATCTCTTTTAAATAGGCATTTTAATACAGCTTAAACAAAAACTGAGAAGAGTTTAGTACCTCATAATGTTTATTGGTAATCAAAACATGCCACTTCCTAAAAAATGTTTCAAAGGTATGTAGTAGCATTAAAAAATATGATTTACACAAAATATGAAAGATCCTTGGTAGGTGTTGTTAGTACCGAGAATGTGAGATGAGGAGGGCTATGCCTTTATTCAACCTTGCCCCAAAGGCCTAGCACAGTGCTTGAAATCAGATCAGAGTTCAATATGTGTTTATTGACTCTCTTTTGAAACATAAATATTAAGTATAAACTGAAGTTACATATGTATATAATATGTATAAGGTATGTTTATAACTTTTATGTGTACTATACATGTATAAATATATGTTATATATATAAGTACATTTCTATAGAGAGTTAAAAGAGGCCTATGTAATCACGTTTTTGTAAATATTTGTGATGGTTAATTTTATGTGTCAACTTGAATGGGCCATAGGCTGCCCAGATTAAACATTATTTCTGGGTGTGCCTGAGATAACATTTCTGAATGAAATTAGTATTTGAATTGTTGGATTCAGCCAAGCAGAGTGCCCTCTCCAAAGTGAGAGGGCATCATCCAGTTCATTGAAGGACTGAACAGAACAAAACGATGGAGGGAGGAGGAATTTGCCCCTTTGCTTCCTGCCTGCTGAGCTGGGACATTAGTCTTCCCCTGCCCTTGGACTGGGATTTACACCATTGGCTGCCACTTCTGATTCTCAGGCATTTAGACTTGATGAGACCACCAGCTTTCCCAGGTCTCCTGCTTGCAGACAGCAGATTGTGGGACTTCTCAGCATCTATAATCGTGTAAGCCAATTCTTATAATTAATCTCTTTCTATCTAACTATCTATGGATAGACAGATATCCTATTAGTTCTGTTTCTATGGAGAACCCTGACTAATATATGTTCTACCAGGAAATTCATAGATTCCCAATTTCTTAGAGCATATGAAGTTTTCTTGACATCTTTAACATTAAAGTGAACAAAACAGAAAACCACCACAACATATGACTTGCTTTCAATAAATATAAAATCTCAATTTATACATATATATATACACACACATATATACATACACACACACATATATATGTACATATACATATACATATACACACACATACACACACACACACACACATATATATATATTCATGTGTCACTTAATGATGGCGATATGTTCTGGGCAACATGACCTTAGGTGATTGCATCCTTGTATGGACTTCATAGAGTGTACTTATTCAAACCCAGATAGTATATAGTCTAGTATGCACTTATAACCTATTGCTCCTGGGCTTCAAACTTGTGCAACATGATACTGTCCTGAATGCTGTAGGCAATTGTAACACAATGGTATTTGTATATCCAAACATGTCTTATTATAGAAAAGGTAGAGTAGAAATGCCATATTATAACCTTATGAGATTACCATTGTATATTGCCTGTCACTGACCAAAAAAACAAAAAACCCTATCTTATTCAGTGAGTAACTGTAATTAATGATTTTCTTCAATAGCATTCATTACCATTTATTTACAAATTTTGTTTCTATTGGATATGTGCATACTGCTTAATTATTAGGAATTTTGCCAGTTTATTCTCAATTTAAGTTTTTAAAAAATACAAGCATATTTATTAAATGATTACCATATGTTCACATGCAGGCACTGATTACAGAGCTAAATGAAACACTGTGTTACTTTCAAGGTCCTTACAGTTTAGAAGGGGTGACAGTCATAAATAAATGACTATAATAAAAATATGATAAATGATAATTATGAAATTTTGTATAAAGTAGTATGAAAATTTACATAAATGAATAATAAATTTCCCTCTGTGTTTATCCTATTTAAATGTAACCTTTTGAATGGTAAAAATATTAATTAAAATTATAATACAATTCTTTTTTTCCTACAAATATTTGAAATATCCTATAAATTAGGAGATAAAATATATCCAACAATACAAACTCATCAACAGCGAATAATGATCACAAGTGAGGATGCTATTTTTTCCCAGAACAGCTTATGATATGATGATTTTTCCTAATTTATGACTTGCACTATAGTTCTAAGTCAGTATTCATTCTTTTAAACTTTGATGCTGTACCAGAGAAGCTTATACAAAGTCCAAAAGCGATATATCATCTCGTGGTTTCAGAGCTTCTGTGGCTCCCCTTAAGAATTAAATACCGTTTATGAGCATTTTCATATTCATGAATTATATTTATTAGAAAGTTTTATTGCTTAATAACCTTTGGGCACATTTACAAAAGTATTATGACAATCTCTACTATGGCAGCTTCCATTTAATAGACAGTATAAAACAAAACATACTTAGGAACATGAAACACAAATAAAAAACTGTTCCAGATAAAATCTGTTCTAAATCTCAGGAATTTAAGAAGAGATTCTGGTATTTCAAAATGTATCTTGGCTGTGGAGAATATAGTCATATTTTTTGTCTCTCTCTCTCTCTGCCCCTTCTTTGGATATGTGGAAGGTTAAAAGCATACATAAGCCTACCACAGAGAGTGGAGAATAAAACCAAAAGCAAAACCAATAGGCACTGGTTCAGTTTTTCAAATGAGGCTACACAATTACATGGGAACCAAGAGTGCTGGTTCATTGAGGTCAGCATGTGTTTGAAGCTACTCTACTAATCTTTAGCATTCCTGTTTCAAGTGGAAATACTATACTACTATTTAAATGAGTTGGTACCTTTTTCTTGGATGGAGGAATCTAGTCTACATCTTTTTTTTTTCTGAGATGGAGTCTCACTCTGTTGCCCAGGCTGGAGTGCAGTGGCGCTATCTTGGCTCACTGCAAGCTCCGCCTCCCGGGTTCATGCCATTCTCCTGCCTCAGCCTCCTGAGTAGCTAGGACTACAGGCACCCGCCACCACACCCGGCTAATTTTTTGTGTTTTTAGTAGAGACAGGGTTTCACCGTGTTAGCCAGGATGTTCTCGATCTCCTGACCTCGTGATCTGCCCGCTTCGGCCTCCCAAAGTGCTGGGATTACAGGTGTGAGCCACCGCACCCGGCCTCTAGTCTGTATCTTGATTGAGGTCACGCAGAATGGGAGTGAGGGACACTGTTCATGTCCATGTTAGGAAAACGTTTCTTATGTCTCTGTGTGTTATGGGTGCATTCACATTAGATAGTAATTAATGTCATTTGCCATATTAACAGACTAAAAAAAATATATATGTCAACTTAATAGGTGTTTTCTTAAAACAATCAGCATTTTATAAAATCCAACATCTAAAACTGAAAAAAAAATGTCATCAACATTGGACAAAGATGAGATACATCTTTGAAAAACCTACAGTGGACATCAATGGAAAGTAAAATACATAATGTTTTTCCCCCGTAAGATCAGGAATAATTCAAAGATGCCCTCCATCACACTTCCAGTAAATATTGTTTTGGAGGTTTAAATAGTGTGACAACAAAAGAAATGCAAATCGTTCACATTAAAAAAGAAGTGTAACTTTTTATTCACAAGTAACATAATCATAAAGGTAGTATCAATAAAACAAGTAAGAACTAATAAGCGAATTAGTTTTTTTTTTGCAGTGTTCTATGATAAAATGCCCATATTCAAATATCAGTTGTATTTCTATACACTGGCAATGAACAATTCAAAACTTAAGTAATAAGACAGCAGTAGGATTTATAGTAATATCAAGAACTATAATCTGCTGGAGAATAAAAATACTAAAACATGTAAGATGTTTACACTGAAAACTAGAAAATATTGCTGAAAGAAACTGAAGAATATCTAAATTAATTGAGATACATAATGTGTTCATGTATCACATTATTAAAGAGGTTAATTTTTTTCAAATTGATCTATGGTTACATCATAATTCTAATAAAATTTCAAGCAGAATCATTTTGTAGAAATCAACATACTCATTCAAATAACCACAGGGAAATGCGAAAGATCTAAAATAGCCCAAACAACCTGAAGAAGAGGATGACACTGGACAACTATAATTATACTAACTGATTTTAAGAGTTACTACGAAGCTAAATAATCAAGATTCTGATTTATTATAACAAAAATAGGCAAAGCAATGTGAAAGAGAATAGAGGTCAGATATAGACTAACACATATGGTCAACTGATTTTCAAAAATTTCAATGTTAATTCACCAAAAAAAAATTTTTTTTCCATTAAACTTTTTCTTAGCTATCCATATAAAAATGAATTTCAATCCTGTATTATATCATATATTAAAAAACTCAAAATGAATCTTAGACCTAAATATGAAGGATAAAATTTAAGATTTATCAAAGAAAAAAATAGGAACATATCTTTGTGACTTCAGGCTGGGAATAAAATGTTTTAGATGCAATATCAAAAGCACGATCTATAAAAGAAAAATAACTGGTTAACTGAACGTCATAAAAGTTAAGAGCTGCTCTTTGAAAGAAACTGCTAAAAAAATAAGCATGCCACTTATAGGGAGAAAATAATTGCAAATCATATATCTAGTAAATAAATTATATCAAGAAAGTATGAGGCTTATCAAATCTCAATAATAAGGTAACAATAAACCCAATTAAAAAGTGAATAAAATATTTGAACACTTCGCACACACACACACACACACACACATGCACAAGGATTGAAAATAAATGCACAAAAATGCTTAGCATCATTATTCCTTGGAGAAAGGCAAATTAAAATCATAAGTAAATAGAACTTCAAGTCTCTTAGAATGACTAAAATAAAATTTTAAATGTCTAACTAAAAATATGTCCTAGCAAAGATATGGAGTATCTAAAACTCTCATAACGCTGGTGGGAATATAAGATAATACACTCTGGAAAATAGTTTGACGGTTCCTTAAACATATACCTAACATAGGATCTAGCCATTCCATTACTAGGTGCTAACCCAATAGAAATAAAAGCATATTGTCATACAAAAACTTTAAACGAATATTCAGAGCACCTTAATTTGTAAAAGCCCCAAACTGGAAGCAATCCAAATGTCAAACAGAAGGTGAGTGGGTAAACTATGGTATATCCAAACTGGAATACTGCATATTAAATAAAAGGAATGAGCTATTGGTACAATCACCAGCATAATGAATTTCAAAATAATTATTTTGATATTTAAAGGCTAGGTATTTAGAGATCTGACTGAGAAGAAAATTTTCAGGCAAAGAACCAGCATACAAATGGACTGTATTTAAGGACATCAACTCTCTCTTTTTTTTGGCGGGGGACAGAGTGTCACTCTGTCATCCAGGCTGCAGTGCAGTGGCATGATTGTGGCTCACAGCAACCTCTACCTCCCAGGATCAAGCAATTCTCTTGCCTCAGTCTCCTGAGTAGACAGAATAAGTGATTTTAATAACCTTTCAGGTCCCTGGAAATCTTCCTTTGGAAGAGTCCACAACACATTATCTCAGTCTACTTAAAATTCAATTTAATGATATCCATATGTTTTATAAAGACAGAGGGAAATTTATGTACTTATTTTGTATCTGTAGATATTCAACACCTATTAATATTCATTTGGCTGATGGCAAAGTTTTCCCTAGTATTTAAGGTCAATAAACTTCATTCTTTCTCACAGATATCAACTGTTCTTCCAGGCTCTTGTAAAGGATATTAGGTGAAGGAACTCTTTTTATAGTGCCTACTAAAAAAAAAAAAGTAATAATTTAGGGGATAAGTTAACCCACTAGAAAGATGGAAGAAACAAGTTATTTTTTTCTGGAAATGGAGAATATGAGCAGCTGATTTTTTTAAAGAGTTGTTAAAAATGCAAATGCTTAAAACACACCCCTCCCTCGCACTTATTAAGCACTCAATAAATGCTATTTTAAAATATGAGCTTTTGGTTATACTCAGTGCTGTGTAATATTGAGTTCGATGTTCCCTCTCTCAGCTCATGTATTTACTAGCTAAGCAACCTTCACACAACTGTATATTACTTAACAGTTTTTTTAATTGCGAAAGTAACATGATATAGTCAACTTATAATCTTAAAAACAATATACAGCATATGGCAAAGTAGTTTAAATTTTTATTATTAAAAGCTAAAACTCAGCACATGGCAGAAGTTCATTTTCTTACTATTATCATATGTAATCTTTTTTTTTTTTTTTTTTTGAGACGGAACCTCACTCTATTGCCCAGGCTCGAGTGCAGTGGCACGATCTTGGCTCACTGCAACCTCTGCCTCCTGGGTTTCAGTGATTCCCCTGCCTCAGCCTCCTGAGTAGCTGGGACTATAGGCACCCACCACCACACCTGGCTAATTTTTTGTATTTTTAGTAGAGACTGGGTTTCACCATATTAGCCAGGATGGTCTCAATCTCCTGACCTCAGGATCCACCTGCCTCGGCCTCCCAAAGTGCCAGGATTACAGGCGTGAACCACCACGCCCGGCCCATATTTAATCTTTATAGGCACTATCACATTTAACCCTGTGAAAGTCATGCTTTATTAGGCCTATTTTAATAAGGAATGTGATGCATACAGTATAAAATTTTTTTTTCAAATTCATATAGCCAGCAAATGGCAGAATTCAGATTTAAAGCTTTCAGTATGACTCGAGCACCTATTACCTTATCCTTTGTAGATGACATTTTAAATTATTCAGCTAAATTCCAAAATTATAAGCTATTTTTCAATTAAGGACTTATTTACTAGATATTATGGGTGATCACACTACTGTGGAACACTTCTAATTTAAACTAATTTACAAGATGCTAATGTATGAATTTAAAAAATTTTATTTGGGGTTTGGTGGGGGTATGAATGCAGCATTATTCCATGGATAAGCCGGAATCCTTGAGTAGGAATTCCATACTTGAAAATCAACCCCAAATAAGAATCCTACCAAAAAGTTAATTAAAGGAAAGACAACAGAAAGCATCTGGTGAATCTGTATTTGTTTGTATATTTGTAGCAAGAAATAATTTGGCAGTCAATACTCAGGTTGGGAAATATATTTTGTGCAAAGAATGATATAACGCCAAAGATAACAAGATAACTGGCAAACAGGAAAGTATTCTACTCTCTCAAAATACACCGGGAACATATTTCAGAATCAGCATCTTAGAAGCAGATTTCTTCTTGATGATTTGTGTATCTTGAAAATAAATTAGGAATGTACACAATATTCTATTACAGCACTTCAAACCTCTAATTTTAGCTTCATAAGAAACCCTAAAAGTCTGAAACTATTTGTCAGGTGGTGATACACTGAGTACTGTATTATGTTCTCTTGGCAGTGTATTGAAATATTTGTAATTTTCATGTTTTATAGTTCCCTGAAATCATTAGCACACTTTCATTTTAGAGGCTGTGCTAAATTCAGCACTAGAGTCAATAGAAGGAGAAAATGAAAGTGAGGGGTAAGATTCATTTTAATAGTTGGAGAAGTCGACTGGGAAAATGATCTGTCAGTATTTTTCTGGAACACAATGTTCTATGTAATTAGATTGGTGGAATAAAGGGAGATAGAAAGGACAAAACAGAGATGTTCTTTGGGGAATAATTAGCTTCAAGAATGCAGTTAAAACTATGTGAGCGTAAAAAGTTGCATAGTCAAATCTTGAGGGAAAAGAAGAAAGAATATAGAAAGATGAAGAGCTATTGAGAAGGACATCTTTATAGAAGTTGAGGGCAAAGGGTAGGCCTTAGAAGTAATAGAATATTTTTGTAACTAGAACTGAATCTTTAAACAATTGTTTTTGTTGTTGTTTGTTAGACTATGTATGCTTATATTACATTAATCTCTTCTACATTTCATTTTAAATTATGGAAGAATTCAGTACTTTGCTCACACTTTTGTTAAATTACAGAGCCCTTGAAAAGAAAACTGCATCTTTTAGTTGAATTTTGCATAACATAATGCACATTACACCATTTAATATACAACACAGAATAAGAAAGTCTTATAAGTTTTTAGGAAGATATTATAGATCACAGGTAATTTTATTTTTATGTATTGTTTGCCAAGTTCAGTTTCAAATTTTACGCTTTGCCTACTGACAGGTGGGTCACTTGCCATCTGCCCAATACACATCCTGTAGGAAGTTGCAAGTAATGCTAAGGGTCTGGAAATGTTGCCTCAGGTAGCCCACTACCAGAGTGTTGTGATGGTTAATATTAGGTGTCAACTTGATCAGACTGAGGGATGCTTACATGGCTAGTAACTTATTGTTTCTAGTGTGTTTCTGAGGGTGTTGCCAGAGGAGATTGACATTTGCGTTGGTGGACTGGGAGAGGAAGACTCACCTTCAGTGTGGGTGGGGAAAATCCAATCGGCTGCCAGTGCAACTAGAACAAAGCAGGTGGAAAAAGGTGGGATAAGTTTGCTTATCCCGCCTATGAGTCTTCTGGTTTTCTTTCTTTCTTCTTCCCATGCCAGATGCTTGCTTCCACTCCCCCTTCCACTGGACATCAGACTCCAGGTTATTTGGCCTTTGAATTCTGGGACTTGCAACAGTGACTTCATGCGGTCTCTCTGACCTTCAGCCACAGATTGAAGGCTGCACTGTTAGCTTCCCTGGTTTTGAAGCTTTCTGACTTGGACTGACTGGCTTCCCTCTTTCCCTAGCTTGCCTATCATAAGATTTCACTGTGTAATCTTGTGAGCCAGTTCTACCAAGTAACCTAATAAGCTTCCTTTAAAGTAAATATGTATCCTATTGGTTCTGTCCCTCTGGAAAACCCTCATACAAGAGGTTTTTTTTTTTTTTTTTGTCTCAGATTTTATGTTTAAAACCTATCTGAATCATATGTGTTATTACAATAATATATGTACTTTAATATAAATATTTTACCCTATATATATGCATTAAATCAAGGGGTATAAAGACAATCCAAATTTATCATATGGCCTTGCCAAACTTTCTGGAATATCTTGAATACTCAGATGTTAATCACAGTTTGAGAAGAATGATGAAGTGGAAAGAGACTTAAAAATAGACGCAGGGGAGCTACTTCCAGTATGACAACATGAGGAGCTCCACGAACCTATTCTTCCGTGAAGTTGTTGAAAACTGTAAAAATTACAGCCATCTAATTTTCTGGAAATGGCCCTAAAGATATATAGTAAATAAATATGTATTTATGCAAGAAAATCAATGAGAACTTGATAAGAATTAACAGACTCTATGGTATCTGAACCAGGATCCTTGCTTTCCCTCCTCCCACAATGGAAACTCTACTTCGCAGTGTTACAACTAAGAGCACAGAGATCTCTCCCCACCCAACTCCCAGTCAGAGTGATATCTTTCTGCAAGGGGAGAACACCAGGATTTCTCATCTTGTTCCCAGTTATCTGTTACTCAGACTATGTTTCAGGTGAGTGTGGTGAGAGGTAAGCACCGCTTTTTTTCCACCTAGCCCCCATATGTTGTTTGGAGGCTCTATCTTGGGAGTGGCACTGCTGAGAATGTGAGGACATCATTCCCACTTGCCCTGGTTTATGGGGTGCAGGTTTCACACCAAGAAACAAACCAAGAAACCTGGCACTGTTGTTATTTCCACCATCAATCACTCAACTCCTAAAAGGAGGGTGTCACTCAGAGAAGCACAGCCATTGCCCTCAATACCAACTGTACGGCCATGCCCAGGGTCATGGGGGTAAGGGGAACATACTGTAGAACAGAAGGTTCAAAAGCCTTCTCCAAAAAGCTTCATTCTTTTGCAATAGAGTATGGAGACTTTCCATCCTAAGGGTACACTTTAAAAAAAAAAGGTGGATAATGTAGAGAAAGGCAACTGGAACCAGATTGATAGCTTCATTGTAGACAGAGGCTAAGCCTACATAGACCTACTAGTTTGCTGGAGGTAAATATGGAATAAATATCTAGGAAGAAACTTTCTGGAGTTAGAATAAATACGAGACATTGACCTCAGGAATTTTCCCTTCAAAGAAATCAGAATTTATGGGATTGGTATGTGAATCAATATATATCCCAGGGCATTGTTGGGCAAAAAAATAGAGCAATCAGTCTGTAATCAGTAGAGGCTAATAACTGGGTGCAGTCAGAAAAAAGAAGACAACTTTGTCAAAACCACAGATATCCCAAGGTGACAGTGGGAATATCCAAAGCCACATTCCCCGAGGAGCAACATCAGAGACTTAGCACTGAGTAGAGTATTCACTAAAATACCCCAAACACGTACTAAACAAGCAAAAAAGCAAATAACAAGAATAAGCCTTGGGGAAAGGGAAGGAGGTGACTACCACCCTGAGTTGCTACAATATAACATCACAAATGTCCAGTTTCCAATGCAAAAGTATGAGACAACAGAAACAGAAAAAAATGACCCATAATCTGGGGTAAAACAACAGGCAACATAAGCTGCCCGTGAAAGTGATCCAGATTTGGGGATTAACAAAAATTTCCATTATAAACTTGTTTGAAGAAGTAAAGAAAACAATGATAAAGTACATAAAGGAAGTTACGGTAATGGTATCTCATTAAATAAAGAATATCAATAAAGAGATAGACAGTATAAAAAGAACCAAATGGATATTCTGGAGTTAAAGTGTAAAATAACTAAAATGAAAAATTTACTAGAAGGCCTTAATAGTAGACATAAACTGGCAGAAGACTTAGTGAACTTGAATATTGACCAATGGAAATTATGCAATCAGAAAACCAGAGAAATTAGTGAAAAAAATTTAACAGAGCTTCAGAGACATGTTGGTCACCTTTAAGTGCATTAATATACATATAGTAGGAGAATCAGTGTGGGTAGAGAGAAATAAAGAATCAGAAAAAGAAATTAAAATAAATAATTGCTGGAATGTCTCAAATTTTTTGAAAAATATTAATCTATGCATTTAAAAATCTCAAAGAACTTCAAGTAGACTGAAGACAGTAACTCATAGTAAAGGAACACATGAAGAGAATCAGAAATGATATATAAGAAAATTAAAATAATGAAATCTATAAATATGTATTATACTTACTTATTTCTTCTTTGAATGACAAAATCATGTAAAGTAATAATTATAACTGTATTGTTGAATGCATAATATTCATAGATATAATTTGTAGAACAATAATACCCAAAGTGAATAGAGCTATATGGGGGAAAAATTTACATATTTCACTGAAATTAAGTGAATGTGAATATAAAGATGTAGCTGAAAAGATATAGGGGGCAAGTCCTAGGTCAACCATTAAGGTAAACACTGAAAGAGTAAATAATTAAAATTATTAAAGTGTTACATTATAAAATATTCACTTAAAGCAAAAAAAGATATTAAAGGAGGATAGAGGAACAAAAATGACATGCCACATATAGAGAACAAAAGGTAAAATGGCAGATGTAAATCCAATTATATCCACAGTAATATTAAATTGGAATACATTAAACAATCCAATGAAAAGGCAAATTGCCAGACAGGATTAAAGCAAAACAACACAAAATAAGCATCAATCATATTCTGTCTACAAGGGACATATTTCTGATTCAAAGATGCAATAGTGTGAAAGTGAAAGCTGGAAAAGATATTTCATGCAAACTGCCATCACAAGAAAGATATAGTGGCTCTACTGACATCAGATAAAAAGCCTTAAAAACGAATTTTAAAAAGTTTCTAGAGAGATAAAGAGGAATATTTTATAATAATAAAAACATCTACCACAAGGATATAACAATTGTAAACATATATGCAATTAAAAACAGAGTGCCAAAATACATGAAACAAAAAAAAAGCAGTAAAGACACAGTTTGACAGCAATAATTGGAAAGTTCAATACCTCAATTTCAATAATGGATAAAAAATCTAGTAAAGATTAACAAGAAAATAAATGACTTGAACAACATTATAAACCAGCTGGTCATCTTTAGAACACCATAAATGTCTGTGAAACCTGCCACCTAAGAGCAACAGAACACAAGTTTTTCTACAGTAAAGTTGAAAACTCACAAGGTAGACCATGTGCTTGGCCCAAAATAAACTTCAATAGATTTTAAAAACTACAAATGATGTGAAGTGTCTTCTCTAACCACAGCTGAATAAAATTAGATATCAATTAGAGAAAGAAATTTGGAAAACTCACAAACATGTGAAAATAAAACCACATATTCCTAAATAATCAATGAGTCGAAGATGAAACCAAAAGGAAATTTTGAAATTACTATCAGATTAATGAAAATAAAGGAACAACATGTTCAAACATATAGTATGTAACTAAAGCAGTGATTACAGGGAGATTAATAACTGTATATACCTTTATTTAGAAAGAATAAAGATCTGAAATCAATTTTCCACTTGCATGATGAGGACACTGGGGAAAAAAGAGAAAACTATGTAAAGCAAGCAGAAAGCATAATAGAATAAAAGTTAGAGAGGGAATTAATGAAATAAATAATAGAAAAACAATAGAGAAAATCAATTGCATTGAAAACTGAGTTTTAGAAAAAGATTAACAAATCGACAAACCTTATCCAGGTAGATCAATTAAGAAGAGAAAATTCTCAAGTTACTAGAATTAGAAATGAGGAAGGCAACATTATAACCAACTTCAAGGAAATTAAAAAATGTTGTAAAAGAGTACTATGAATATTTGAATGCCAACTAATTACACAACTTTGTTAAAATGGAAAAATTCCCAGAAAGATGCAAACTACCAAAAATGATTTCAGATTAAAAATACAAGTTGGGCCGGATGCAGTGGCTCACATCTGCAATACCAGCACTTTGGAAGGCCAAGGCGGGCAAATGACCTGAGACCAGGAGTTCAAGACCAGCCTAGCCAACATGGTAAAACCCCGTCTCTACTAAAAATTCAAAAATTAGCCGGGCATGGTGGGACATGTCTGTTGTCCCAGCTACTCTGGAGACTGAAGCAGGAGAATCGCTTGAACCCAGGAAGTGGAGGTTGCAGTGAGCTGAGATAGCACCACTGCACTCCAGCCTGGTTGACAGAGCAAGACTCTGTCTCAAAAACAAAACAAAACAAAATAAAACAAAACAAAAATAATTTGTGTGGGCCTATGACAAATAAATAAGTTGAATTAGTAATCTGAATCTATCCACACAAGAATATGCCAGCCTCAGATGACTTCACTGGTGAATTCTACCAAAAGTTTAAAGAATTAAAAATTCTTTTCAAACTCTTCCAAAATTACAAGAGGGGAGTACCACCTTATTTTGTAAGGCCAGTAATACCCTGACCCCGATACTAAAACCAAACAAAGGCATCGCAAGAAAATTACAGACTGTTAAGTATGAAAACAGATGCAAAAATCCTGGACAGCATACAAGCAAACTGAATCCAACCACATATAAAAAGTGTTATGCAACATTATAAATAAATGAATTTATTCCAGAAATTTAAAGTTGTTTTACTTATTCCAAAGCAAATTAATGTAATGTACAATATCAATGGTATTAAAAAGAAAAACCACATGATCATCTAAATGGATAGACGATAAGCATTTGAAAAAAATCCAAAACCATTTCTTAATAGAAACACTCAACAAACTAAAATCAGAAGGAACGTTATTCTGATTAATTAGACCTACGATAACCCATAGATAACATCATCCTTAATGGTGAAAGACTGTATGCTTTCCTGAGATCCTTCAGATCCCTAAGATTAGGAACAAGACAACAATGTTATTTTTACCACTGCTATTCAACACTGTACTGGTTCTAGCCAGGATAATTAGGACAGGGATTAAATAAAAAGCATAAATAGTGGAAAAGAAGAAGTAAAACTATTCCTATTTATAAAGACACATAGTCTTACACACAGAAAATTGTAAAGAATTAATTTTTAAAAAACTGTTAGAGTTAACGCTAGTTGATGAGTTCAGCAAATTTGCAAGATATATTAACAGACAATAATCAGTTGCATTTCCACATACTTGAAATAAACAATCCAAAAATGAAAGTATGAAAATAATCCCGAAATACTCCTGAGCCAGAAAAGAATGAAGTAATGTCTTTTGCAGCAACTTGGATGGAACTGGAGGCCATTATTCTAAATGACGTAACTCAGGAATAAAACCAAACACCACATGGTCTCACTTATAAGTGGGAGCTAATCTATGGGTATGCAACGACACACAGAGTGGTATAATGGATAGGAGACTCAAAAGGGGGGAGATTGGGAGGAAGGCGAGGGATTAAAAATCACCTGTTGGGTACAATGAACATTACTTGGGTGATGGATACACTAAAACTCCCGACCTTACCAGAATACAACTCATCCACATAATTAGAAACCACTTGTACTCCTAACGCTACTGAAATTTTAAGAAAGAAAGAGAATAATACCATTTACAATGATAGAAAAATACAATTTCTTGGAAATGCCTTTAACCAAAAAAAAAAAAAAAAAGCAAGAATTGTACACTGTAAACTGTGAAACATTGTTGAAAGAAACTGAAGAAGACTAATAAATGCAAGGATCTCCTATGTTCATCTATTGAGACATTTTTAGAATGTTAATACTTCCCTCAGTGATCTACATATTAAATGCAGTCCCTATCAAATTGATGGGGCCACCAGGCCGGTTGCAGCAGGGAGACATGGCTAGGGCTGCATTATCAGTGAAGCCAAAGGGAGCTGCGGACAAGTGGGAGCCCTGTTCCTTCCGAGTTGGGGTGATGACACTGCCCAAACCATGGCTGTAAACCCTGGCCTCCTGTTCCATGGAGCAGGCAGGATCCCCACTGTCCTGGGCAGGGCTGCAGCCGTCCAAGTTGTGGCTACAGATCTGAGCCTCCCTGTGGTCTTGGGGGGCCGGGAGCAGGCAGGATCCCTGCCATCCAGGTGCAGCTGCAGCCTCCCAATCAGCACTGCAGACTGCGGCCTCCCACTCCATGGAGGAGGCAGGAGCTCCGCCCCTTTGGGCCCGGCTGCAACCCCACAAACCATGACTGCAGACTCAGGCATTCCTGCACTCTTGGGGTCCCTGGAAGAGACCCTTGCTCTCACAGGCTCGGAAGTGCCTGGCTTCTCCCTGCTGTTGGCACCTGGCCGGGGCTGCATGTTCCAGTAAGCCAGCAAGAGCTGGGGACAAGCAGGAGCCCTGTGTCTTATGAGTAGGCTGGGCAGGAGCTCCCCTCCCAGGCGCAGAACCCTGTGTCTCTGCAGTGTGCACCCTGCACCGCACCTCCACCCTCTACTTCCCAGTCCCGCAGGCTCCGGAGTGTCTGTTCTCACCGCTGCAGGCTTGGGAGTGTCTGCTCCGACTGCCTGACCTCGCTCTGCTCCCACAGCCCCCTCCAATCTAGGAACTGGGCTGGGGCCCAGCCTGGGCACTGCCACAGCCCTGCTGGGTGTTTGCAGGCTCAGGGCAGTGCTGATATGCCAGGCCTCGGCACCCTCAGGAATTTGGGGCCCACCAGTCTGAGAGGGAAAGGCGAGGTGGGGCTGAGGGTGGCTCCTCACTGGCCTGCAGGTGTCCCTTCTTACAAGCAGCCCTGGCTGGAGGCAGACAGGCTCCTCTGCAGAAAGGGGAGGGCCCCCAGGAAGGCCTCACCTACAGGCCAGGGAGGGCCTGAGGGATGGGGTCCAGGCTCAGTCCCACAGACCAGAGTGGAAACTTGTGGTGCCTTTTCTGGGCCAGTCAGCAGGCACTTCCTCCCTCCCCTTAGAGGTATATGAAAGCCCTGGACTCAGCCAGAGCAGGGCAGAGGACGGAGAGGTGGGGGGATCAACTGCGGAGAGGAGCAACCCTCTCTGCTAGGAGCTGGGCAGACATCGGGAGGACCATCTGCATAGAGAAGATACCCTCTCCAGGTCTCCTCTCTGCTAAGAGCTGCAGAGACAACAGGATGTCCTGGCTACAGAGAGGAGCTACTCATTGCCTGTCTCTTCTGAGCTGTTCTAACAGTCAATAAAGCTCTTTATCTTGCTCACCCTCCACTAGTCTGCGTATTTAATTCTTCCTGGATGCAGGACAAGAACACAGGAAAAGGCACCACCAGCCACAGAGGTTTCCAGCCAGAGAAGTGACACCCCAGAGATCCCATAACAAAAATACTATCTTGCTTGCTTTTTTTAAATATAAATTGTAAGCTAATCCTAAAATTTATATGGAATTGCAAGCAATCTCAAACAGCCAACCAATCTGAAAATAAGAAATCACAATTCTCAATTTGAAAACTTATGACAAAGCAATATTAATTAAGACAGCATACTACCAGTGAAAGTAGACACGTATAAATAAAAAAGCTACAATTGAGAGTCCAGAAATAAACCCATGTGTCTATGGTTTAACTGATTTTTGACAAGTGTGCCAAGAGCATTCAACGAGGAAAGAACTATAATTTTAGCAGGTGGTGATAGAACAACTGGATTTCCGCTTTGCAAAGCAAAGAAATTGAACTCTTACCTCACATCATATACAAAAAATAACTCAAAATGGACCACATTACTAAATTAAGAACTAAAGCTATACAACTTTTAGAAGAAAACGTGAGGCTTAAACTTTATGACCTAGGATTTGGCAATGGAATCACAGATTTAACATCAAAAGCATGAACGACAAAAGAAGAAAATAGATGTTAGATTTATTCAAAATTTCAAAATTCTATATATTTTTTTTCTGGTGTACCTCAAGAAAATGAAAAGATCTATAAATGGGAGAAAATATTTATACATTATCTTTCCAATAAGGGGTTTTTATCTAAAACATGTAAAGAATACTTTCAACTCAGTAATAGTTAAACAAATAATCTAATGAAAAATGGCCAAAGGATCTGAGCAGATATTTCTTCAAAGAAGCTATTCAATAAGCACATGAAAAGATGCTTATTAAAGTATACAATTTAATGTCATTAGCCCCCACAGAAATGCAAATGAAAACCACCATGAAATACCTCTTCCTATGCACATACAGAATGACTGGTAATCATAAAGTTAGATAATAACAGGTGTTGGTGAGGACGTGGAGAATTCAGAAGGCTCATACATAGCTGGTTGGAATGTAAGATGGTATAGTCACTCTGAAAATCAGTCTGGCCACTTCTGAAATGGTTAAACAGATTTACCGTTTGACTCACTGATTCCACTCTTAGGCGTATACCTAAGAGAATGAAAAGAAATTTCCCCTCAAAACTTGTACATGAATGTTAATAACAACATTATTCATAATAGTTAAATTGTGGGAAGAAATAAATTTCCATCAATTCATGAAGGGATAATCAAATGTGGTATATTCATACAATACAGTATTATTCATCCATGAAGAAGAGTGGGAATGGACTCCTGATGCATGCTACAACATGGATGGACCTTGAAAACATCATGCTAGGCAAAAGAGGGCAGTTACAAAAGACCACATGTTGCATAATTCCATTTATATGAGATGTTCATAAGAGGAAAATCTACGGAGACAAAAATAATTTGATAGTTGCCTAGGGCTGGGGGAATGGAGGGGTGACAGATAAAAGTTATAAGGTTTATTTTTGAAGCAATGAAAATATTCTACAATGAACTTTGGTGGTGTTTTGCTAATATAGGTATAAAGGTATAAAAAGTAAAAGGGTGACCAAGAAAAGGTATAAGGTTTCTTTTTGAGGTAATGAAAATATTCCACAATGGACTTTGGTGGTGGTTGCTAATATCTGTGGATATTTTTAAAAAACATTAAATTGTACACTTTAAATGATAAACTTTGTGCTATATGAATTATATCTCAATAAAACTGTAACTGAAAATTAGTCTTCGAACAGAAAAGAAACAATATGCTCAAAGAGAGGGCAAACAGTTTACGTTTTTCTCTACTACTGTGCTCTCTTGTTTCAGGCCTCCCTTCTTTCTGTAAAGACAGATTTTTAGTACAAAAATTCTCATTAGTATTGGCAAGATTTTTGGCCAGAAAGGGCTCTTCAATGAAGACCATAAATATATTGTTGTGGTCTTTACTAGATTAATGGATGTACTTTTCTTTCCACTTGAGAAACATTCCGATGACTAGGGCAAACAAGTCCATTTTTTTTCTTACTTAGAAATTCAGTAGAATGCCAGTGACTGTGTAAAATGGTAAAGTAACTTACAGATTTTGAACCTGTTAATGTTATAGAATGCAATGATACTTAGCAGAGTAAAGAATCGTAAGAGTATAGATGCAAAAGGGAGCCTGCTACCCCATCCAACATCTTAGACCACCAGAACGGAGCTACTGAGAGAGCCAGGAGGATCTGACTGTAGAAGTCACATCAGTCCCTCCCAGATCCAACCTGAGTGAGGCACCATCCTCTGTTCCTTTTTCTGACATTACTCATAGACTCATGCTTTATTTCACACTGGGATTCAAAAGGTTTCAGGAAAATCCGGGATTTTCCAATAGTGATTCAAACTGAAAGATGAACATTTATAACATTTATACTGTGTTAACTTAAGTAACATGATCTATGTGGGTTTTACTCCCACAGAGAAATGATCTGATTGTTTCTGTTAGAGTGAGTAAAATTTTGCGTACTACAGCTGAAGTGTGAAAGGCAGGGTGCTAAATGCAAACAGTGAGTGAAGCCTTGAAAGGAAAGAATATGCTGAATCTGTTAATAGAGTAGTTGAAAATATACATGATGTATATTCTCGATTCCACACTAGGAAGATGGTCATTCCTGGGTAGTTTTCGTTTTTCATTTTAGACCATGCACAATGACTTGAGTTCCAGAATGTGTTTATTCTCCCAAGGAAACTATTTATCACATTATTTTGGTTTGCAGTTTATTCTAAAATTATTTGCCATGAATACATAGCTATTCTATTTTCTATTTCAGGGTGATGGTATAGACTCAGAATACTTGTAGACTTCTAATACAAATCATCCCAGATTTTTAGTAAAAGTTCTTTTCTCTGATATGCATATAATTGACTTTAATATTTTTGTCTTCTATCAGATCAATGCAATCTCTTTTAATTGGACATTCCCTTTAAAGAATAAAGAGGGGACAAAAGAAGAATATAACATTACATAATTATAATGTGTAGAAAGCTATGCCTTAGATAACACAACTCAATTTTTTAAAGAAATAAAGCAGATTTCATCTCCTTTCAATACTGAAAAATAGCTTCCTATTTAATTATTTTCCTGACAGATACTGAGAAGTACCTGGAAGGGCAAAAAGACTAAAAAACATTTTTTCTTTCAGAGTAGGAAGGGGGAAGTTCCCAAAGTGAAAATACTTGTATTTAAAAAGTTAGATTAAACATTCTTTATGTGTTACATTATTGCTATTATGAAGCCAGAATTTCACTGTAAGATATTTGAATTGTGTGCTACTTGATTGTGTTTGTCATCAATATTTCTTTCTTTACCACCAATATATTTTGTAAAATGATGGTGTGTTTGGAACCCACACTAATTGACCTGTTATTTCTCCTAGAAGTAGTCCAAAAGTGATGTGCAACCTAAAAAACAAACAAAACAACAATGGGGGAGCATGTGGCAACTAATTTTTTTTTTAAATAATAAAAGAACAGAGAATAAGGGAAACCTAAAAGAAGAGTTCTGGCAACCTCAACATTTGATTAGTTTCTTTAATATTGATTTAAAATAGCGGTTGATAAAAATAGGGAATGGTCACTTTTGCCTGTGTCTTCTGCCTGTGTCAAAAGAAGCATAAGACACATCAGTAATCAGATGGTGGAGGGACTTAAAACATTAAGCTAAACAATATTGTTATGTTCTGTAGGGAACCTAGGAATGCTTTTGGAAAGGAGACTGCAGTTTTCAATCAGAATAATAATATTTTTATGATCTTAAAATGTTGGCTGTATTACAAATTGTAAAAACATTAATATTTTAAACACAAAAACATTTAAGTATTCTTGCTATTTTACCTGAATTTGATGTTTGGCAAATGGTCCATTCAAGTCATTAAATAGTTAACATTAAAATCAATTCAGTCAAAGCAATGTGTAAAAGGAATGAGCAAATAATGACACAGCCAGAAAGGATGTTGGGGCCAGAAAACAAAGAGATTCACAGAGTAATCAATGGCATTTGCATTCAATTTATTTTTGTCAGGCATTCACTGTTTTGTTACTTGGTTTATTTTAATATACTTTATTATAAATCTTAACTAAATTTGATTTTTAATGAAATTAGAACTCTGTAAAACCAAAAAAGAAAAAAAAATCTCATCTCTGATGTGAATTCACAAAAGACAGTAATGTCTTTTGGCATTTCCCCCGAGGTAATGATTTTATTTGGTTTGCTTTCATTTTCATCTTGTGAATGAATCTTTTATCTATCAATTCAATATGTAGATCCATCTACTGACAAGGTTTCAGCAGCATTCGTATTTGATGGGGCTTAATCAAAGGAAAATTAAAAAAATACTTGTTTAAATTCAAGTAGCCATAAACATTGCTAAAATAAACCAGACTTTTCTGACGACTCCACATTTTTGCATTAGATGTCTACTAATCTTTATTATCCCTTGGTGGCTAACACAGAGCTGTGCATCTAGTCCATGCTCAGGAGTGTCACAGAATTGAATGAAAGTTTATAACTTGTTGAAATGTTAAAGGGATGACTAAAACAATGTACAAAAGAGATTTATAAAGTCGGAGCAGCCTTAAGTATGACTCTACTAAAGTCATCACTGAAAGAAAAAGGAAGTCGGAACTAAAAATCTTTGAGATAATTTTTGAGGATTTGTAACTAGAAAATATTGCAACTTTGGCACTTTTGAAAATGTCCAAACATCCGGTCCGGTCCGGTAACATATAAATATGGTACATTGAAAAGATACAAAGTCACACAGTGGACAAGTTAATGATACAAAGAAAATAAAGCCTAACTGGTTAACAGTCATTCAAGTCTTCTGCAATAATCAAAAATGTATCACAAGAGAGTATGAAATTTTTGATATACACTGTAATCACTCAAATTCACACCAAACAAGCCACATTATTTAATCTACTATTGATCATTCTTTTGTTATTCAAACTGGGTGGGAAGGTTGTAAACATCCAATAAATTTTGTTTACCATATGAATAGGATATTAAATCTAACTAATTAACTAAACATTAGCTGTAAATGTCAGTCTTGTAAGATAGGAAACATAAATGAACTCAGGCTCTTTTCAAATATTTAAACACATACCTTAGTTGAGGGGATAATGTTCTTGGTTTAGGTTCTCCCTCTCCCCTTTTTTTCATCTTTCTGAATTGAAAAATATAATACATCTGAAAAAAAGTAAACAAAACATAAATATATGGCTTAACAACAATATAAAAAACATTCCTGTGCAATATTTTCACTAGCAAGTATTTCCATTAGCTCAATTCTATCTGTACTTAGAGATCATAGCCTCATTTTTCCCCAGAAGTAACCATTATCCTGATTTTGGAAAGCAATCTGATGCTTTGTGCATAAACACATACTTAGTATTTGTGGAAGCAATTCCATTCCCACATATTTATCCAAGGATAAAGGAAACATGTGAACATAAGAAGACCTCTATGTGAATGTGATATGAGAGGGGGGCAGGAAAGTGCCGGTTAGAGAAGGACAGGGTCCCAGGCCAGGGCTCCACCCTAGGGGTAGTGTCCACGGACTTAAGTGAAACCAGGCGCTCCTGTTTTCATGCCCACATGCTTCATTTTGCACCTGGCCCGCCTGTGTGATCCTGTGCCCATTTAAACCCATGTGATGATCCACTCACATGGCAGGTCTTTTCAAAGAGGGACAACCACTCTATAGGGTAGCAAGATCAGTCACACCATTCATTAAAGAAGACTTTCCTCCCAGGGCTCAAGAAGCGTGTAAACTCTACCAAAAGACGCATCATTTACCTTGATAGGACTATAATTGTAACTCATTGATTCCACAAAGAGCTACTGAGCACTTTCAAAGTGCCAGCCACTGTTTCATGCACTGGCATTCCAGTGGTAAACAAGAAAAAAAGATAGGGAAGGACATTTATCCTCAAGAAGCAAAAATGCTGGTCTGGCTCAGTTTATGCAAGTGCTGCCAAGAGTGAGCCGGTGCTTTTCTAGCATCATCTCTCCTTCTTATATGTTTTTTGTCTATAATAAAAATAACCTTAATATTTTATAATAATGGGAACAAAGTTTTTTAAAAGAAAAATAGGATTTCAAAGAATCAAAAGGAAGATGTTAGAATCACCTGTATTCCCACTTCTCCGAGGTAATTGCTGTTAGTATTCTGGTACGTTGTTTTACATACAATTACACATGCATATTGTCATTAAAAATATTATCTTGCATATTAGTGATGGATAGATAAATATGATAAAACAATACAGCAAATGTTAGAATTGTGGGCTCTAGGCTGATGGGTATATGTGTATTCACTGTAATGTTCTTTTAACTTTTCTGCATGCTTGAAAGTTTTATTCATAATATTTTAAACAATGCTCAAAATCTACATAGCATCATTCTTCCAATTTTCTTTTATTTTTTCAAGATGTTTTTAATCTTATAGCTGCTTTGCATTTCTAGATACACTTTAGATTTTAAAATGATCTTGACAATTCTTACCAAAACAAGAACACAAATTTTTTGACATTGAATTGGATTGTGTTGAGAAAAATTAACGTATTAAAAAGTTAAGAACATGATGTAGTATGCCGCTTACTTCAGTCTATTATATTTCTCCCAATAGTGATTTCTATTTTTCTGTGTAATGCTTTTACACCTATTTTATGATTATTTTAAAGCATATTTTTTATTATTCTGTGAATGGTATTTGCTAATTTCTTTTTAAATTATTGTGGTATATGCAAATATATTTAATTTTTGTACATTTTTTATTTTGTAAGGTTGCTAAATTACTTTTTCTAGTAGTTTTTGTAGATTATTAAAGATCATGTATGTACACAATTATGTTGTCTAGAAACAAAAAATAATTTTATTCCTTTCTTTTTAATATGATGATTCATACTTATTTGTCATGCTTTATTTTGATGGCTAGGACCTCCAGTGCAATACTTAATTGAGATGGTAAGAGTGGGAACTCTTGTTAGGTTCTTAATTTTAGGCAACCAAACTTTCTGTATATAGAAACATTTTCCATACTATAATGGCAACATATATATGTTTCTCATATATATATATATATATATATATATATGAGAGAAAAAATATATAAGATATATATAGTCTAATATATATATATATATATATATATAGTTAGTTGCTGGTTGTATGTTTTTTCTGGATGGCATTTATTAGATTGAGAAATACCCTTCTACTGCATTAACGATTTCTACTATGAATGTTGAATTTTATCAAATAATTTTTCTGGATACGGTTAGTTGATCATATGGTTTTTCTCCTTTATTTGCTTAACATGAGGAATTATATTGACTGTTTTTAAGTCAAGTCAATCCTGTATTCCTGGAATCTACTGATGATTTTTTATAAACATATATTAGAATGTTTGATTTCTTAATGACATTAATTTTGGCACCTAACTTATGAGCGATATTGGTCTATAATATTCTCTCTTGTAATGTTATTCTCAAGTTTTACTTTAAAATAGTATTCTCACAAAATGATTTGTGATAGTCTTTTTGTCTCTATCTTCTGAAAATATTTTTGTACGATTTTTATATCTGTCTTAAATGTTTGACAACGTTCACTAGTAAAGACATCTGGGCCTAGAACTTTTTTTCTGAGAAGTTTTTCAGTTAAAAGTACTATATTTTAAATTGATGTAGAGCCCTAAGGGTTTTCTGTTTATTTTTTAGTCAGTTTTGGTACTTTTTTTTTTTTAATTTACATTTCATCCAAGTTGTCAAATTTATTGACAAAATATTGCTCATAATATCTTCATTATTATTTTTCAAAGTCTTTGAGATAATGATATCCTTTTTGTAGCCTTTATATAGAAATTTTGCCTTGTCATCTTTTTTTCTTCTATATTTCTAGGGGTTTATCAATTGCATTATTTTTTTCTTTATTTTCTCTATTGTTTGTATGGCTTTTAATTCAGTGATGTCTGCTATTCTCTTTATTATTTCATATCTTCTACTTTGTTTTATTTATACTCTGGTTTAAATGTGCTCTTTTTCTAGTTTTTTAGGCAAAAGCTTAGATCACTAATTTTTAAACCTTTCTGTTCTTTTACAAATAACTTTTAAATTCATAAATGTTTCTCTGAATTGTTTCAGCTTCATTCCACAAATTTTGATACTTTGGGATTACTAATTATTCTAAAAGTTCTCTTATGATATCTTCTTTGATCCCTGGGTTATTTTGTTACTTATTTTTCATATTTTGGATTTTTAAAATATCATATTCTATTCTAATTTAACACATTTTTTGGTCAGATACTTTACTTGTTTTATTCAAATCATTTTAAGTTTATTCGAACTTTGTTTATATTCTAGCATATGAAAAATATTGATAAACATTTTGTTTATTTTTAAAGAATGTATATTTTATAGTCATTAGTTATAATGATAATGGATTATCAGTTAGGTAAAGTGGTTTTATAATGTTGTCCAAACATTCTTTATTCTTATTTTTTATCTATTTATTTTATTAATTATTGAGAGAAGAGTATTAAAATCACACTTATATTTATAAATTTCTTTAATTCTCCCTTCAGTTTGACAAGCTTTGCTTCCTAAATTTTGAGTTGTTATTAGATTTTTGCCACTTAGAGTTCTGGTGTATCCTTGATGAATTGACCCTTATGTAACTGTGAAATGACTCTCCTTATATAGTGAATAATTATTATTTTGAGGTCTTTTTTTCTGTTATTAACATAACCATTCCAGCTTTCTTGTTCTTAGTGGTTTGATATTATATATTATTTATTCCTAAATTTTCAACCTGTCTCTTTTTCTTTTATAGTATTTAATCTGTGCCTCTTAATAACATTATATAATTTGTTTTTTATTTCTTTCCAGTTTAATAGTATCTATCTTGGACTTTGGCCAATTTCCACTTAATATAACCATCACGTATTTCAGTTCAATTCCACCCACTGGCTATTTGTTCCTGTTTGTCCAGCCTGCTGTTTTTATATTCCCTTCATTCTTACCTTTTAGCATATAAATAAATGATTGTAATATTTTATTCTAAATCATTGTAGTGAATACTATGGAGTACTGTTCAAGATCACATTTTCTGGGTCAAGGTATTCATTTCTTCATCTACCGGGACTCTTGACGGCTAAAGGCTCACCTCTGAGTCACTCATTAGGCTCTGCCTTCAGCAGGAAGCAGCTGCTTTGCCCAGGTGTTTGCCCTCTTCTTAGGGTTAGCCAAAATCTAATGACTGGTTGATGCAGGAGTACACAGTTTTGTGCCCCCCCCTTATCAGCATTCAGGATATCTCTAAAGTGCTTTGGAAGAAGACAGGGTCACTCCTACTTCCACCCTTTGGTTCTCTGACCTCTAATCCCTATATATTGGTATAACTGTAGCATATTCTCTTTCTCAGTCAATGAGCTATTAGTTTTGCATTGATTTCCTATTTTTGTGGCCTTTGAGACACAGCTTTGACTTATTAATGTCTGATAACATACTTCAGCTTTGTTTACCCTTTCCCCTTTTTGTAATATTTTTGTAGAAATTTTAAACATGTGTCTTAAAATCATTTAGGATATTATTACTTCTGTTTTATACATCAATATTCATTTAGTTTTATTCACATATTTTCTGTATTCTATTGTCTTTATTTCCTTGCACACATTAATGCTCTCATGCATTGCCATTTTCATTTAACCTGAAAAATATATTTTCCTGTTTTATTTCATGTTCGCGGCTGCTGACAATTTTTCCCAATTGAAATGTATTTATTTCACCTCATTTTTGAAGGCTATTCTAACAGAAAGTCTAGCATAGTAGATATTTTATTTCATCAATTTGAAGATATGGTTTTATTGTCTGCTAGATACCACTTAATCTGGCTTTCTTTACATTTATTTTTCTTTAGATTGGCACCACTTCCTGAATCTCTGGCTTGTGTATTCAGTTTTAGGATAATCTTAGAATTTAACCTTCAAGATGCTAGGCTTACTCTTCTGGCTTTATTTTTTCTGTTTTATTATTTGTAATATGGTATCTGTAGATTATATTGTGGTTATATTTAAACAAAGACAGCTGTGTTGCTTTCTTTGCAGGTTTTATAATATTTGCTTATTGCATTTTTTTCTAACTGACTGTAATTTTCATTACAATGTTGAATATGTTGAATAAAAATAGTAATGTAGGGATAAAGGGAATGCATGTTTATTCTTAACTAAAAACAAATTTGCCTACATTTTATTATGTAGTATGTTACTGGTATTATGTTAACTAGAATTTTCTCATTTCTGAATATCAGTTTAAGAAACTTCTAGTTATTACAATCTTCCAGTGAATTTTATCATGAAAGACTATTGAAATATATTGCCATTTTTGTGATTTGTGTTTATCTCCATTAATCTGATAATATAATGTTATTTTTTAATGCTATTAGAACTTTTGGATAACTACCTTCTTTATTATTATATTTTATATGCAATGGACTTGATTTGTCTATACTTTGTTTAGAATTTTTATAATCATGATTAGGAGTGATATAAGATTATGATTGTTATGCTTATATTAATATAACATCCTCATTTAATTTGTTCTTACCATATTACTAACTTCATTAAATTATTTGAAGAGGAGTCCCCACTTTTTCTACTCTAACACTTTTCGTACTACTGTGTGTGCTGGGTATAGATAGAAATGATCTGTTAACTGTGGTAGAAAGCATATTTCAAAGTATCTGAGTCTGTATGACAAGATACTTTTTTAACGATTTTATGATCTATAATTTATGTACAATACAATTCACCAATTTTGACGTTACAATTGCAATAAACTTATCAAGTAGCATTACAACCACCACAGGTGTATTATAGAAAAATGCTCCTTTGCAGTCATTTCCTCCCTCTACCTGGACTCTGGTACCACTGCTCTGCTTCTATCATTGTAAGTTTGCTATTTCTAGAATTCGACACAAACATAATAAATTATTTACTCTTTCCTGTACGGCTCCTTTCACTTGACATAATACTTTCGAGACTCACCCACGTTGTTGGATGTATTCAACTGGTTTTTTAAAATTGCTGAGTAATATTTCATTGTAGGTATCTACCACAGTTTGTTTACGAATTCACCTGTTGATAGGCATTTGGGTGGTTTCCAGTTTTCGACTATCTTGAACAAAATACTGGGAACTTTAAAATAGAAGGCTTTGGTGAACATGTTTTCATTTATATTTTTGTGTTCAAAGTACATATACTTTGAACTGACTTTTGAGTACAGTGTCAAGTCAAGTTTGTGGTTCACACTTTTGCATATGACAAGCCAACTGCTCCAGCACTATATGTTACTGAACTAAACTGGCATGCTTGAAAATCAATTGACCACATCTATTTGGGTCTATTTCTAGACTCTTCTCTTCAATTGATATATGCTTCTTTCTTTATGCCAATGTCATGCTGTTTTGATTAATGAAGCTTTCTAGTAAATCTTGGAATCAGATAGTCTAAGTTCTCAATTTTATTCTCATTTTCCAAAATTGCTTTGTCTTTTCTAAATCCATTTAATTTCTATATAAATCTTATGAATAGTTTGACAATGTACACAACAAAGCTTATTGGGATTTTTATTTGGATTATATTGAATCTATAGATGATTTAGGGAAAATAACATCTTAGCAATATTAAATCTTTCAACCCATGAGCACAGTATTTATTATTCATTATTTATGTCATCTTTACTTTCTCTCAGCAGTGCTTTGTAGTTTCAGTGTACAGAGCTTATTCATAGTTTGTTTGATTTATCCCTAAATTCTTTATATTCTTGAAACTATTGTGAATAGCTGTTTTCTATTTCAATTTTGAATTGCTCTTTGCTGACATAGAGAAATAAAATTAACCACTTAACTAACAATCCACTCTTAAACAAATTGTTTCAGATTTCTCATTACTTTGAGATACTTCTGTAAAATTAAAATTTAATCTATATTTGCAATTTTTATGAGATGTAATTTCAAAATATTCTCTCATAAGCTTTTATGTTTATTTTTGTACCGTTTGTATTGTGATTTTTCACTTTTTCTCTTTTATAATGCCTCTTATTGAAGATAAAAATCTCAAAATAATTATGCTGAGTGAAATAAGCCAGGTATAAAAGAAGATAAACTATATGCTTTCATTCATATAAAGTTCTACAAAATATGAGCTAATTTATTAGTGGGGAGCAGATCAAGGGTCACCTATAAATAAGGGTAAGGAGCAGAAGGGAGCCTTTACCAAGTGACGGGAGAAACATTTAGAGGAGGCAGATAGTGTTTTCTGTCTTGATCATGGTGGAAACTTCATGGATTTATACTTTATAAAGTACAAAAAAGGGCAAGACTAATCTATCATGTAGAAGTCATGCTAGTAATTATCTCTGGTTGGTAGTACCTAAAAGAGAATGCATGGAGTCTACTGGAAAACTAGTAACATCATATTTTGTAATCTAGGCTCTAGTTTTATGGGTGTATCTAGCCTACAAAAATGTATACTTACTGAATATGCAGTATTCTGTATCTATGTTATGCTCTATTAAAGGGTTAAAATATACAGCTAATTTTTTTTTAAACAATGGGTTTTGGCCCATTTTCCCATTTTGCTAGAAGCAATCATTGCTGTGTCACTATCATTCTTATTTAATTTTGTAAATTTATGTGTTCCTGCAATATGCAAGATGTACATATTCTGTGTCTGTACATATATAGTGTTATGGGATAAATTGTGTTTCCCATCCCAGAATTCATACGTTGAAGTCCTGGATCCCCTTATCTCAGAATACAGATATATTCAAAGATAGGGTCTTTTAAAATGTAATTAAAATTAAATTACCTCATTGGTTGGAGGGGGGGCCAAATCTAATCTGACTGGTGTCCTTATAAGAAGAAGAGATTAACACGGCACACACAGAAGGAAGACATTTTAAGACAGAGGGAGAAAATGGCCATCTACAGGGCAAAGTGAGAGTGCTTAGAAGAGACGAAATTTACTGACCCCTTATTCTTGGACTTGTAGCTTTCAAAACTGAAAAAAATAAAATTCTGTTGTTTAAGCCACGTAGTTCATTTTGGTACCCTAGCAATCTAATATATATGCCTTATATAATTTATGCATATAGTAAATAAATTTTTGCCGTATTTATAACATGTCTAATTAAAATGCTGGTAACTAAAAGATTATTCATTTCCCTTAATTTTCATTACACTTTAGAACATTTACAACATTTACATAGAGTATATGGAAAAAAGAAAATATATTATTTATAATTTTGTCCTTCAATAAAATGTTCTCAATTTTCCTCTATCATTTTTGATTAATTTGAAGTTAAAACATGACATTCTTCGGTCAAAATAATCTGACATATTTACATTTCACTCTTCTTTAATTAACAGGGCTCAGATTTAGTTTTTAAAAATTAATATTATTTCAGCATACAACTTTTTGCTCTAGTGCCAGTCATGTCTCTGAAAGTAATTATTGCCACTTAGTTTAGCATAGGTCTTAGTGTTACAAAAGAGACACATGTGACCAGTGAATGGTCTACTGTCATTTATGCAGTATAAAGGGGGCATTACAAAATCTCAGAAGATAATGCGTGTGTGTTTTAGTTTAACAAAAGTGCTTTAAAAGAAATAAATAAAAATAAAAAAGTTTATAAAATAAGGATATAAAGAAAATATTTTTACAGCTATTCAATGTGTTTATGTTTTAAGCTGTGTTATTACAAAAGAGTCAAAAGTTTAAAAATATAAAGTTTATAAAATAAAAAAACTATAGTAAACTAAGGTTACTTTATCATTGAAAAAGAATATTTCATGTTTTTGATAAATTTAATGTAACCTAAGTATACGGTGTTTAAAAGGACACAATAGTGTAAAATAATGTACTAGGCCATCACATTCACTCACCACTCGCTCACTGACTCTCTCAGAGCAACTTCTAGCCCTGTAGCCTCCAGCCACAGTAAGTTCCTTATTTGGATGTACCATTTCTTATCATATATCCTGTATTAACTTTTTCTATGTTTTGTATACATTTAGACACACAAATACTAGTATGTTCCAATTGCCTGTGGTATTCAGTACAGTAAAATGCTGTACAGGTCTGCATCCTAGGAGCAATAGGCTATCCCATATAGCATAGGTGCGTAATAGGCTCTACCAGCTAAGTATAAGTACCGTCTACGATGTTCACAAACAACAAAATTGGCTAAGGATACATTTCTCAGAAGGTAGCCCTTTCATTAAGGCATGCATGACTGTATATACATATCTAAGGCAATAGAAGCTTTCACTATGTGTTTCTCACTTCTTTTTGACCCTCAATATAGCAATTTCAGCTTCCATATTTCTAATAAAAGTATTTTAAACCAATCTAGGCATTTTCTTTCATGTGCCTCAAAATTCTTCCAGCTTCTTCCCATTATCAAAATTTGAGCCAATTCCACATTAAACAATTAATAGTATTTATTTTTTAAAAGTTTTAGAATTACAGAAAAATTAAACCAATGGTAAAGAGAATTTCTACCCCCTCCGACCTTCCAAAAACCAGTTTCTCCTTAAATAACAGATTGTGCTAGGGTTTTAAAATTAATGAACAGATATTGACACATTTTATACATTATTATTTATTAAAGTCTATAATTTTACATTAGGGTTAAATCTTTGTGTTGCACAATTCTATGGGGTTTAACAGATACCTAATTTCATGTATCCACGATTATAGTATTCCTGCAAAATAGTTTCATTGCCCTAAAAATCCCTCATGCTACCTATTCCTCCATCTTCCCTCCCCTCTGTGAGCCACCGGCAACCAGTCATATTTTTCTTTTCGTATAGTCAGAGTCATATAGAATGTACCATTTTAAGAGTGGCTTCTTTCACTTACCAATATGTACTTAAGATTCATTCAGGCCTGGCGTGGTGGCTCAGGACTGTAATCCCAGCACTTTGGGAGGCCAAGGCGGGTGGATTGCCTGAGTTCAGGAGTTCAAAACCAGCCTGACCAACATGATGAAACCCTGTCTCTACTAAAAATACAAAAATTAGCTGGGTGTCATGGCATCCACCTGTAATCCCAGCTACTAGGGAGACTGAGGGAGAAAAATCGCTTGAATCCAGGAGGCAGAAGTTGCAGTGAGCCAAGATCGTGCCATTACACTCCAGCCTGGGCAAAACTCCATCTCAAAAAAAAAAAAAAAAAAAAGATTCTACCTCCAGTATGTTCAACAAATTACAGTGTAAAAACTTAACGTACAGGATTAGTAATATGTTAATATTTAATATTTAATAAGATCAAACTCTTCACGACCAGCCTGGGCAACATGGTGAAACCCCATCTCTACTAAAATACAAAAAATTAGCCGAGCATGGTGGCAGGCACCTGTAATCCCAGCTACTTGGGAGGCTGAGGCAGGAGAATTGCTTGAACCCAGGAGGCAGAGCTTGCAGTGAGCCGAGAGCGTCACTGCACTCCAGCCTGGGTGACTGAGCAAGACTTCGTCTCAAAAAAACAAAACAAAACAAAAAAACAAAGAACAGATTCATTCATTCATTTCACTAGTCAGTAATATTTTATTGTATGGACATACCACGGCTTCTTTATCCATTCTCCAATAAAAGAACATCTTAATTGTTTACAAACTTTTTTCTGATTTTGAATAAAGTAGCTATCAATATTCATGTGCAGATTTTTGTGTGGACATGTTTTCACATCATTTGGGGAAGTACTTAGGAGCAGGACTGCTGGATAAAATGGTAAGGCTATTTTATCTTTGAAAGAAAGTGTCAAACGCTTTTCAAAGTACCTGTAACGTTTTGCATTCCCACTAGCAATTAATGAGAGTACTTGTTGCTTTATATCCTGTATAGAATTTGATATTGTCAGGTTTTTGTATTTTACCCATCCTGATAGGTGTGCAGTGATATTTTCTTATTATAATGTGCAACTTCCAAATGAGGTTGAACATCTTTTCATATGGTTATTTTCCATCATATATCTTCTTTGATGAGGTATCTCTTCAGATTTCTTGCCCATTTTAATTGGGTGGTTTGCTTTCTTATTGTTGAATTTTAAGAATTCTTTTACATCTGGATACAAGTCCTTTATAAGATATGTGTTTTGCAAATATTTTCTCTTAGTCTGTGGCTTGTCTTTCTCAATCTCTTGACAATGTCTTTTGCAGAGTAGAATTATTTTTTTAATTTCAGTAAAGTTAGTTTCCTATCACATATATGACAAACTTAATGACTTACAGCAACATAAATTTATTTTCTCGCAATTATGCAGGTCAAAAGTTTGAAATCAGTATCACTGGGCTGAAATCAAAGGGATAGTAGGAATGCTCTCCTGCCAGAGGTGTTAGGAAAGAATCAATTATTTGCCTTTTAAAACCTTTGGTGGCTGTCTTCATTCTTTTCTTTGTGATCATTGCAATCTCCTCATTGGCTACATTGCCTGCTATGATTACATATTTTATATATCAACTTGTTTAGACCGTGGTACCCATATGTTTTATCAAACACTTCTAGAATTTGCCATAAAAGTATTTTTTAGATGATAATAACATTTAAATCGGTAGACTCTGAGAAAAGCAGATTATCCTTCATAATGTGGGTAGGCATCATCCAGTCATTTGGAGGCTTCATAAAAAGTCTGGCCTCTCCCAAAGAAGAGGGAATTCTGCCAGCAACGTGCCTTTGAACTCAAGCTGCAACATCAACTCTCCCTTCCTGGGTCTCCAGTCTGCCAATTTACCCTGCAGATTTTGGACATGTTAGCTTCCAGAACAGCATGAAACAACTCCTTAAGATCAATCCATCGCTCTCTCTCCTCTCTCTCTCCTCAGAGAAAGATAGATGATAGATAGATGACAGATAGATAGATAGATAGATAGACAGATAGATAGATACTAGATAGACAGATAGATAGATAGATAACATATGGATAGATAGATAGATTCTCTGGAAGCACTAATGCATCTTCTCTTCTGTCTCCATCTGACCCTCTCTTACAAGGATAAATGTGATTGCATTAAGAGCCTATCCAGACATTTAGGATAATCTCCTCATCTCAGGCTCCTTAACTTAATCATATCTACAATATCCTTTTTCTAAAGTAACATTCACAGGTTCCAGGGGTCAGCACGTGGATATCTTTTTTGAGTCTTTATTAAGCATACCACAGGTAGACTTGAGAAGTCTTTCTGTTAAAAACGGTAATTATATCTATGTCAAATGTAGGTGGGGAATGAAAACTGCCACATTTGTTCTGGATAAGACACATTTAAATTATAACAGAAGACCTAAGCATCTGTTTTCTGAATCTTTTAGTTCTGCTGATATGTATGCAAACTCATAATGATTTAAAATATTTTAATTACTTTTAAAGATATTCAATAAAATGTGGCTATGGAAGATAGAAAGATACATGATATGGTTTTAAATATACTTTAAAGTATGTTCACTTTAAAGTTTTAAAGTATATTTACAGCATTAGGTATGTTTATAATATTATCAGTAATAAATAATTTTTCTTGTTACATCTCTTATATTCTATGAATATTTTAAAATATTTAAATTTTAATTAGGTAGACATGAACAGTTAAATCAATTATACTATATAATAAAATTATTTTATGAAATGCATAAAGAGCATATATGGTTTTTTTATAGGAACAAATTTTGAGTAATAAAGGAATTCAAAGACATCATAAACAAAACAGTAGTAACTGTAGAAGTGGGTTAGTCAATGACAATGAATTGGACTAATCTGAGAGCAAGATCTGAGGGGAAAAAAGATTAGGTAGTAGAAAAAACAAATAAAATAGCAAAATTATAGATAAGTCTCCACCTTCATTCTTCACTTATTTTCTTGAGAAATATCCCCTCCCCATTTGGGTCTCAAACTATTTTTAAGTGAAAAGACAAAAATTTAAATGAAAGGACAGAAATTAAGACTGCCTGTTTCAGTCCTATTCATTTTATAAAACTGTCACTTCTGTTAAACAGGTGTTTGAATAAAAGTAACTATTTTGCATTTTGAGCGTGCATAATGTGCTTCCATTATCATTTCTTCTAAAGACTCAGATTTAATATTTTAATAATGTTACATCCTCTGGGTTCAGAACTCTATTAAATATTCTATTTAATAATTAAGTTCAGGTGCTGTTTAATGCACTTACCTTCTTTTCATGTGGCCAAGTTACAACATCCTGTATTTAAAATCCTAATCATTTGTCAAATACTAGAAACTCACTAAAAATGTGTTTATTAGATATACATCAATTATTTTGTGGCTCCTTCTTTCCTAGGAAATGTACTTCATTATGTTTTTGGTTTTTGTTTCTCTGGTTTGGTTTTTATTTTTCAAAAGCCTGAGAATTGATCAATAATGTAATATTTGGCATATATAAAAATATTTATTTAAGCTTGTTGTTGTGGGATCCTAGGGCAGTAACCTATAACTGGGAATGAATTTTAAAAAGCAGAGGCTTTTGGTAGGCATGAAGTCACCTTCATGTGCTTTTGGCAGTTCTAGGCATAATATTGAAAAATGGGTCTTAAATACATTGTAATATTATTTATAAATTGTATTGAATAAAAGCAAATAGTAGTATGTGCTATATACTGTTATTTAAATATCCTAAGAAGGCAAAGCAATAGAGGATTTCATGTAGATATAATTAATAACACTATTGTAACAAAAAGTCAATTTACTTCTTCAACTGCAGCATATTTCTGTTAAGCCTTAGTCAGTCTCATAAAAGATTATAGAGAAGATGAGACAACAGTGATAAGCTTATTCATTACCTCCGAAAAGCTGATCTAAGTAAAACAGATATCTAGATCAAATAATACAATGGATTCTCCATGTTATTCTCCCAGGATTTGTGAGAAAAATTACTAAATGTTTTTGTATTAACATTTAAAAATATTATTATTAATATGTAAAATAAAATTTTTATTTCAATTAGGTTTCAGATTTTAAAAGCAATATTCAGAGCTCAGTTTGAATTGGTATTGGGCAGACAGCCTGATGCCAGTTTTCCCAAATTCTAACCAAACTGCTTATGTAAACATACAGAGGGCTCTCACATCTCTACCCTAAACTGCCAGAGCCCATTGACAGTATGAAGTAGGATCTTCCTAGCAGCTTTAAATCCCAACAGGCTGTGACCTCTTCACATTTTTCATATGACCCAAAGCAGATCTGTCATCCAGCAAGAAGGCTTTGGCTAACAGACCTTCAGTCTTTAGCAGCCATACCCTGGGCTTTCATCCCTGCTTTTCTCCTACACACACATAGTGAAAGGTGAGTGTTCATCTACTCTCACCCACACCTCCATTCAGAGAAAGAAACTTTCAGAAATAACTGGATGTGAAGGAAAAAACGGAAAGAATGTTAAGATGTCTAATAGTGATTCAGGGTTCCACATGCCCTTAATTTAGAAAGTTAAGTTACTTAGAATGCTAAAAAGAAAACTGAACAAAGGACAATACAGATGTGTGGAATGAATGCTGTTACTAGATCTAAAAGGGGCTGAGGCCTATTCACATTAACATGCTGAGGTTTTTGTTTTTTTTTTCTTTGCCGATTAAGGAAGGGGGTATATCAGCCAAAATAAGGACAATAAGTAGTCAGTCAATATTTAGAAATTTGAAGCTCATAACATTTTTTCTTTATCAAAGATGAGTAAATAGAAAAAGAAAACCCACCTCAAACAGAGCACACTAACGTTAATCTTAGAGAATTAATATTGTCTTACTATAAATTTAAAAAACTGGAACAACAACAACAAAAACCACAGACCATGAAAAGTGACATAGATGAGACAAGCAGGTATCCAAGTAAAATATGTGCCATAATTAAAATCAGCCTTATAGGCAATGAAAGTGAAAATTGGCAGAGTGGTATATTAAATTATTAGATGATCAAACCTAATGTTTCTAAATAAAGAAGGAAAGGATGTTAGGATGAAGACTATGAAAGCAAAAATAACAGATAGCAAGGAGGGAGAACTAATACTTAAAGAACATATCATGATTTTACTGGAAGAAAAATAAAACCATGGATGGTGGACATTGGAGGACATAAAATATTCTAAGCTTTAGAAGAGAATTCTATAATTAGATTTCTTTAAAGTACTACAGTTTAGACAAGTCTAATTAATGATACAAAATGAGCTAAACTACTGTATTTTTACATTCATTCTTGTGTTTTTGCAGATTACAAACCTTCCATAGACTGTCTTCATCAATGACTGAATATAAAAGGGAAAGGAGAGTGAAGCATACCTATTATTTGGAAAACACAGAAAGCCTTTGTTTGCCTCATGTTCCTTGCTTAGTTAAGGAATCCGCAATGCATTTTCTAAAAGTTATTTAGAGTGCTCAGCAGTCTAGGATGTTCCCACCCAACCAGCTCTTGTCTTTCTTTCACTAGGGATTGAGCTTGCTTAGTGGCCTGAGTGCAATCCCAGCCTACACTAGCTCCATCCCATCTCCTTTTACACAGGCATCTCTCCTAATAAAATCCTGGCATGTTTAATCTGCTCTTGATGTCTGCTTCTCAGAGGACCAGAAGTAAAAGAGATAAGTAAAATACCACCTTTTAAATAAGAAAAAATATGTTTAAAATAGTAGAGAAAATTATTCAAGCTTAAGCAATTATTCAAGTTGAGCATTACACTGATGAGATAAATTCATTTTAACTAATTGAGTTTTCATGATAATAACAGTAATGCATATTTATTTTCAAGAACTCAGGAAACAAAGAAAATGAGGCAAAAACATCAACAACCACCACAAAAAAAAACCCACAAGAGATTCATTAATTTGTTGGTGTATTTAATTAGTCTTTTTAAATGTGTATTTCTTCTTAAATTTAAGTTTATAATAAAAAAATACATTTTCCTGAAAATATATTTTAGGACTAAGCAACAGGGAAAGTATGTAAGAATTAAAAAAATAATGACCAAGAGGCGAGAGTTTTTATAATTATTGTTAATTTTAAAAATATCTTTTAGAAGGTTTAATAATCATTTTATTCTTGATGGTTTTTTCCCCAGCTTTATTGAGGTATAACTGACAAATACTAATTGTGTATGTTCAAAGTGTATCACATGATGTTTTCGATATAAGTACACATTGTGAAAAGATTACAATAGTCATACTAATTAATGTGTCCATTGTCTCACATGTTACCATTTTGTGTGTATGTGACTGATGGGAATACACAAGATCCATTTTCTTAACAAATCTCAAGTACCATAGGTCCTCATATAACACTGTTTTCTCCAACTTGTCTTGTTATAATGTTTATGTGAAAGGAAAAATCAGTTCTCACCAGGGCCACTGTGTGTGTGGAGTCTGCCTGTATGCCCTATGTCTACATGGATTTTCTCCTGGTACTCTGGTTTCCTCTCACATCACAAAGACATACATAATAGGTCAACTGATGCGTCTATATTGTCCCAGTCTGAGTGAGTGTGAGTGTGTGTGAGTATACTCTGATAGAATGGTGTCCTGTCCAGGGTTGGCTCCCGCATTGCACCTTGGGAGTGCCAGGATAGACTCTGGCCACCTGTGACTATATGATAATCATACAAATGAATGGCAATAAACAATGTAGTACCAAGGCACTCAGCAAGTTCAGCATATTTGTTATTGTTTGTGTCTGAGCTGCATTGTGATAGGAGATATCCTTACAATTTTTGCTTTGCAAACATTTGTTTCTTGATTTAACCCACTACCATTATGAAACCACTACCAATTCACTAAAAATTGGGTAAAGAATTATCTTACTTGCTTTTATTAATCTTTCCTAAATGTATGTATAACTCACTTTTATTCCAATGTTTAACACTAGAAGTGTTTTGTGTCTTTATTTAGAAGTTAGTGAGGTTTTTATGGCCAGAAATATGTCATAGGAATTTAACCCTTGCTTATATCAATTAACCTATAGTAATATTGGTCTTGGTATATGTCATTTTGCTTAAAATCACAGTTTCCAAGAAACTGTCAATGATAGTAAGAGAGGACTTACTGTATACAACAAAGTTCTATTAACTACAGTCACCGTGCCATTCATTAGATCTCTAGAACTTATTCATCTTGCATAACTGAAACTTTCTACCCTTTGAACATCTTCCCATTTTTCCAAACCTTCATCCCCTGGAAACAACTGTTTTGCTCTCTGTGTTTGATTTTTTTTTTTTTTTTTTTTTTTTTTAGATTACACATGAAAGTGAGATCTTACAGTATATCTCTTTATGTGCTTGGCTAATTTCATTTAGCATGATGTCCTCCAGGTTCATCCACATTGTTACAAATGATCAGATTTCCTTCTTTTTTAAGGTTGAATAATATTCATACATATATTATAACTCACATTTTCTTTATCCATATATCAATTAGTGGAAATATGTTGATTCTGTATGTTGGCTTTTGTGAATAACACTAAGAGTATATATATGTATTTTAGGTATTGATTTCATTACTTTTGAATATATACCCAGGAGTGGTTTTACAGGATCATATGTTAGTTCTATTTTTAACTTTTTAAGGAACCTTTCTCTCTCTCTCTCTCTCTCTGTCTTTCTAAATAGATAAATGGACAGGTAGATAGACAGATGGGATTTTAATAGGAAATACACTGAATGTGTAGATTGCCTTGGGTGGTAAGGACATTTTAACAAAATTAATTCTCCCAATCTGCGAACATGAGTTGTGTTTCCATTTATTTGTGTCATATTCAATATATTTTTATCAATGTTTAATAGTTTTCAGTATACAGATCTTTCACCTCTTTGGTTAAACTTAATCCTAAGTATTTCATTTTTGTGAATGCTATTTTAAATGGAATTGTGTTCTTGATTTCTTTTTCAAATAGTTTGTTGTTAGTGTTCAGAAATGCAACCGATTTTTTATGTTGATTTTGTATCCTGCAACTTTGTATCCTTCAACTTTTTATGTTGATTTTGTATTCTTTCAACTTTACTGTATCCTGCAACTTAACTGCAAACTTTACTTTTTTGTTAAACCTATAAGCTTTTTTAGTGTAGTCTTTAGATCATTCTATATAGAAAATCATGTCATCTGCAAACAGAGACAATTTCACTTATTCCTTTCCAATTTCGATGCTTTTTATTTCTTTTTCTTGCTTAATTGCCCTGGCTGGAAATCCCTTGTATTGATACACCAAGAGAGTGGGTATTAAGACTTGTTTTCGATATCTTACAGAAAAAGCTATGAGCTTTAAATATTAAATATAATGTTCACTGTGGTTTTTCATATATAGCCTTTATTATGTCGTGGTATATTCCTTTACTGCTTAATTTGTTGAGAATTTTTATTGTGAAGGATGTTGAATTTTGTTAAATGCTTTGTTTGCAGAAATTGAGATAATTTTATAAGATTTATCTTTCTGTTACTGTGGAGTATTACATTTATTAATTTACATATGTTGAATCAATCTTATATTTCAGGAATAAATTCCACTTGATCATAGTGTATGATTATTTTAATGTACACTTAAATACAGTTTGCTAGTATTCTGTTGCAGAATTTTGCATCTGTATTCATCAGAGATATTGGCCTGTAACTTTCTTTCTTATAGTGTTCTTGTCTGTCTTTGGTATTAGATTAATGATGGCCTAATAAAATGGATTTGAAAGTATTTCTTCCTTTTTTTCATTTGTTGGAAGACTTTGAGAAGACTGGCATTAATTCTTTAAATGTTTGGTAGAATCCACCAGCGAAGCAATCAGGCCTTGGGCTTTTCTTTGTTGGGAAGTTTCTAAACTTTAAAGTTTCTTCTAAACATTATTAATACTAATTTTGTAGCCAATATATTATCTCTCTTGGAAAATGTTCTGTGTGCACTTGAAAAAAATTTGTATTTTGTTGCTGTTGGATGAAATATTGTGTATATGGATAGTAGGCCCATTTGATCTGTAGTGTTGTTCCAGTCTGCTGTTGTTCAGGTCAATAAGGATATTGATTTTCTGCCTGGATGAGCTATCCAACTTTGTAAGTGGGATAATGAAGCTCCTACTCTTATTTTATTGCTATTTCTTCCTTCAATTCTGTTAATGTTTGCTTTATCTATTTAGATTCTCCAATGTTGGGTGCATATATCTTTACAATTGCTATATCCTCTTGTTAGTTTGACCCCTTCAACACCACACAATGACTTGTTTTGTCTCTCGTGACAACTTTTCACTTAAAATTTATTTGGCTAATTTAAATACAGTCACCTCTGCTCACTTTTGGGTGCCACTTTATAGATTCTCTTTTTCCATCCCTTCACTTTCAGCCTATGTGTGTCCTTAAAGCTATAGCCCTCTCTTAAGAGCAGCATCTATTTAGATCTTGTTTTTTTTTTTTCAATCCATTAACTACCATGTCTTTTCACTGGAAAATTTTATCCATTTACATAAGGCAATTATTGATAGATAGGGACTTAACTATTACCATTTGGTTATATTTTTCCTGAGTGTTTTGCATTTCCTTTTTTCCTCTCTTGCTGTCTTCTCTTGTGATTTGATTATTTTTGATAGTAGTATGCTATCATACTATCAAAAATCATACATATTAATCACACTATCATACATATTATATTATCATACTATCATACATATCATATTACCATACTATCATACATATCATATTAATCCTTTCTCTTTATCTTTGGTATATACTACAGGTTTTTGCTTTGTGGTCTCCATGAGTCTTATATAAAATGTATAGTTATAACAGTCTATGTCAAGCTGCTAAAACTAAACTTCAATTACAACAAAAACTCTACACTTTAACTTTTTTCTCCCCAGATTTTATGTTACTGATGTCAAAATTTACATCTTTTAATAATGTATACCCATTAATAACTTATTGTGTCTATATTTATTTTTAATACTGTTGTCTTTTAACTTTTATACTGGAGTTAAAAGTTATTTATGCACTGCCTTTAAAATACTAGAGTATTCTGAATTTGACTATGTTATTACCTTTATAGTATGAGTAACTTTTATACTTTCATAGATTTCACGTTGTCCGTGTTCTTTTGTTTCAACTTTGAGAACCCCTTTCAGCCTTTGTAAGGCAGGCCTAGTGATAATACATTCTTTCAGCTTTTGTTGTTGTCTTGAAAACACCTTATCTCTCCTTCATAGGTTTGTTTTTGTTTGTTTGTTTTGAAAGAGTCTTGCTCGGTCACCCCTATCAGTGGCAGGATCTCTGCTCACTGCAGCCTCCACCTCCTGGGTCCAAGCAATTCTCATGCCTCAGCCTCCCAAGTAGCTGGGATTATAGGCATGCACGCTATGTCCGGGTAATTTTTGTATTTTAGTAGAGACAGGGTTTCATCATGTTGGCCAGGCTGGTCTCGAACTCCTAAGCTCAGTCAATCCACAAGCTTCGGCCTCCCAAAGTGTTGGGATTGAAGGTGTGAGCCACCGCACCCAGCCTCTCCTTTATTCTGAATGAACAGATTTGTTAGGTATGGTATCCTTGGTTGGCAGCTTTTTATTCTTTTAGCACTTTGAATATGTCATCCCTATGTCTCCTGGCCTGCAAGGTTTCTGCTGGCAAATCTACTTATGGTCTCTTGGGGGCTTACCTTGTATGTGATGAAATGCTTTTCCCTTGCTGCTTTAAAAATTGTGTCTTTAACTTTTGAGACTTTAATTAAAATGTGTCTTAGGGATGATCTCTTTGTGTTTAATCTATTTGGGTTTCTATGAACATAATAAATATAGATGTTCATTTCTCTCCCCAGATTTGGTTAGTTTTTCATTATTTTTTTAAAAAAAGCCTTTCTGCTTTTTTCTCTGTTTGTGCTCCTTCTGAGGCTCTCGTAATATATATATATATTGGTTTACGTAATGATGTCTCCTAAATCCCACAGGCTTTCTTCACTGTTTTTCTTTTATTTTTTCTTATTTCTCTGACTGGGTAGTTTCAGTGACATGTCTTCAAGGTCACTGATTCTTTTGCTTCATCAAGTCTGTTGTTAAAACTTCCTATGGGATATTTCATTTTAGTCATTGTATTTTTCAACTCCAGAATTTGTTTCATTTTTTCATTTTTCTATCTCTATTGAACTTCTCTTTTTGTTCACATATTGTTTTCCTGATTTTGCTTGTCTATCTATCCCTGTTCTCTTGTAACTCATCGAGGTTCTTTAACATGATTATTTTGAATTATTTATCAGGCAATGTGTAGATCTCTATTTCTTTAGGGTCAGTTACTTTTGCTTTATTTTGTTCCTTCAGTGATAAGAATTTCCTTGATGATTCATGATTCTTGTGACCTAGCACTGGTGTTTGCACACTTAAAGAAATAGGAACTTCTTTTAGTCTTTTGTAACTGTTTTTGGTGGGGAAAGCACTTCAGCAGTTATCCCATCCAGAATTTCCTAGATAGGCTGACTGGTGATATTTGTGTGGGTAACCTTGGAGCCTTTGTCCACTGAGGCAATCCTGGAGTTTGGTTCCACATAGGGGCCTGGTGTCTAGGACTATAGGTGCAGGCCTAGAGCCTGAATCCATGGGGGTCAATCTGATACTGGGGCAAGCCTTAAGCCTGAGTACACAGTGGCCAGCCTGGTACTGAGGCAGGTATTGAGAATCTGCAGAGATGGGCCTGGTCCTGAATTCATGGGGCTGACCCAGCATCAGATTCCATCAGGTGGGGCGTGATGTCCAGGTCCATTGGTGCAGGCTTGGTGACTGGCCCCATGGAGCCTGGGGCTTGGGTGCATGAGGGCCAGTCTTACACTTAGACAGGCCTTCTCTCTGAGTCCATGGGAGCTGGTTTGTCCCTAGGGCAAGTGTGGGGCATAAGTCTGCAAGGATGAACCTTGTCCTAAGTCCTTATGAGACAGCTTGGCACCAGTGTTCACTACATTGGGCCTGGGGCCTGGATCTGGGAAGGCTGACCTAGAGAGTCTGGGTCTTCGGGAGCCTGAAACCTTAGGTAATGGCCTTGTTCTCAGGCAGGCGTGGAGCCTGGCAATGCAGGAACTGGCCTAGAGACTGGGTTCATAAGTGTTAGCCTGGAGCCTGGGGTTATGGGGCTAGCCTGGCACTGGGGTGGGCTTGGAGCTGAGGTCTACAGAGGCAGGCCTGGATACTGGGACTATAGGACCTGGCCTCATAACAGGGAAGGCCCAGAGCCTAGGTCCACAGGGGCCAACCTTGCGCCGATGTTCACGGAGGCAGACCTGTTGCTGGGGTCTATGGTGAAGTTGCTTGCTCACTTCCTTCTCCTTCCTCATGTGAAGGATATCTCTTTTTGTACTGCACTGCATAGACTTGGAGGAGACATGATATAAGTAATGTGACATTGTCCTTTCTACTCTCTTCAACACATTTTTTTTCTTATTTCTATTCTTCACTCAGATGCTATAATCTCTCACCTGGATTCCATAGCTCTTGTGAACTTATTTTAATGTGTAGGTGGTTGTTCAAATAGATGTTTCGGTGAAAGTATGAACATTGGAAACTTCTGTCCTCTTGTTCATATTACTCTTAATGCATTATGTCTTTGGAAAAGGCTTGGCAATCACAGTCATAGTCATGGTAGGAATGTAGAATGTAGAAAATTGGAAGATAAATGAGAAAGCACCAGTAGAAAATTTTTCTGTCATTCTTTTCTGTTGTGGTATGAGGATTAACTTTGTAAAACATATTACATTTGTTTCCACTCTTAGCTGCCAAGGTGAGTAGGTAAAAGTTCATAGAGCCAAATAGCATAGAACAGTTACAAGTCTTGTTTGTAAAACGGTGATGTGTATTTAAAATTTTTGAACTGTCAATAGCCAAAAGAGGAGTCTAAGAGCATGCCTAAGAAACAATTAGGGATTTAGGTACATTTTAAGAAGGGGGCTGTTAGTTATGCTATGGATAATATCGACATTGACTTCCTCAAACCACAGCAGTCATTCTAACTCCAATATTGCAATTGTCTTGAGATTAAATGATCTTGATTATGTTCCCTAATCATTATGCTCTTTAAGTGACTCATAAAAGTATTTTAAAACAGTATGTAAGGTGACAATTTACTTTCTATTTTTAGATAAAATTAACACAGTTGAACATTTTAGTTACAATATGATGGAAACTGACTTTAAAAAGCCAACAATCATATTTATTACACTTAATAAACGATAGTATAAAAATACATGAACAATAAGAACCAATAAAATTGTACTTACTGTGCAAATAGAACAATTAATGGAAATTATAATACTCCTAGTTATACATAAATATATTTATTCTGTAGGGGTCAGTGTTATGAAGAATCTAAACTTTCTTTTAATCAGATTTTTATTCTTTCAGAAACAAGATTTTTTTTCCTGTCATTTTGGCTTTAAGGATCATCTTTCTTCCTTGAAGTGAGAATCATAAATTTTGGAATGAATTTTAAATCTCCTCAACACTGATATCTATTGAGTCTCCTTGTTTGAGGAATGAGCTGGCAGCTTGGAAGTGTAATAACAACTAAAATAAATGAGTCTTGAAAACCTATAACAGATTTTTGGAAATTTGGCTCTCCTCAGTGTAGAACTGCCATTCCACTGATTAAGCACAAATAAGAAATATGAAAAAAAAAACATTTAGAGTATTTTTATTACTTAAATATGAAATATTTATCTGGAAATATGGTACATTACTGACTGTACCTTTTTCTTACATTGGATTCTTGACTGTGTTTTTTATTTTTAAAATTTTATTTATTTTTTATTAAAGGAAATGTTTTAAGAAAGTGAATCTGTATTTTAAAAGAGAATTACAGTTTTTGGAGTCTTCATTCTTAATATAAATGTTTTCCTTCTATATATTACTTTTCAATAAATTACCCTTCATATCCCTGTTTGTATCTCATTGTTCTTGCTGAGGCAAAAGTATATCTAAGTGTTTTTTTCAATACAGTGTTATTCATGATCTCATTTAATACCCATTAATGACAGTAAATATTGACTCCTTTTTCACAGGAAGAAGCTGCATTTCAGAGGTATTAGTAACTGTCCCAGATCACATAGCTCATACTGGCAGAGCCAGGATTCAAACCTGCATGACCACCCAGCACAACCTCCCTGTAAAGGCCCTGAAATGTCCAGTAACAGCTGGCTCGAGGACTGCCCACTTATCATTCACCCTTTGTCAGGGGTTGGGCAGCACCTGCAGCAGACACCCTGTAAGCTGCTTTCTATTTCTTTTCCCCAGAAGCCACTCCAATGTATTTCTTTTCCTTTCAGAGTCTCGTCATGAAAAGTATAGTAACAACACCAAATACACTAGTCAGTATTTAAAAAGCTACAGTGTCTTTAAGAATACAATGTATTAATATAGTTATTTGTAAGTGACAGATGACAAATAATGTCAGACATTTAACATGGCAGTGGGTATTATACTAAAGGCAACTTGTTTGAAACAGGTTTAATTTAAAGTACTAGAATGCATGTGTCATATCTGACTTGTAGAGCACAGCTTAAACAAAGAGGTTTCATTTTTGTTCTACAGCTATTAGTCTTGTGACTCCAGAAAACCCAACATAAACCACCACTTCTTTATAAAGATATACAAAGGATGAATCTCCTCATCCTGATAGCCTTCGACATCCACACATCCACACATTTCAATATATATGCTTCCTTGTTTGGCCCTTGATGATAGCATAAAAACTCTCCCCACCCACATACAATCTGTTTGCATCTCACAATCTTTCATATCTAATTCACACCATTAGCAATCTCTCTGCCTTTATATATTTGAAATAGCATATAGGAAACATATCTTGCAGTACTCCTGTAGCACACTATACTTTAGAGTAATACATTTTTATGCTATGGAAAGATTTCCTAGGCAAATTAATATGTTTTTTTCCAGCCAATGCCAAACTCCCAAGATGTAATCAATCTTAGAAGATCTTGCTTGACTTTATCCCTTTTACACTTTTCTGAAAAAAGGAGTAGATCTGTGCAGGCTTGAGTCCACCTTCCTTCTGAAGATCTAGAAGAACAAGATATGTTTCTCTACTCCAAACTCATCTTGATTTTCTTTATAAATATTTAACTGATGCTTGCATTAATTATATATTTGCACAAATTGAAGCTATGTAGAATTATAATTTTAGGGTAATGTTATATAAATGGATGTTATAATAATAATCTTATGCTTGAAATACAAACACGCCTGCTAAAAATTTTGAGATTTCATGGTATTCTATCCTTAGGATATCTAATATTCAGTATACAGTCAAAACATTGTATTCAGAACCTGCTTGAATGTATATTTTTCTTTGTGTGGTTATCAACATATCAAAATTTATTTTGTTTCTTGCTCTATTCAATTTTGGTTTTTCCAAACTTTATGTTTTATATTTCTTTAATGTGTACATTTTTTATAAATTGAAGGTTAAAATTGTATAAACATATAAACTGAAATAAACATTGTTCCCGTTTCTATGCCCTGCATTCAGTTTTTGCTGACTTTCTACCCTTAAGAGCTTTTATTAGTTTCTACTACCTGGTTTATTTTTACCAAAATTTGGACTAAATTTAATATTTTTATTTTTATTTTGCAGAAGGGTTTATCTCTTTTTAAATTGAAAAATATTGCTTTATTTAACAATATTGCAGAATAAATTCTAATAATTTAATGGATATTTTAAATTTCTTTTTATTTCTATCAAATTTTAGGGCAAGATCTTGCTATGTTTCCCAGGCTGGACTTCAACTCCTGGGCTCAAGTGATCCTCCTGTCTCGGCCTCCCAAGTACCTGGGACTACAGATGTGCACCGCTTAGTCAATTTTTCTTTATTTTTATTAAAGTATAATTGGCTTATATTAAATTGCATATATTAACATGTAATATTTAATAAATCTTGATATTTATGCACCCATTAATCTATCACACTATTAAATATATGTGCAATGTATTTTTCTCTCCTCAAATTTTTCTTGTGTTTTTTTTTAATTCTTTCCTTCTTCCCCTCCCTGTCCAACACTCCTTCTGCCTCCAGTTCTCTAGTAACTATTAATCTGATTTCTGTCATTACATATCAGTTGTACTATTTAGAATTTTATATAACTGGAATTGTCAACTATGTACTCTTATTTTTGCCTGGTTTCTTTCCCAAGAATAATGAAGATTCATCTATGCTGTTACACATATCAACAGTTCTCTTATCATTGCAGTGTAGTATTTCAGTATATAGATTACTATTCATATGCTGATGGTATTTTAGTGGTTTGGAGGTGTTTTATATAAAGCTTCCATAAATATTTGTGTACAATTTTTTTGTGTGGACACATGCTTTCATTTCTCTTAGCAGTAACAAGGTTAGAATATATGGCAGGTATATGTTTAACTTTTAAATAAACTAACAAAGTGTTTTATTGGGGAACCTGCCCCGATAGCTACATAGGTTCTTTTCTATTTTCCCTAAGCATCGGCCAGTTTGAGAAATAAGGGGACAGAGTACAAAAGAGAGAAATTTTAAAGCTGGGCTTCTGGGGGAGACATCACATGTCGGTAGGTTCTGTGATGCCCCACAAGCCGCAAAACCAGCAAGTTTTTATTAGGGACTTTCAAAAGGGGAGGGAGTGTACGAATAGGGTGTGGGTCACAAAGATCACGTACTTCACAAGGTAATAGAATATCACAAGGCAAATTGAGGCAGGGTGAGATCACAGGACCACAGGACCAGGGCAAAATTAAAATTGCTAATGAATTTTCGGGCACCATTGTCATTGATAACATCTTATCAGGAGACAGGGTTTTGAGAGCAACCCGTCTGACCAAAATTTTTTAGGCGGGAATTTCCTCTTCCTAATAAGCCTGGAAGGACTATGGGAGACTGGGGTTTATTTCATCCCTACTGTCTTGACCATAGAAGATGGCCACACCCAAGGGGGCCATTTATAGACCCACCCTCAGGGGCGTATTCTCTTTCTCAGGGATGTTCCTTGCTGAGAAAAATAATTCAGCAATATTTCTCCCATTTGCTTTTGAAAGAAGAGAAATATGGCTCTGTTCCACCTGGCTCACAGATGGTCAGAGTTTAAGGTTATCTCTCTTATTCTCTGAACAATTGCCGTTATCCTGTTCTTTTTTCAAGGTGCCCAGATTTCATATTGTTCAAACACACATGCTTTACAATTTGGGCAGTTAACACAATTATCACAGGGTCCTGAGGTGACATACTTCCTCCTCAGCTGGCAGGATTAAGAGATTAAAGTAAAGACAGGTCTAGGAAATCACAAGGGTATTGACTGGGGAAGTGATAAGTGTCCATGAAATCTTCACAATTTATGTTTAGAGATTATGGCAAAGACAGGCATAAGAAATTATAAAAGTATTAATTTGGGGATCTAACAAATGTCCATGAAATCTTCACAATCCACGTTCTTCTGCCATGGCTTTAGCCAGTCCCTCTGTTTGGGGTCCCTGACTTCCCGCAACAGAGTTTTCCAAAATACTGGTATCATTTTATATTCCCGTCATCAGTATTTAACAGTTACAGGTCAAATCCTGGCCAACACTTGGTATTGTCAGGCTTCTTAGCTTTTTAAAATGTATTAAGTATGTAGTCACTTAATTGCAAAAGACCATTTTGCTTTTAATTTTTTCCCTAATAAATTATAATGTTGATTATCCTTTCATGGTCTTATTTGCCATCCATATGTCTTATTGATAAAATGTCTGCTTACATTCATTACAAATTTATACTAGGATTTCAACATTTTTAAATCGTGGTAAAATACACATAAATAATATATCACTTTAACTATTTTTAAGTGTACAGTATACAGTGTTAAGTATAGCCACATGGTTGGGTAATCTTTATAACTTTTTCTTTTTGCAAAACTGAAACTCTATACCCATTAAATAAACCTTATTTTTTCCTCTCGTCAGCCCTCACAATCACCATGCTACTTTCTGTCTCTTTGAATGTTACTACTCTGGATACTTCATATAAGGGAATCATGTTGTATTTGTCTTTCTGTTATTGGCTTATTTCACTTAGTATAATGTCCTCAAGGTTCATCCATATTGTAATACATGTCAAAATTTCCTTTATTTTTAAGGCTGAATAATATTTTGCACACACACACATGCACGCACACACTGTTTTGTTCATACATTCAACCATTGATGGATATTTGGGTTTTTTCAACCTTTTGGATACTGTGAATAATCCTGTTATGAACAAAGGAGTACTATTAATATATTTTAAGTTCTTTTGGAAATATATCTAGGAGTGAAATTGCTGGATTATATGGTATTTCTGTTTTTAATTTTTTAAGAAACTGTCATACTGTTTTCCATAGTGGCTATTTGACATGCCCACCAATAGTCCACAAAGGTTCCAATTTCTCCACATCCCCATCAACACTTGCTATTTTCTCTTTTTTTGTTTTGTTTTATTTTTTAGAGCAGCCATCCTAATGGGTGTGAGGTGATATTGTGGTTTTGATTTGCATTTCCCTCATAATTAGTGATATGTCACATCTATTTATATGCTTTGTGGCCATTCATATATCTTCTTTGTAGGGATGTCTATTCCAGTCTTTTATTCATTTTTTAAAGCACGTTATTTGTTTTTGTTGTTGTTGTTGTCGCTATTGAGTTAAGGGAGTTTTCAAAATATATTCTAAATATGAGCTCCTTATCGGGTGTCATAGTCTGTTTAGTGTTGCTTACCTGTGGCTGGGTAATTTATAAAGAAAAGAGGTTTATTTGTTTCATGGTTCTTCGGGCTATCCAAGAATCATGGTGCCAGCAACTATTTGGCTTCTGATGAGGGCCACAGACTGCTCCCACTCATGGTGGAAGGCAAAAGAGCTGGCTGATACAGAGATCCCATGGTGACAGAGGAAGCAAAAAAAGAGAAAAGAGATGTGAGACTCTCTTAAACAAGCAGCTCTTGCAGAAATGAATAGAGTGAAAACTCACTCATGACTTCAAGGATAGCACAAACCCATTCATGAGGGATCTGCCCCCATGACCCAAAACACCTCTCACTAGGACCCCACCTCCACCATTGGGGATCAAATTTCAACATGAGATTTGGAGGGATTAAAAAAAAAAAGCTATATCCTTATATAGTGATTTGCAAATATTTTCTACTTTTCCATAAGTTATCTTTTCAGTCTGTTGATTGTCTCCTTTGATGCACAGAAGTTTTAAATTTTAATGTTGTCCAATACATCTATTTTTATTTTTGTTGTTTTTTACTGGGCCTTTTAAAAATTAAGATTTAAGAAATTATTTTGTATTGTAATTAAGTCCTTTATCAGATTTATTATGGACAAATATTGTCTCTTGTTCTGTGGCTTGAGTTTTCATACTCAACAGTATCTTTCAAAGAATAGAGGTTTAATTTTAACAAAGTTTAATATTTTATTTTTTAATGAATTGTGCTTCAAATGTTTCATCATTGAAATCTTTGTCTAACTAAAAACACAATCATTTTTGCCTGTTGTCTTTCAGAAATTTTATAGTTTTAGGTTTTATATTTAGGCTTATAATCCATTTTGAGATAATTTTGCTTTAATATATGAGGTATGTATGAAGTTTCCTTTTTTCTGTTTCCTATACTTATATCCAATTATTCCTGCATGCTTATATCTAATTAGTCAAAAGGACTATCCTCCTCCACTGAATTATCTTTGCATCTATGTCAAAAATATGTTGTCTATACTTGTACAGGCCCATTTCTAGATTCTATTCTGATACATGTATCTAATATCTAATTGCCTATTATCTTTCTTTCTTTATTAAAGTAGCTTTATAGTAAACCTTGAGCTTAAGTAATATAAATCCTGTAACATTTTTCTTCTTTCTCAGATTAGGGGTACTTTATTTATCTTTTCCAAAAAAATAAACATTAGAATCCACTTGGCAATATTTATAAATGCTTTGCTGGGATTTTGATTTGGATTGTGCTGAATCTATAGGTTAATTTAGGGTGAAATGATGTATGATCAATATGGAATCTTCCAGTCTATGAATATGGCATGCCTCTCCATTTATACATGTTTTCATATTGATTTCAGTAATGTTGTGCAGCAGTCAACAAACACATTCTCCACGTATTTTGTTAAATTTATAAATATTTTATTTTGGGTGCTGATCATATTTAATTTCAAATTTCAGCTATTTATTATTCATTGTCTTGCTTCATTTTTTGCTGCTATAACATAATGTTTGAAACTGGATAGTTTATAATCAGCAGAAATTTATTGGCTCACAGTTCTGGGCACTGGAGTTTCCAATATCAAGGTGCTGGCATCTTGTGAGGTCCTTCTTACTGTGTTATCATACGATGGAGGGCAAGAGTGTAAAAAAGAGGGAAATAGGGGTCTGAATTTGCCCTTTTATAAAGGCATCAAAATCACTCAATAAGGCAGAGCCCTCATGAACTATTACCTCTTAAAAATCTCACCTCTTAATACTGTTAAAATTGCAATTAAATTTCAATATGGGTTTTGGAGAAGAAAAACATTCAAGCCATAGTACTCATGTATATACAATTTTCTCTCTCTCTCTGTCTTTCTCATGGTCTGGCTAGGGCCTATCATTTATATTGATCAATTCAAAAACAAGCTTTTAGCTTGACTAGTATTTTTCCTTTTATTTTTCTGCTTTCAGAAGCCAGCTCACATTTATCTGTTTTGTAGGGCTCACAATCATTTTCCTGTGACCTATTCATTGTATAAGAAACATAGAGGCTCCAGATGATGATATCTTTAACTGGAAACTCCCCTTTTCTTCCTTTTTTAGGCAATAGGAATAGGGAATAATTATTTCTGAGTAGAAATGAGGTAGATAGATCTGAGTGGCAGCTTTGGTGTACCTTCAAGCTTTTTCTCTCCAAGGCATTTTTATGAGGCTTTGATAGGATTTGACTCCTTAAACTTTAAAAACTAAGGGATATTTTGTTTTTCTGTTTTGTTTACCCTTTAGAGGATTTTAATTTAGTTTTTTAGTTTCTCACCTCATAGATTTAAATTTTGGGGAATGTGTTAATGTGAAGATCACCTGTATGTCATGGATGAGTCCTCAAATCCCCAGTGCTATTACTCAAAATACACACACATTCTGATGTCTATGATAGTTTCACTCTTCCCAAGTGACCTTCTGCTGAAAGTCTCTCCTGAAATATTAACTTCAGGGCACACTCAGAGTCACTAAGTTCCCCAAATGCAGCAACTTTATTTTGTGGCAACTGACTGTATTTGAATTGAATATGTTATCCAACCCTGTATCACTGTTCAAAGATTTCCTGCTTTTTTTCTTGGGCCTCACAGTGTTACTCTGGCTGCATTAAGCCCCTATTTTAAGATTGCATCCAAGATTAGCAATTTCCAAAGCAGAAAGCATGTGGCTGTTCATGCAAGAATTTGGTTCTGAATGGTTCTGTCTTCTCTATTCTTTTGTCCATCTAGTTTTCATTACATCTATAGCTCTCTGATGATATATTAAAATATTTGTATAACTATTTTCAGCTTTATCTAGTTTCCTGTGGGGGTATTGTTTGGCTAAACCTATTATATCTCTCATGTAAGCAGAAATATTTCCATTAGATGATTTAACAGAAAAACTTTAATGTAAAGAACTGGTTAAACAAATATGGGAAAACCAAAAAAAAAAAGAAAAAAAAAAGCTGAGTACTGAGGAAACACCATGATAATAGCTCCAGGAGGCAGTTGAACTTCTAATGGTAGATACATATGAGGGAAAATGTTGCTGTTTAAAGAATCTAGAACATAAAAATAGGTTCCTGCAGAGTTGATCTCCATTTTTCTCCCAGGGTAGAGTCTATGTTTCCCTGATTTTATACTTTCTGATATTTGCAGATAGGTAAAGGCTTGAAAGTATGTGTTTGCATGCCAAAAGGAAAAAGAACACCCAGAAAACACAGTATAAGCTTTCAAATTCAATAGCGTGGAGCCATATTTCTCTTCTCTTTTAAGCTAGAAAGAAGATAAACAACCAAACAACAAATGTTGTTTAAAAGTCTTAGGTATAATTTAACTAGCAGCTCTAGAGTAGATTAATGAAAATCCTGAAATAACACTGTGACTCAGAAAAATTCTCTGAGTGCTACAAATTTCAAAGGCACTAACTATTCAAGCATAGTGAAGAGAGCTGAGTACAAATGTCAAGGTGTGAGCAGGTGAATCCAGAATTTCGAAGGTCAAGTGAACGCGAAGGACACTAATAAGGAGACAGGGGGCTAACTAGTCGATGAATGTATGATCTTTGCTCTAAATATTAAGCTAGAGTTCATTTCTCCTTTCTCTATTCATCCATAATACATTTAGTCACTAGTGAACCACTATCACTTTTCAAACTTAGGTTGCCTTCTTTTGTTTACTAATCTTTCCCTCCATTCTTTTGTAAACTATTTGAAGACAGGGACTATATTTGATATATTTAATCTCCCACCATTTTTAATGAATTTTCATGCACATATTTAGTAGTTTTTTAGTTTACTTGCAATAGAACATGAAAAGATGATATGACTATTTAACATGCTTGGACATTTCTCCATTTTCATACATGATTTATAGAGTGTTTATTCATTAGGCGTTATCTATAACCACACAATTACTTTCTTATTTAGACTAGCCTGCTAAGTTAACGTAATTTAAAAACCTTCTATCAGAAGGAACATTTTTTATCTACATGGTTAATTTTATAGTTCAATGTTTTAGCCTGACTGAAGTGTTCATATTAGGAAAAACATTTGTGTGTACTAACACAACTGTATACATTTATAATTAGAGAGTTTATCTTAGCAATTAAGGTAATAATAGCATGCTATTAAACAGTACTTATAATCGCCAGAGACTGTTTTAAGCCCTTTACATAAAATAATTCATTTGATCCTGAGAACAATTCTGTGAGGTAGGTATTAACATTGTGGTTTAAGAGTCCAACCTTTAACAACTGAACAACAGGTCTTCTCTTGACATAATACAATTATTTTGCTTATTGCTAAAGAATGTCCAGATTGAAATAAACAGCAGCATCTTATTTATATCTTAGCATTTTAAGTAGCCTTCCATTTAGCACCATTTTTAAAGTTACAGACATGGAGATGGAGCAGTCAGAGCTTTAGGAAGGAAAGGGAGTCAGAGACAACTAGAGGCTTTTGAACCCCTCTTTGCCCTGGGTGTCTTCAGTTGGCTCCTATATCTTCAGCAATATTCAGTAAATGAAAAATTAATGATTGAAATTCTGAAATGAACAGTCTCTCTGGTCCCAGCAGTCTCTAGATTGGGAATTCTGTTATCCAAATATTTTGCTTTAACTCTCACCTTGCAAAAATACCAAATCTGAATATTAATAAGCCTCTGTGAAGCACATAGGTTAGAACTTAAGAAACAAAAAGAGTGAAACAAACAAAAAATACGTAAGCATGTTTATATCCTACAATGAATTCCTGTAGGTTTTAAATGTTTTTAAAATTTCCTTTTTTTGTAGTAATAAAAACAAATTAGGACCATGTTGTTTTTATTGACTTAGGGCTGAATGGAACGGCCGTTTTTCAATAGATTTCACATAGGTGTCCAATTAACTATTCACTTAGACAGGAGGTTATAGCACAAATGTATGTAACCTTACCCAAGACCATTTGTTTAATGTTTCCTGCCATATGACAGCTCTTATGTGATTGCCAGCAGTAAAGCAAACAAGTCATAATGACCACAAAAGCCCTTTATGTGTCCCTAATAAGTACTATTGTCATGATTCTTAGTTTTAGATATAACATTTTGAAACACTTACTATATTGCACTGTGACTAGATGTACACATACACCTATACTGATATATACAGGCACAGGGAAATTACCATTTTTAAATTTTCCATAATAACAATGTACGAAAAGAAAGGTTTTATATAAAATCTCCCTTAGAAATTATTTCAGATGAAAATTGCATGCTGTTAAAGACCAGGACACGTAATTCAGTAATGAGGATTTGACATAAATTCAACACAGTATGGTAAGGCTTTGGGAAGCCTGAAGATTTCTTTTCTTGCTTTCTCTTTCTTCTCCACTACCCCCCCTTCTCTCTCTTTCTTTCTTCTTTTTTTTTCTTTAAAGTATCATCTATCAACATACAGCAATTAACTGTATAGGTTCTCATCCCATAAATCAATTAGAAGCTGTAAAATATTATATTTATTTCTGCCTTTCATTACAGCAAATAGAGGTAGACACTTCTTTACAACAACTAGAGCAGCTAGTTCACAGAAAGTGCCTATATTCAGATGAACTACTAAAGTCATAGATGTTAAAAATTAACATTAAGAATCTCTCATCTATGTGTCATTAGTATCAAGATAATAATAAATACATAAAGATTATCAGATACAGATTTCCCTATCCTTAGAACGAACTTTTATTTCTTGAAATAAAAGGAGATTCTCTACAGATACATGTATATGTGTTTGTATATAAACTGGTATGTCCATATGCATACATGTTTTGACTTCTGGGAATCACACAAGTGTGAGTTTAAGAGAGAACCTAATGTTTTCTGAAGACATAATAAAGCCTAAAGGTAAAGAGAGCTATTTTGTCTTCATTATCTAACCATAGATTTGCAGTAGCACAAAGAAGTGAAATGGAATTTGGAGGGACTAGGTGAGCTCCTGAGATTAGAGCCTGTGTAAAGCAGACTAAATTTGCAACAGTTCCAGAGCAAGAATGACATTTTTTAAGTTATTTCCTCAGATATTTTAGGTCCTATAAATTGTGCAAGGCATGCTTTCTATAGAGGTAACTATGTATCCTCAAATATTGTATTAGAAAAAATGATTTTTCTGATAATATTATGGGATAATTAACTGCATTAGTCAAATAAGTGGCTAGGTCCAGAAAGCAAGTCAGCTGAGCTGTAGGAATCCCATTACGTAATAAGTACAACTTGTTCATTCTTAACTCTGTCAATATCAGTGTCAAATATCATTTTTATTTTGGCATAAGAATAAGTCAGCAATTATAATATCTATATTTCTTTACACATAAGCTATGTTTAGAAAGTCTGCATTTGGTATTTAAGGACTTGTTCAAACTTTAATTACTTCATTTTATCTTTTCATTTTGTTATTAATTACTTTTCACAGGAAGGATATAATTAGAGTTTTCTTAGAAATGAATGGAATTAAATAGCCTAAATATGCCCTTTCTCTGCAACTCTACATTTAAAATTAAACTTATTGAAATGTCTTATCAATTTCCTTTCTTTTTGCCCCACAAAAATTTGCTGATGGTCTATAGCTATCATTCAAAGCACAAAGTCAACTTTTAAAAGTTCTCTTTGTGAAAAGAATTGAAACTTAGGTTTTCCCCTGAAGAATGGTTATTTAAAATATAATTTCAAAACACACAATCTTAAAATTTATTCTGGTTGCTAAATTGCCTATTTTCATTATGAAAAAAATTGATGTACTTAAAATATTTTTAATAGTTTTTATTTTAAAAATATGGAACTCTTCTCTTTAAGCCTTCTAATTCAAGTTGCTACACAGATTTTTAAACAAAAATAAAATCTTTACTTCGCATGGGAGTTTGAGATGAGAACTCAACTCTAAGGAAGTTAGGTGATGAAAAAACCCCTACAGTAAAGAGTGGTTCTAGAAAGGTACACACAGAACTAACTTGTGTATTAACAATAAAACATTATCGATAACCTTTATCCAACAATCTTTATGATAGTGAAACACTAAAAATAACATGATTCAAAGCAAATAATAGAGGTAGAAAAGGCTAAAGGGACAGTAATTGTGTGTTTTTCTCTCAAAAGCTAAGAAAGAAGAGCTCACATCAAAAACAAAAATACAGTATGGAGTTGAGACGCTTCACTGAGAGTGAATGTCTGGCTACAGATGTATATTTATTGACACATGAAATTGTTACTGCTGTCCTTCTTAGTCCAGGGTTGCTCATGATCACAGAGAAGTCTTAGGAGAGTAGGGTATGGGCCTTCTTGATGTTGGGAAAGTTATCTTCAAAGAATCAACAAAATACCTCAGAAAATAAAGAGCCAGGAATCCAATATATCCACCAGAATAAATCTGGGAACCAAGAAAAATATATTTAAAAAAAAAAAAAGGTCTTTCTCTTTGCCTTTCAATTCCTCCCTCCTGCCCAAACTTGAAAAGATCAGAAGCAATGAGGAGTGCGGATGTATCAATGAGAGTAAGGAACACACATTGCCATAAGCTAGAACTGCGGCGGGAGGGGAAGCGGAACATAAACAGGACTGAGAATGGGGTATTAAAGAGTAAAAAAGGAATAAATTTGTGTGTAATTAGAAACTGAATTTTTAAAAGCTTGTATTTGGCTTTTGTTTCTTATTTTTATTTATTTCTTTCAGAGACAGGGTCTTGCTCTGTTGCCCAGACTGGAGTGCAGTGGTGCAACCATAGCTCACTGCAGCCTCAACCTCCTGGGCTCAAGTGATCCTTCCTACCTCAGCCTCTCAAAGTGCTGGGATTATAGGTGCAAACCAATGAACTAAACCTGAATTTTGTTTTTAAATACATGGGACATTATTCCAAAAGACAAACGTGACTGAAAAAACTTTGGAAACTGCCCCACGTATCTCATGCATTTGGGGAAGGGAGATCCAACAGAATGTGTTTGAAGGCATAAGAGGAAAAAAAATCTCATTGTTGTCCTGCTAAGAGCTCTTCATTAAAAAAACCTTCTGTATTCCCAGGAGTCACCACGATTTGTTAATGATTATGTCATCTGACCACCGGTTCTCTCTTGTGTCTCCTAACTCATTTTTAGCTGGGTTTCTATCCATGCAACTCAAAAGTTTTTGTGGGACTTTAGCATCATCCCTGGCTGTAGAAATTGGGCATAATCCCATTTCTCAGCCACAGCGATTGGCTCAGTCATAGACTTAACCCAGGAGAATGCAATAGGGGTTTCGAGGAAAGAAGCATTCTCACCCTCTGGAGAGAACTAGCAGAAGAAGTTTCTGTCTCCGTGCAAGCATGAGAATGCATGTAGCTTCAATAATTATTGACAGTCATCTTGCAACCAGCCTGAAAGCAAAGCAGAAGTAAGATGCAGCAGAAGTAAGACTCGAGAAATGGTTTGGAAATGGGTCTTTATTAACACTGTTGAGCTGGTGAATCAAATAAACTGTGAATCCCATCCTAGATCAAGACATCTCGGTAGTGTAAGCCAATACATTTTATTGAATAAACCGTAACTTATTTGAAGTTAGATTTTTCGTATCTTACTTTATATTATTCCACAGATAATCCTGCATTCTAGTCATGGAGTCAGAATCCTCTACATTTTCTCTCTCTTTGGCTACTGAGATTAGTGAAAACAGGAGGGATCAATCATTGCACTCCGATTTTCTATCAGACAGGACTTGGCCGAAAGAGTTGCTTCCCAGAAAAAAATTGAACTGCATTTAGTAGACGAGTAACATATTCTCTTTAACTTCAAAGTATATTGCAGGCAAGCCTGTAATTCTTCTTGAGCACTGCGAAATTTTTGAGGCAATGGAGTCGATACTTGGAGAGAAGCAGAGAGTAAATAAAGAGAATCATGCTGGCTCTATCGTAACTGTTACTGGTGGTCATTGCATTTTGTGAGGCTTGGATTTGCAATGGTTTTTTTTTTTTTTTTTCATTTCTGTAACCAAAAGAATACTTTGAATGTGTTTTTGGAATATACAGTCATCAAAGTTACTTTTTTGTCATTTGCAATCTTAGAATCCTGGTGCTGCTGCTCTTCCTAAGCAATGCCCTTCATATTATGTCTGTAACTATTATTTTTGCACTGATATGTATAATGGCAAGTAACATTAAACTATATTCTAGTAATTGACATCACAACTTTAATTCTTTTTTTTGTAAAAATTTGCCTCAATTTTTCATATTAGCATAGTTTATTATGATTAGTATTTAGATGCTTCCAAATATTTGATATCAGAGACAGGTTGGGTTGAATATACTTGACTATAAATACATATATTTGTTTGTAGAAGATAAATTTCCAGTACCAATATTTTGAAGTCAAAGGCCATTTAAAAAGATATTTACAAATATTGCCAGATTGCTTCAAAGATTTTCTTCCTGACGAAAAAATGATGAACATTTTATGAAATGGCCAGTTTCTGGAAACCTTTAACAAGACTAGATATTATGTATATTTTTTATGACAATCTAATATGTAAACAATTGTGTCTCCTTTAAATTTGAGGAGATCTTCTGAAAGGTATATTGACAATTTATGCTTCTTATCATGGGAATGATCTCTCCTTTACTGATTTAAAATAAAGTTTTTATAATTTTATATGTGCCAGAAATATTTAAGGTTTTTTCTTTGCATTTAATTCTTTATCTTTTGTTTTAATCCCTACCCTAGATAAATTTTAAACATTCATATGAGTGTTTTGATATTCACTTATGGTTTCTGGTTTTCTCTTATTCTTGGAATGATGAAAGAGATTTCAAATTAATTCTCTTTTATTTCCTTCCAGTAGTTAAAAAAAGCCAGCCCTTTTAAGTTCATTTATTTTACTTCTATCTCAAAGTTTACTTTCTAAATTTTTAATATTTAAGTATGTACTGTACTTATATGTTCTTCAGATTAAATATCAACAAGGTATATGTAAAATCTAGCCTTTCTCTTGATTTCCCTCTCTGATTGCTACCATTTACCTAAAAGTGTAAAATACACTATATGTCTTTTAATGTGCACAGATCTCAAAGATATGGTCAATATAGATTTACACATGAATAGTGTTTCCGCAACCCAATTTGAGATATTTCCTCTAATATTTTTAAGAGTTTCAGATATAATTTAAGATAATTATTGATTTAAAATGTGATATCATGTTTTTATTGAAGATATTCTTAACAGTATACAATATTCATATGTGTAATGGTTTTACATATGACAAGAAATAGTTCTATGACAATTTTCTTTCCAATAGCTAAATGCCCCCAAAAATTTAAAAAACAAAGAATTTACTTTTTCACTGTTATAAAATGCCCTCTTGATCATTTGTTAACTAAAACATATTTTTTTGATCTTTCTTCTTCCTTTGATTTAATGGCAAATCATTTACTTTTGAAAATCATATACATATATTATTTCTACTATAGTAGATTTATGTTAAATATTAACATTTTCTAGACAATTGCTAAATCACCATAATTTTCAAATTTATTTTGTTCACTCTTATTTATTAAATATTTACCATAAATTTTAAAATAAAGATTTAGGGTTACTTTTCAGTGAGATTTCTTTTAATATATAATATTTTTAACAATCAGAAATTAAAAAATATACATCCACATTCACATCATTCAACTTCATTAAAATAATAGTCTTTTCATATTTTCTCTTGAATTTTGTTTAAACATTAAGAAGTTTAATATTGGTTAAATTATTTTATGCATCTCTATTTGTGAGCAGTCATTGTTTTGATATAAAGTTTATCATTTGGATACATATTTGTATAACTTTATAGATTAATATAAATATATGTATTTATAAAAATATAGTAATTTTGTAAGTTTTAAAACTTTATCACTCAGCAACTGGCTTTTTACAATATTTCTGATGTATCCATTTTTATATGTGTAGCTCTAGTTCATTCATTTTTATCTTATGTAATTTCTATACTAAAATATCCTCTTCTATTTCCTGTTGAAGAGAATTTAGTCTGATTTTAGTGTTTGCTTGATTTTTCTATTTTGAGCCATGACTACCTAACAGAATTGCAACAATTTTATTTTTTTAATTATTTCTTCAAATTGGTCTTATACTTTTATATCCCTAATGACATAACAGTTCTCTTTATCTATATAAACACTTGATATTATCAAGATTTAAAATTTCATCAATTTGATGTTTATAAAACTATCTCAATTTACTAATTTGAATCTTCTAGAGTATTAGTGATAGTAAACACATTCTCTTTTTCATTTTCTGACGTTTTTGTAAAAACTCATTTCCATATATTTTCTTTTTTCTTCAATTGAGTCATTTCTCCTTTTGATTTTTCAGTGATATTATTGAGTTGTGACAGCTCGTATTCTTTCAGCTCTGTAGGAAATTTTTATAAATGTTTCATAATTATACTTTGATTATACTACTTTCCACCAGTTGTAATTTTTCTTTGAATTTTACTTACAGTGTTCTTTGGTAACCAGAGTTATCTCATTGTTATTTCTGAGTAAAGTACCATTTTCATTTTTTTAAAAGATAAGAATTCACAAAATAATCCCAGACTATGAAGTATAAAGAAATAAGACAGATATGAACTTTAAGACCTTCTGTCTAACAGATAATTCATATATAATTTCAAATTATAGGAATGAATTATAGTTCCCCATGACACGTTAGTCTATAGAGTGTCAAGATTCTCAGCTTTAAATCATACCAAATTGTCTGAAAATGACAGCATATCTCACTGTCTTATATTTCCTTCACATGTGTCAAATATTTTTTATCCTCTTGAGATTTTTCTATTAAACTGAAAATTAATGATGTGGTTTGGCCATGTCCCCACCCAAATAACATCCTGAATTGTAGCTCCCATAATACCCCTGTGTTGTGGGAGGGAACAAGTGGGAGGTAATTGAATCATGAGGGTGGTTTCCCCCATACTGTTCTTGTGGTAGTGAATAAGTCTCACAAGATCTGATGGTTTCATAAGGGGAAACCCCTTTCCCTTGGCTCTCATTCACTCTTGTCTCCCACCATGTAACACTTGCCTTTCACTTTCCACCATGATTGTGAGGCCTCCCCAACCATGTGGGACTTATGGGAGCTACAGTTCAAGATGAGATTTGGGTGGGGACACAGCCAAACCGTATCAGTCCTGGTCAGTGTTTTATGTTTCTGTTCCATCACTTACCTACAGATACATTTTGCTATCCGTGGGTGTTTTGCTATGTCTGTTTGTTAGTTGGTTTACATTTGTTTAGATTTAATTTTTGTTTTTTTCCCTATGTTTGATAAGCTTTCACGCAGTTGAATTGAAGGAGATTTTCAACATATGTCTTCTCTGTACCATTTTTTAAAGTAATTCAAGTTTCTAGTTTTAAAAAATGGCATTCTGATTATAAAGGTATTAATTCAAATTTTTATTTTTTTAAATGGTCAACCTAAATATTTCATTTAAGATCAAGATATTATTACTCATTTTTTTTACTTCTATAAAGAACTACACCTTCTATACATAGTTTTTAGACAGTTTAGTTACCCATTTTGGTTAAAATTAATTTCAGAGAATTATAGATTTTGTGACTATTTTGTTGCTATGTTTTATTATTATTCTTTGACCCATATTACATATTCAAATGTGCAAAATTTTACTTTCTATTTTATTAACGAAAACTGGCAGGTATTAAAAACCACTTTTAGTTTTATTTTAAATTTAGTTTTCATTGTTGTGTTTCTTTTTATTTGTTTATTTGTTTTGTAAGCCTATTTTTCTCATATTGTTAAGTTTACTTATTCACAAAATATAATGTTAACTTATTTATATCATTGAACATTTGTTAAAGGATAATTTCCAAAAGGTAAAATCAAAACTCTCATATGAACATAAGATAAACTCATGAAAAGTATTGTCTTAATCTCATTAATTGATGAGGGAACCAGTAACATGTTATGACCAGTTCAAAGAATGTTTGAGAAGTCATATAAGTAAATTGCATATATAACAAAAAATTAATGTTAGGATTAGTTTGCTGGATTAGATACAAAACTGGTTAATGGTCAGCAAGGCTATAAACAGTAACTGTTACCAGAGGTGAATCCATATGGGTCTGCAGCAAACTGGATCCTTGTGTCATAGGAGGAAAGAATTCAGCCAAGGGGCAGAAGTAGATTTAAGGCAGAGGGAGAGGCCAAGGCAAGTTTTAGAGCAGGAGTGAGAGTTTATTATATAGTTTTAGAGCAAGAGCAAAGGAAGCAAAATACACGTTGAAGAGGGCCAAGCAGGCAACTTAAGAGATCCAGGTGTCCTGTTCAGCCCTTGACTTGGGGTTTTATACACTGGCATGGTGCAGGGTTTTCTTTTCTCTTCTGTTGATTCTTCCCCAGGAGTGGGCTGTTGCTTGCCTTCCATAGAACACATGTGTAGTGTGTTTACTGAGGTTGTGTGCATGCTTTCTAGGATTGGTTTTCGTGTATAAGCTGAACACCCCCAGAGGAAGGTCATACATCTTTCATTTTGCCTCTTAGTGCACATGCTTGAGTCTGCTAGCCCAGCTCCAGAGATCTTATCAAGAAGCTGCTGATCACCAGCTCCAGGTGTTTTCAATCTCTTGGGAAACTAGGTTCCCTTGGTGCTAGCTGTGACCAATTATCATTTTAGAGAGAGAGTTTAACAACCATCTGACTATCACTTGACATTCCTGGAGGGGGCTCTCCTGCTCTGCTCATGTCTACTTAACTACCCACTCTAACATAACCACTGTGGTTATCTCTTTCACAGGACAGAAATTACTTGCTTCTCTACTGGGTAAAAATCTGCAAGCTAACCTCTGTTCCTACAGATGAGTAAAATAGCCAAGACTTTCAATAAAGTTCTCATAATTTTTTTGATATCCTTCTGTATTTTCCTTCTCACTATAGTTCATTACTGATCATTAATCTCTATGCTATATGAGAATTTTCTCTCTGTGTCTATCCTTCTTAATGCTGGAACAGGAATTCTTAGTATATTTCCCAAATGTTTTTAGGGCAGTAGTGATAATATGAGCATGATTTTCTTTCTTCTCTTTATATATCAAACTCTATTAAGGTGATAGATTGTTTACTGATGGAAGAACTTGCATTTTAAAGGGGAAAATGACAACAAAAAACCTACTTGATGATATTGCATTATTCCTTAAAACGTAACAACAGGGTATGGGGGAAGGGTTGAATGGGTCAAGCACAGGTATTTTAAGATTAGTGAAACTATTTTGTATAATAATATAATGGTGAAAACAAGTAATTAAGCATTTTCTAAACCCACAGAACTTTATAGCAAACAGAGTAAAAACATATGCAATTTGAAAAAAATTATTAAGGGAATGAAAGAATTCCAGGATAGAATGCAGAATGTGACAAAATAATCTACATACATTACAAATGTATGAAACAGCCTCACTAAATGGAATGAGAGATTTAGGTGCTTTCTGAAGTAACTTTGGAAATAAGTGGAGTCCATAAGACTAAAGGCAAAAATCACTGTACTTAAACACTATACTCTAGTTGGTAATGTTGCTTTCCACAAGGGTGCCAGTTTACATCTTTGAAACCAGCAGACATGTATACTGGAATTGAACAAATAAATTAAAAAATGGCTGATAGTGGGAGACAGGTTTCTCACTTTTCAAAAGACAATATACAGAGAAACAAAGGGTGCAGGTAAGAATGATTCGTATGTTAATGGATCATTAGAAAGAGGCATACAACCGGCATCATACAGTAGGAGGCATCACTTTGAACTCATGTTTAGCTTAATAAAGATAACAGATAGTTATGTATAGAAGTACTTATAACTGTACAGGTTACTGTGCAACTATAGAGACCTTAATCTTTCTTGCTTTGTCAATTTAGAGGGCCTAGAAGCAATGACATTCCAGTTGTAACAAGGATACCTAGCATCCACATGTTCATTTCTAATACCATTGTCCAATTAAAGGAACCACAGCTACTTGGAGAAATGCCTGATGCTAGGACTCAGAAAATATACAAGATAAACCTGGAGCATACCATAATATCAGAAAGTTGGAAAGTGCTCAACACACACACATAAATATACACACACAAAGATAAAAATATGTCAAATAAGCCAGAGTCTGTCAGTAGAGTAGCATTAAATTATAACCCAAAGTGTAATATAAATGTCCATCAGGCTATACTCATATAATTATTGAATGAAGAGACAATTGGGGAATAATAGTCAAGTGTTCCATGAAGAAGAATGCCAAATAATTTACAGAGATACTCCACTATCAAAGAGGTGGAGAATAATTTCCTACTCCTTAAGTGTGGGCATTGCAGAGTGACTTCTTCCAATGAATTGAGCATGGGAGAAAAAATAAGAGTACGTTTACAGCAAAGAAACTGGACAGACACAATCTCAAACTAGAGAATCTAAGTTAATATCAACAGCAATGTCACTTGATACTAGATAGTATGCATGCTATCAAATGACATACTATTAAATCATATATCACCTACATGATGAGGGTGGCACTTTTACCTCTGTGGTCTTCCTCCTCAAAACACTTTCTTACAGACTATTCATAATAAAAGCATTACACAATCCCCGATATGGAACACTCTACAAGATAACTGAATAGTACTACTTACTATGTCAAGGTCATTAAAAACAAGGAAACTCTGAGAAACAGTCAATACTGACGAGAGACCTGACTTTTAAATATAATGTTGCACCCTGAATGGGATCCTGGAACAGAAACGGGATATTAGGTAAAAACTAAGGAAATATGAATAAAGTAAGAATCTTGGTTAATAATTTTGTATCAATGCTAATTAATTAAATGTATTACATTTAACATCAAATGTATCATATTAATGTAAGCTGGGTAATAATAGGGGAAAGTGGGTGTGGGATATTCAGGAACTCTCTGCACTACCTTCACAATAATTCTGTAAACCTAATAATATTTGAAAATAAAATGTTTATTGAAAAAAGTTATTAATGATATGCAATATAAATGGGTTTAAGGAAAACATTATACATTTAAATAGTAAATAGTAAACAGTAAATAGTACTCATTCCAAGGGGATGTTATTGCTATAGAAGGAGAACTTCAAAACAAGTCCCTAAAAACTCATTTTTCACTGTGCTACTACTACTAATTTCTTTATGTACAAGTTTTAGACTTTCCAATGAATGTTAAAACTCAGATAGTTTCTTACATTATTTTCTAATGTTAACCTAAATTTCATGGCCTTTTTATTCTGTGTTTGTATGGTAAATGCCAGCAATCTTTTTCCATAAAGGACCAGACAGTAAATATTCAACTCTGCCATTAGAGCTTGAAGCAGCCACAGGCAACATATGAACAAATTAGTGTGACTGTGTTCCAATAAAGCCTGTTTGCAAAAACATATGGCAGGCTGGATTTGGCCTACATGTCATGGTTTGCAGATCCCTAATACACAGAATAAATGTTTGTATCTCTTAATTATTAGATCTTTTTAGTTCTTTGAAAATAAAGTGTCTATATCTTTTAAAAAATCTCCTATTGTTAAGTATATTGGCTAAAAAATACGATTGAAAAGTAGTCTTTAATTTTTAAATGTGCATTTTACAGTGTGATTACAGAGAAAAGTCTAAGTCCAGGGCCCAGAGATTGCAAAACTATTTCATGAGATCCTACTAAAAAACCAGTAACACTGTCTGACATTTGTAGAAAATATATTGAGAACAAATCAAAGCAGTTTTCATAACTTGTGATAATTTTACACTATTTTTATTTTTAATAAAATAATATTTGTTGTGGTAGATTAATATTTACCAGTGACTTCATTCAATATTTTCATTTTATAAAAATGTGAACTCAGCCTGGAAGGGTATTGTTAATACACTTATTCAAGGGATTTGAAAAAAATTCTATAATTTTCTAGTTTTTACATTTAGGAACATATTCCTTGGGTGTGGTCATTCCTCAAGAGATTAGAATCTAGTGACTATTTTGCTCCTTTAGGAAATGAAAAAAATTGAGTTTCATGTACACTCATGCAGTTCTTCACAAGTTTGGCCAGTTACAATATATTCCTCTCAAGTTTTATTAACATGTATGTGAGCACTGGGCTGGTGGACCTATAGCATAAAAGCCTACACTCCCTTCTTGTATTCTTTGTCCAGGGGACATAGTGTCATAAATGTTAGCATAAAATACAGTATTTGCTTCCAAGTTTATTGAACGTATGCACTAATGAATTTTCAAAATATAAATATACAATATTGTATTAAGGTAGTCAATTTTGAATAGATTTCCCTCAGGAAGTGTTATGTTTCAAAATTAAAGACATCATTTAAAAGATAGCATAGTCAATTTACAATGCTACTGTCAAGCATGTGCTGAGCAGTTTGTTTGAGGAGATTGTGTAGCAAATGCTTTGGAGACTCTGAAGCTTTCTTTTGCTGTCTTTGCTCCTTCATGATTTTGTGCAAATTGAAAGTATTTTTTTCCCATGCTTATGTAACTTTGTGGTAGAAATTTGTAGCCACTTCATAAAACTTATGAAAAATATAGGAATTTCTACTCTCTGTTAGTAGCAGTACTCTTAAGATCAACAGAAAGAGAAGTGTGGGAGAGAATAGTGAACTCAGAATCACAGTTATTGTATTCTAGACCTCTTAATCATAACTGAACAAGTTGTCAAACCTCATTTATAAAATAAGTTAGTAGTCATTGGTAATAACTGATATTCACTAAATAAGATACATTATATTTTACCTTTTTAAAATAAAGCCAATAACTTTGTATATGTCACAACCCATGTATCATTGCATTTTCATAGTATTATATCTTACATAAGGTTTTACCAACTTTGAAAATGAAAGTATGTTTTTAGGAGTTTCAAAAAGTCTTTGGATAAAATTCATAAACTGTTTTCAAAATAAGGTAGATAAACATGTAGAAAAAAGTATGATGGGCATAGTAAAGAGGAGATACAATGTTGAGCCTAGACTTTGGACTTGTGATTCTAAAATTTGCATTTTGAATATGTCTAAAACAAAACATTATATTTAAGGTAATTTGCATCTTTTAAATAAGAACTTTTCCATCATAATTTCATTCCATTTGAAAATATAATACATTTTGACTAGTGGAGTAGAAAAATCTCTCATTTTTCCTCCACATATATTCCAGTGAGTTAAACACAGTGTGGTCTCTATATAGTCTAAGATGCTTTGGAAAAGCTATGGGAACTTCTTTGAGAGTTTTTCAATAGGACAGTCAAGCTGACTCTTAGGATCATAGGAGAAACAAAGAGTCTAATTGTCCTTGCAACAGAGGTGCACACAGCCACAAGACTTCACTGAAAATAATATGCTGCTTTGTAGTGTGGGACCTCCCTCAAATTCTTTAAGCTCTGTCATATGATCATCAGAACGCTGAATGACTTAGACATGCCATTTGGCTCTTGATTTAAGCCAATTACTTACACTCTAAAGAGGGCACAGATAGACAGCTGAACATAAGGAGAGGGGGGTCCTAGCCACACAATAAACAAAATGTGTCCTTAGTTTGGGGAACAGAGGGGCTTATTAAAAGATGAAAACTGGTGGTGAATAGGAAGCTTAGAAAAATATGCAGCCATGATTCCTCTCTCCAGTGTTTTCTTCAGTTTCTATTGTATCCTGTTTTCTGCATAACCAAGTGACCTCTAAACCCTGTAAATAGTACATAGAACTTTTCTCCTTCTTCTCTGGGTGGATGACTATTATCCTTTCATCTTGAAAGGTCATGGAGTATCAGTTGAAGAAGTACACCACTTTGCTTTGAGTGCCCTCTCTGTTTGAAGTGATTGGTCTGTTTGCTTTATCAATGGTGGCCTGTCCCCAAACAAATGAAAAATTAGTTAATCATCTTTCCATCTCCAAACCATAGACATTTTGAGCTGAAAAGAAGATAAATATACAACAGGATTTAATGTTTCAAATTGTGTATTTTAGATATTCAGTAGTTACTAAGATTAGTAGCACATTACATTAAAAATGATGGAGTATATTATTACACTGTATAATAAGAAAGTGAACAAGAAAGTCTATCAAGTAAATAGTAGGATAAAAATTAATATTTAGATGAAGATAATATGTTTGCGATTTTGTATCTTTATCATTCTGTGAGAACATATTTCTAAAGTAACGTCTGGTCTTTGTGAAGATGCTGAAATATAAAACCATGATTAAGGGAAGAATGGAAAAAAATAGAAGAGTATCTTATATTTGTTTTTATTTTTAAATTTTAATTGTTTTAATTATTATTATTAGTTTTTTAAAGAGACAAGGTGTCACTATGTTGCCCAGGCTGCTCTAGAACTCCTGAGATCTAATGATCCTCTTGCCTCAGCCTCCCAAAGTGTTAGGATTACAGGCGTAAGCCACCATGTCCAGCCTTATACTTGGTTTTAATATGGAGTATATTCTTTAACTTCAATATTTTAAATCTTATACTTTTCAATGTTGGGAAAGTATGAAATAAATTATATCAGCGTAGAAAAATGAAGACTGAGGAAGAATACGACAGACATTTGAACTCAAGGAAGTTATGGATACTCGAATATAGATCAGCCTGTTTAATAAATTTGGACTCATAACCTTAAAGTATAATTATTATACTAGGCTAGGTAATGTTATGAAAAATGAAATTACCGAAATATAATTTGTACTTGTTAAGCTTTATATGTAATCTTTTAGTGAATATCTTTTTTAAATATTTATAAGAAAATAAAAGTAAAGAGACTTGTGAGAAGTTCAGGTATTAATGGTTAGTTTTCAACTGATTGGCAAGGGAAACAGGGAATTCTTTATCAATATCATTAAGGCTTTTCAATAGTGGGGACAAATTCTTTTTAAAAAAACATGGTCCCAAAAGTGAACTGTTAATGGTGTAGTTTGATGCAAAAGAAAACTAAATATTTGATCAGCAATAATTTCCTTATTCTTAACACATAAACACAGTGCTTTTTTATCCTAACTGCCACTTACAGAGTCTACAGCTGTTTGTAATGAAAGGAAGCATTATAGGTTTATTAACTTTGAATTCAGTGTTGTGAGTTCCACAAATGTAATTTTATTACAAATATACATATAATATGTAAGTTAATCTCAGAAATTGAAGGGTTTCTTTTACTAATATCTGCCTGTGAATAATATTACCTCTGACATAAAGAATGGAAACAATATGAACTTCCAAGAAAAGAAATAGGTAAAATGACTCCTCCACATTCCTTCAAATGGATATTCTTTGTATGGTAATTAACATCAGCTCAAAATAAGATACAGGCACAGTTTTGAGATATCATGGGTTGGTCCCAGACCACCACAATAAAGAAAATATAGCAGTAAAGTGAGTCACACAAATGTTTTGGTTTTTTGAAACATATAAAAGTTAGGTTTACACTGTACTGTAGTCTATTAAGTGTGCAATAGCATTATGTATAGAAGTATATACATCCCTTCATGAAAAATGCTTTATTGCTAAGAAACACTAATAATCCTCTGAGCTTTAGTGGATGACAATTTTTGTGCTGGTGGGGTCTTGCCTCGATGTTAACGGCTGCTGACTAATCAGGGTGGTGGTTGCGGAAGGTTGGAATGGCTGTGGTAATTTCTTAAAGTAAAAAAACAATGAAGTTTGTCTAATCCATTGTATCTTCCCTTCATGAATCATTTCTCTGTAACAGGCAATACCGTTTGATAGCATTTTACCCACAGGAGAACGTCTTTCAAAATTGAAGTCAATCCTCTCAAAACCTGCTGCTGTTACATTAACTAAGGTTATGGAATGTTCTAAATTCTTTATTGTCATTTCAAAAATGTTCACAGCATCTACACTAGAAGTGGATTCTATCTCAAGAAACCAATTTCTTTGTTTTTCCATAAGAAGCAACTCTTCATTTGCTCGTTTGATTATGAGTTTGCAGCAATTTGCTCATGTCTTCAGCCTCCACTTTTAATGCTACCTCTCTTACTGTTTCCAACATAAAAATGCAGTTACTTCCTCCACTGAAGTCTTGAAACCCTCAGTCACCCATGAGAACTGGAATCACCTTCTTCCAAACTCCTGTTAATGTTGATACTTTGACCTCCTTTCATGAACCATAAATGTTCTCAAGAACATCTAGAATGATGAATCAATCTTTTCCAGAAGGTGTTCAACTCAATTTGTTGAGATCCATCAATGAAATCACAATTTTTAAAAGAAAAATACTTTAGACAATTAAATTTTACAGAGTTTAATTAAACAAAGACTGATTCACAAAAAAATTAGTGTCTGCAAAGTGCAATGAAGCAAAGGACAAGAATATCAGGTATGCCTACATTTATTTTTTTATTTTTATAAATGCGACTGTTTTCTTGATCTCTTTTTCAATAGTTCATTGCTAGTGTATAGAAATGCTACTGATTTTTCTATGTTGATTTTATATCCTGCCATTTTACTGAATGTGTTTATTAGTACTAAATTTCATGGGATAGGTAGAGCAAAAGGGCCAAATAGAATACACCAGCAATGATCCTCCCCAGAGGAACACCAAATTGAACAACTGGTCACACAAGAGATCACTGCCATAAAAACAAAAAATCAGGTGAGCAATCACAGTACCCTGGTTTTAATATCATACCAAGGAAAGAAGCACTGAAGAGGGTAAGAAAGAAAGTTTAGAAATGCTAAAACTGTCATCCCCTGGCAACAGCCACATAGTGCAGAGAGAGAATCTGTGCCCTTGGGGGAGAGACAGCATAGTGATTGTGTGACTTTGCATTGGAACTCAGTGCTGCCTATCACAGTGAAAAGCAACATGGGTCAGAACTCAGCCAGTGTCCACAGAGAGAGCATTTAGACTAGTCCTGGCCAGAGGGAAATTGTCTATCCCAGCAGTCATAACCTGACTATAAGTGCTATGGGGTTCTAAATAAACTTGAAAGGCAGTCTAAGCCACAAGGGCTGCAATTCCTAGGCAAGTCCTGGTGCTGTGCTCAGAGCCAGCAAACTTGGGGTGCAGATGACCTATTTCTCACTAGGCATAGTGAGGCAGCTGATGGAGTGTCTGCATCACCCCTCCCTTAACCCCAGGCAGTGCAACTGGCAGCTCTGGGAGAGAGAAGGGGTAAAAATACACAGGACTTTGTCCTGCAACTTGGATACCAACTCAGCCACAGTAGAATAAGGGCACCAGACAGAGTCCTAAGGCCTTCATTCCAGGCCCTAGCTCCTGGATAATGTTTCTAGACACACGCTGGGCTAGAAAGGAACCTGCTGTCTTGAAGGGACAGATCCAGTTCTGGTAGGATTCATCACCAACTGACTGAGTGCCCCTGGGCCCTAAATAAACATCAGTGGTTTAAACATTCACAAACATCAGACCATCCAGGAAAACAGGACCTCACCAAATGAACTAAAAAAGGTACTAACGATCAATCCTAAAGAAACAGAGATGTGAGATCTTTCAGACAGAAATCAAAATAGCTGTTTTGAGGAAGCTCAAAGAAATTCAAGATGACACAGAGAAAGAATTTGGAATCCTATCAGATAAATTTAACAGAGAGATCAAAATAATTTTTAAAGATGCAGAAACTGGAGCTGAAGAATTCAATTGGCATATGGAAGAATGCATTAGAGTCTCCTAATAGCAGAATTGATCAAGTAGAAGAAAAAATGAGTGAGCTTGAAGACAGGCTGCTTGAAAATATACAGTCAGAGGGGAAAAAAGAAAAATGAATAAAAACATAAGCACATATATGAGAGCTAAAAGATAGCCCCAGAAAGGCAAATCTAAGAGTTATTGGCCTTATAGAAGAGCTGTAGAGAGAGATTGAGGTAGAAAGTTGATTCAAAAGGATAATAACAGAATTTTGCAAACCTAAGGAAAGTTATCAATACTCAAGTATAAGAAGGTTATACATTACCAAATGGATTTAATCCAAAGAAGACTAGCTCAAAACACTTAACAAGCAAACTTCCAAAGATGAAGGATAAAGAAGGAATACTAAAAGCAGCAACAGAAAAGAAACAAATAACATACAAAGAAGCTCCACTATATCTGACAGCAGACTTGTCAGTGAAAACCTTACAGGCCAAGAGAGCATGTCATGACATATTTAAAGTGCTGATGGAGTAAAACTGTTATCCTAGAACAGCATATTTCATTAAAATATACTTCAATATGAAGGAGAAGTAAAGGCTTTCCTAGACAAGTAAACTGAGGGCTAACACCAGATTTGTCCTACAATAAATGCTAAGCAGAGTTCTTCAATCTGAAATAAATGAACATTGACAATCATTTAGAAATCATCTGAAGGTAAAAACAAAAACAAAAAAAACTCACTGGTAATAATAAGCAAGAGACAAACACAGAATATTATAATGCTGTAATTGTGGTGTATAAACTACTCAAGTTTTGAGTAAAAAAGACTAAAAGATGAACCTATCCAAAATAATAACTACAACAACTTTTCAAGACATAGACAATTTGATAAAATATAAATACCAAAGGAAAAGGTTAAAAAGAGTGGGGGATTAAGTTAAAATGTAGACTTTTTATTAGTTTTCTCTTTGCTTTTTTCTCAGCTTGTTTTTGAAATCGGTGTTCAGTTGTCACTAGTTTAAAGTAATGGGTTATAAGATGTTATTTACAGGCCTCATAGTAACCTCAAATTAAAAAAAAACTATAAAAACTACACAAAAAATAAACAGAAAGAAATTAAAACATACCATCAGAGAAAATAATCATCACTAAAAGGACATCAAGAAGGAAGGAGAGAAGGAAGGAAGAGAAAACCACAAATCAACTGGAAAACAAATAACAAAATACCAGTAGTAAATCTTTGCTAATCAATAATAACACTGAATATAAACAGACTAAACTCTTCAATCAAAAGACATGGAGTGGCTGAATTAATGAAAAAGTAAGACCCAATGATCTACTGCCAACAAGAAAAACACTTCACCTACAAATACACACATAGACCAAAAATATATCTACAATGAACTCATTTTTGACAAACGTGCCAAGAACATACATAGGGGTATTGACAGTCTCTTCAATAAATAGTCCTGCAAAAACTGGATATATGTGCAGAAGAATGAAACCAGACCCTGGAATAAAGGCTTAATTCAACATATGACAATATAAATCTACTAAAAGAAAACTTTGGGGAAACTTCCCAGTGCATTGGTCTGGGCAAAGATTTCTTGAGCAATATTCCAAAAGCACAGACAACCAAAGAAAAAATGAACAAATGGGATCACATCAAGTTAAAAAGCTTCTGTCCAGCAAATAATTACAACCATCAAAGTAAAGAGACAACCCACAGAATGGGAGAAAATATTTGCAAACTATCCATCCGACCCAGGAATAATAGCTATAATATTTAAGAAGTTCAAACAACTCAATGGGAAAAATAATAATCTTTTTTTAAAAAATAGGCAAAAGATCTGAATAGACATTCCTCAAAAGAAAATACACAATGGCAAACAGATATATGATAAGGTGCTCAACATCATCAATCATCAGAGAAATACAAATTAAAGCTTCAATAAGATATAATCTAACTCCAGTTAAAATGATTTATTTTTTCTCAAAAGACAGAGCATAACAAATGCTAGAAATGATGTGGAAAAAAGGTAAACTTCATAAATTGCTGGTAGGAATGTAAACTAGTAAAATCACTGTGGAGACCAGTTTCCAGTTCCTCAAAAAAACTGAAAAGAGACCTACCATATGATACAGCAATCCCACTGCTAGATATATATCACATATAGATAGATGATAGACAGATAGATAGATAGATAGGTAGATAGATAGATAGATATCTCATATATATATATCTCTCATATATATATCATATATATCTCTCTCATATATAGTATATATATCTCTCTCATATATATATATCATATATATCTCTCATATATGTATCTCCTATTTCTTTCTTAGATTTGAAGTTTCCAGTCATTATTTCTGCAAATA